>NC_000002.12:78542625-79167625 GCF_000001405.40 Homo sapiens
TCACCAGCAATGGATCCAAACCAAGAAGAAATCCCTGATTTACCTGCAGAAGAATTCAAGAGGTTAGTTATTAAGCTAATCAGGGAGGCACCAGAGAAAGGCGAAGCCCAGTGCAAGGAAATCTAAAAAACGAAACAAGAAGTGAAGGGAGAAATATTCAAGGAAATAGATAGCATAAAGAAAAAACAATGAAAACTTCAGGAAACATGGGATACACTTATAGAAGTGCAAAATGTTCTGTTAGGTCTTAGCAATAGAATTGAACAAGTAGAAGAGAGAAATTCAGAGCTCGAAGACAATGTCTTCAAATTAGCCCAATCCAACATCGACAAAGAAAAACGAATAAGAAAATATGAACAAAGCTTTCAAAGAGCCTGGGATTATGTTAAACAACCAAAACTAGGGACCTAAAGTGTTCCTGAGGAAGAAGAGAAATCTAAAATTTTGGAAAACATATTTGGGGAATAATCAAGGAAAACTTCCCCAGCCTTGCTAGAGACCTAGACATCCAAATACAAGAAGCACGAGGAACACCTTGGAAATTCATCTCAAATATATGTGCCATTTTACTTATTTTTCTTGCCTTATTATGCTGGCTAGGATTTCCAGTATAATGCTTAATATCAATGATGAGAGTAGACATTCATGGTTTTTTTTTTTTTTCTGATCTTAAGAGAAAACTTTCAGTACTTCATTATTAAATATGAGGTTAGGTAGGTTAAGTAAATTTTGTAAACATTCTATTATGTTCCAAGTTTACTGGCAGCTTTTAACATGAACAGATGTTAAATTTTCTCAAATGCTATTTCTCTATCAACTAATATAATCACATTTTTATTTGTTTTATACTGATGATATAATGTATTACATTGATATATTTTTTGAATATTGAACCAGTTATTATTGCTACAATAAAACCTACTTGGTTATGGTATAATATTCTTTTTATATATTGCTGTATTCAGTTTGCTAATATTTTTTGAGGATTTTCAGATCTATGTTCATGATGAAAATTTGTCTGTTTGTATGTTCATTTTCTTGTACTATCTTCCATCTGGTTTTGATATCACAGCTATTCTTGACTCAGAAATTGGAAAGGTCTTCTTCCTGTTCATTTTTTAACTTTTTTGGAGTTGACTTTTTTCTTTAAATGCTTGATATTACTTCCCAGTGACATGACTTGTGCATAAAATGTCCTTTCCCATACCATTTTAACCATTATTTTAAGTTTCTTAATAAGTTTACTTTTGAGTAAATTTTGATAGCTTTCTGGTATGATTTGAATGTTTTGTCCCTCTGTAACTCATGTTGAAACTTGATCTCTAATGTAACAGTATTAAGAGATGGGGCATTTAAGAAGTTGTGTCATGAGGATTCTACCCTCATAAATGGATTCATGTATTCATGGATTAATAGATTAATGGATAAGTGGATTAATGAGTTACCATGGGAGCAGGTCCATTATAACAACCAGTTTGGCTCTCAGTGCACCTCTCTCACCCTGTGATGCCCTGTGTCAGGTAATGATGCAGCACCAGGCCCTCACCAGAAGCTGACCAGATGTGGCTGCCCAATCTTGGACTTCTCAGCCTCCAGAACTCTAAGAAACATTTTCTTTATAAATTAATTAGTCTTAGGAATTCAGTGATAGCAACAGAAGGGACGAAGACACTTTTCCCTTTCATGAAGTTGGTCCATGTCATCTGAGTTGTAAATATTTTTGTTCATAGAGTTTTCTTCCAGCATCTTCTTATTAATTTTTTAACCTTTGCATGGTCTGTAGTAGTATTCACTGTTTTATTTCTAATATTGACAAAAATGTATGTCTTCTGTCATTTTATTCTTTATCAGACTAGTTAGAAGTTTATCAATTTTGTCATTTTTCCCATTAACCATCTTTTTGTAGTTTTATTCATTTTGTGTGTGTGTTCTGCTATTAATTTCATTGCTCTCTGCTCCTATTTTTATTTCTTTTCTTCTGATTTCTTTAGAATTACTGTTTTTAATTTTTCAAGTTTCCTTAGAAAAGCTTTGATTTTAGGTTTGAGACTTTCTTGTTTTCTAATATTAGCATTTATTCCAATAAACTTCCTTCTAAGCACTGCTTTTGATAATGTTGTATTTTAAATTTTATTCAGTTCAAAATATTGTCTAATATCTATTGAGATTTCCTATTTAAGCTTTTAAATAACTTTGAAATATATTTTTAGATTTCCAAATATTTGCAGATTTTCCAGATTTAATTTGCAGATTAAATCTGCAGATCCAGATTTGCAGATTTAATTTCATTATGATCAAGGAACATACTTGTGTGCTTTCAATTGTTTTACATAAGGTTTCATTATCTTTTACAAGATGATGATTAATACTAATGAATGATTTCATACCAACTTGAAAATAATGTCTATTCTACTGTCATTTGGTAGTGTCCTATAAATGCCAATTATATCCATTCGGTTTATGATACTGCTTAGCTATTCTATCTTCTTGAGGATTTTAAAATTTATTATTGTGTTGATAATTTAGAGAAGCATTTCAAACCTCCAACTACAGTTGTGGATTATACATTTCTACTCTGAGATTTCAAATACATGTGAAATATATATTTATATTTTCATGTATGTCAAATATATTTTTAAATATTTTCAAATTTTCTGGATTTCTTATTTTGTTTATTAATGTTTTCCTATTTTAACTTCTGTACCTTTAAATTTTAGTGTCTAATGAATAAGTCCACACCTACTATTATTCTTTCCTTTGTTTTATTCATTGAAACTTTAATTTTTTTCTAGATTGACATTGATATCCCTTTGTGATAGCACCCCCCCAAAAAATTGTATTGTATTTGATTGCCGTTGTATTCATTGCATAATTTTAATGCTAACAAATTGGATAAATTTTTCAGAAAGTGGGCAGATTGACATTTCTGGCAGAACCCTAGGAGCAGAAAAAAAATCTGAAAAACAAATAAGGTAACACCACCTATATTTTTATATGTTGCTTTTAGTGTCATGTGTGACTTAGTCTCATTTCCGGACAGGGAATTTATGAACTCTGTGTATGGGGGTAGACAGAGTAAGGCCGATAGTAAAGATTTTCTAGCATTCCAAAAATAATCCTGCATTTATCCTGATAAAAAATCCAGAAAAAGATCCTACCAGAAAAGAAAACTCCAGGCCAATATCCCTGATGAATACAGGTTCCAAATTTCTCAACAAAATACTAATAAACTGAATGTTACAGCATGTTAAAAGAATCATACGCCATGATGAAATGGGATTAATTTCTAAGATATACAAGGATGGTTCAACATAAAGATCAATCAATATAATACATCACATTTAACAGAACAAAGGAACAAAGAGAAAATTACATAATCACCTCAATAGATGCACAAAAAGCATTTCACAAAATTCAACCCTGTTCCTGATGATAAAAAGAAAGAAACACTCAACAAACTAGGAATAAAAGGAAATGCAAATTGAAACCACAGTGATATAATCACCTCAAACCTGTTAGGATGGCTACTATGAAAAAACAAAGGATAAATATTGTCAAGGATGTGAGGAAATTAAACCCCCTGTGTAGTTAGTGATAATGTAAAATTGAGCAGCTACTATGGAAAACAGTATGGAGGTTTCTCAAAAAATTAAAAATATAATTACCATGTGATCCAGCAATTCCATTTCTGGGTATTTATCCAAAATAATTGAAATCAGGCTCTCAAAGAAATATTTGCACTCCTACATTCATAGCAGCATTACTCAGAAATGCCAAGTGGTAGAAACACCTAAATGTCCTTTGAGAGATGAATGAATAAAGAAAATGTGATTTATATAGACAATGAGATATTATTCAAATGTAAAAAGAAGGAAATCATGTCATATGACACAACTGTATTACCCTTGAGGACATAACGTTAAGTGAAGTAAGCTAGTTAATAAAGGACAAATACTGCATGATCCCATTTATATGAGGTCAGACTACTATAAAGTAGTCAGACTCTTGAAACAGAAAGTACAATGGTGGTTGTCAGGATGGCAAAGTTTAGAGATGTCTTTTATAGAGTTGTGATTATAGTGTTACTGGCAGGTCTTTGTTCTTGTCCCGCTCTCAAGATAGGGGCAAGCCTTTTTTTCTCTCACCTTGGGTTCTTGGCCTCACGGATTCCAAGGAATGGATCCTTGGGCTGTGTGGTGAGTGTTACAGCTCTATTAGAAGCAGTGGGTGACCAAAGAGAACCGTGGAACCCAGCGACTAGTGTTCAGCTCGATTAGGACAAACCCGGGCACTTAGCTGCGCTGGAACAATGGCGAGCCTCTAGCCCAATCGGGAGCAGCAATGGGCGCCTTGCTGGATCAGAAGTGCAGCGGACACCCTGCCAGATCCAGAGGGGTGGAAGTCAACGGGGGATCTGTGATGGCGGCATTCAGCAGTGGTTGACAGCAAGTGAAAGCTCAGCTCAAGCCGGAACAAACACAGACCGGAAGAGTGTGCAGTTGCAAGATTTAATAGAGTAAAAACAAAGCTCCCAAAATATGGGAGGGGACCCAAAGGGGTTGCCACCACCAGCTCAAATGCCGGAGGTTTATATCCCAATCATTGCCTCCCCCTGTGCTCTCAGGTGATAGATGATTTGATTATTTCCTTACCTCCTGCTTTTAGCCTAATTGGTATTTTAGTGAGCTCTCCTTCCTACCTGACTGGTCGGGTGTGAGCTGAGTTACAAGCCCTGTGTTTAAAGGTGAGTGTGGTCACCTTCCCCAGCTAGACTCAGGAATTTTTAGTTGGCCTAGGAAATCCAGCTAGTCCTGTCTCTCAATAGTATAGAATACTCTACTGTACACTTAAAATTTTGTTAAGATGGGAGATCTCATGTTACATTTTTGTAACTACAATAATATTTTTAACCACAATAATAACAAGCATAATTATGAAAGAAAAAAATAGCAAAAATATGGAGTGTGACAGGCAGAATACTAAAAGTGCACTTCCCATCCAGTTCAATATCCCATGCCTTAATATCTAGAACCTATGACTATGATGATATATTGCTCTCATGATTATCGTATATGGAACAGTTGACTTTAAAATAGCCAGATTGTCTGGGTGGATTAATTTAATCACATGAGCCCTAAGAGCAGAATGCCTTCTCTAGCTGGGAGCAGAAAATTAATCAGAGATTTAAAGCATGAGGGAGATTCTACCCACCGTTGGTGGTTTTGAAGCTGGTGGGAGACACATGCTAAGAAATGCAGGTAGACTGCAGAAGCTATGGACAGCCCCCAGATGAAAGCAAGCAAGGAAATGGAGAGTTCAGTCCTACAGAGGCAGGAAACTGAATTCAGCACACAATCCAATGAGTTTGAAGGCAGATTACTCAACAAAATCTCCAGATAATAGCCCAGTCCCATCAATACCTCGATTTTGTCTTTGTAGGACACCAGTCAAGCCTACCTAGTTTTCAGACCTGCAGAAACTATGTGTTATTTTAAGCCCTTGATTGTAGCAACTTGTCACTCAGCAGTAGACAATTAATACATAGAGTGCTAGCTGTAGGGAGACTCAGGATTCCACTAAAATCTAACTTCATGTGAGAAATCTTCACGTGAGATTTATGTCTGATATTTTCACTGCTGTATCTCAAGCACCTGTAACAATAACAAGCATTTAGTAGATACTCAATTAATTTTTATTTGATGAATAAATAAACCAAGAAAGAATTATTATTTGATCAATGTGTATGTTGAAGGAAGAGAGTTAGTAGAGACAAGAGGGGACCATAAGAAAAAAAGTGATAATTAATGTCCAAAAACCTAGACACAGGACAGGATGACATCCAAAGAAAAAGATAATAAATGTATAATTGACATGCTGTATGATTGTCATTGGGGAAAGCAGAGAAGAATGTGTGTTGTTTCAGATTGTGGTTTGCACATTCAGAATAAGGAATTAAAGAGATCTTAGTGGTGACACTATATTCTATATGAAATTGTATGGTATACAATTATCTGATAATTAAAGTTGGAGAAAGCAATTTGCTGGGCTTCTTAAGAGTCATAAAAAAATTTTTGAATAAAGTATCATATACCATGGTTTCATATTTTAAGTTATTACAATTCTTGGTAAAGAAATTGTCCACAGAAAAGCTAAGGAAAGGGGTGATTAATATGTCTTCAGAACTGAGACATTAAAAGAAATGTGCAATTAAGTTCTTAGGTACTAGACTGAATTGCCCAGAATGGTAGCAGCAATTAGTGTGGAATGAAGACAGAATGAGGAACTTCATAAATGCAAGCTCATATACTTTATGAACAAAAGACCAGAAATTGTTAGATAATGGATGGACTAAAAGAGGATGCAGAAAATTGTGTTTGGATGCCTTTGGCTCCTAAAGGAGAAGAGTTTAGCCCTTTTCATTTATGTGAAAAGGAAACGACTGGAAGTCTTAGTGAGGTACAAAGAGGTTATGAATACTACCTATAGAGACAAGATGCTATGGAAAATCAAAGACTTTCTTTCCTTGAAAGGGCAAAGGCAGAAAGAACTTATGAAGGAAAGCTGAAAGGGAGATAATAGGATCAGAGAGATGAGAAAGGACTGTAGTTCTTAACTTAGTGTGCCGCGTTTTTATCTATTATACCCTTAAAGATGAAATGTTAACAAAAAGAATTACATGTTGAATGGCCATTTGCCACCCATCTGTCTTAATAAAATGAAATCAAAGAAAATAATTTTTTTGCCTCTTAAAGCAACTATGTTAATGTTAATCAAGCACGATGAAATCATCGATATTTTGAACTATATGAAATTTTTAGATATCATTTCATATGGAAACATTAAAAATCCCAAGCTGTTGAAATTATGTCAGTTTTAAATGCCAAAATATAAGTTGTTAATAGAATTTTAACAGACTGCCCTATGAGCTTTCAAACTTGGAATAAGAAGTCTGGAATCTTATTTGATATAAAGCTAAATTGAATAACATATAAAATTCTGTATTATTTCAAATTCTAAGAAATGAGGATGAAGTATAATATTAATCTTAAACATACTCTTAAATAAGTTCATTTTCTTTAACTATAGGAGAAAGTGTTAAAGATTCAAATTGAGTTTAAGAACCATAACTAGTTTTGAAAAGTTCTCTCTTTAACTTTATAAATGCATATTCTCTCACCTCCAGATTGTACTTTATAAAAATCATTAAATTGGAATCTTTCATTTTAGGAAAAAATGGCAGACTTGAATAGAAATGAAACTTGGAACTCTTACAGAACTTCTATTTTACAAAAATATAAAGATTTTAGCCAAGAATTTTTATTATCCTATTATCAAAGCCGACTGCCAATTTTCCCATCGTACATCTTGAAAAACTTTATGTGCTTGCTCTTTCCTTGATAACATGAACATTGTTATAGAGTGCAGTATGTAGAAGTAAACTGTTGTTGTAATTTTTGAAAACATTATTTCCAGTGCCCTCTAAAAAAAAGAAATAGGCATTGGTAGACTTACTTATAAGTTACATCATAAGATAAAACACCAAACATACCTGATCAATAATAAAATTAATGTAATAAAAATTTATCTTGAAAATAGCCTTCTGAGTGTTTAATACCACAAATATTTTCAGAAACACAACCAAAACATTTCAAATAGCAAAGAGTTGTTAAGAAGCTCGTATATCAGAATCAAAATAAAAGACAGAGCTAATGGTGCACAGATTGGTACAATGTCATTTGGTTTTAAATTATATCCAGTTGGTAATCTCTAAAGCAGCATTTGCAGATATTCTACTAAAAATGTAAGTGTAGGCCGGGCGCGGTGGCTCATGCCTGTAATCCCAGCACTTTGGGAGGCCAAGGCGAACGGATCACGAGGTCAGGAGATCGAGACCATCCTGGCATGGTGAAACCCTGTCTCTACTTAAAAAAATACAAAAAATTAGCCGGGCGTGGTGCCAGGCGCCTGTAGTCCCAGCTACTCAGGAGGCTGAGGCAGGAGAATGGCGTGAACCCAGGAGGCGGAGCTTGCAGTGAGCCAAGATGGAGCCACTGCACTCCACCCTGGGCGACAGAGCAAGACTCCGTCTCAAAAAAAAAAAAAAAAAAAAAAGGTAAGTGCATACAATACAGTTATTCATTAATACAATTTTATTGAAAACTTACAGTATGTCAGACACTGTGTTAGATGCTGGACAATCAATGTTGTGCACAATAGGTCAAGCCTCTCCTTAAGAAGTTAACACATTCCTGGGATTCCAGGCAAAAAGAGAAGTATAATACAATATGAAACATGGTGTAAATAAAGTGAGTAATATTGCACTAAAGTAGCGTACCAGATTTAGAGGTAAAGAATGTATCTTTGAGAAACAGTTAAGTAGATATCTCTGAGACATGAAGAAGGAATAGAGAAGTCAGGAGTGAAGATGGTGGAAAAAAATGCATTCAAGTAAAAAAGAACAGCTTGCATTTAGTACATACTTAAGAAAGAGGGAAGAGAGGATGGAAAGATATAACAAGAAAGGGAGGGAGAAAGGGGTGTTAGAAGGACAAGAGAAAGAAAAATGGTATTTTCTAAAAATAAGAATTAGTAGGGATAGCTACAGCTTAGAATTTGAGTGAGAAACAGTAGTAAGAAATGAAACTGGAAATAGCTGCATGAGCGGAATGACTTTGGAAGCCACGTGAAGAAGTTTGGATGTTTTCCTAAATACAATGGAGAGGTATTGTAGTTTTAAGCAGATGACATGATACTATTTCTAGAAAGAAAATTGGTTACTAATGAAAAATAGACCAGCAGGGAGAAACACTGGTTAAGGAAATTGTGTAAGAGGTCTTTTAGGGAAGAATTAGTGCAACTCTTAAAGAACTTCTATTTAACAAAATATAAAGATTTTAACTGAAGTCTTTATATTACTAAGGCAGGAGCTAAAGTGGATAGAGCAAAGTTTTCAGATTTAGAAATACTTGAAAGGGAGAATGGAAAGAACTTGGCAAGTGATTAGATGTGGGTGGTGAGGAAGCAGGAGTCAAAAGATCATTCTGAACTAGCTCCAGATTTTTTTTTTTTCTTTTTTGAGATGGAGTCTTGCTCTGTCGCCCAGGCTGGAGTGCAGTGGCATGATCTCGGCTCACTGCAACCTCCGCCTACCGGCTTCAAGCAATTCTCCTGCAATTCTCCTGTCTCTGCCTCCCGAGTAGCTGGAATTACAGGCACGCACCACTGTGCCCAGCTAATTTTTGTATTTTTAGTAGAGACGGGGTTTCACGATATTGGCCAGGCTGGTCTTGAACTCCTGACCTCAAGTGATCCAGCTGCCTCGGCCTCCCAAGGTGCTGGGATTACAGGCGTGAGCCACCGCACCCGGCTGACTAGCTGCAGATTTCTAAGTCAATACTTGAAGTGAGGATGGTGTTCTTCATTAAGTTATCAAATACTGGAGAAAAAATCAATTTAGTAAAGGTGAGAAGACTTGAGTCATGTGAATGAAGTTCCTCTGGCACATCGATATGTGCCAGATATAGGTTGATATAGATCTATAAATAGTCTTAATTATAGATCTATATATAGATCTATAAATAGTCATATATACTATATATAGATCTATAAATAGTCTTATTTATAGATAGGTAGATAGAAATATCTATAAATAGGACTATTTATAGATCTATATATGTATATCCTAATAGTTGTATTTATAGATAGGACTATTTATAGATCTATGCACACCAATAGAGACTTGCACTGATGATATGATGCAGGCAGGACAAGTTCATAGGACTGTGACCTATGCAGTTGCACAAGTTTCCTTGCTCAGAAGGTTCCTATATTGATTTAGCAGTGTACTGTCATCATCTTGAAATTCTAAATAATTTTATTCTGAACTTATGTTTTATAAGTGAAGTCCAGTAAGACAGTAGAACATACATGTGAACAGAAGAGATATGTGCAAAATGCATGCCTGCTGCATCTCCTTACCCCTCTTCTCATACAGCACCTGTGATGCCCTGTGACTACAGAGTTCCAGTAGAACTATAATCTGTGGAAGTTCAAGAAGACTTAAAGCAGGTACAAAGTAAGTCCATTATATTTATAATGAGTAATCAGAGATGCTGACAGCACTGAGATGTCATGCTTTTATGTTTGAATCAGAACTGTCTTCTAACACAGAAATAAGGTAATGACATTCTTTAAAACAATGAATGACCAATACTCTATTATATCCTTTCCTTCTCACGTTATTGCTCTGCATTAACTAACCACTTATGCTGAAAATGTTAACATGAATGAAAGGGAAAGTTAGTCCAACCATAGCTTCCTTTTTATTTCAGTCCTTCCTTACTCATCAGCAAGCCTAAGTAGAAAGTGTTGTGTGTATCAAGGGCTGAGAAGTGGAGAGGAGGTGATCAATGGGAGGGAAGGAGAGAAACAGGAGATGGCTAATAATGGTAATAGAGTTTGCCTTTTGGGTGATGAAAATGTTCTAAATTCGATTGTGATGATGGTTGCACAACTCTGTGAACAAACTGAAAACCATTGGATTGTACACTTTACATTGGTGAATTGTATGATATGTGAATTATATCTCAGTAAAACAGTTTTTTAAAAAGAAATGAAATAAAAACAGTCAAGTTAGTTTTGTTCAATATTTCTACAGTTCTGATAAGCACAAAATGCATATGCAGGTGCAGGCTATGAAACACAAATTGTGTAATGGTCATTCTGCTTATGCATTCAATGCTCTTGTATTTGCATTTAAAATTGTCATTGCACAATATAAAAATGAATGGCCCATTAAAATAGTGCACTACTTCAATACATTGATAAATGATGAATATACATTCCAGTTAGAGTTAAGCTGTAATTATATAGCCAGAATATTGCAAGTATCTTGAATACTATACTGAAAATATATACATACAAAAATTTATATGTGTTAGTAAGAAACTGACTTTTAAAATTTTGATAATGAAAGACTCATGTTTTTCTATAAAATGAAAGAAACATTTGCAAAAAGACAAAATCACTTTTCCTTCAGTCCATATCTTTCCTCCATTTCTCTTACAGGAAAAACAAACAAAACAAAACAAATCTTAAGTTCCTTGATTATTTTCTAAAGTTATCTTTCAAAGGAATGGGAAATTGCACTTAAATTTTATTTTCTTGTAATTTATTTCAAGTACCTTAGGAAAACATTGTTAAGTATATAGAAAGCATCTAGTTGACATCAAATAAGATTTGAAAGAATTATATCAACGTAATATACTCTTTTGATAAAATGAAGAAATATATACTATTAATCTCTCTAGTTTTTTATCATTAACAAGGTGAATAAAATGAATTCTCACAGGTCAACCAATTTCCATGTTGATGACTGAAACAGGTCTGACTTCCAGAGTAGGTTACTCCAACTCAATTTACTAATCCTATTGTAATGAAACCCAGGCTCAACTGCTTGCTGCTCAAAAGCCAGACATGAGAGAGAGGAGTTGGTGGGAGGAAAAGCAGGTTTATTCAGAGAGCAAGAAAACTGAGAGATGATGAACTAGCATTCTAAGGTACCCACAAAAACTAAAAAGAAAATAAAAAGAATGAAGCACTATCTTACATTTTAAATTTCACCACAGGGTTTTTAAAGAGAAAGTTGGTATGGGAGACATGCAGGAATGGTACGAGGTGCAGGGTATGTGTGTCTTTGTTCCAATTGCTATCTTGGGCAATCACCCATCTAGAGGTCTGGTTGATGATATCTTGACATCCACCCAATGGTTGTAGACTAATTGTTGCCAACTCCCTGTAAGTGGGAGGATTCAACAGGGGCTCCATGTCTGGTTTGTTTCAAGGTTAGCCTCTGGGATTTCTCAAACAAGAACATAATTAGATAAGCACGTATTGCCAGAGGAGATTATCTGAGAAGAAGGGAAGTAAATGGTGAGAGAGGAGAGAAAAAAGAAAATGGGTGATTTGGTAAGTTAGAAATGCAGAGAAATTGTGTAGATAAGCAGCAAGAATACTCCAGGAAAACAAATCATATTTGAGAAAAGATGATATAGCTGCCTAAATACTGAGTCTAAATTTGTATACACAATAGGTATACAGTTTATATAACTATTATCTATTGAAGCTAAACTCTGTTAAGTGCATAAGTAATACTAATATGGCCAGGCCAAGACTAAGACCTTGTTCTTCATTTCAAACTTCCTATGTATGTTGCTAATGTTTGGACACCAATTTTTAGTTTCCTTTACATTGTTTCACAAGAACTGAGCATATACATCTAAACTTAATATAAATTACAGATGCTAATAACAATGAGGAATTATGAATAGAAGTTTGCCTATGATACTCTCCTCACAATACGACTTAGATTCAAACCTGCCTTTGAGTATGGGTCTAATAATAGTTACTTTAGCATAAATTTAAAGTCACTAACATACCTCCTGGGACTGTATCCCCTATGCCTAATCATGTAACAAAAGGTTTTGACTTATTTTAAATGGAATATAGTCAAATTAGTCAACACCATCTTTTGTAGCAGTAGAGAGAAAAACGAGCTTTTTTTTATTTTACAAGCTATAGATCTATACCATTACAATCAAATGTATTTTATTCTTTGTCTGAGTTTAAAGTCAGTGCTGCTTGTCTAATTTTAAAGACCAAGTCATACTTATTCTCACTCAATAATACATTCAGTTTCAAAAGACTTGGAGAGCTTCACTATCTGAAATTAACATACTTTAATCACTTGAGTAAGATATAAAGCCCATGAGGCCAATCTATAACAACTAATACTTCAATATTTTTCGCTAGCTCTATCTCCACTTCAACAAATCAGTATTTTATAAACTGGAAAATAGGTAGGTGGACCCCAGCCTTCACAGACTTAGTAATCTATTAAATTACTTTAATATTTTATACTCCACTTTTCTTTAAAATTTTATAAATAGTTACTAAAAATTTCCAATAAAAAATGTCTTTGTTTCCAGAAAAAACAATAATGCATTACTTAAACGCATCATCCAAACAATGGCAAATGCATGACTTATTCATATATCAATGGACTCCCTAAGTAATGATGGTCAGTTATAATACATTAGGTGCCTTCAGAATTTAACACTTAATGTATTCAACAAATAGATTATGAGGTTGAATATTTCACTAAAGAAATAGAATTAGTATTGGGAAAAATGGATTTTTTTTCTATGAAATTCTAGAAAGAGAAATACAATCCTGAATTTGAGAACTCAGTATGTGTTTACTAGTCAAGTGGACATTAATGAGAAAAGTTTTAGTGACATGAAAGATAAGGCTATATGATATATCCAAACTGAAGCAAGAGAAAAAATATTGATTAAAAACAAAGCAAAGTAAAAGAGCAGAGGTATGTATTTTTATATATATACACATATATACATATATGCATATACACATGCATACACATACATATGCATACATACATAAACACACAACACATAAACATATATCCACCATGATTAAGTGGGCTTCATACTAGGAATGCAGAGATGGTTTAACATATGCAAGTCAATACATGTGATAAACCATATAAACAGAATTTAAAACCAAAATCACATGATCATCACAATAGATGCAGAAAAAACATTTGACAAAATCCAGCATCCTTTAATAATTAAAATCCTCAGCAAAATCAGCATACAAGGAACATACCTTAATGTAATACAAGCCATCTATGACAAACCCACAGCCAACATAATACTGAACAGGGAAAAGTTGAAATCTTTCCCTCTAAAAACTGCAACAAGACAAGGATTCCCACTCTCACCACTTCTATTCAACACAGTACTGGAAGTCCTAGCCAAAGCAATCAGACAAGAGAAAAAAATAAAGGGCATCCAAACCAGTAAAGAGGAAGTCAAACTGTCACTGCTGATGATATGATCGTATAACTAGAAAACCCTAAAGACTCCTCCAAAATGCTCCTATAACTGATAAATGAATTCAGGAAGTTTCAGGATACAAAATTAATGCACACAAATCAGTAGCTCTGCTATATACTAACAACAACCAAGCTGATAATCAAATCAAGAACTCAACTCCTTTTACAACAGCTGCAAAAAAAAAAAATTAAAATACTTCGAAATATACCTAACCAAGGAGGTAAAAGACCTCTACAAGGAAAACTACAAAACACTACTGGAAGAAATCATAGATGACACAAACAAATGGAAACACATCACATGCTCATGGATGGGTAGAATCAATATTGTGAAAATGACCATATTGTTAAAAGTGATCTACAAATTCAATGCAATTCCCATAGAAATACCACCATCATTCTTCACAGAACTAGAAAAAAACCACCTTAAAATATGTAGAGAAACAAAAGAGAGCTAGCATAACCTAAATGTTAGTTTTTGAAAAGACTATTAGGTTAAACCCTAGAAAAGTTAATTAAGTACAAAGAAGGTACAACTTACCAATATTAAGAATGATACAGGCAAAATCATTACTGATCTTAAGGATATTATAATTAAAGTTACCCCAATTAACACAAAACAAGTGGAAAATCTTAATAGTTTTATATTTAATTAAAATAATTGAATCTATAACTAAAAACCTTCCCATAAATAAATCTCCAAATTAAATAACCTTGACTGGCAAATTTTCTCAAACATTTAAGAAAGAAATAATATCAACTTTATACACATGTTCCAAAGAATGGAAAAAGAAGAAACATTTATCAACTAATTCTATGAAGTAAGCAAAACCATGATAATTGAAAGCTTGCAGAGACATTAAAAGGAAAAAACAAGTGCAGACAATACCTCTTATCAGCATAGATGCAAAATATAAGTGCAAAATTGGCAAATAAAAAATATAAATGACAAAGCAATGTATCCATCATGACAAAACTGGGTTTAATCTTGGACTACAAAGGTTATTTAACATTTAAAAAACAGCCAATGTAATTTTCCAAATTTACAAAAAAAGAAAAACTTTATAAACTTCAATGGATGCAGACTAAGCTCTTATAAAATTTAACACCTATTTATATAAAAATCAAACTCTCTCAGCCAGCTAAAAAACAGGAACATTATTATGCTGAAGAAGTTATGTAACAATAACCAAATGGTTGCAGCAAATATCATTTACAGAAAAAGTGAAAACTTCCCTCTGAAATTTGGAATGAGGTAAAGAAATCCTGTATCACTATTTCTAGTTATATTTTACTGAAATTACTACCAAAGCAATAATGAAAGAAAAAAATAAAACATACAAGAAAATATACAGGGACAATATACAACTTCTCTGTATAAAATAATTTTTATACAGGGAAAATAAAATTGAAGAAACTGCAGAAGGATCTACAAGGAAACTATAAAAATTGAGTTAGGAAGGTTGCAAGATTTAAGGCCAATATACAATAAAAGGACAAATTATTTCTGTATAACACCAACAAGCTGTTAGAATATGAAATTATAAATATGATACCATTTGCAACAGCAAAAAAAATCATCAATATGAAAGACATAAAATACCTCAGCACTGGAAGCTCTGTCACTATTGAGAAAATGTGAAGATGTCTTCAGTAAATGGAAGTTTGTAACATGATTATGAATTGAAGAATTCAATATTGTAAAGAAGATACATAAATTCCTCAAAATCCCAATCAATATCCCTGCAAGTTTTATTAGTAATTGGGAAGTTGCTTCTCAAGTAGACGTGGGAATGCTTCACATCTAAAATACCCAAGACATATCTGGAAAAGAACAATATTGGAGAACTTACAATACAAAATATCATGAATTTGTATAAAGCCACAGTAATGAAGACAGTAGGCAGTATTTAAGACAGTAGGGTATAGGTTAAGGATAAACACATTTATAAAGGGAACAGAGTAGAGTTCATAAATAGGCCTACACATACATTCAAAGTTATTTTATGACAAAGGTGCCACTGCAATACAATAGGGAAATAATAAGCTTCCTAATCAATAGTGTTGGGTAAATTGGATTTGCATACAAAAAGTTATTTTCACCCATATCTCATCCCATGCACAAAAATTAATTATACATTTAAACATAGGTCTGAGTATAGATAATTAGACAATAAAGTTCATTGAAGATGACAGAGGATAATTCATTCATGAGCTCGGGAAAGGCAGATTTTTTTAAAATAGAGTCTCAAAAAGCACTAACCATAAGTGATTAATAAATGCACAAAAATGAAGGAAATAGAGAATCTCCTTAAAATACCACAGTAATAATTTTTTTTTTTTTTTTTTTTTTTTTTTTTTTTTGAGACGGAGTCTCGCTCTGTCGCCCAGGCTGGAGTGCAGTGGCGCGATCTCGGCTCACTGCAAGCTCCGCCTCCCGGGTTCACGCCATTCACAGTAATAATTTTTGCAAGCAAGGTTTGATAGTAGATACTACAGTGAAAGCACAGCATATATGCATCATCCTCAAGTAAAATAGAAACCTTATAGTGGAGAGACCTGGCAGTTATCCCTTAAACCAGTGATTCAGATTAACATCAGTAATAAGGCATATTAATGTTTTTAACCCCTAATATGACTCACCGAAAAGAAAATATCACTTCTGTGGTATTCTCAAGAAAAATGTGTAACACAATTTTATCATTAGAAAACATCAAACTGGTAGCAAACCCAAATTGAGGGGCATTAAATAAAGTAATTTACCAATTTTTCAAAAGTGTCTAAATCATAAAAGGGAAAACTGAGAAGCTGTCACAGGTAGAAGGAGACTAAGCAGGCATAGAAGTAAATGCAATGTGAAATACCGAATTGAATCCTGAAACAGAAGAACGATATTAATGGAAAAAACTGTAAAATTCAAAGAAAGTCTAGTTTACTTATTAGTTTCATAATGTTAATTTCTTAGATTTGATGTATTTTTATGGTTATATGTTAACATTACAGAAAGATATTATAAGTTAATGGGAAATGGGAAATTTTCTGAAGTATTTTTAGACAAATCTGTATTATGTGATCATTAAAAATCATATTGGCAAAAATACATAATATATTAGATATAAACTTTTAACCTTTAGGGAAATGATCATAATATATATCCAATTATATATACCAAATGGGAGAAAAATGACTAAAAAGACAGATATCAAACTCAAATATTTTCTCTATGAGTATGTATTTCTTTCAAATTAGAGGAATATTTTAACACAGTATAAACCAACTGTGTTTAACTCCATTTATTATTTGATCAGCTTAACTGAAGATACTGTGGCATTAAAATAAAATAAAATTTAAATTGCCTATTTCCAAATTGGTTTATGTAACATGGTACCTTTTGTTGCTGCTGTTGTTTTGTTCTGTTTTTTGTTGTTGTTTGTTTTCTCGTGTGTGTGCGTGCGCGCGTGCGTTTTTGGTAAGAACTGAATACACTCCTTTTTCTTGTATTGATCTGCATTTGTAAGAAAAGCAGTGAAAGAATAAGTATACTGAGGCCCTGCTAGTTAAGGTTTTCAGTGCTCTGCTTCATTGAATGGAAGTCTTCACTATTTTTATTCACATATATATTAATTCAGTCATTTTTTTCTTTACTGTGGGTTTATTAGGAAACTTCTCTATAATTGGGCTTATACGATATACACAGATTTCCATTTTCCAGAAAGTAAGTCAGACGGATGGTGACTGGTAATTGACATCCCTGTGTGACTTCATACCCATCAAATTAAACCAAATTTGGCAGTTGATGGGATGTGGCTACTAAAGACCTCAATGTTTGCATTTACATAGTTTTGTCACTGATAGCTTTAATGGTCCTTGATAGCCCAAAAGTATGGTTGGCATTACATTTTTGTTTCTTTTCCAATTTCAAATCAAAGCAATGTTTTCTCTGTAGGGTATAAACTTTAGTTACTTTACCTTTAATGATAACATATTTTTATTTATTTGCCCACAGAAAAATCTCAAATTTCCAATTTATTTTTATCTTTATCTAGGCACTCTAATTCCAACACTAAGCCTTTGGGTGGCTTTTCCCAATGCAATGCTTATCAAGTTGTCATTGAATTATAAAATATGCTGCTATGTGCTATGAAATGTTCTCCTGAAAGAACAATTGTGATGCATTAGCTAACAAAAATCTTTGTTACCTCACAAAGGAGAATTCGACAGTTCTTCACTGGTACTTCATGCCTAAGAAAAATATGCAAATAAGAAAGCAAACTTTTGGAGGAGGGATGTGCATGCACATTAGTTGACAATGCTTTTTTAAAATATTTCTAATCTATCAAGAGTAAAAAGTTAGAATATATTTTTCATTTTAAATCTCTAGAGGTTTTCAATTAATATTACAAGGATTGAATTTAATTCATTACACATCTACTATAGAAGAAATATGACTTGTATTCTTAAAGAGTTTTAGAAATAAGGACTGCAAATTTATAAATGGACTCATTTTTAAACCTCACCAGAATGCTTCATTCCTTCAGATTTCTAAATCACCAAAATAATATATTAAACTTTACATTACTGGGAAATAGTATGCATATTTTATTTAAAAAGCAATGCTCACACGAATGGTGGCTTTGTATTAATTCTCTCATAAAAAATCTTCAGGATAAATTAAAGATAATTGAGAAATATTGGCAATGTGGAGTTAAAGAAACCTCGATTTTAAAAAAGTCTAAAGGAAACAAAGATGATGGCAACAAACAGAAGATAGACATTTGAATATTTACCACTTCAAGTGAAATGTAGCTACACTGACAACATTTAGACCCCTTTAATATTCCCTTTAACTATAGTTGTCTTAAAAATTACCTCTACCTACACTGGGACCCATATCAGGTAATGAACTATCATAAGTGGGAGGCAAAGACTTAACAACTGGCTGTATTTGTGATAAAGCCTGAATGACAACACTCTTATTTGTCATTTTCTTGTATTACTTCATTCTCACTACTTCATTTCCATTACTCCCTCAATTAAAGATATTGGTTAAAGATATTATGAAAAGAACATGTTTTTGATTTGCTTTTCATTTGGGTCAGGGAAAAATTATATTACCTGTGAAAATTTGTGGAAAGAATGAAGACTTCTTAAATATCTTAATAATTTAGCATCAACTTAGGATATTCTAAAACACTGGCAGGGGGGAAGGGAGATGATTTGAAGCATTACTTACATAACATTTCAAAAAGCTCAAACCATATAAATGCATTGCTCAAGAAACTGAGAATCTTAATACAACTTGTTTTTTCCTTCAGGTTATTTAAAATTGAATCACATGGTCTTCACAATGTATAAGAAAACAAAATTAATATAGTTATAACAGTCTGAATATTTTCTTCTTAGAGGTATGTTTTCCATCCTCTCTGCCAAAGGAAAAAAATAGCCAATTTAAAATAAAATGGAGCATTGGAAACACAGCAAAGGAATTCTCTGTCACACTTCCTGCTAGTTTCAAGCTATTTTCATTGTACTTGGCTCATCTTGAGTATTTTCAGCCAAAATGTTATTCAGGCTCCCTGAAGTACATTTCCTGGGGGTGGGGAGCAGATTTTTTATCATTGTATAATAGCATTTAATATATCAAAATGACATTTGAAAATGTCAAGAGGATGTAAGTTTGAGTATGTGTTTGTGTGTGTGTGTGTGTGTCTCTCTCTCTCACACACACACACACACGTTCAGATGTCAAAGCCCCAAATCTTTGAATTCTTCAAAAGTTACTCAATATTTTTAAAAAAGTATTACTGCGAAGTTTCAGTAACTTAAATAAAGTTTAAACAGCTCATATTGCGCTAATAATTTAGAAACATGGTTCATTTGGTGATGGTAGAGGTGTTTTTTTGTTTTTTTTTTGAGTTTTTTAACCAGTGCTGTATTTCATCTCCTGTTTCAGGAAAGAGACAGAGAGAACACACACAACAGAATCTAGAAAATCTGACTTCTGGTCTCTACTTATATATTCTTTAAATGAATATATATTATAGTAAATGTATTTATTGTTTAAGTGTTCTATTGTGCAATTACTGTATTCCAGGTACTATGTATATCACAAAGGTAATACAATAGAATCTAACATAATTTACAGAAGAAACAACATTTTGATTATTCACTAAAGTGTTAGTAAAATAAATAATACTTTTAAACCTGTATCTTTTCTTATAAACTATTCTAGATATAGCGATAAGCCCTTCCTTAAATAGCCTCCACTTAGCTTTTCCATATTATAAATAATGCAACAGCAATAGTTATTATAATTAGCTCAAAGATTATATATTTACTATAATAAAAACTATACATTATTAAATTATTATTATTTCAATTTTGCAGTCATTGGCCAAAACACCCTAGAGTCTCTTCCTGATCAAGAACAAAAACAAAACCAAGAAACAACCCCACCAAATCCACATATGTCTTCCAGAGATTTTATTTTATTAACTGGCACAATTACCTACTGAATTGCCAAAGTAGAAACCTTGAAAGAAATTCCTCCTCCTTTTGTTTGTAGAATTTGAAATCTGCATTTTTCCATGGAGTATAATTGTTTACATTTTTGCTTTCATTTACCTCAGGAGCCAGCAAAATTCACTGGTTAGGAGCGTGGGCTGTGGAGCCAAGCTACTTGGTTTGCTAGCACAGCTTCTCGACTTCTGTTGTGTGACTTCAGACATGTTATCATGGAACTGTTGACTTATTTAAAAGACTAAGTTAAAAAAATTATATCTACTTCATTAAGCATTAAGTGACAATACATCGTACATGGTGCTCAGTATCTATTAGTATCTATTCTCTTTGGCTTGTTTTTTTGATAATTCTACCACTTTCATCCCATCTATTTTCTATTGTTTAGTAATTATTCAATTCTTAAACTTCTTTGTATGATAATGATTTTTTTTATTTTCCAGCAATAATATGGTTCTTTCAATCATATTTGGACATACGCTATCAGTGTGCAATTTTGAACTAAATATCACTTCTAAACAGTCTTACAGCTTCTTGAATTTCTCCTTCTATCTGTTCTATCACTTTGTGTGTATCACTTGTTTTCCTAAATTTGCATTGTAAGATGGCAGGACCCATGCTTGTCTTCTTCCATGGCTCCAGTATCTAAGTAAGAATCTTGTATATAATAAGCATTCACTGAAATTAAATTAAATTAATTAACTAATATATTAAGAATAAAAGAGAGCAAGAATTAATATACATACCTCATCCTCAACCAGAAAAATGATCTCTGGGGAAATGACAGTCCATCACAACTTTCCTTTGATAATGAATGTTAGATGCCCTTAAAGGATAAAAGAAAGGAGCATTTAGAAACACCATCGTAGTTACTTTGTATTCATTTCTTTATTTATTCCAATCAACTGACTCATGAGATAGATTTCTTTATCTTCCTGTTTTCGGATGAGGCAAATTAGGCTCAAAGAGATTGTAAGACATCAGCGGTGACTGAGGAAACCTGTATATCAAGCGGTTCTTATGTAACCAATTCACTACCCATGGTGGTGATTCCAGTCAAAGGGAGCTTCCTGGGTTTTCAAGGCATCTCCAAGGAGCATCATCATCGGATCTATCAGAGAAAGACTACCCTTAACCCTTTTCTTGTCTTAAAATGTGTCACAATATGGCTTTAACTGTGGAAATAGATGAAGACCACCCAAATGAGAACAAGCAAAGGCAGGTTTTTTTTTTTTTTTCTTGGAGTTTACTATAGCAAGAGAAACAGTTATCATCACTTGCATTTTACAGAGACTTAGGCAGACTGAGGGTTGGGAAAGCTTTGTAGTAGAAAAACCAGAAGGTTTTAGGTATGCCCTTTTCGGAGGCTGTTGGCATGGGAATGCTGGAGGTGGTCTAACTAGAAGTGGGGAAGCATATGCGATTAAGAGTGCATTATTTTGCTTTCTCCAGTTGGTCCTAAGTGGGAAGCAGCTGCAAAGAATGGGAAAGCCATCAGTTATTAATCAAGTTCTGGTCATTTTGAGCCAATTGCTTAAAATGGAATCACATGGTCTTTACAATGTGTAAGAATACAAAATTAATATAGTTATAATAGTCTGAATATTTTCTTCTTAGGAGGTATGTTTTCCATCCTCTCTACCAAGGAAAAATTAATCAAAAACTTTTAGAAATAGAGCATTAGAAATACAGAAAAAAAATTCTCATTATACTTCCTGCTGGAAGCAAGCTATTTTAATTATACTTAGCTACAGGGGGTATTGTTTGACTTCCTAGAGTGGTTGCAACAGATAGTAGGTTGGCTTTCTTGGCTGATTGCTGCAGGTTGTGAGCCAGACTTCTATTTTTATTTATACCCTGACTCTTGTTCATGTATATATCCAGTCTTTATACATATTAGTATAAAGCAAATAACAAATAAGAGTTACCAGAACATAGCACTACACTTCTCAACTAACATGAATAATGGAGTGACATATACTAACCATACAAAGAGAAAATTTTAAATGGCATATTGTATTAGTCTCATGTTTAAAAAGCATGGCAAAGGTTTGACTCTGTATTATCAAGTAAATAAATGAGGGTACCAAACAGAAAAATGTGGCTTACCATGATGAAAATTATAGAAATTAGAAAGATGTACTAGTCTGATGCAAGCAAGTCCACTTACTCTATTAAAAATAAGCATAAACAAGTCCATCACCTTGATGAGTTGAAACCCAGTTATTGGTGTTTTGGGTACTAGGGGTCTGAAAAATCTGTTATCATAACATGTAGTCAGAAACATTAGAAGGTGGCAATAACTCGGAGATAATAGTCAAAACAGAGGTGAGACAATTAAGGAGAAAGGTCAGTGGTTAGAGATGAATAAAAGCAATCCAGGAGGTCGACGCAGTTAACAGGAAGCAACCTCTGATCAGTGATAGGAATAGTGGTTTGTAGGACATCCCAATAGATGAGGACCAGGCACTGCTGAAGTACACGGTCACATTTCATCTAGAAATGTAGAGTTCAGCCTTATGAGATGAAAAATCAGTAGTAGCTCAAATGTGGCACACTGGAAGGGTGAGATAAGGTAATAAAATGTAGTTAAAAGTCTAAAATAATAACCGCAGGAGCAGCCGCTGCTGACAATGATAATCCTTCCCCCATTTTTGACATATCAAAATGGTGGCAGTGTTCCTAACTGAAATCCTAGCGCTTCTGGCTTACCCATCAGCTAGTCATTTGCCTTTAAGTAAGTTGTTATTTTCTGTCTCTTGGTAAAATAAAAGTGACACTAAATCATCTCTATCCTTTCCTGATTCAACAGAGCAGCCAGAGTCACTCCTATCTCCATTGCTTACATGAGTGAGAGATGTGAGTATTGCCCAGTGGAACAGATGAGAAGTAATCACAGATATTATTGCAAAAATCAGAAAGTCAAAGAACAACAGAACTCATTTGACTGTATGGGGCCTAAGAACTTACCAGTGAGAGAGAAATGCACAGCACAGTATCATATTTAAATACAATGAGCTAGCAAAAAAAGTGTGTGTTATTGGGTCTCGTTATTCCTTTCCTCTTTTGTTCTAACTAGAAACCAGTACTTCCGAGCCATGGTGAAGATACACATGGTGAAGTTGCACATGACTGAGACTGGCTATGTGAACAGCAGACAATTTTTTTTCAGGCAGTTCTTGTCAGGATGGAATTTTAAGGCAGCATTCCCATAAATTCTGTAACTCTAAGTAAGAGATTTTTGCATAATGTGGAACTTGAAAACAAGACATCTTTTCTTTAAGTCTAAAAATGATATTTTCTATGAATCCTTGATTTCCAAAGGGACTGTTAGAGCAGAAGAGTCCTTTTTATGATATCTTCATTTTGCATGAAATCACACTGAATAAACATATATCAGTCAGAATAAGAACAGTAAAAAAGTAATTACTTCCACATCTTTCCTCTGAGGCTAACACAGAGAAGAGTAAATTGTCTAACAATGGACAAATCATAGCTGGTTTTTAACATTTTAGATTGCTTTGGGGAAGCGATACACTTTATATTCAAGTTTTCAGTGGCATAGTATTATTTATTAATGATGAATTTATTAATCAAATCTTCAGAACATTATTTAAGCCATTGTTAATAGCTGTTTAGTGGTAAAACTATTGCATAGCACTTAAAATCCAAATTAATTTGGCCCAGGAACTGAACAACTGATTAATAAAATATAGCAATTATTTCTATTGTCAATTCACTGAAAAAGTTATGATTATTTTGATGTCACACATTGTTTTTAGTGTAGTGTCAGTAACGTACAAAATGCTGGATTTGCATACACATGAATGCAAGTTATATACACATGTGTATACATAAAATGTATTTGTACATAAATGTACGTGTTAGCATACAGGAATAAAAATTATAGCTGTTATTGAATGCTGGGTAACTGGATCTCACCAAAAAATCACAGTAATATTTTATATTTGCTTTTTTCAACAAAATATACAAAAAAGTTCTATAAAATAGTCAAGATTTTATAGTTCTATACTAAGACATAAAAACAATAAATTTTAAAAATTATTTAATGCAATAGTGGAATAAATTTTAATTATAAAATCAATGTTAAAATATAAAATGATTATTAACTCTTAAGTGAAAGTATACAGAATGGTATTATACTAGAATTGTTTCCATTAAAAAGGGGCTTTTTCACTGTTCTGGCTTCTAATGCCTGAAGTTAGAGTTAGCCACAGGCCTTCCACATGAGTCCTCAGAAGATATCATGGAAGTAGAGAATGACATGAATATTTGTTGTATTTAGTATAAAAAATAAATTAGCAGCACTGTGAAGAAGAAGATCAAGATTATGGGTTCTACAAAGGGCCCTACCTCAAGGCAGCCACGTTGGAGAAGGAGGATACATGAAGAATGGAAAGAAACGGTAGTGAGAGTTCTACAACTCTGCCGTGGCGGCGCCATTAGAGTTGGGCAGGCACAGGAAGAGATACAGTATCCAGCAGCAAAGCAATGAGGTTCAGGACCTTTTCTGACTGAGAAGGGAAACTGTTTTTAGAGAAATGCACTCTCTCTGTGGTTCTGGGATTATCCAAAGCAGGGAGAAAGCAGAGACTGAGTGAGATTGGACTACTCTCCCAATCCAGTTATTTATGGTTTGTGACAGATTTCATTTGATTTAAACAAATCCAAGTTGATTTAGACAATTCAAGTATTGTGGATAATTTCATGCCTATTACACTAGAAGGCTGGAATTTTGACTGGATGTTTTCCTCTATTTATGAAACTTTTGTATAGTTTAAAAATTTGCTAGTGCTCCAATTTACTGAGTAACTGCTTGGGGTAGAACTATGTACACATAAGTGCTGCCCTCACCTATCCTTTCATATAGGAAACATCTTCATTTCACTTAGGTTCAGAAAATGTTCTGACTGTCTATTGCTGCATAGCAAATTGCCCCACACAAACTGGCTTAAAAAACCACGTTGTTTTATTCTGTTAACTTCAGGAATTCAGAAAGAGCTGAACCAGGTCGTGATAATTTGGTTCTCTCATTCAGTTCCAACTCAATAATAGAGTAAGATATATGGGACGATAGAGCAGCTGGGGACGTCTGGGCAAAACTCTCTTCTCCAGGAGTCTTAGAGTCTTTACCTGTGTTATTTCCATGTAGTCTCTCAGTGTTAATTAATTTAGGCTTCCTCATAGCATGTCAACAGAAACATGTAATCAAACTCCTTGCATGGCAGCTAATATTTTTCAAGAGTGAGTATTCAAGCAAACAATGCAGAACCTGCAGTGCCTTTGTGTGACTTAGACTGAGAAGTCACATGGTGCTTTGCCAATGCTGCCATTCTCTGTTGCTCAAAAACATCGCAAAACTTGCCCGTTTTCAAGGGGGAGATGATACAGATAACTCCTGGTGATGGGAATAGTGTAAAGGAATCTGTGGATAGATTTTGGAAGTGCCACAGAGAACACATGAAACCCAGAAAGAGCAATTGGTGGACCCCGGGTCTGTAGAAACCAAGGGCTCTTCCAAGCCAAGCATTTGTTCATATCAATGTAATCAAGTGAGATCAGGAGACTATCTGAAAAGTCTAAATGAAAACATCACTTCTTAGTAATGAGACCAATTGGAGCATTTTCCTTGTCTTATTAAGGTTTTTCAAAAACATTTGCCAACAATAGTACCAGCTGTAGAAATAACACAGCATGACATAATGAAGTTTGGCTTTGTTTCCCAAAATAACATATTACAAATGCAATACTTATACTCTGAATTACAGGGTAATTTATCACCACTGTTAACATAAAAGGTCTCAAAATAGGCGTTCTTCTATTCTTGCCATTATCTAGTCCCTATTCTTTCCAGTTGTGCATTTGATTTCCTACTTCTTTTCAGTTCCTTAAAGACAGAGCATTGGACTCATTCCTTTGTATTCTCTGCCTTTGTGATTAATGGTAGCTTAAGATAGTACACAGCCACAATAAGTAATAGAATTTAATTTCACTATAAATTTTTAAATTGTAAAGGGATATAACAACAGAAGGCCCCCTTGGTGGGAGAGCAATGTCAAACAAATGAGTGATTTTTCCACAGTAATAAGTAACTCAGCGATGAGCATTTGTCGTTTCCTGTCAGAGGCGGGCTTGTGAGGCATCCAGGCATAATTTACAAACCTGCTGGTTCCTACCCATTGTTCACTGACTACTCCGTTAGTCTCTATCTGCCTGATAGAACAGAAAAATAACCTCAGCCTAGCCTCGTTATTCCCTTTCTAAACTACCATGCATACAATTATCTGCACTGCAGGCTTCTCTTGAGACTCCGTTGGTTTTTCTTAGAGAGAAAGCATATGACAGTCATTTTTTTCATTTTTCTGCTTATAAACTTCATGGTTTCTTTTTTGCAACCTGTTATGCCTCCTTATATTTTAACCCTTGATTGTTTATTTTTGAGAATTGGATCACTAGGTTCAGAGTTGTCATCTTCAACATGCAAGCTATGCAAATTTTATTCAACTAATTAAAAACATAGTTAAGATGACATAGAAAATAAGGAAAATACAGTATCAGGCCATGTGATAAAAGCATGCAAAATACTTTTTCTGTAACACGATGGCAATTATGCAAAAATGTGTAAATGTAATAGTAAAAAGTAATATTCAAATTTGGCACAGACTTTAAAATGATGGACACCAGTAGCACTATTACATTTTACAGATAAAGACTTATACAACTACAGTTAAGATTTTTCATAATGCCATAGCACAATGTTATGAATAAAAATAATTTACAATGAATATTTTATTTTTGTAGTGATTGATTGACTCATGGAAACATGACTGTATTTTAAGAAAAAGAAACTCAAGGTCAGAAATCCAATTTATGATTAATGTCAACACTTTTGGTGTTGGGTAAGGTCACTGAGGATTGCATATCTGCAGAAATCAGTTAACTTTTCCGCCGTATGTGTTGTAGAGGAGGGGAGAGGAGAGGAACAACTGCACATTGCAATAGAAACAAAAAAGATGGAGAGAGTATGGGCACACAGCTGTGAAATCAGAACACTAGTGGGAATTTTGAGTAATAGCACCCTTTCCTACTCAGAAGTAACAATTTTAGGGCAAAGAAAAGGGGGCACAGCATTACTACATAAAGAACTTTGAGAAACACGTGAGACTCACCCAAAGACAGATGACTAGTCACAGGCAAAATTGGAGAAGAGCTGGGAGATCTGACTCTTAGTGCCTTGAACATTCTGCTTTATCATTTTTGCTTCTTCGTTAGAGCCATCCCAACATCACATCCACTAGAAACAGGAAATGACAAACTGAGTAGACAACTCCGGAACACAAATAATTATTTACACACACACACAGAGAGAGAGAGAGAGAGAGACAGAGAGACAGAGAGAGAGAGAGAGAGAGACAGAGAGACAGAGAGAGAGAGAGAGAGACAGAAAAGAGAGAGAGAAAGATCTTTCAATTTTTCAATTTAAGGAGTTATTGTACATTTAATGGTAAGTGTATTTTGTAACAAATAATCCCAAACAGAAATACTGTGGCTAGATTTACACATCCATTAATTAAACAATCATAGGCAGGGGATCAATTATGTTTGTTTCAGTATCTTTGTATCACCAGTATCTGTAATATATATTGATACATAGTAGGTGTTCAAGACTCAATAACTAAAGAGTTGACTAGCATTTAGATTTATGCCTTGAACTCGCTGAATGTAGAATGATTTACAAAATAAATTGCCACTGCAGACAGAACCTATGACACGTTTCTGAGTGATTTTTAATGTCAAGTGGCACTTGCCATCACAGTGCATCTCTCCTTGCTGTTTATTCAAATGCATAGTAAATGGCTTAGCCAACCTGGATGAAATAGACTCAGAAACTGTCCAATTAAATTATGAAGGAGGCTTGGGCATATTGGTTACCTATTGCTGCATGAAAAATTAACCAAGAACATAGCAGCTTAAAACAAATTGATCTTCTCAGTTTTTCAGGGTCAAGCATCCAAGAATTGCCTAGATAGGTGGGTCTGGCTCAGGGTCTTTTATGAGGTTTTAGTTGAGTGAGTGGCCAGGGCTGCCGTCATCTGAAGGTTTGACTGGTGCTAGAAGATTTGCTGCCAAGATAGCTAACCCAGATGGCTGTTAGTTTGAGGCTCCATTTCCTTGCTCTGTACTTTGCTGTAGGGTTCTTGATTACTGGACCTCTCCATGGGACTGTTTGAGTATCATCATAATAAGGCACCTGGCAAATTTTCCAAGAAAGTGAGGGGGAAGACATGGTGCATTTTATGTCCTAATCTTAGACATCACAACTCACTCTTCTGTCACATTCTATTCCTTAGGAGTGAGTTACAAAAGATAACCTACAGGCCGGGTGCGGTGGCTCATGCCTGTAATCCCAGCACTTTGGGAGCCCGAGGTGGGTGGATCATGAGGTCAGGAGATCGAGACCATCCTGGCTAACACGGTGAAACCCCGTCACTACTAAAAGTACAAAAAAAAAAAAAAAAAACTAGCTGGGCGTGGGTGCGGGCACCTGTAGTCCCAGCTACTCGGGAGGCTGAGGCAGAAGAATACCGTGAACCTGGGAGGCGGAGCTTGCAGTGAGCTGAGATCACACCACTGCACTCCAGCCTGGGCAACAGAGCGAGTCTCCATTTCAAAAAGAAAAAAAAAAAAAAAAAAAGGATAACCTACATTTTTACAGTGGGAATCACACTTCACCTTTTGAAGAGAAGAGTATCAATAATCTATGGATATATTTTTAAATAACCACATGAGATCACAGACCTTTTCAACAGTACAGCAGTTCATCAGTACAACAGTTCAATAGTACATGATTTATGTATCAGATTGTACTATATATGTACATGTACATGCAAACATATTATGTTAAAGACTCCTTTAAGATGATGTGCATTTTTGTGAGAAGTAATTGAAAATCTAACTAAATGTGATGCTCCACACCAGAATGGATGCCAAGAATACTAAAAAAGAAAATGTTGGCAAATAAGAGAAGAAAGAGAGGCTTGTCACAAAGACAGAGGAAAAGGAGGCATCTACATTAATGACCATAATAAAACAATCATATGCAATTACACACATGATGATATCTACCTCTGTTCCTATTCCACATCCTGGCAACTGGGTTTTGATGAGCATTAGTGGCCATCACATACACACCACCACCCTCTAATTAGTCCCACACACCAGAAGGAAGTAATAAAATACTTGTTTCCAATATTGACAACTACTTACTGCACGTCTGCATGTCTTTGCATCAGTGTCTCACAGATTGATGGCATTTGTTGGCATGGCCCCTACCACTCATTTTTGTATGTGAGCTGCAAGTCTGCCAACAACTATCATAAATACAGGATATCATCTACCTGTAAAACGTATACAATGCACATAGTTGACTAGATGAATTTTAAGTTTGAAATTTCCCTATGGTGCCCTAAGCAAACACAGAAGTAACTTTTAGAATTACCTGACTGCAATGCTCCTTTTAAATGCTTTGTCGCTGTGAAATGTCTGTAAGAGACTGGGTGCAGTGTTACCAAGTTATAAAACTTTGTGATTCTGTTTCTGTGATAATGCAAGCAATATATTAACAACCTTAGCAAATATGCACATTTTTATTAGCAGTGAATATCTTCCCAGTATTTCCTGACAGAATTTGAGGAGTGAAATGTCTTTATCATTTCCATTTTACTGCTAAAATTTTGTTATTTACCATAGGGGTCCAGGCTACTGCTGAGTTTTACTCTGTAATTAGCGGTGTGTGAATCAGAACAAAAATCAAAGTCTCACTTATACAATATTGAATATTTCCTGCAACAGGAAGTTCACCAAATTAAAGGTCTCACCTTTCATCAAATACTCGAAAGAGACAATGTGTTCAGCTCATTTTGCTAAGCAAGATGAGAATATATGGTGAAAATGGAAGACTACCCAAAATATTTCATAATCTAATTCTGTCTACCTAAGGGAAATTGAATAGGTCTAAGGGAAATTAATCTTACGAATAGGTCTAAGGGAGATTAATCTTACTTTGTTTTGTTACTTGTTCCATGATAGTTTATGAATGATATGTACACAAGTGACCCTTGCATCTTCTATCGTCCTGTGCATTAGGTTGGGTTGTGGAGTTGATCACAGCCTATCTTCTATAATCAGTATGCAGAAGACCATGGTATGACAACCTGGAGCTTGGAATTTGGATTATAATATCTTGTTATTGGAGATTTGGGAATTATGAAATTCAGTACAATACCCAGAGTAAACTCTCTGGGCTGGGAAACAGACAAGGCTGTAATCTAATTAATTTTTATTTTCTGGATTGCAGATGTTTTGTTAGTTTTATCAGTCATGGTTTAAGTGTGTGACTTTGAAAAGATAATTAAGTTCCCTCCACCTCAAGTCCTTATCTATAAAATTACTCCCCTCATAAGGTCAATGTGAGAATTAAATGCATTAATATCTCCAAATCGCTTATCATGGTCCCTGATGCATAGTAAGCTCACAGTAAATAGTGTGAGATGTAATTATAATTTATTATATTATTTTATTTAAAGATATTGGGGATTAGGGTTATAGAGACGAATGAAATGGCTGAAGAATGTCATTTAATGACACTGTCAATCTTTATAGCTTTGAGGGATCTTAGATGTGATTTATTATTTTTACCCCTTTAATAAATTACTTTTCAAGATTGCTCTGGAACTTCAAAATATTGGTATGTGTTCTAGATGCAGTGTGACCAAAATTTTGGCCGATGGACTTGAGTAGCTATAAAAATGTTTGTTACTGGTGCAAAATGAGATAAGAATAAAATTGAGAGTAATTTAAAATATATATATATAATATATATAGAATATATATATATAATATATAGAATATATATATAATATATATAGAATATATATAGAATATATAGAATATATATATAATATATATATAATATATATATAATATATATATAATATATATAGAATATATATAGAATATATATATAATATATATAGAATATATATATAATATATATAGAATATATATAGAATATATATATATAATATATATATAATATATATATAATATATATAGAATATATATATATAATATATATAGAATATATAGATAGAGGCTAAAATGCTCAGAGTCTGAGTAAAGCATTTGCTACCACTCTGCTGCTAAGGTGATGGGTGTTTTCAGCAAAAACGTGCGCTTTGCCTTAGCAAGTAAGAAATCAATTTTCTCCAGTATCTCCAAAGCATGCAGTTTCTCAATTCTTATAGCTCTTTTTAGATAGAATTCAACGGCCAATGTACCTTCTTCTTTCCAAGCACTAAATTAAAACTCATTCTTCCTATGTTCAAAAATAGAATTAGAATGTTTTACTAAGGAAAGTAGATATGAAAATTATAACTTAGGCTATATAAATGGATTGAAACTGTAAATCCTAGAGTTCTTATTTAGAGGACCCAGGGAGAGGTCATTCAATGCCTTTTCTGAAATGAAGTCCTCAGAGAACTAAGTTCCAGCTCTACCTTACTTATCTTATGAAATCTAATCCCATATTTCTCATTTTTTAAAGGACACTTTTACTTGGAATTCTCATCAATGTATCAAAGTCATGTCAATGAATTTCAGGAATGCTGTATCATATTAAGGTGATGGTTAGTCTCTGATGGATCTGTAAGATGAAGGCATTAATAACTGGTAATAATGGCTGAAGTTTTTCAAAGGAGTGAAATTAATGCTCAGTAATAATGTATCAGAGAATATGGAAATGGAAACTCTGAATGTGAACAAGATGCAGTTACTGTCTGCCATCATTGGGAGAATAACCCTTTTTTCAAGCAGAATATTCCCTACCCAGAATGCTAACTTAATAAGTTATTAAGGGTTATCACTAATTCCTGATGAGGGATAGCAGACACCAAAATTTTCTGTATACCCTTTATTGGTGGTTGTAAATAATCTTGAATAGTAAATGCTCTAATTATAGGTATATTTATAGTCATAATTACAGACACAGTTATAATTGCCATATATTCATAATTATGATTACATTTATGATTATAGTTACATTTATAGCTCTTGTTAAACTTCCAACTTCATGCCAGAAGGATCTGTAACTTTAACCACTGAAGCCCCAGCACTGAGCTCAGCAGCTAGAATGCAGTAAGATTTTCACAGACAAATATTGAATAAGATAGGAGCTATCTTTACCAAATTAACTGAATTATTCTTGCTATGTAATTCCATCATTCTCTAGAATGAAAAGTCACCTGGAAATATTAAGGAAATGTTGATACCCCAACAAAATGAATCCTAACTAACCACTTTAGTTCTGAGTTCTGGTGCTCCAAATGGGCATAGCCAGATAAACATTGTTAGATAAATGGAAGTTATCAAAATCTATATTTCATGAGATGCTACATTTTTATCCTAAAAATTTGATTTTTATACCACTAGAGCATTTTATAAATCATTCAAAATGTTTAAATTAACAAATCACAACACTAATAGAAATATCTACATACATATCTTTGAACAACACTAATAGAAATATCTACATACATATCATTGATTAATTGGTATATATTAAGGTTTCTCAATGTGTGTCAATATCCACAGGCACAATCATATGTGCATATTTGTGATTTGTTGGTAGCTACTTAAATATGTTTATACATTAATGGGTCCATGTTAATCTTTGAACATAGTGAAAATTCTGCCCATCTGTATTCCCAAGGATGTTGTTAGAAGGCAACGTACCTCCTCAGGACAGTTCTACAACAGAGTGCCTGGGTGCAATTTCTGGGACATCATTCTAAGTTGTTTCAAAAATTATCTACAAAGCCATTTGACTCAATATAAGGCAGTAGTTTTAAAGAAAATGATATGAATCTAGGAATTCAGAATGGGCTGACCTCACAGAGATCAGATGCAAGTAAGTTTTGGAATAGGAAATAGGAAGATAAGGTATAGGAGAAGGAGAATGCTGTGTGCCAAAAGTTGTCCTGACATCAAGTCATTTTCAACAGCATCAATGTAAGAATTTAAATTTCTCATACCCACACACATTGTAAACTTCCCAGCACTCCATGATATCTCAAGCATATGTCTTCCTAATAGCCAGTATCTCTTTATCTAATATATGTATAATCTTACTTAATTCATTTTACAGGGGTAAATCTCACTCTGCAAACTGGGTGGTGACAAAGAAATATCACATTACTTTATTTTAATCGAATCAAAGAAATCTGACACTGAAACTTCATTTTATCAGAACAACAGAGCATCTACACTCAGTCATTTTTAGGGGCACTTTACCTTTCCTGAAGTTACATATATGTCCCTCACCCACCAGCTGGCTATTGATATCTTTCTTATCCAAGGGGCTGTGCCACTTTCATTATGAGCTTGAGCACAAAATTATGATCCCACCTCTGGGGTGCACCTTGCAAACAAATTCTTGCACTTCCCAGGGCATGCCTCCCCACCAGGGGCCTGGACCTGCACATAGGTCTCCATGCTCAGAGAATTTGAAGATCTCAGTTCCCACCTTGTCTCTAGAAATCCATGGCATTTCCACTTCTGTCAATGTCCTTTCCTCCATAAGCATGAATCCCTGAGTCTCATCAGACCAGCCCACTCCTGCCAGGCCAGAATCCCAAAAGGGCCCATTTATCTTCTTGAGAGGAAGGAAAAAGCACCACTGTAAGAATAAAATACATACACATTAATATTTCAGTAAATTATCTTCCCACATTGCAATTTATCACATGGATAAGGAGAAGAGTCATTCCTCACATTTTCTGGCAATAAGGCAGTGAGAAGTCCCCTCAAAATACATCTTTTTACCTGAAATTATTCACGAGAAGGGGAAAAATACCTCTTTCTAGGACTTTATCTACACCACAAAAGCTTTTAACCAACAGAAAAAGGGGAACATCACACTCCGGGGACTCCTGTGGGGTGGGGAGAGGGGGGGAGGGATGGCATTTGCAGATATACCTAATGCTAAATGACGAGTTAATGGGTGCAGCACACCAACACGGCACATGTATGCATATGTAACAAACCTGCACATTGTGCACATGTACCCTAAAACTTAAAGTATAACAATAAAATAAAATAAAATAAAAAATTAAAAAATTAAAAATAATTAATTAATTAATTTTAAAAAAAAGAAAAAGAGCACAATTAGATAAACCAAGGTATTCAGCCTTTAGTACATTTTGGTTCTTCACTTATCCTAGTTAAGGCTACTAGTTAGGAAAGATAAAAAGAGGAAGCAAGAAACAGACTTAAGAGGCCATAACTTTTTATCCAAGTCTCTCTATATTAAGTGTTAACTATATTAGTAGTAATTCTTCACCTAATTATCATATGTGGGTTTTATAATATGAATATTATTTTGATATATATTTATATCATTATTTTCTGATTTTTTTGGTAGAATAAAAGAAGGAGTGCTTTCTTATATTTAGAGAGTATTGCTGAATATACAGGGTGATAAAAATTCTATTTTACTGGAGCAACTAATAAAAACATATGTTGATATATGGGTTGAATACAATCAACCTGGTACTTGAACTTGGGATACAGATATGTCTCTATGCATTTGTGGATATTGGGTGTTTTCAGTTAAACAAACTATATTTAATTTTATCCTGGAATAGAGCTGTGGTTTGTCAACTTTTCCAGTGACAACGACAAATTGGAGGAACACAGCCACTACAAAATTGCTACTTACTAAACTCCTTGTCAATTCACTTCTGCATTCTTTGAAAAGAGTGATTTCATAGCCTTTTCTCTACAGCCCTTATGCCCTCTATAAAATAAATACCCTCCTAAATGGTCACATCTGCTTACTTTTGGCCCACAAAATGCTTAGTCAATGAAATAAGCCACCATAGCTACTTTGCTCACTTGACATTAAATCAAATTTTGTGGCAAAGGAACACTGAAGACCAAATTGTGTGTGCTATTCATATAACTTGTATTGCTTCAGAAGTCATTTAATTTCCCCAAGGTCTTTAAGAGCAGTTATTTTCTCTTTTCTAAAAAATTTATTTATTTATTTATTCCTTTTACTTACTCATTTAGCAAATATTTATTAGATGCTTACTATATGCCAGGCACTGTGTTGTAGATACAAAGATTAATAAGGTCACAGTCCCTGCTCTTAAAGAGCATACAATGTATTATTGGAGACAAATATAACTAAAAAATGACAAACACAATGTAGTTAAAGGGATGAAGATGGAAGGTCATAGCAGGAAAACATAAAAGTGTGATCAATTCTGCTAGGGCCTGGGGAGGTCTGGATAGGTTTTACAGAAAAGAACATTCTCAAGCAGGGCCTGAAAAATGAATTTCTCAGGCAGCAAATGGGAAAGGAATTTTGCTATTAACAGATTCACATCACAATTAGAGTTGTATAATTCTGTTAGAATGGAAGAAAAAGATGAAATGGAAAGTGTTGATGGATGAGGTTGAAGAGATAAACAGATGAAAGAAATCCTTCGATATATAAAGCTAAGGAGTTCAGATAGTGTCATACAAGAGGTAGAACATGATTGGAGGATTTGAAGTGTAATGCAATGTAATTTCTATTTTTTAGAAGATTATTCTCACTATGGAGTGAAGTTTGTGGCCAATTTAGAGTAAGACAAGTGTCCAAAGTCTTAAATTGAGTGAGATTTTCCTAATGTTTACTTTTCTGCTAACTTTCTATGAAATGTAACATTGTTATATACTTTTTCTCAATATAACTCTCCTACTGTAGATTGTATAAATCACTCTGGTTGAAGTCTCACCTTGTATCTATGTGTGTTACTTCTTATTTCCATTCAGTGGTTCATTTAATATTAATATCAAGAAATAAGAAGACCTTAAGGAAAGTAGTAATAATGGAAATTTTAAATATTAGAAAATACAAATAAGAAGTTATTGTTTATCTTTATGAGAATCAAGTAAATGAGTGGCAGAAATTAGTTGTATTATATCTAAGTAATTGGCATAATTTTGACCTTTGTTTTTTAAAAATATTTCAGCTTTCAAAATTGGCTTTTAGATAATGAAACAATAAAAAGAACAATTTAATTGTGTAGTCAGACATATTTTTATAGAGACATTCTTGTTTTTCTTTTACATTGCAAACAAGGATATGATCCAGGGAAGAATTAATAAGTTCTATATTTTGTTTGCATTTTATCTATTGCATGTGTTTTTCAAGAGAACTATATATAATCAAAGACATTTAGTTATTGTAATTATAGCAGAGATTATCAGAAATATATTAATTACTTTAAACAATCCCTAAACGTCATTGCCAATTGTTAATTGTGATTACCTAATGCAGATTACATCCAAATAAGGAACATTTGGCCCTATGTAATAGCATATACAAATGGTAGTATGCATATTATGAGAACAGAAATAATGAACAGTTAACTTTGACTGCAGGTCTGACTTTAATAAATGCATCTGAGAAGACAAAAAAATGTTGCTAAAGATTTTTAGAATGCTCATTTAACATCCTTCTTTATTCTAGTTTGAAGTAAAGTTACCAAGCACAGGATGATTACTTGTGTGATACAATATGGCCACTGCACTGGTTTGAGCAGAGGTGGTGTCCTCTCCAAAACTCGTGTTGAAACTTAATTTCCAATGCAGTAGTATTGAGAATTGTGATTAGGAGATAATTAAATGATCAGGGCTCTGCCCTCCTGAATGGTATTAGCACCTTATAAAAGGGCACAAAACCAATATGGTGTTCTTTAAAAATGCTAAGACAGTGGATATAAAGTGTTCTCATCATAAAAATAATAGCTATGTGAGGTAATGCATATGTTAATTAGCAAGATTCAGTCATTCCATAACATATACATACCTGAAAACATCCTGTAATACACAGGAGATACAATTTCTTATGTCAATATAAAAATTAAAATGTAAAAATTAATAAATCAATTAACAATTGCAAAAATAAAAATGGGCTCAAGAGGTTCAAGTTTGAAAGGAGTGCTCGCTTATCCTTCTGTCCCTCATGCATATAGGACACCATGTTTCTCTTCTCAGGAGGATGTAGCAACAGAGTCATCTTTGAAACAGAGCAGCCCTCACCAGACGTCAAAGCCAGTGCATCAGTGTTGCACTTTACAGCCTTCAAAAGGGAAAAAATAGATTTCTGTTCTCTTTAAATTACCTAGTCTATGATATTCTGTTATAGCAACACAAATGAACTAAGACAGTAACTTTATGAATTTGTTTCACTGGCCTTTCATAAATTTAGAACTTATAAAAGAAAACAAGAAGAAAGATTTGACTAAGTAAAATTGTGAAACTTTAACAACAAAATATTAAATTAATAAATGACATATGGATTCAAACTACAGCCAATAAAATTATTAGCAATCAAATATTTAATGAATAAAATCTGTTAAAAAGACAAACACCCTAACTGAAATATGCAGTCATGAAAATATCAATTCCAAAAATAGACTTCTTTAATATGGTCAACAAAAATATTCAAATAATTAATAATCAATGATATCAAGCTAACATTTGTTTATAAGATTTACAAAGCTGTGAAAGAATGATGTGATGTACTCTTAGTGACTAAACACCCAAATGGTTGGATTAGAAATTGGTACAGCTTTTCTGGAGGGTATTTTGATAGTAAATGTCAAAGACTGAAGAATCCCCAAATCTCTTAATTACCAATTTTATGTTTGATAATTCATCTTAAAATAATTTTAAAACTGCCTAAAATATATTAAAAGAAATGTCTATGACCATATTACTTATATGCAAGAAAAAAAAGCCTAAGAAAGCCATGTAAATTTTGTATATTAGATTATTGAATTGTGTCCTACAATGAATAAATAATACGGCAGGTATCTACCAGTTTTAGTTTTTAGGGTTGTTGCTATTTCTTGTTACTAAAGAAAACTGGCTACCAAGTTATATAATGGCAAAATGTCCTTCTAAAACTTAATACAAGCAAATTTGCATCTGAAGACAAAAATTTTGCTACAGTCTAAAATACAAAAAATGTTTATATTCATATTGTAAGATTATTGAAGCTTTTTCTTTATTTCCTTTTTCTTACTTGTATTTTTATTATTTTTATGATGATTATAGAATATTGGCAAATTTGAAAAAACACCAAAAATCAAAACATCTCCCTTCCCCTAAAAAAAAAAAGAAAAAGAAAGTAAAAGACAAACAGTATACATTGGGCCACAGTGAGGAGGAAGAAATATATACTGAGGAGGAAAATGCTATACCCAAAATGATGGAGGCATTTTTAAGAACATTTTGGAAAATATCAATGTAAAATAGAGAAAAGTAAATCAAAATGATTATGCTAGAGACCACAAAGCCAGATTAAAAAAATCATCAATATTACTCAGAGTTAGAATGTATTAATATTATAGCAGCGACTTGAAAAATATGCCATTTACGAAAAGCTATAGAGTGGCTTGTGATTAGGAATGTTCTCATTTACCAATAAGAAAGAAAAGGTGACAGTAGTCAGAAATGGTATTTTGCAGACAATGAGAGCTTTGAAAAGGGAAGTTTACAAGGGCAAAGGATCAGAGTGCCCATGCAAACTTTGTGAGGGGAGAGTGCAACAAGACTTTAGGATGGAATGGATTGCTGCCTGTCATGGATACTCTAGCCATACTACTGTACATTAGTGAGAGTGGGAAAGGATGATAGCTACAGTAAAGAGATAACACATAAAAAGGGAATTAAATCAATTCCTAGTTTGGCTCAAGTTGAAGGAACAATAAATAAAAGTTAAATACTTTAGTATAAATAGGATATTTCAAAAAGTTAGCTCTTATATACAGCGCAATGAACTGCTTTTTGAGATTGTGATTTTCCTCTTGGTGAGTTTGCTCCAGTAAGATAGAGGAATGTATATTATTGGTATTGCTGCATAATTCTTTGTTAGATTAGAAAATGTATTCCATAATTTCTACCTTCTCTTCAAATTTGAAAATTAATACATTCCATAAAGCACATATAGAAAAAATTCCAACCTTAACTTGAACTAGAAGCAAAACTTTCTTAGCTCAATTTGAAAAAGCATAAAAATCCACTACAGTAAGGTAAATGGATGATGAAGTATCTTATTTATCCTGTTAGGAAGAGCTAGAGCAGTGCTGTACAATAGAAATATAACTTGAGCCAGAATGTAATGATAAATTTTCCAATAGCTCCATTAAGAAACAGGTAAAATTAATTTTTATTGTATATATTATTTATCCCTATGTATCTAGCCTATTGTCAATTCAATAACTAATCAATAACAGAAACTATTAATGACCTATTTCACATTTTCTTCAGCTTCTGGTGTATATTTTATACTTAGAGAACATCTTCATTTAAACACTAATTTTTAATGGGAATACTTGATCCATATGTGGATTCATAAATTTACATTTGAAAAAGTAGATTCACATAACCAAGTTGTTCTAAACGAAGTGTTCCATTGGCTGAATTATTAGTTTTCTAAAGTTAAACTTTAAACAATTAAAACTAAATAAAATTTAAAATTCAGGTCTTCAGCTGCACTAGCCCAATTTCACGTACTAGGTTACCATGTGTGGCTAGTAGCTACTTCATTAGACAAAACAATACTAGAGGAGGCTGATACCTAAATTACTGGATAAAGCAATGAGAATTTGCCTTGGTGGAATTATGATGAAAGTATTGAAAAGAAGAATATTTGTAGAGTGGGGCTGAGATGGGAGTTATAGTCATGAGACATTATTACAGGGAAAACCTAACTTCTTTCCACTCTCAAAACATGTTAGTTTAGCTCTTTCATTCTCTTTTATCTTTGGATGCTTTATATTTATTTTGAGAATATATTTACCTTGTCCATATTTTCTATACACAATCTTTAAGAGCCCTGACTTTGTTATGTATTTTACCTAAAGACAAATATAAAAATAGTTATTATTTATCTAGCACTGTGTGGCCTTTATTTCATTTAATATTCATAACCAACCTGTGAAGTGCAATGTAAGAAAATGGCAGCAAAGCAAGGTTAAGTAGCTTACGGTCACACAGCTAGACAGAACTAGAACTAGATATCAAACCCAGGTCATTCTGACACTTAAACATGCTTACTAGACTCTTGATAAATATTATATTATGTTAGCCAGTGCAGACCTTTAATCAGCCCTGGGCCACTAAAGATAGAAGAGTAGATGAGCTCCTGGAGGACACCCACTAAAACTCACTCTATTCATAACGCTGCAAGTGGTGTTTATTGCCCACATAAAGGAATGCAACTGAGGGATGGGAGGTATGGTTTGGAAGTGTTTATAAAACCAATTCCTAAGCTTGCACCACAGTATTAGAGAAGTAACTGAAAAGTATCACCTAGCCAGTTATCTCATTATATTTCCCTGAAAATAAATCTCAAGACAAAAATAATCACAAGCTGACTTCTTTGCAGGAGAAATTTTTTAAAAACTGTATGCTATATATTGATCCTCTGGTTTTTCCTTTGGTAAATTAGATTTGCCTACAAAAATTAGCATTGCAATTGTATCAATAAGACAATAAAAATAACATTGTCTTCTCTTCTGTTTTTGTCCTGAGCCCAAAAAGCCAGCTGGAGATTTTCTTTGGAAATATGCTGCTAGTTATATATTTGTATTTTAAGAATCAATTCATTTTATTGGGTTTTGCCTAGGATCAACCTCAGAAGGGGACACTGTAGGGGTAAGGTGGAGGTAAGATTTGCAAAGTCCAGATGAGGTTTGAGTCACATGAATGAAAAGCAAGTCCTAATTTAACCGTGCAGGTTGGAGTCTGCTCTATGATCAAGTGGACCATTTGGAGAAGTGAATACTAGTAATATGTCGTCGAATTATTACAATAATGTCACCATTAACAAATTCATAGAGCAAAATTGAAAAGAGGACTTTCTAGTTGACTTTCAAAATGTATCCGAATGTGTAATGAATCTGGTCATTTCTTTCCTATTCCACATTTGTCGCTTTAGTCTAAGTCACTCTTATCTGGTGAATGGCCTCCTTTGGGTCTCCTTGATCCCATTGTTGCCCTGTTCTTCCCCTTTTCCACACAAACAAAATTATGGAAATGCAAATTGGATCAGGTTTTGTCCCAGCTTAAAACTTTTGCAAAAGTTTTTGATTATACTAAGAAAAATATTGAAGCTTACTAGCTGTAAAGCCCCCATGTACTTTTCAGACTTTACCTTTTTTCTTAATTGACTTATCATTTATCTTACTTAAATTATTATTCTGACTTTTGAATACATCTAACTGGTTCCCATTTTGGGACCTTTGCACTTGCCATTATTCATAATTGAACCAACCTATTTCCCATTTTCATGCACCTCTTTCTTCCTATTAGTAAGTTGCAGTTGAAATGCCACCTCCTTAGATTCTGTCTGTCTTATTCATCACTAAATACCCTAGTAGGTGGCTAAAAATATTCAGTGACAGACTGGCCAAATGATAGAGTTATTTTAATAAAAATATACTGTACAATAGTAAAGCTGATACATTTATAGGCATATATATATATATATATATATATATATATATAACTAATTTAATGTTTTAAAAATCTACTGGGCTTATCAAAAATATTATTGGGTCAGATGATATGAGTAGTTTTTTATAAATGAATTTAAGACGTTTCTCTCCCCTAATGGTATGTTGGATCTTGACTGCAAGAGCTCATTATAAAATTTTTAGAATTTTTGTGAAATTATTAAAAAGATATTATTAAAAATTAAATTATATAAACTTATTGTTAAACAAATGATGTTAAGAAACAAAGATAATAAGCACTCAAAACTCACTCATACTTAATCTCTTTATACCTTTTACTATAATCCAGGCCAGTGTTCAGCAAATGTTTTAAGTATAGGGCCGAAGAGTAAATATTTTTGGCTTTGCGAGCTATATCATCTCTGTCACAACTACTCGACTCTGTCCTTCCCATGTAAAAGCAGCCACAGTCACTGCACAAATGAATGAGGAAGGCAGTATTCAATGTAGCAAGTCAGGTTTGGCTCAGAACCTGTCATTTGCTGACACTCCTCTCTAGATTCTTTGCTTCTCTCATATACATATAACGGAGAGGCTTTAAAATGATGTTCTAATGTGCATTTTCTCCCCAAATCCACATTCAGAGATTTCATATTAGTAGCTTGCAATTTGCCATGGAGGGAGTATTTATACCATTGAACTTAGCAATGCTACTACTCAGATCTTCTAATTCTCTCTCAGAAAGCTGGTTGTTAAACATTTACCAGCACACCAAGCTTACCCCAGTCAAGAAAAACAACAACAACGTTATTGAAGCACTTGTTAAAGATGGCAAGGCAGACTTTATTCGGGGAGGGGGGCGGTCATGGCACTATGTACAGGAACCACTACAGTGGGGTCTTGCAGCAAGGGAGAGAGATTGGACTCAATTCTGACTTCAACAAGGACAGGTGGAGTTTTATAACCAAGGAGCATGATTGGGGGTCAGTGGATGGAAAATTGCTAAAAGGAAACACCAAGGATAAGAGGTTCCTCGCTAAACTGACTTGATATGATTACTGCTGAAGGTAGGCCACGATGATAAGACTCCAAGTCAGATATCAAGCGTGGGGGGTTTTGCTAAGCTGACTTAACAGGATTCTTGCTCAAACTGGATTCTACAAGGATGGAGAGGGAAGACCAAAGACTCCAGACCTAATCAATGAGATGATTTTAAAGGAGTCTGACTGTACTTTTGGTTAAAGAGGCTTTTATTACTGCCTCCTATTCCCCCACCCCCACCACCATAGAGCTCGTTGGTAAAACTTGAAACAAGAATATACCACACTCATAAGAAGTCTGTTTCTCTCAGGACATCTGTTGTGCTGTCAAATATCAGGATCTGACAGGAACAGGGAAGACTTCCCTTTCCTCTTAGGTTACAACACAGCTGCACATTTGGAGAGTTTTACAAATATATAAAAATAGCATATTATGTCAGTGATTAGAATATGCTTAGCATCTCGACTTCACTCAGACTTTGCAATGTATAATCAATGTTAATATTCAACAAATATTTATGGAACACCACTTATATACCAGGCAGTAGGCATATATCTGCATAAAAGTTGCGTTAGTAAATAAAATAGTGCTAAGATGAAAATATAGCCAACAGGAAGATATAAAATGCCAGCAGGTGGCTTGGGGTAAATTAAATTTTTAAATAGAATGCCCAGAAAGTGCCTTACTTTAAAGTAACATTTGAGCAAAGTCTTGAAAAAACTGAAGAAGGAATCTGTTTGTATAGGAGGACAGTGGGAGAGGAAGGAAAGTTTTAGGCAGTGTGAGCAGGAAGTACAAATTCCTAATGTGGGAGCAGGTCACAGTGTTCCATCAACAAAGGGGCCAGTGGCTGGAGCAGAGGGAGTGAGGAGGAGGATTAAGGAGTCAGGGGGAACAGGGATGGAAGATTACACCAGGCATGTAGGCTATCAACGGGATTAGGGCTTCTCCATCTAAGTTTGGACACCTGTGGAAAGTTCTGAGCAGAAGAGAAACTTGATCTGGATTCAAATTTAAAAGAATTATTGGAGAACTAGGACATGTGGGAAGGATGGGATAGGTGAAGCAAGATTGCAAAATGTTGATAATTGTTGAAAGCTGGTGATGGATACATGGCAGCTCATTATATTTTTTCTCTCTGTTTTGTGGAAGTTTCAAAATTAAAAATGAAACAAAAGCAAAAAGAATATACTTTTAAAAAGGATTGTGTTATAAAATTGATTCTAGAGAATGATGTTTGCAAGATCAGTGGGAGGCTACTGCAGTCATACTGGCTAGAAATGGTTGTGTCTTAGACCAGATCAGTGAAAGTGGTGATAATTAAGACAGAGCCAGATTCTTGGCATATTTTAAAGGCACAGCCAGGAGTACTAACTAAAGAAATTAAATGTGTGAAAAATCTTTTTCTTTTTCTCAACTTCAAAGGCATTCTCTCTTATTTATTTCTGTATTTTTTTACCCCCGGATTTTCACACTATTGAGACAAAAGATGGTGACATTCAATAGCTTTTTTTAAGAAAAAATGTTTGTCTTTCTCTTTTTATTTTTACTTACATGGGGCTTATTTAACCTTTAGCAATGTGGCTGTCATTAAAGGTGTTTTATGTGCTTGGCAGTAGACGAGTCTCTCTCCTGTCCAGGTTTATGAATTCCAGTCACCAGGGTCTCATTTAAGCCAAGAATCTCAGGCTATCACTACTCTTAAGAGAGAATCACTGTCTCACTCAGCATTTCTCTGTGTTAAAATAATGCCATCTGTTGTTAGTCAAGCTGTAACTATAGGCTCACCTGCAAAGAAGAATGTTGAGTCTTGCCATGAGTTATGCCCATTCCAGGCCGTGTTCCAGCCTTCTAAAGGAGAGGCTGTTTCAGATGCTAGTAACACTGCATGTAATTAGGTATATGGAACAAATGAAAAGTAATCAGTAAGTTTATTTTCTCATATAAAACATAGTCAATTTATTCATTAGGTCTATCTCCAAAATATTATTTGCCTGGGTAAAATTTGAAAGGGCAGAGTTAAAGATACTCCCCCTAGAACCAAACATTGACATGCCATTATATTCTGCCTATACTCTAGATAAAAGCTAACATGATGGAAAACTAGGGTCGCATAAAAATTCCTGGAGAAATATATCATAAAAATGTTTAAAAGTATAGCTAAGGTCTCAAGAAGAAATGAATATTACAGGGAAAAAACCTGAAGAGGTGAATGAAAGTCACTTGCTGAAGTGTAAAACCTTATCCTGTGGCTTCCCTTAAAATTTAAGCCAAGGGAATTATGTGTCTTGCTTCCTAAGGGATTTGGTCTTACTGAAAAGTGTGAGGTAGACAGTTGGAGGTGAATGAGATGCCCGAATAAAGCTGGTTGTTCCCAGAGAGAAATGGGAAAATAGAAGAAAATTCACTCTCCAGCACAGGATGATGACAATGAAGCTCATCTGTTCCTGTCTGGACTCTCACTAAAAAAAAAAAGTTATTGTCACCTAAAATATAGAGTCCCTCAGCTTGGGCAGCCATCAGGTTTAGAAATGATTTTACAATACCCATGTAAATCCAGAATCCTCAAGATAAAAAATTAATACAGTGATAAGTTATAGGTAGGCAATATTTTCAGGTTCTTTTTCAGGAAGCAAATACATAACCCATCAGGAGTCACACTTCAAAAACTCAGTCCAGAAGGGATACCTGTCCCCTACCACTCACAAAGACAGGAGTTCATGGCATAAAATTACAAAAGAAATGAGAAAACAATTTGTCATGATTTAGAGTCAGGCATAACAGACAGCAGGATCCTCAGATAACAGAGCGGTGATCAAACACAAGGAGTAAAATCCAAATATGCAAACATTTTTAAAACTTTAAAAAATAATTAATACCCTTAAAAAAGGAAACACATGGCTGAGGAGAAAAAAAGAATGAGAATATTTGAAAAAGAAACAGAAGACAAAGTAATTGAAGAAGAAAAGTAACTGAAAAGGTAATATAGAAATGGAGACAAGTTATGAGACATGGAATTAGAATGAGAAAGAATGGGAAGGGAGGGGCTTGAAAGACATAACTGCTGGGAATTTTCCAAAATATTGTGCAAACATAAATTCTCAAAGTTTGTGTGCACAATTTTCTGAACAACAAAAAAGAAGTTAACTTAGATCTGGGATTTCACGTTATAAATCTGTAGAATCCTCAAGATTGAAAAATTTTAACAATGAGAAGTCAAAAAGTTGTATGTAAAAATGCATGTTAAACTGATCACAGGCTTCCAATAACAAGAGAGACCAGAATGTAATGGAATAAGACTATCAAAGTGCTGATGGAAAAACATCAAATTCAAATTCTGAATTATATCTAGAAAGTATACATCCATTATATATATAAAGAAAGGTAAATCCAAGATGAAAAATTGGAGTATAAGAGGAAATGTGAGCTTTTGTTACATTATTTTTGTCTCTTTGAAATCTTTACATAAGATTAAATTTAAATTTTAAAAAAGTTTAAAAAAATTCTCTGATTACCTTAAATCTTAAAAGAAGGGGAGGCCAATTTATTGAAAGAATATTTTAGTATCTCATGAAACGTTTCAATTAAACAAAATGTGAAAAGGAAAGGAAATAGACATTTCCAGATCCTGCAGCAGCAGGAATCATGATTTTTCTGTCCATAACTCTACAGTGTGTTTTAACTCCACAATTCTCATTTACTCTTTTACATCTGTTCAAATTGTTCAGGTGACTCTGTATCAATTGTTAATGATTGGAAGCTGATATTGAGTCCCAATTCCATAAAAGGGAAAATTGTTGTGAACCAATCTTTCACTCCATGAATTTTCTATTAAATTCTATCTTTTACTGCTTGGCACATACACATTTTGTCTCCTTTATCTAAAGATGTCCTCACTTTAGTATGCTGTAAACATTTTTGCTACCTCTATAAAAAGAGACAATCCCAGATTTTCTCTGAATGCCCAATCCAGATTTGATATCGGGGCACCCGTCTTGTCCATATCCAGACTCTGTAGACAATAAGTCGTTCTACAGTATTCAGTCTTGATCAGATCTCACATGACTCTTACTGTCTATTTCACAAAGAACTATTGATCCAACATTCAATTCATTTAGAGTGAGCCATCATTTTTATGTGTCAAGCAGTTATCAATGCTTAGGATAAATTAATAAATGGAACTTTGTTTTGTGGGAAAGAAAAGCAGTAAACTATTTTTTATAAATAATAATGCATACATTATATTAGAATTTCATAGTGCTTGAAAAAATATAATATAATAAAGTGTATTGAAAATTCTGGAGAGGAAGGGGCAGCTCTAATATTATTTTAGGTGGTCAGGGCAGTTTCATTGCAAAAGTGCCATTTAAGCAAAAACATGAAGAAAGCAAGGTCAGTAGACATGTCTGTCATCTGAATGAAAAGTGCTGCAAGCACAAGGAAGAGTCAGTGCAATAACTTTCAGGTAAGAGAGTGGTTAGAGCAGTGACTAAGTTGGAGAGTAAAGATGAGACAGGTAATGGAGATTCCAGGCATGAAGCACCCACTTTACAGCCTCTCTAAGGATGTTGGCTCTTTACTCTGTGTGAAAAGCAAGCCTTAGTAAGCATTACAGGTTGAATTGTATCCCCCAAAATTCATATTTTAGCATCCTGAGCTCCAGTACTTTGGAATAAGACCGTATTTGGAAACAAGGCCATTGCCCATCCAATTAATTAAGATGAGGTCATTAGGGTGGGCCCAAATCCAATATGATTGGTATCCTTATAAAAAGGGGAAGTTTGGAGGTAGACACACATAGGGAGAATGCCATATGAAGATGGAGGCAGAGATTGGGGTGATGCTTTCCCAGCAAAATAAATATTTCCAGCAAACCAACAGAAACTAGGAGAGAAAGCATGGAATAGATTCTCTTTCTAAGCTCCCAGAATGAATCAATGCTGCTGAAACCTTGATCTTGGAATTCTAGCCTCTAGAACTGTGAGAAAATAAATTTATGCTGTTTAGACTACTCAGTCTATGGTACTTTGTTATGAAAACCCTTGCAAACTAATGCAGTAGGTATTGAGCAAAGGGGTGAAAGGATCCTACAAAAGTTTTAAAAGAATCGCTGTTGGGTAAGGCAGGCAAGAATAGAAGCAAGAAGACTGCTAAGCAACTTCTTGCATTAATGCCAGCAAGAAATCTAGGGGTCTCAGATTAAAACTGAAATAGTAGAGATATTGAGAAATTGTCAGATTCTGGATGAATTTTGAAGGTACAAACAAAAGGGTTTCATGATAGATTGAAAGTGGGTTGTGAAGACAGGAGAAGTCAAGGATAACTCAGGTTGCGCCATGTACAACTGGAAATATGGAGATGTCATGAATTAAAATGTAGTGGTAGAGCAAGGACTGAAATCGATTTCTCACTCAGTTTTTCCTGACTCCCAGAATAATGTCCTTGACCTAGGAATCAATATTGGAAAGATGTGCCAACATTATAGTCTCAGAGTCTTTAATCATAAGTGCACACACAGACATACACACACACACGTATATAGAGATAGAGAAATACACACACACACACACACACACACGTGTCTCTTATATTTTAATTGTGACGACTAAAATGTTTTAATCCTAGCATATCATTTTCTTCATTTCCCTTTCTGCCCTAATATGGAAGCTAATTATCTCTTCTGTTAAAGTAAAAAATATTTTTGACTTTTTAAATTTAGTTTGAAAGAATTGCAGTAAGAATTGCTGTTTTTATCCATTTGTCAGAACAGTAGGGAAAACACATGCTCTTGAATGTTCTTCATATTTTTCTTATAATTATTCCATATTGGATAATTTTTTCTCAATTGCTCTCTACTCTAGAAAATAATCAGAAATGCTGCTTATAAAAGAATAATTATTCTTTTATAAGCAGCATTTCTGATTATTTTCTAGACTAGTAGAGAGCACTATTAAATAGCTGAAAGCCTATAATTTATGTGGTAGAATCTCGGAGAAGACGTTGTACTTTTCATGACATTTGCAGTAGACTCATCCCTGATAACATTGTGAAAATTAATAAATATTAATACTAAATAAAGAAATCCCATTTACTTCAATGTCCTAAAATAGAAATCCCCTTTACTTCAATGTCCTAAAAGAATTGCCCATAATTGACTGCTGCATTATTCCCAGAATACAAAATAAAATCCTCAAAAAGTCTGTGTTTTCTTGAAATATCTCACATCCACAGAGATGTGATCTCATTTCTTAAATTGAGGAGAAAAATAAAAAGAAGCTACAGATGCAGTTTACATCAACTTTCCTTATGACCAGAATCTATATAAGTTTACCACATATAGAATGGCACGTACAGTGGCAGTTGTACATCCTTTCATATGATAAATACTTGAAGATAAAATAACTTGAACGAAGTCTATTAAAAGACTTCTAAGAGGGCATATTTACCTGGAAGAATAGAAGACTATTTATGAAAGAGAACATAAAAAATTATTTCAAGGAAGTGATACAAATATTTACTTCCTTGGATGGCTTCTAATACTACACTAGAAAACCTCATTCTAAGTGTCTGGAACAGAGGAATCTTCCACAAGAGACAACGTGATGGCAGTAACAACAAAATGATGAACAGAAAATCTATAAGTAGTGCTGACTTTTGGGTGATAGTGTTGATGTTGTACTTGAATTCACTGGGAGTTCCTTAAGCTATTGAGGAGCCATTGAAACATAGACACCATGTTGAACATAAACATGCTGTATATGAAAAATTGGTACAGAGTGAATTTCAACCTCCTCTTAGATTTCCTTCTTGCTTTGCAGAGTCTTGAAAGCTAAAATGAATATTTCCCAGACTCCCTTAGAGCTGCAGTTCTGAATGGAAATTTATTCCTGTAAATTAGATGCACTTACACAAAATCAGAGAGAGGGAGAGGCCATCTGCAGCTGCTGTGGCAACTGCTGTGGAAAGCAGAGTTGTGTAGGCTCTGGATGTTTCTGTAGCAGCATTCCAGTACTAACTTTGTGAGAGGTGAAGGGTGATTCTGCAGCATTGGTGGTGACAATGAGAACAGCAGCGGTAGCAGCAGCAGAACAATGACTATATCCCCTTCCAGTTTTCCGACTCAGCCAGTTTGTGGATATTGCTATGGGAGTGATTCCGGGAAGTTCAGCCTAGATCCTGCCCTTCTACTTATGCCAAGAAATTTGTAAATATTTATTTCACTGTATAAGTCACTTTAAAACACCAAGAAGCCTGAATGCAGAAAGTTGTCAAAACAATTCAGACATACCTTTCCCTTCCTAACAAGGGGAACAAGCAGAGGGCCTTGAATTGATGCTTAGACTGAAGAGATTAGAGTGTAGCTGGGCTCTGGAGTAAAGGACTTAACTAGTATCTTGCACGCCGAGTGTACACACCCCAAGGCTTTGTGTCAGCGGAAATGCTTGTATGTTTAAATTCTTTCTCTTTCTTTTCCTTCCGTCCTTCCTCCCTCCCTTTTCTTCCTTCCTTCCTCCCTCCCTCCTCTCCTTCCTTCCTTCCTCTCTCCCTCCCTCCCTCCTTTCCTTCCTCCCTCCCTCCTTTCCTTCCTCCCTCCCTCCCTCCTCTCCTTCCTTCCTTCCTCTCTCCCTCCCTCCCTCCTTTCCTTCCTCCCTCCCTCCCTCCTCTCCTTCCTTCCTTCCTCTCTCCCTCCCTCCCTCCTTTCCTTCCTTCCTTCCTTCTCTTTTTCTCTTTCTCTCTTTCTTTCTTTCCTTTCTTCCTTTCTTTCTTCTTTCTTGTCTTTTCTTTTTTTTCCTTTTTTTCTGAGACAGTCTGGAGTTCAGTGGTGAAATCTCAGCTCACTGCAACCTCTGCCTCCCGGGTTCAAGCGATTCTCCTGTCTTAGCCTCCCGAGTAACTGGGATTACAGGTGTGCACCACCACACCCAGCTAATTTTTGTATTTTTAGTAGAGATAGGATTTAACCATATTGGCCAGGCTGGTCTCGAAATTCTGACCTCAAATGATCCGCCCACCTCGACCTGCCAAAGTGCTGGGATTACAGGCATAAGCCACCATGCCCGCCCTAAATTCCATATTACTTATTCGAAACCTGAGTGATCCTTGACCTCAAAAACTAAACCAAGAACACAAAAAATGATCTCCTTTATGGCTAAAAGTAAGTTAAAAGAAATCATTTGAACAAGAGGCCTCACCCTATAATCGCACTATCCACCTTCAATAAGGCTATAAGTTTGTCCTACCATTCAGACCTTATTTTTTTCCCTGTTTTCACCATTCCTATACAAAAGATGAAAAATGAAAAAAAGAAAGCCCAGCCATGTGCCTGTTTTTCTCAGGCAATCAATCTGTCAAATGAATAAATGAAAGTTTAAAAACATAGGCTCCAGGAAAAGAGTCACTGCTACATATCATATTGATTAAAAATGCCAGGGCCTCAAAAACATTCTAAAGTTAAATTCCCATCGAATTATTCCCCGAACAAGATCTGGAATACTCTAAAGAATATAATTCTGTTTGACAACTTTTATCTGATACTTTAATTAACATTTATAAATTAATACATTTTCCTGAGGCAATTTAATGAAGGGTGCAGTTGAAAATGCTCACTCTATTTTATATAATTAAGTTCAAATTAAAATGGAGCAAAATTTGTATGTCTATACTACATTTTTTCCAAGCATGATTAATTTATATTTTTTCATAAATAATCATTTCTTTTTTGGTAAAATCAACAATAAAAATGCATATTCCTAGTTTTTGAGATTACATATTTCAGAATACAACAATTCAAATAAAGCTACAAACAGAAAATCTTTAATATGAAAAAGAGAGAAATGAGTTTTTTTCAAAACTCTAGGAATTATTTTATTGAAACAGATTATTTTTTCTGCAAAATAAGAATGCATTTTAAATGGATCAATTTAACACTATGGCTGATTATTTCATGAAATACATATTAATATGGGTAACATATTGAACAGTAATGATTGAATTTGTATTGATATTAAATGATTATTCTGTTAAGACTGGTAGCACTTGGAGATTATTTATACAGAAAAGAAAAGAAAAACCAGGTGTGGTGGCTCACACCTGCAATCCCAACACTTTGAGGGGTCTAGGCAGGCAAATCGCTTGAGCCCAGGATTTCAAGACCAGACTGGGAAACATGGTGAAACCCCATCTCTACAAAAAACACAAAAATTAGCTCGGTGTGGTTGTTTGCGCCTGCAGTCCCAGCTACTCCGGAGGTTGATATGGGAGGATCACCTGAGCCTGGGGAAGTCAAAGCTGCAGTGAACTGTAATCGCATCACTGCACTCCAGCCTGGGTGACAGAGTGAGACCCTGTCTCAGAAAAAAAATAAAAAAATAATAAAAAGAAAGAAAGAAATTAAGAATACTTTTAGCAAAGAAAAGAAAAGAGAGAAAAAGCAGCATGTTGAGGCAGAAAATCATGGGAATCAGTAGGCTGACATTTTTGCAGGTTTCCATGTGTATTATTTCAACTGATCAACATCACAGTCCTTTATGGTAGGCGTATTTTTATTTTTCTTATTTTCAAATCTAAAAACTGAGGTAACAGAGAGGACTACTAGATTATTAGCACTATACTCTTTTTTTTTTTAATGGTAAAGCAGGACTGTAAACACAAATTTCCTATTTCCAAAGGCAATGCCCTTTCCTGTGCATTATTATGAGTTTTAGTACCATCTTTATCATTAACCAGCTTTGTAATTTTGGAAACTGCTTACATTCTCTGGGACTGAGGTTCTTCATTTATGATTAATGGTTAAACTCCATGAGGAAAGTGATTAATTTTTTTTTTATAATTTTGGATTTGGAATTTAAAGCAACATTTAAAAAGAAGGAAAACATCCTTGCCCTCAATAAAGCCTGAGAAACATTCATTTCTAAGTGCCTTTTTGGTTTAGACTCTAAGAGAGCTCAGTTAGAGACCAACAAGTAAGACTGCACCTTGGCAAAGCAGTACCAAATGAAAAACTTCACTAGGGTCAACCAGGATAAGACTAAATGAGGAGAACACAATCTTTTAATTTCCAGTCATTCATCTGGCCAGAAACTAGACCAAAGAAATTGTCAATACTTTGCCTTTTTGTAAAATGGAGTTAAGCTTACGGAAAAATAAAGACTAGAAGATGAGGGAAAATATAATTTTGAAGATCCAGTGTATTTGTTGCAAAATGGTATGCTGCAGAATCCAAAATAAAATGTTAGGAAATAGTTTGTCATTCTATAAACCATGCAGAAATATTTGGTTTCTAGAAAACAGAAACAAAACCTCTAAGGAAGTCACTTAAAAATCATGTGTAATGTGAAATAATTGTGATAAAGTAGAAAATTGCAAATTAAAGAGCAAATTCAATAGCTTTCCAATTGGGAAATATTTAAAAGCAAGAGAAAAAAGAATTATAGCCACAGTATGAATAAAATTTTAAACATGTAAAAATTAATGTTGCCATACCATCCTTTTATTTTTTGCAATAAAAAGACCCCAAACTAATGAACTTTTTATATCAATACTGGAATTCAAGGTAAGACACAATTCTTATGCCAGTAACATAGAGAATTTTAATCAGAGGTGAGATAGATACCCTACTGACAGAATGCCAAGTTAGCTTTAAATATATTGATTTTACAGGGAATATATCACCAAAGTGTTAATTAAAAAGTGACAACACAAAAATATTCTTGATGTTGGGGACCATGTCAAGGAGTAGGCTGCAAGAAGAAATGTCCACTTAAAAACAGCCACCTTATTGATTCTTTACCATGTTCTAGGCATTATGCTAAGTACCTTACATGCCTTATCTCATTTAATTCCCAGAACCTGAGGTTCATTCTTTTGTTTTCATCAATTTACAGATGAAGAAATTTATAATAATATATGAAGAGAAACTCACTCAATCTGATAGGTAGAATGTCAAGTCCTAATACTGTGCAAAAACAAAGAAATTTATCAAAGTTCCATTCATTGGGAGTAATTGAAAATATATTAATGATTTTTTTAATTACAAAAGAAGTGTGCAGATAAAAGGCAAAAAACCTGGGATAATAAAGTACCTTGTGGGCATGGTGCCTTTACCATTCATTGAACTAAGGAGATGAGAGAAGGAAGCGGTTACCAGAACCTGGAGAAAGTAGTTATTAAGGAGGATGCTCCACAATAGTTGAGGTCATTGGTAAAGGTGAACAGTCATCTCTTGGGGAATGGGAAGAAAGGCCAGAAGAATAATTATCCCATTTGATCAAATTTTCCACTTTGAGCTTTTGCTGATGGCTCCCTTTGCCCCCAAGCATGCAGATAACAGAGAGTAAAAGAACATTTGATGCAGACCATAAGGTCAGGTTTTTGGAACACAGGAAGAAGTAGAGAAGTACATAGAGTGGACATGGAAAGGAAAATAGAAACTACTCATTTTCATCTGGTTATATAATGTACAACCAAAGAAAAATCACCAAATAGATTATGGTATGGTTTGGCTGTGTCCCCACCCAAATCTCACCTTGAATTGTAATAATCCCCACATGTTGTGGGAGGGACCTGTTGGGAGGTAATTGAATCATGGGAGCATGTTTTTCCCACGCTGTTCTCATGATAATGAATAAATCTCACAAAATCTGACGGTTTTATAAACGGCAGTTCCCCTGTACATTCCCTCTCTTGCCTGCCACCATGTAAGATGTGGCTTTGTTCCTCCTTGCCTTCTGCCATGATTGTGAGGCCTCCCCAGCAATGCGGAACTGGGAGTCAATTAAACCTCTTTCCTTTATAAATTACCCAGTCTTTGGTATGTCTTTATTAGCAGTGTGATTAATTTTTTTTATAATTTTGTATTTAGAAATTAAATTTTCTAATACAGATTAGAAGATTCAGTAAATTAAAATAAAGATAAAGGAAAGTGCCCTTATAGAGTAGCATAAGAAACAGAAAACATCTGAGAAAACTACAAGAGAAGATAGAGTGTATGTGAGTAAGTCAGTACTAACTTGTTAATCCATGTATTTATATTTTGTTTTAATTATATAACACAGGATGTATTTATATTTTGTTATTGTATTTGAAACTAAGCCTAAACTGAAACTCAAGCTAAACTAATAAGGTATAACCTATTCTGTCAATTATAACACAGGGTTGATGTCTTCAGACTTGAGACCTCACTGCTGACAGTGGGTGACAAAGGATCAGGAAGAAGAATACGCTAGATACACTGCAGGAAGCCTAAGAGGCAAGCCAGAGTGAAAATCAGGATGACAGCCTACCAAATATAGTAGAAGTCCAGTATGTAGGGGTACCAGTCAAGACACAGACATGGAAAATTGTTAGTAGGGTAACAAGGAAGGATGAGAGAAATTCCAAACAAAATGGAGGTGGGGGTTCCCTGAGCAATTGCCTCAAAAGCCAGTTAGCATAATCCTTATGGAGAAGAGGTTCTCTTATTAAAATGCTCAGTTTTATATAGACAGCTTCCATGTTATTTATTCAAAGGACACTACGTTGCTTTTCTTTTTTTTTTTTTTTTTTTTTTGAGACGGAGTCTCGCTCTGTTGCCCAGGCCGGACTGCGGACTGCAATGGCGCAATCTCGGCTCACTGCAAGCTCCGCTTCTTGGGTTCACGCCATTCTCCTGCCTCAGCCTCCCGAGTAGCTGGGACTACAGGCGCCCGCCACCGCGCCCGGCTAATTTTTTGTATTTTTAGTAGAGACGGGGTTTCACCTTGTTAGCCAGGATGGTCTCGATCTCCTGACCTCGTGATCCACCCGCCTCGGCCTCCCAAAGTGCTGGGATTACAGGCGTGAGCCACCGCGCCCGGCCTACGTTGCTTTTCTTACATCTTGGCTATACCTATTCAGAAGATTCAAATGGGTAAGTGTAAGAAAAAATAAGGTTCTAATCCAAATCAACCTTTGATCATATTTTTCTGGAATAAATTCTAATTTGGTTCTCATTTTGCCCAGAACAGTTCCTGCCATATGGTAGACAATTAATAAATACTTTAATGAGTAATAAAAAATACAAATCGTTCCAGGATTGCAAGAGGCTAGAGTACTAAAGTGACTCAAGTTAAATTTAGCACGGTCTCAGGAATTTGGTAATTTCTAGGGTAAGTCTCAGACATATATCTGAGAGGAGTCAACACATTTGAAACTCCCATTGTGACATTCTAATTATCCCATTCATCTGAAGGCTGATATATGAGATTTGTTTATAAGAAACCTCCTTAGAAAATTAACTATGTTGTTGTTTGTTTCCTTTGTTTCCTATCCTCTTTAATAAGACTATAAATGTTCAAGAATAAATAGGCAATAGTCCACAGGTGATAGTTAACCTCTTTCCTTCTGACTCTTATAGTAAGAAATGCAACAGCCCAATTAGATGCTGGTGAATGCTCAATCCCTTTTCCTGGAGAGAAGCCATTAAGCCTGCTCTGCTGAGCTCCATGAGATCACATGTTATTAAACTTCGTCTTTGCCATTCACCTGAGACACTAACTTATAGGCAATCCAAGAATGAGTTGTGACAGCCTGTCTCTCTACCCAGGTGGTAATGCTTAGTGCCATTCCCAATGTACATAAAGGAGATGTCTCTGTTGTGGTATCTTAATAGATCCTGTAGTTCCCACATGTTTTGGTAACTGTTTGATATAATTACTGTGTCTCATAAAAAATAAATTTTTTTTAATACAGTAATACTCCAGCCTGCTGTGCTGCTTCACTTCAAGATAACTTATGGCTACTGGGTTCCTCTGTACAATATTGGTCCATAGCAATAATAAAGTTGTCAACAAGAGGCTATGATAGACCACTTTGCATTATTCTAACTGCCTTTTTGTATTATAACTGTTTGCAACTTTATGAGGTCTTCATAAATATGATCAATTGCAATAATAAAGTGTTAAGGCATTTGTGGCAGCTTATTTTTCTCCACCTCAAAACAGGAGCTGCCTTGCTTGTTGGTCTAATGTCTGTGATTGCATCCTTGACTGCCTGTAGAGCTCTGCGCCGTGAAAGGAGCAACCAACTTAGCTTCCACAGTTGCTCTCTGGCTTTCAGGAATTCAGTGATTTATTCATGTAACTGTAAACCCAGCAGGTCCAAAAAATAGAGGGATAACTTTTGTGTCCTACATAAACAAGGAGAAGCAAGTCAAGCACTCCATACAAGCACATTTTTTCCAATATTAGAAAGTTATGGATCATATTTTGTTATTGGAGTAATTTACTTGAAATTATTTGTTTTCATTATGCAAATGACTTACGAAAATGTGTCAATTTTACTTAAAAATAATAGAAAAATATATATCAGCAAAAATGGTAAAGTTGCCAAAAGAGATACCTCCAAAAAGAGAGACAGTGTGACGATATTCGCAGTGAGAAATGTAGTCTGTTTTTTAAAATAGATAATCCTGATGATATTTGAAGTGTTACAAAGTGATAGGGGAAATAGTGCTCTCCTATTTTCATTGTGGAGGAAACACAGTCCCCAAGCATGACACTGATAGTACAATAAAAGCCCCAAAGACCACAGCACTTTTTAGACCATCTGTGTTGCTTCTTTAAAAATATTTTTTGTCTTTCCTGAAATAAATACAGATGGCTTCATTCTTCTCTTTTCCAGAAATACTTTGCCCAAATCCTCAAACATTCATAAACTAAAAAAGTGAATTATATGTAGGCCAAATTACTTTCACTTATTCATTCAAAAATAATAAAGAAATAAGCAAATAAGCAAATTAATTAAATCAATAATTTAAATGGTAAAGCAACTAATTTATGAAGTAGTATACTTTAGGTTTTTATGTAAAATTTTACATACAGGAGAATTAATTTATTTTGTTAATAATTATATATATTAAGCTGCAGTTTAATGAAACAATTGCATTGCAAATTAGGAAAGCTTCCATGTACACACAATTTGACAGGTTTTCAATGAACAAGAAAAATATTTGTAGTCTACAATATATTTATATTAATTAAACACTTTTTCTGTGTCTATGCTCCTATAGCATAAAGTGTAGAAATAAATTTCAGCAAATTAAATATCATGCTTTGAACTATACCGTTATTTTATACTTCCTGACTTACCAAATTATTTTGGCAGAAAGTTACAAAATTAATAAATAATGTATACCCTTAAAAATTAACATAGTTGTATTTTGTGTTCATTAACCATCTAATTAAGACTGGGATAATTTTTTCTAAATGATATGATTTTAAATTAGTTATATTCAATATGTCAGTAAGTCATCTCCTGATTACTATCCTGTGACCTGTCTCACAGTTCTCTGACTCTTGTGGGCACACTTATACTACGTGGTTCCAAGTTTAGGACAGAAATCTTGGGATTTCCCAGTATTCACGTAAAGCTCAAGCAGCTGAGAACTCTGTCTGGAATTATGTGTGAACTATTTAATTTCTGGCACGTCAATGTGGGATGTAGAAAAGATATCTAAGGAACAGAGGTGTTTTAATACAATAATCTTCAGTGGCAAAGAACACTGGGTTCTGGAATCAAGTCCTGGTTCATATTCCAACTCTGGTCCTGACTCACTAGGTGCTACTTGCAAGAAGAAGAATTTGGGCACAAAGCCAAAAAAAAAAAAAAAAACTTTCTGATAATTACAATTAACTAAAAATGTAGTGCATTGAGAAAAGAAGTTTTCCATCACTGAAGGTGCATGATAAATGTCTGAGTAAATACACACACACACAGATGTAGCTAGAATAAAAGCATGAACATGTGGTTGGGGCTCATGCCTTCTCTCTCATGCAGATTCTGTTAAAGAAAAAGAGCACCACCCCCCCATCACTTAATCATTTCTCTTTCCTCACCACATTTCATCTCATGCACTCTACATCCTGACTGCCTGCTATTCCAAATTATCAAATTATTTTAAATAGATAGTAACTCTAAAGGTGGAGGGCAAGTGTGGGTTGGAAAAAAATTACTGCTTTTTACATCATTCATAAGAAATATGGACTTTTGCAATCACTGTCAAAAGAGGAGTTAGAATTACTTAATTTTTACTTTAATTATCTCTCTATATTATGTTCCTTTATAAGCTCTACAAGTTCAAGGATGCAGATAATTTGGACACTATCCAGGAAGAAGCAGTGAAAATTATTAAGACGCTGGGAAATCATCTCTGTTATTAAAGAATGAAATAATTGGAGAGACTATGTATTAGCAATATGCGTTTTCACGTATGCATAAGGCATATAGTCACTTTTTTCTAGATCATTCCCAAGAATAAGTAAAAAAGATTGGATTAAATTGTTTCATAATTGTGAGTATACACTCTTTTAAAAAATATGAATATAAATTGGACATCAGAAAAAAGATTTAGGATAGTAGATTCCTCCATATTTATTTTAAAAAGGCTTCTTTAAAGAGAAAATACATCATTCACTGCATAACAAAAATACTGGTGGAAGTAAAATTAAGTATGTATAAACATTTAAGGAGTTTCTTCCAAGTGAAGAGCAAGTAAAAGCAGAAAATAATACATCTTCCCTGAAATTGTAATTTACACCCATGAATATATTACTCAATAGCTTAATACAACTGAATAGGTTATTGTGTTCTCTCTTTTGAGCCTGTGCTCAATTTAATGGATGTTTAATTTGTACATATATTTATGAATAAATATTTGCAAATGAAACCAGAGGTCAAAATGGAGGCATTCAAGTATATTTTCTTACTGCCACAAACTGTTGCAGTGTCAAAATTTAGAAACTGCAAGATTCGACATGAAAACATAGATATCTGTCTTCTCTGTGTAAAAAAAAATTCTGGGCCGGGCGCGGTGGCTCATACCTGTAATCCCAGCACTTTGGGAGGCCGAGGTGGGCGGATCACGAGGTCAGCAGATCGAGACCATCCTGGCTAACACGGTGAAACCCCGTCTCTACTAAAAATACATGAACAAAAAAAAAAAAATTCGCCGGGTGTGGTGGCGGGCGCCTGTAGTTCCAGCTACCCGGGAGGCTGAAGCAGGAGAATGCCGTGAACCTGGAAGGCGGAGCTTGCAGTAAGCTGAGATCACGCCACTGCACTCCAGCCTGAGCGACAGTGCGAGATGCCGTCTCAAAAAAAAAAAAAAAATTCTGTAGGATAAGATGACTGTGGGTCTGCATCCTTAGGTGGAAATGAGTAGCTGAAGTTGGGCAACAGCATCTACCCTTGAGATAGGTCACGTGTGATTTTCTTCATCATGAATTTCTTCATTCCCTGTTATGTATCAAAGAAAAAAACAAGAAATTGTTTTTCATCTTAGAGCAGTTCCATTTAACCAGTTTATCAATTTGTCCTCTATATTCATTTATTTGAAATTGCTGATGTAACATGTTTTGTGTTTTCACATACCCCATAATTCTGCAACAATTCTATCTGTACTGTTTTTGAGTCGGGAAGTTCTCATCATAAGACATATACTTGTGAGTGAAAAAAAAAATTTCCAAAAGGTAGTTGGAAAATACTGGCATTTGACGCGTGGAGAGATTAAGGTATTGCTATACTGCTGAAATCTAATAAACCATTATGGGTTGGGCGCAGTGGCTCATGCCTGTAATCCCAGCACTTTGGGAGGCAGAGGTGGGTGGATCACGAGGTCAGGAGTTCGAGACCAGCCTGGGCAACATGGTGAAACCCATCTCTATTAAAACTACAAAAATTAGCTGGGCGTGGTGGCGTGCCTGTAATCCCAGCTACTTGGGAGGCTGAGGTAGGAGAATGCTTGAACCTGGAAGGCGGAGGTTGCAGTGAGCCGAGATCATGCCACTCCACCCCAGCCTGGGTGAAAGAGCAAAACTATGTCTAAAAAAAAAAAGAAAACTACTAAAACAACTCTTATTTTTATTCATTTATTTTTCATCATATTTTAATACTTGTTATGTGGACACGATTCTGCATTTTCATTTTCCATATTTTTAAAATCTACTTTCCTTTTAACACTTATTTAACAAATATCTAATGAGCAATTACTATGCTACATAATCTTGGTACTGGGCAAAAAGGCATGAATAAACCACTTTGTCCTCATGTAACTTGTATTCTAGTGGGGAAGTCACACAATGAGCAAGATAGATAAGTCAATTATTTAACATTTTAGATAATTTTAAGTGCAGAAAAGAAAAAAAACTAAATGGAGGAAAAGGTGTTATAAAATGTCAGAATAATAATTAAAATTTTACATAGGCCAGACAGGAAATTAGCTAACTCTTAATATGAAACTAACTCTTCAATCAAGATCTGGTTAAATTAAATGAGTTAGTTGAACAAATGATACCTAATTATATACTTGTTCAATTTTGCTACATATTATGCATTGCTATCTATGTTATTTGCATTAATTTACCAAATGGAACACTGTAATTCATTTTCCAAAAATGATATTGCTGGAATTTTATACTGTTGCAAAATGTTACAATTTTAGAAATTATACAAAAACAACAAAGGAAATACATCTTAATTTGGGTAATGACAATGTTGGTAAATACATATATAAAAGGTCTTTGGGCTCTACATACAAGATGTATGCACTTTTAGTTATGATACACCTGGGTTAAAAAATAAAAGCAATAATAATATCTGGTAGTAGTAGTAGTAGTACTATTCCTTTAATACCTTTACTATTACCAGCCCTAAGGCCACTACCCAATCATCCAAAGTTTCATCTTGAGCATTTGTTATCTCTCAGGCATATATGGGAGACTTTACATTCATTATTTTATTTGATATTTATTTAAAAACTTTGAAATTGGCAGGATCATTCCTAGTTTACATAGTAGGATGCTAAGATGCAGATACATGAAGCAACTTGTATTTAAAATGAAGTATATGTAAAATAATGTCACACTTTTCATGAGTATTATTTGCAAAAGTAGGCATTTTCTAATGAAATAGCTTATTTGTGTTCACATATAATGAGCTATAGTATTATTTTAAAATGAATTTACAAGTAAATATTCTTTACATGTCTCAGTTTTAATTCATAATTCATAATGTGTTAAACATACAGTGGTGAAAAATAATACAAGATGAGTCCACAAATCTTCACTGTAGTGGGTGAGAGAGACATCTGAAGTTTTATTAACTAATGCTTTTTAAATTAGCTATTATATGTCTTCTATGTCTGGGATAAATTTTTATGTGTTTTCTCCTGAGGTATTGGGAAATAACCACATAAGGCATGGTTCTCAAGCTTCTGTGTCTCAGGACACTTTATTACTCCTAAATTTATTGAAGACTTCAAGGAGCTTCTATTTTTATCAGTTGTATATTTCACACATTAGGAATTAAAAGACATGTAAATAATATTTACTTATAAATTCATTTTAAAATAATACCGTAACTCATCATATGCTAACACAAATAACTTATTTTATTGGAAAATGTCTATATTTTCCAAATAATAATCATGAAAGAAGGGACATTATTTTACATTTTTAAAAATGCCTCTGATGTCAGGCTTCTCAAGTGCAACCGAATTCTCGTATCTGCTTCTGCATTCACTGTGTTTCAATATCTCACACCATAGAGGCTTGGGATATCTCCCTGTACATTCATGAAAGAATAAATGAATGAAAAAATGTATCTTTAGTATTATTGAGAAAATAGTTTTGACCTTGCAGACCTCCTGCAACGGAGACCGTGCTATAAGAATTGCTGTTCTAAGGTAAACTGCATGAGATTATGTGAGGAAGGCACTTTGGAGGACAAGAAAAGGAATAACAAATGTAACAATGGAGTTGAAAGGCAATTTATTTGTTATTTATATAGGGAAATCACTAGTAGTGTCGAGTGAAATCTGGTGATTCAGTCATTTGAGGAAATCTGGTACTAACCACCTACATCACCTTTGGTGTGTCACATAAACACTCCAGGGACTTAATTTAAAAATAAGGAAGTTGAATTTTTTCCTCAAGATCCCCATACAACATAAAGGTTCTATCATTTTGCAAAATCTAAATGTTCTTTAGATTTCTTTCCACAGCTATCTGGAAGGTTTTTTATATATATATATATATATATATATATCAGTTGAAGGCTAACTACAGAAATAGTAACATGTTTTGGAGCATAATTTTTCTACTTACACCTGACATATTAGCCTTATCTGAGAAGGCTTCTGAGAGTCTCATGAGAAGCAGAGGTCTTTAGTGTGAGAGAATAGGGATAAAGGAATTTTGAATCTGTAATAGGTCCCCAGAACAGTAGAATTTAAGCCCTTTAAGAATCAGGAGTGAATGTTAAGCCATTTAGCCTGGAAGGGCATAGAATTCACTCCCAGATAGAGTATACCAATGACACCTGGGATCTGCCTAGGTATAATTTGAGAACTCTGTGGTCCTGATCATTTCTGAGGCATTTCTAAACACAACTAGCACTCACATAACAATATATGCAGTTATCATTTTATCTGAATGTTATATCCTTTTAATACATAATTTGTACCCATTCAGGTGTTCTATTCTCTCCCCTACATTCTCATTTTGGGCTCTATTTAATCAATTGAGCTAGGTGAATTTCTAAGTTGTACATGCATTTCTAATATCCATTTACAAAATACCTACCATTTTCTGAATGATAGAAGTTATTTTTCTTGTATTTTTATTCAAGTAGCATCCTTTCCCGCTTTGCCTAGTTTATAAACACAGAAAATGAAGGAGATTTTAGCCAATTTGTCAAGTCAATATTTTTCCTTCACAAAAAGTATCTAACAATTTAATAATGTATTATTATGTATTATATAATTGAGTATAACCTTATACCTTAGGAGTCTTGAAAAATGAAATTCAATAGAATGAATATCCTTCTAAACCATCTGTCCATCAATTGTAAGAATGCATATTCTTCCAAACCATCTGTCTGTTAGCAGTTCTTGCTATAAAAATGAAAAACTTGGCTAAACAAAAACAACTGAATGTGTGCTAATTTCATTAATAAACATAACTGGTACACAATGGAAAATGATGGAAAAGGAGAAAACAAAGAAAATAAATTATGCTAAATATGTAGATTAATTTACAGAGAGTCAAAACCTTTGTATGGTGTCAACCTAAATAATAAACACAGAGAAATACTCTAAAAGAAAATAATATTTATTTGGGAATAGGGCATTGCAATGAGACTATGAGTACCATAATAAACTATGTATGCTTTCAAAGAGGTAATGAAAGACAAAAGTTCTTAGAGAAAAAAAATGAGGAAGGTCACATAATTGTTTTGAGATAATTGTCCTTGGCTACAAGGATCAATAACAAGAGCTGCACCAATCTGAGCTTAAACAGGCACTTGCAGGGCAGATGTCCTCACAGGCATATTTCTTTGTTTAAGATTTTGATGGCCTTTGTGCAAGGTTGCTATTTTTGCAGTCATTTGTGATCATTTTTGTTATCAGCGATTTATTCATGACAGCCCTCCCTTCACGGCTTTCCTGAGCTCTATTTGTCAAGCTTGCTGATTTGTTTGTTTTTAACACAAGTGACACCATTTTGATTCTAACAACTTTCACAATGGCTAGTTCTCCACATTTTCAACTTCTGTTTTATGACCCTAGCTTAGTCAAGGTTTCTTCTGTTTTTCAAATAAGTCCCACAGATTTCTCGCTGAATTTATTTGTAGTTATTTCTCTCCCTCATTTTTATGGCTACTGGGAAAAAAGAATTTTTCTCCAAAATTCGTAACCAATTACTCTAGATATATAGCAAAGATAATTATTCAGGAAGTTTATTTTTTAATTAGCTGTGCTAATAAATTATAACTTCTACTTTTTCAAGTCTGTTTTGTTTGGTTCAAGATAAGTAATGATGTATCCAGAAAATAATAAATATTTGCCTAAATACGGTTATCTTTGTTGTTTTGAATGACTTATTTTACTACATAGCACTTTCAAAATTATGTTAAATAAGAAGGGATTTATAGCAAATGTTTTATTAGAAGCTAAAATTATTTGTTTCTCTTAAAAATTTATTTTCTCTGAATTAAAGGAAGGTAGACAATCAGTTAAAAATATCAAACTGATCCTGGCGCAGTGGCTCACGCCTGTAATCCCAGCACTTTGGGAGGCCGAGGCAGGTGGATCACCTGAGGTCAGGAGTTCGAGACCAGCCTGGCCAACATGGTGAAACCCCATCTCTACTAAAAATACAAAAAAGTCATCTGGGAGTGGTGGTGGATGCCTGTAATCCCAGATTCTTGGGAGGCTGAGCCAGGAGAATCGCTTGAACCCGGGAGGCGGAGGTTGCAGTGAGTGGAAATCGCGCCACTGCACTCCATACTGGGTGACAGCGAGACTCCGTCTCAAAAAAAAAAAAAAAAAAAAAGATCGAACTATACAGAAAGTAACAAATTCAGTGCTCACGCCTCTCTTCCCCACTCACTGACCTCTCTTCAAAGAAGTAGTCACCATTAAACTTTCAAGTCTTCAGGATGTTTTCATCCATCTTTATTTTTCCACTACCCAAATAAGAAAACATCTGTCCAAATTTAGTTTAATTTACTCTAATTGCTTTCTATCATCTATGAAGGTTCTAGAGCCAGCCAAGTATATTATTATCAGCAGGGGCTCGAAGCCACTGTATAAAGAAAGTGTCCTGACACTGCCACCCATTAGCTCTAAGATTTTGGGTATTTTCTCAACATCCTATGTGCTGGTTTCCTCGTCTGGAAAATTAAGATAGTCATAGTTGTACCTCCACCTTAGCTATGTAGCAGGTTAAATGGATTACATATTTTAAATATGATTATTAACTAACTTAATATATAGATTTTATAATTAAAATATTGTACATATATTATCTCATTTATATTATATACAATATAATATATATTATTTTTTATATATTATTATAAGTGCTCTAAGATCTAGCTATATTTATTAATCCTTATCACAAATATTGTTCAATTTCTAATTAATGAGTCCAAATCCCAATCCAACACTGAGTTTCTTCCAGACATACTTAAATTCCTCTTTCTATTGCCTAGATTGATGGCATTACAGATCACCTTTCTTTCCGGGACTGTTCATACTCTAAACTATTTTTCTGCAAATAAGAATGTGAGCACTCACTAGAGAAAGTATGCAAGACAATCCGTTGGAATTTCTAAGGACAATATTAGAGCTTATAATTACTTTATGTTTAAAAAGTAAGAAAAACATTAAGATGTGTTAATATTTGATTTGAGTTTTGACACTACTACCTACACTTTGCGAAGTCCCCCAATCAGGCATGGGGGCAAAGGTGTCCCAAAGGAAGAATGAAAGTTTCACACCCCTGAGGAGTTTAACAACAGTATTCACTGAGAACAACATATGCCTGAGCAATAGGTTTATAGATTGGATAATCTCATTTAAGAAGACTAAACCTCACGAAATGGAGAAGCAACTTGCTTGCAAGCTCTCTTTCAAGGAAACTTCTAATTTAAGATAATATGAATGATGCCAGCAGGAGAGAATGAGAAGAAAATGATTGAGCTGATATTTCTGCTCCCAATGTGAGTTCTACCTCAGTCTTGTCATTAGGAAACAACAATGACATATAATTAGATCTGAGGAGCAAGCCCCTCAGGTTATGAAGAATATGATTAGGAGTAACCCTTGCCCTGAGCATATTAGCATGGTTGGAGACAGACGGTAATGGTTACATGAAGCAGTAGGTGGGATCTATAAACCAAACATCCAGCTCAGAAAAACTAAGCTATGAAATCTGATTCATTCACCAATTTCTAAGCCATAGGACATGCAATCTGATTTTTAAAAAGTAATGAACCTTTACTTGTGATGTCTTACGCAAAAACAAAAGACAAAAAGCTTACGTATTTGGGTAAGCCCTTGATCTTTCTGCCATCATAATAGTGACTGAAATAATAGAAAACCTGGTGACAAATGAACATGTGTTATTTTGGGGCAAATACTGTCCAAATAATCAGAAAACATTGCTAAAGAATATAAAAAAAAGTGTTAGTACAAATCGTGAACTCTCAGAGGTCTGCTCTATAGTTGAATAAAAGTGCAGGTATAACAAAGAACTACATTTTGCAAGCACTAGAAGGAAGATTAACAATGAAAATATATTTTCAACAGTAAATTATTTCATTAATAAAAACGCTTGTATGAGAAAAACTGGGTTCTTGTAACTATAAATAGAATGCATTGAATAAAATAAAATGACTCTGGGTTAACAATGCAAAGATTATAACACGTGAAATTCATTAGAAGGCAAGCCATTACAAGAATAAAGATGAAGTCAGAGGGGTACAAAGCGTTAGTGGTTGCCATGGAAAGTGTTGAAGTTTATAAAACCATAAGTTATTAAATACAGCAATTTTTATAGTACTATGAAATTAGGTGGGGCTAACCATGAAAATTCTTTGTACAGCACAAATTTTACTGATGTCTCTTGGTAAGGTTCTTAAAGCACTGTTAAACTTAGAATGAGATGTGGTTTTATTTTTCCTTGAGCAGAGACACATGTTCCAAATTTGCTGTCCTTTTCTGTATTAGCAAGTAGCTGTCATTCATATTCTACTCAGAACATACACTTTTCTTAAATTTCAACTTGGAAATAATTTCAGACTCACATAATATTGAAAATATGGTGCAGAAAGTTCATGTACACCCTTTACTTCACTTTCCCTAAGCTAATATGTTATACAGCCATAGTATATTTAAGACAACGAAATCAACATTAATACAATAATATTATTAACTAAGCTATAGACTTTATTTGAATTTCACCATTTTTCTCCTAATATATTTTTATATTTTGTCCTATGTTCCAGCATCCAATCCAGAATTTGACATTGCATTTAATTTTTCATATCTCCTTAGTCTTCTCTCATCCTTAACAGCTCCTCATCCTTTCCTTCCCTCTCATGATCTTGACATCTTCGATTAACCTTAGTCAGTTTGGGTTAGCCCAGTGTTTTCTCTTTACTAGAATATTATGCATTTTTGTTAAAATAACACAGAAGTTATGTTGTGCCTCTCTCAGGCACATTATATCACCGTGTCTTATTACCATTGATGCTTACTTGGATCACCTGGGTAAGGCGGTGCCTACCAAGTTTCTCCACCATAATGTTAAAACTTTTTTTCTTTGTAATGGTTAAATATTAATTAAATAAATTAGTAATACAGATATGGCTTTTGAGACAATACAGATATGGCTTTATTCCTCCCATTTTGCATACTGACTTGGTCATTCATCAGCAGATCTTGCTGGCAACAATTATCACTGTGTCCTACACATAATGATTTCAGATTTCCCTCATTCCTTTTATATTATGAATTGGAATTGTTCTGTAAGAAAGCTGTCCCTTATCTCTTATTTCTTTATTCAATTATTTATTTATATCCTTATGAACTCACAGATATTTATTTATTCTGTGTTATCCAATACTACTACTTATTTTGTCATTCCATTTGTTCATTTTGGGTTATGAGCTTTTTTGACACGGGACGATTTTTTTTTTTTTGAGACAGAGTCTCGCTCTGTTTCCCAGGTTGGAGTGCAGTGGCGCGATCTCAGCTCACTGCGACATGGGCTGGTTTTTTTTCAGCACTCTCTAATTCCTAGATTATATACTAAAAAATAAAAAAAAAATCATCTAATCTTTTAAAGTTAGAGTGACATTTTTATCACAAATGAGAAAGAGTAACTTTTTTAAAAGAAGGACATCAAGCATTTGCAAATGCTTGGTAATCTTTCCATTTCAAAATGACTTTGTTACCAAAAATTATGCAACTGTATTATCTATAAAAAGTCATATTTGTGCATTTAAATTGAGAAACAAAAGACTCTAATCTAGTCAAAATCATCCAGAGAAGGACCTAACAATAAAGGTTTGCAATGATTTTTATTTATTTATTTACATTTTAATTATTACTTTTCTTTGCAGAGATGGTGTCTCACTATGTTGTCCAGGCTATACTGGAACTCCTGTTCTCAAGCAGTCCTCCTGCCTCGGGCTCCCAAACTGCTGGAATTACAGGAGTGAGCCATCGTGCCTGGCCTAGGTTTTGCAGTGATTTTTAAATTTGCTTCTTAAAAACACAAAAATGCAATATGTTTAACTTACTCGGTAAGCAAACCTTTTTATCATAATTACACAAGTTTTCTAAACAGATTTGCACATAAAACTTTAGATAATAGATAGAAAGAAATAAAAAATAAGTGGCCTAGTTTATTAAGTAGCACGAATGAATTACTTTTTCCCTTTAGATCTTTGTGCCTTTATAGAGTATCATTTTCGGTTATGACAGATGATAAAACCATGTAGAGAAATAAAATGAACTTACAACCAAATATTGGAGCCACTGTAACACAAACCATCCAATCAATATTTTCAATTTACAGAATACATTTAATCAAATTAATCTCACTAAAACTATTGAAGAGTTTTATGTCATTAACAATGTAACAGGGATCTTTAACTCACATTTTGTACCTACCTCATGTAAGTAATATAATAAAATAGTACCTATATAATTCATAAGTAAATATGAATGTGATGAATATATTTGGTTAATCTTTTTAATTATGAAATAATCAAAAATATTGTAAAGATATACAGACATTAAAGATATACAGATACTACTAGAAAAACTACAGTTATACATATAAAATAATATTGGTTCTTGTCCTCTCTTGTCTGCAGTAAAGGCTACTATAGGAGTTACACCTTGAAAGGAGAATTTTAAACTTTGTTCCTGTTTGGGCCCTGTGTCCCGACAGTTGTTTCCTGGTAGTTGAGTATCTATAAATAGATGGGAGCAGGGGAACAGGGATAGTAGTCTTTTACCTGGTTTCAGAGTATGCCAATGGAAAGGGTGATTTACAATATCATTTCAGGATGATGATAGTCTCAAGAGAAGATTTGGTGGCAGCTTCTTAAATGAAACACAAATGAGTTCCTTTTCATTCTCTTTTTAAATCTGGTGGCTTAATTAGAACATCATTCCAATTTTTCAAATGATGTTGAGCATCAGTTTTATATTGTAGTGTTGTAAATATTTGTGTTTTGTTGTGGTTATTATCAGATCTTCAATAGAATTTTAGTAATAAAAGGGAAAATAAGCAATTGTAATAAGGTAAAGGACTAGAGCACTGAAAATGTGTATTAGGTTTTTATTTTCTATAAACATTTTCAGTATCTTTCTACAAAATTAATTGTAAGAAAGTTAATTTGAAAGAAATACACTTTCTTACAAAAGCTTTCCAATCTGAGATAATTCTAACTGTATTAAGCTAATTAAAAAGATACCCCAAACTGACTCATCTCAGTTAAGATTCAGAACATAAATGACAAAATTTCCTGCATAGACTTTCTTTTTTCCCAGAAGTTACCAACTGCAGGGAAAATATTCACATCAGAAATACCCAGATTTTACATAACACACTTCACCTTTTCCTTTTAAAATTCATCTTACCTGCTTTAAGAATTAATAAAGATGAAATATTTATATTTCAATCAGCATTTCTCTCTTCATCCCCTTTCATCTTTAATTTGGTTCTCTAGGGTGAAAAATGCTTTGAGCTATGGTATAGATCTCTGAACTTCATAGAAGACTAATATTACATCATCTTAAAGAGAAATCTACTCTAAGCATCAAAAAGCATAGAAATGTATCCTGGGAGAAAACTCCCAATATCAGACCCCAGATGGACTGAAGAATAATTCAATTAAAATTTGAGTTTTGTAGACACCTGTTACAGGATGGATGAGGCAATGCATAGACTCTTTTACCCTCATTTGCAGGACTATCCTGAAGCAAAATAAGCAGTTAGAAGTTTGTCTTAGGTGACTTCTGATTTCCTACTTCAGTGTTTTTTTGTTTTTAGCCAATGTTGAATCATTCGCAACCCTCATTTCTCTATGGATTTTTTTTCCAAAGTAAATATTAATTAGGACCCAGTTTCTTTTAAGGTATAGAGTTAGAACTGAACTGGAATTTATTTGGAACCCAAAGCCACCACCTCTCCTACCTATAAAATCACTGCTTTGGACATTGTACCATCAAGTTGTCATAAGAAATGGGATTAAAACTCAAAAATTGAACAACACACTGAAAGTTGTTATGCTACGAATTGCCAGATCCAAAGGTACAAACTTAAATTCTGTTTCTCAAATTTGGGAATATGTTGTTACATTATTTTGCCTGAATAAGGCTTTGGGCAATATTTCAGAGTTCCAGGCTGTATTTGGTTTGCTCTCAAATAATATGTATGACAGTAGATAAATTGTGAACACTTTGCAGTCTGACTACTCAGTTTTCATCACTGCTTTGACATTTGCTAGTTATGTGAACTTGGGCAAATTTTACTCAATCTCACCACATCTCAATTTATCTAACAAGAAAATGTGCATAAAACATATCCTCTCAAGGGTTACTAACAGAATTATTAAGTATCTTACATAAAAGGAGCACAATGCCTGGTACATAGCAATGACCTCAAAATCATGAGTTTATATAATTTATTGATCTGTAGGCTAAGAAATTATAGACAGATGCATTGATATTAGAATTAAGAAAATGTCTTCTAACTGCTGTAACTCCAGAATTTCACCCAGCCCAGTCACTGAATCACTGACACAAAAGAGAAACTACAGCTCTTAATGGAATAAATGAATTAAGTAATGAAATTACTTTCTTGTCCAGGTGAATTGCTTGTGGAAAACAGCAATAAAATTGTATGGTAATTTGAATGATTCCTTGGCATGAATCTATTCCAGATGTTTGAAACATATGGCTGTTCAATAAATATACTTTAAAATGCTGAAGCCTATGTTTTCCATGAGGAGTCAGGAGTCTTTCAATATGAGTATTCCATTATTAACTCTACCTTTCAACTTCACCTGCTAAAGCCACCTATCAGGGAAAATATGAGATTGTTTTCAACTTTCATTGAATTTTATCCATCTCAACTCTGTAAAATAGACCTGGTTACATCTAAATTCTAAGAATAATTTTTATGATGCTAGTTAATAACACTTTTGTAAGACCTGCACTTTAACGTTAACTGAGCATCAGTGCCTGCAAGTATAGTGTCCTGATAGATTAAATCATCATGGTAGGTGAATATGAAAGAGTACACATTTTGGAAACCTCCTGTGTTTAATTTTTACTGTGATTACTCAATGATCATTTTGGATGAGCTGGATGTATGCCATCCTTTTACTGAGAATAGACACATTTTTTCCAAGTTTATGACATAATTGTACTGTCATATCCAAAAATGACATCATTGGACAACAGGCTAACTCCCTAAGGATCCCCCAATAGATGACTCAATAATAATATAAACAATTTGGCAAACATTATTTAAAAGTTACTGACTTAGGTAGGCAAATCTCTAAAACAGCTTAAAGCATAGATTTATTTAGATAAACATTTTCTAACAAATAGGTAAATTTGGGCAGATAAGCTCAAGTTTAGTAGGAAATGGTGTTATTTGGACATCCTTGGAGAGCAATGGAAATTACTGTTAAAAAAAAGGAAACTACAATTACTACAATTATATGGGTGAATTCTATAATATAGACTGTTAAGATCTCAATTATTCTTAATTATTTCTGAAGACCACTGTGTCCAGAGATGCTCTTTGGGTTCAAATTTATGCAAAGTCAGAGTTCGTCCATCATTTGCACACAAACGTAAGCCTCCTGAGTTTGTTTAATAATATGCCTACCTCTCTTTTCTTTCTGTTTACTACCAATTTATATGAATATACCCTTAATTAGAAGCCTTACATAACCACACTCCACATTCTTACCAAAAACATAATATTTAATCTCAGCTACCCACCTTTTGTAAAGTCTCAAGAGAGACAGATAATGTCAAAGAGGATTGTTCAAAATATAGGAAGTCTATTCCTTTATCTCCATTTCAAATTTTTACTTTTGGGAAAAGCCAGATTAATAATGATGCCAATCTGCACTAAAATATCTCACCTGTTCAAATAAAATTGCTTCCTCAGCCTCTTTTTAAAAGTGAGGGATATTATAAAAAATATTGTGTTGTTTTGTTGTTATATGCTGTAACACATCAAGTTTCAAAACCAAAAATAAATTTTGAAATGTATAAATATAAATGAAATAAATGTATATTATTTAATTTATTATATTATATAGATATATGATATATGTTATATAAATACAATATGTACTATGTGAACATCCAGGCATGGTGACTCCAAGCCTATAATCCCAGCATTTTAGGAGGCTGAAGCAGGAGGATCAACTGAAGTCAGGAGTTCAAGATTACCCTAGGCAACGTAGCAAGACTTTGTCTCTACAAAAAATTTAAAAATTAGATGGGTGTGTTTATGCACACCTGTAGTGCTAGCTACTCAGAAGGCTGAGGTGGGAGGATCTCTTGAGCCAAGGACTTCCAGCCTGGGTAATGGAGTGAGACTCCACCTCTAAAAATAAGAATGATGATAATATACTGTATAAATATAAAATGTATATATAAATATTACGTAATATTTTCTAAAAATTAAAATATAAAGTATTTAAAAACATATACCTATATATTTACATATATTTCCTTTGTACCACTTTTATGTTTCTAACTAATGGACTCATTATATATCTCATTATATTGTTTTGTTTGATTTGGTCTTTGGCTCAGAACTAAACTGACAGCTCGTTAAGAAGAAAAAAAATCACAAATTTTTGTGCACTAATTATACCCTGAATTTATCTTATTTTCTTACATTTATCTGTATGTCTCTATTTTTAATCTATAAAAATACACTTTTATCTGTTTAAGTATATATTTAAATATATTTAGATTAAAATATATTATATATCTACATATCACACACACACACACACACACACACACACCAGGTTACAGTAGTCTTTGCTGTAACTAGCAATCCATGATCCGGCAAGGATCGCAATGCACTTCTTTTAGATTATCTCATGCATACATTCTCAGAGTTACCTGACCTAGTAACATTTACGATCCTCATTCCCTTTGGCTTTCATGTACCACACTTTTCAGGCTTTTCGCACTTTTCCTAATGTCTCTTAGGTCCTCTTACAGTCTTATTTATGGGCTCTTATTTTTTTTATCAAATGAAGATATTTATTTCTTCTTTTGCCATTTGAAATATTCAAATACAAAAACCACATCTGTTTCTATATTTCAATTATTGTCTGCTAATCATTTTAAACATCCCAATGTCTCAACCAGTCTCTCCTCTGTCTTTCACATTCAACTGATTACTCCCATTAAACTCTTAAAATCAGCAAGTCTAAAACTAAGCATGATCTTCCCTCTCCAAATCTGCTTATCCTTCTAAGTTCCCTATCTATGCCCAAAGCCCCTAACCAAAAAAATCATTCTTAAATCATTATTCACTTCACTATTCATATTCAACCAAGTACAAAGTTCTGACACTGCCATATGTTAAATATTGTCTAAATCTACACTGTCTTCATTTCCCTCAACAACTGCTGTCCAGGTCAATACCATCTCTTTCCAGGAATACAGTAACATTACCTAACCAGTCTTCTTGTCTACATTTAAGTCTTTTCTCAATCCATTCTAATGTCTGCAAAGTAATATGGTTCCCTATGCAAAATCCTCAAAGAACTTTTTACTTTTCTTGTGATAGCGTTAATATACCTTATCTTGGCACTCAAAGGCATGCACCAATAATCCCTTTGTGACTCTCCAGCTTTGTATTTTATCTTTTTCCTCTTAAATGCTGCAGTCCGCCCATTCTGAATTTTATTTCAGTGTCTTGAACATACGGAGCTCTCTCTTGCTTTCAGAACTTTTCATGTGCATTTCTTTGTTAAAAGTTTCTTCGATGAACCATTTTTTCTGTAGTTCTTATGTTTCAATTTAAAAAGAAATCTTTTAACAAAGGATTATAAGTATTGAATCACTATTGTACATTTGTTTGTTAATGTATTTCATTAGACTATAAGTTTCATAAAGACAAAGGTCATGTTTATGTTGTATATTATTTAATCCTAGCATTTACAACATCTAAAATTTGATAGGTGCTCAATAAATATTTTTAAATGGTAGAAGAATTTAAGTTTTTTTCTCTTTTCATCCTTTGTATCATATAGTACAAATTTGCGTAAAATCTATTCAGATGCCAGCTGAAACTTGTACCTCTTCCTCTATTACATGTATTTTTTCTAATGCATATTATGCTTCTAAATTTTTGAGCATACATTTTTCTCTTTATAATACTGTGTAATTTAAGTCCTGAGTTTTGTTTTTGTTAGTTCTGTCCTTTTCTATGCCACAAAAATAAGTTCTGAGATTTGAGGAATTCTCTTCATCTATTTACTTATTATTATTATTTTTGCAAGTAGCTGTCTATCTATATAACTGCATTTGGTGAAGAAATTTTGCCTGTGCCAACTTTTCTATATGTGGATTTGCCTTAACCTGTTCTCTACTCTGGGGACATGTTATATTTCTAGTCTTTTTCCTAATGTTAATGCCCCATGTAGGAGACATGCTAAGCCCTAGTGCATTGAAGGAATAAGAGTGTCATTTGGCTTTTTCTTTGATTGTGTGACAACATTGACCTTGGACTATTGGTGCACTGCTCCATTACTGAGTCATATCTACAAAAAGTGTTTAGAGTGAACTTTTCTGTCTCTTTACCATCCTGCTACCTAAAATACCCCAATCTTCAAAGTAGAGTATAAGTGAATTGCTGTCAGAGACACTGCCACATCGTTTGTAAGCCAGTTTCTATTCTCTTTCTTTAAATTTTGTCTCATTTACTGTGCCTAGTGAAATTTTTTTGTCATTTGCAAGACTACATTTAGGTTTTCTAATACAGTGGGTTTTTTTCTCTCTCTCTCTTCATTTATAACCTTATTTCAAGTGACTTTTCAGATGGATCCAAAGCAAGGAGGATAAAAAAATGTTGATGACTGGACCAGGCACGATGGCTCACGCCTGTAATCCCTGCACTTTGGGAGGCTGAGGCGAGTGGATCACGAGGTCAGGAGATCTATCGAGACCATCCTGGCTAACATGGTGAAACCCCGTCTCTACTAAAAATACAAAAAAAAAATTAGCCGGGCGTGGTGGCGGGCGCCTGTAGTCCCAGCTACTCGGGAGGCTGAGGCAGGAGAATGGCGTGAACCCAGGAGGCGGAGCTTGCAGTGAGCCGAGATCGCGCCACTGCACTCCAGCCCGGGCGACAAAGCCAGACTCTGTCTCAAAAAAAAAAAAAGTTGATGACGTCCCAACTGGCATTTTATAGACTAGGTACTTTTGTTTTCTGTTATGAGTATCTTTCCTTGCTTTTGCTGTAGGTTTATATGTAGTACCGTTAATTTAAATGTTTTCATTACTGCTTACAAGTTATTTTTTGTTTCAACTTAAGCTATTTCTCAAAGTTTTGTCAGTTTTTTTGTTTTCTTTTTCAACTTTTATTTCATATTCAGGGGTTACATGTGCAGGTTTGTTACCTGGGTATATTTTGTGACACTAAGGTTTGGGATACAAATGATCCCATCACCCAGGCACTGAACATAGTAATCAGCAGTTAATTTTTCTACCCTTGCTCCTGAATGTAGTCCCCAGTGTCTATTGTTGCCATCTTTATGTCTGTGAGTACACAATGTTTAGCTCCCGTTTATAAGTAAGAAAACGCAATATTTGGTTTTCTATTCCTGGGCTAATTCACTTAGGATATGGCTTCCAGCTGCATCCATGTTGTTGCAAAGGACATAATTTTATTCTTCTCTTATGGCTGCATAGTATCCCATGATACTATGTACCATATTTCCTTTATGCAATCTGTCATTGATGGGCTTCTAGGTTGATTCCATGTCTTCGCTATTGTGAAGAGTGCTGCAATAAACATACGAGTTCACGTGTCTTTTTGGTAGAACAATTTGTTTTCTTTTCGATATATACCCAGTAATGGAATTGCTGGGTTGAATGGTAGGTCTGTTTTTTGTTGTTGTTGCTTGTTTTTTTATTATTAAACTTTAAGTTTTAGGATACATGTGCGCAACGTTTCTTACATATGTATACATGTGCCATGATGGTGTGCTGCACCCATTAACCGTCATTTAGAATTAGGTATATCTCCTAATGCTATCCCTCACGCCTCCCCCCTCCCCCCAGCCCACAAAAGGCCCCAGTGTGTGATGTTCCCCTTCCTGTGTCCATGTGTTCTCATTGTTCAGTTCCCACCTATGAGTGAGAATATGCAGTGTTTGGTTTTTGTCCTTGCGATAGTTTGCTGAGAATGATGGTTTCCAGATTCATCCATGTCCCTACAAAGGACATGAACTCATCATTTTTTATGGCTGCATAGTATTCCATGGTGTATATGTGCCACATTTTCTTAATCCAGTCTATCATTGTTGGACATTTGGCTTGGTTCCAAGTCTTTGATATTGTGAATAGTGCCGCAATAAACATATGTGTGCATGTGTCTTTATAGCAGCATGATTTATAGTCCTTTGGGTATATATGCAGTAATGGGATGGCTGGCTCAAATGGTATTTCTAGTTCTAGATCCCTGAGGAATCGCCACACTGACTTCCACAATGGTTGAACTAGTTTACAGTCCCACCAACAGTGTAAAAGTGTTCCTATTTCTCCACATCCTCTCCAGCACCTGTTGTTTCCTGACTTTTTAATGATCGCCATTCTAACTGGTGTGAGATGGTATCTCATTGTGGTTTTGATTTCCATTTCTCTGATGGCCAGTGATGATAAGCATTTTTTCATGTGTTTTTTGGCTGCATAAATGTCTTCTTTTGAAAAGTGTCTGTTAATATCCTTTGCCCACTTTTTGATGGGTTTCTTTTTTTCTTGTAAATTTGTTTGAGTTCATTGTAGATTCTGGATATTAGCCCTTTGTCAGATGAGTAGGTTGTGAAAATTTTCTCCCATTCTGTAGGTTGCCTGTTCACTCTGATGGTAGTTTCTTTTGCTGTGCAGAAGCTCTTTAGTTTAATTAGATCCCATTTGTCAATTTTGGCTTTTGTTGCCATTGCTTTTGGTGTTTTAAACATGAAGTCCTTGCCCATGCCTGTGTCCTGAATGGTATTGCCCAGGTTTTCTTCTAGGGTTTTTATGGTTTTAGGTCTAACATGTAAGTCTTTAATCCATCTTGAATTAATTTTTGTATAAGGTGTAAGGAAGGGACGCAGTTTCAGCTTTCTACATATGGCTAGCCAGTTTTCCCAGCACCATTTATTAAATAGGGAATCCTTTCCCCATTTCTTTTTATCAAGTTTGTCAAAGATCAGATAGTTGTAGATATGCAGCATTATTTCTGAGGGCTCTGTTCTGTTCCATTGGTCTATCTCTCTGTTTTGGTACCAGTACCATGCTGTTTTGGTTACTGTAGCCTTGTAGTATAGTTTGAAGTCAGGTAGTGTGATGCCTCCAGCTTTGTTCTTTTGGCTTAGGATTGACTTGGCAATGCGGGCTCTTTTTTGGTTCCATATGAACTTTAAAGTAGTTTTTTCCAATTCTGTGAATAAAGTCATTGGTAGCTTGATGGGGATGGCATTGAATCTATAAATTACCTTGGGCAATATGGCCATTTTCATGATATTGATTCTTCCTACCTATGAGCATGGAATGTTCTTCCATTTGTTTATATCCTCTTTTATTTCATTGAGCAGTGGTTTGTAGTTCTCCTTGAAGAGGTCCTTCACGTCCCTTATAAGTTGGATTCCTAGGTATTTTATTCTCTTTGAAGCAATTGTGAATGGGAGTTCACTCATGATTTGGCTCTCTGTTTGTCTGTTATTGGTGTATAAGAATGCTTGTGATTTTTGCACACTGATTTTGTATCCTGAGACTTTGCTGAAGTTGCTTTATCAGCTTAAGGAGATTTTCGGCTGAGACGATGGGGTTTTCTAGATACACAATCATGTCATCTGCAAACAGGGACAATTTGACTTCCTCTTTTCCTAATTGAATGCCCTTTATTCCCTTCTCCTACCTGATTGCCCTGGCCAGAACTTCCAACACTATGTTGAATAGGAGTGGTGAGAGAGGGCGTCCCTGTCTCGTGCCAGTTTTCAAAGGGAATGCTTCCAGTTTTTGTCCATTCAGTATGATATTGGCTGTGGGTTTATCATAGGTAGCTCTTATTATTTTGAGATACGTCCCATCAATACCGAATGGTAGGTCTGTTTTAAGTTCCTTGAGAAATCTCCAAACTGCTTCCTACAGTGCTTGAACTAATTTGCATTCCTACCAAGAGTTGCAGTCGATGTCTGAGATAATTGGTTCCTCTGCCCCACAAATCACCTTTTTAATTTGGAAATTAACACAGATAAATTAATATATTTCCATTTACTTTGCCTTTTAGATCCCTTTAAGACTATAATCTGTATCCTAAATTTATTCTTGGTCTGTAGGGAGGAGATGGCAGCAACTGTAGCAATAATTTGTTTGAAGTTTACTAAGTGACACACACTCTGCTGGAATGTGGTGGAGACCATCATAAATAGGGCCTTGCGGTCAGTGTACAGCCTCCAGTAGGAAATAGACATTAGGTAAATAAACACAAACGTATATGTAAATGCTAGCAAGATTTAGCCATTTATGCAAAAGATACGTATTGAGCACCTAACTTATGCCAGACACTTTTCCAATCATTTGGGATAGAGTAGTAAACCAACTAAATTTAAAATCTCTGCTATCACAAACCTTTTATTTAAATAGAGCTTATACTGTAAAGCAAAGTTAAAAGAACAAGAGTATAGTGATATGCAATAACTAGGGACAGTGGCCTTGCCATTTCCTGGTGACAGGAAAGGCGACTGTGAGCAATTGGCATTTGAATTGGGATCTGAAACATGAGCCCATGTTATTAGATGAGAGCAAGATTACATGAAGCTGTGTGTGGAATAGGGGTTACAGCTTCCAAAAAAAAAGAAACAGAATGGTTGGAGGCCTTGTAGTAGATGGTAACATGAAAAGGGCCAAGAAACAGATAGAGGCCACTGGGGCTAGAATGCACTGAAAGGCGCACAGAGAGAAAAGAGAATGCTAAAGAGCTTTGATTGAGTCAAATATTGCTGGGCTTTGTGGCTATGTTAAGGATGTGAGCCTTTATTCTATGAACATTCAGAAATTATTTAAAAACTTCAAGTAAGTAAGCAAACAACATGATTATTTTTAAAATAAAGCACTCTGCCCACAGTGGAGGGGAGTGATCTAAAAAGTAAAGTATGCAAGCTCATATAATAGGAGGAAATAAAAAAATGGAGTCTTTAGGTTGTTTTGTCTTTTAGATTTCCATTTTGTATACTTTTAAAATAATAAATCAATAGTCATATATTGCTGTATTACTCATAAACAGTTTTCTATATGGGTTAATGGTCAAAACAGTATGTAGATATTTGTGTAGAGAGAGAAAAATCACTTAAGCAGTTATTTCATTAGATACATAAGGAGTCTATAGTATTTCATTTTATGTCGATGATGGTTAAAATGGAGTTGAAGGGGTGAACAAAAGAGATATTTAAAGAGAAGAGTCAGCCAGGAGCAGTGGCTCACGCCTGTAATCCCAGCACTTTCGGAGGTCTAGGCAGGTGGATCACGAGGCCAGCAGTTTGAGATCACCCTGGCCAACATGGTGAAATCCTGTCTCTATTAAAAATACAAAAATTAGCCTAGTGTGGTGGCATGTGCCTGTAGTCCCAGCTACTCGGGACTCTGAGGTAGGAGAATCACTTGAGCCCGGGAGGTGGAGGTTGCAGTGTGCCAAGATCACGGCACTGCACTCCAGCGTGGGTGACAGATTGAGACTCTGACTCAAAAATTAAAATAAAATAACATAAAATAATATAAATAAAAGAAGAGTCAGCGCTTATTATGGTCTAAATTAGAATGGACTGCAGTAATCTCAAAACATTTTCTAGTAGTATTACACTTCACTTTGACAATTAAAATGTAGGAGTGTTAAAATTTGCTGATTTCAAAGATCAGACAGTTGTAGATATGTGGCGTTATTTATGAGGGCTCTGTTCTGTTCCATTGATCTATATCTCTGTTTTGGTACCAGTCCCATGCTGTTTTGGTTACTGTAGCCTTGTAGTATAGTTTGAAGTCAGGTAGCGTGATGCCTCCAAATCTGATCTTTGACAAACCTGACAAAAACAAGCAATGGGGAAAGGATTCCCTATTTAATAAATGGTGCTGGGAAAACTGGCTAGCCATATGTAGAAAGCTGAAACTGAATCCCTTCCTTATACCTTATACAAAAATGAATTCAAGATGAATTAAAGACTTAAACATTAGACCTAAAATCATTAAAACCCTAGAAGAAAACCTAGGCATTACCATTCAGGACATAGGGATGGGCAAGGACTTCATGTCTAAAACACCAAAAGCAATGGCAACAAAAGCCAAAATTGACAAATGGGATCTAATTAAACTAAAGAGCTTCTGCACAGCAAAAGAAACTACCATCAGAGTGAACAGGCAACCTACAAAATGGGAGAAAATTTTCGCAACCTACTCATCTGAAAAAGGGCTAATATCCAGAATCTACAATGAACTCAAACAAATTTACAAGAAAAAAACAACCCCATCAAAAAGTGGGTGAAGGACATGAACAGACACTTCTCAAAAGAAGACATTTATGCAGCCAAAAAACACATGAAAAAATGCTCATCATCACTGGCTATCAGAGAAATGCAAATCAAAACCACAATGAGATACCATCTCACACCAGTTAGAATGGCAACCATTAAAAAGTCAGGAAACAACAGGTGCTGGAGAGCATGTGGAGAAATAGGAACACTTTTACACTGTTGGTGGGACTGTAAACTAGTTCAACCATTGTGGAAGTCAGTGTGGCGATTCCTCAGGGATCTAGAACTAGATATACCATTTGACCCAGCCATCCCATTACTGTGTATATACCCAAAGGACTATAAATCATGCTGCTATAAAGACACATGCACACGTATGTTTATTGCGGCACTATTCACAATAGCAAAGACTTGGAACCAAGCCAAATGTCCAACAATGATAGACTGGATTAAGAAAATGTGACACATATACACCATGGAATACCATGCAGCCATAAAAAATGATGAGTTCATGTCCTTTGTAGGGACGTGGATGAAATTGGAAATCATCATTCTCAGTAAACTATCGCAAGAACAAAAAACCAAACACCGCATGTTCTCACTCATAGGTGGGAATTGAACAATGAGAACACATGGACACAGGAAGGGGAACATTGCACTCTGGGGACTGTTGTGGGGTGGGGGGAGGGGGGAGGGATAGCTTAAAAAAAAAAGCAATGCTTTGAATGTTTCATTATAAAGCAGTAAATGATTATGCAAACCAAAAAAAAATTTGCTGATTTCATGGCTTTTAAATTACTCTTATACTCCTTTTGCAGTCAGCAAAGATGGGTTAAGATGAAAATAAAATGTGAAAAGCTTATAAAGTTAATGGTCGGTCACATCTTAAAAGATTTAAGAAAGTCACCTGATACTTGAGACACTAAGCACTGCTGTGTCTAAGGTATAAGTAATGACAGAGTTTAGAAGTAATAAACAGTCTTGTTTATTTCCTCACTCCACTTTTGACTTACTTTTCTTGGTGACTACCTTGAATATCTACCAGCCATTTGTGGTTACAAATATTCTAATGTTTTTCAAATTGTGTAAGAACTTCAAAATATTTATATTACCCATTTCCTTAGAATTCTTTTAAACTCTTTTCCCATTTTACATTAACATAGTTTCTAAAAATTCCAAAAGGTAAAGAGATTTGTTTTGATTTGTAACACATACTAAGAAATTTGACTTTTTTCCAATCTACTTTAAATCATTTACACTGATTCACAATGCATTGTGTTTTAATAGATGCACAACAGATTATTGGAACCTAGAATGGAAGTAGTTGTATCCATTGATATCTGGAGCTTTATTAAAAAATCAAATCATATTTATTATAAAGAATCTAGTTTTTATAAGATTATGCTGTTATTATAGACAAAAAGAATCCTATAAGTACTATTTGTTTTCTCCTTAGAATGTGCTTTGGAGAAAGTTAATTCACAAGGCACAAAAATAATCACGTTATTTAGAAAAACTTTATATTCATAGCCGTTAAGTTAATATCTTACTTTTTTTAAGTGTATATATTAGTTCTTTCATTCATTAATCTGATGGCTAAAACAAGCAAGATAAATAAAATATTATTTTATATAATTATATTTCTGGAAATACATCTAATGTACTCTAGAACTTTTCCCCTATCATTCTGATGGACTGAAAACTGCCTTTTAGACAAAATAAGATTGAAACTTTTTTCATACCATTTTGTATCCATTCTTCTCACTGTAAAAATGCAACACATTGAATAATCATGTATAGGATATAATTAGGATATAATTCTTCTGAAGTACTTTCATAACCATGCTTAAAATTTATCATAATGTATTTTCAGAATGTCACTTAATATTTGAAAAGTTTTTAAGTTATATATTTATATTTCTTATAGAAGCATAAAATCCAAGTATTAAGTTTATTTCAACTTCCAGCTCTCTTTATGAAAATGAATATGAGCATAGATAAACTACATTTCAGTAACAGACTAGAGGTTTTTCAGCAGCCCTTTTCAAACTATTCACATTATTTTCTGATGGCAATGACATCTCAAAAGAAGCACGATATGGTCTTTGAATACCATCAAACCTCCTTGCTGTCTTACATTCAACAATAGGTGGTAAATTTTCTTTTTATAAGAAGATGAATATATTCCAAATGCAATTGTTATAAAAGTAGCTGACATTATGAATAAAAAATGGGAGGAAGGGCATTTCTTCTGGAACTAATATTAGGAAAGTAGACAGGCATCAGTTATTACAGAGAATAGTCAAGGATTATCTGAAAATGTTGATATAGATTGTGGTATCACTACCAGGGGCCCCTTTATTAGCTAGTAGATGAGCCTTATGGCTTCCCAGGAATGCTGGATTAATTGAAAGAAGATGGAAAACAGTTTGCTTACAGAAACTTGGAAATTTTCTTGAGTTCCTGATGCCTGCCAGCAGTATGAGAGCAAGTAAAATAATGTCTCCAGCTCCAGTAAATGTGTAAAATTTTAAAATAATACACTATATAATATACACTTATTTACAATGTATCTTCTTCCAGAACCCTTTCAACACATTGTTTATTATTATTTAACATAAACCTGTAACAATCTAAGAACATGCTTCTAGAAGGGAGTTCATTAAAGAGGTTGTTATTACCGCAATTTCCAGGTCAAAGATATTTGTCCTCAAGTGATAAAGGGTTTTCACCCACTATACTCAGGGTATATAAGGATTTTCACCCACTATATTCAAAAACCTGTGCCCAGATCTATTCAATTATTACTTGAAAGACCCTGTAGGCAAAGAGTGGCTTTGTGGTTTTGGACCAAGATATTGATCATATTCATTAATTATTTATCTTGATATAGCATTAATAGATATGACCTTATAAGAAACACAAAACAAAATGTTTGTGACAAATTTAAGCTCTGGAAAACATAATTATAAAATGATAAAACTAGTCTAAGGTAAAAGAGAGTGCAGAAAGGTAAAGAGAATCAGATTCAATACCATAAAGTCAGTATTCAAAGAAAGACACAAAAAAGTTTTAATGCTAATGTTTCAGTGAAGTGTAGGCTGCAGTCTCTTAAGCTGGGACACCAAAGTAACCAGAAAATTTCCTTTAGAAGACTACTTTTTTGACTACCTTTTTTTTTTCATTTTAACTTCAGTATTCTCATGTTCTTTATTATTGTATTACAAGCTCTTCTTTCTTACCCTTAATCTCATAGCCTATAAAATCACCTAACATTACTAGCCTCACTGGGCCAGCTGGTACCTTGAGGAAAAATAAAGTGATTCACTAGTGAAAAAGATTAAATAAATATGCCATGTGATATATTTAAATTGTGTGGAAAATATGGTGGTTATGCATTTTTTTGGTCCCTTGGCAATAGTAAGCAATGTGTGAATAAAATAGCATTAGCAATGTAATTTGAAAATTAAACAAAGAAAAAACTCTTCACTGTAAAAGAACTATATACAAAGTGCAAACTATACGTTTTTAAAAAGGTAGTCCATTACACTTTTTATTAAAAACAGCAAAACCACATATATAAATCTAAATACTTCTCTATGTACTGAAGGAATGTGTAAGATTCTAGCGAAATTCACCCTCTCACACATATCAATTATTCACTTTTAAACAAATGAGAAAAATGCTAACTGATTACTCTGAAGACTGAAAAACTGGCAGAATTTAGAGAGTGATAAAAACATAGGAGATGCAACTGGCACACAGGGAGCTCCCCTTTTTTATGACTTTGCCCTGAGGACTCTGCAATTCATGGCAGAATTGCTGAATGGTTAACCTTTGATTTAAAAAAATTAACCAGCCAGTTTTTTTCTGCCCTTGAAAAACAATGAAGGACAGAGTCAAAGAAAAGTGAAGGGGAACCCCATAAACAAAATTCAAAAAATAAAATTTTCAAATTCAGTTAATACATTTTAGTCTAATATCTAACCAGTCCTGGAGTTCTACATGTATGAAGTAGATTGCTAACAATTTGGCGTGAGGTCTCAGAGACTTTGTCCAAGTTACAGTCCTACTAAACAGGCACTACAACATTCTTCAGAAGTATATAACAGAATCCACAGTCTCCACAACGTAATTTTCCTAATGTCCAAAATATACTCCGAAATTACTTATAGGCATAAAGCTGGGAAAATATGACCTATTCTCAGGGGAAATAAAAATTGACAAATGTCAACCTGTGGATGACCTAGCTGTTAAAATGATCACAAAAGGACATTATAGAATTTTATTTAACTATGGTCAATTAGATCATGAGAAATATACTCATAATAAAGGAAAGAATATCTCCAAAGAAAAATCCAATATATAAAAACAAAAGCAAACATCAGTTTTAGAATTGACACATACAATATTTGAGATAAAAAGATCCACTGGAAAGACTTTACAGTAGAATGGTGAGGAAAAAAATGGTAAACAGGAACATAGATTAAGTGAAATTTTCCAATTTGAAGAACAGGGATAGAAAAAAGATTGAAAAATACTAACAGAGGCTCAGAGATCCTTAGGGCAATATCAAGAGTGTGACAGTATGAGTATGCACAGTTGGCATATGTGTGTGTATAAAATTGTATTGACATCATATAATTGACACATAATGCAAAATTTGCATATGTTCATATATATTACACTAATATCAATAATGTTTTAATACTATACATATATCATCACATATATATGGTATATAATGACAGTAAATCTCAGAAAGAGAGAAGGGAGTAAAACTGGTCATATAAAATATTTAAATAACACCAGGAAAAATCTTCCCAAATCTGGCAAGATCTAAATTTAGGAAGCTAAATTATACATTCCTTAAATAAACTATACTTGGTCATAATATTGTTTGTTTTAAATTGCTAATAATTTGTTTAAGGTAATATGTGCCAATGTTCATGACAGATACTTATCTATATTTTTATTTCTTTTCTGTCTTCACACGTTTTTGTTATCAGGGAGATTCTGGCCTCATAAAAGTGATTTTGCCCTTGTTTTCCTCCTCATCCGTGTTCTGCACTTCTGCTGAATTGGTATTATTTCTACTTTAAATGTTTTATAAGATTAGGTAGAATTTCCCATCAAAACCGGGAAATTTATGTAAACATGCATTTAAGTATAAACTCAATTTAGGTTATTCTTGTATCTATTTTAATGTAAAATTTCCCACTCCTTCTTTTGAGAATTTGTCTATTTCATAAACATTATCAAATTCATGGCCATAGAGTTGTTTGTAATACTCTCTATTTGTTTTTACTCTCTATGTGGTAGTGATATACTTAATTTCATTCCTGATATTTTTAATTTGTTTTTTCTCATTTTTAGTAAGTATGGTGAGAGGTTTATCAATTTTATTAATTTTTTCAAAGAGTCAGGTTTTATTAATTAATGCTCTTTATTTTTCTATACTCGATTTCAATAGCTTCTACTCTTATATTTGTTATTGTCTTAATTATTCTTGCCTTGAGTTTAATTTGCTTTTGTTTCTCTAGTTTCTTAATGTGGAAGCTTAGATTAGTGAATTAAAACCAGTATTCCTCTCTTATAGAAGCCTTTAATGCTTTCCAATAATGATAACTCCACAAAATAAAGATATGTTGTATCATCATTTTAATTCAATTTAAAATATTTTCTAATTTCCCTCATAATCTCTTCTTTGAACCAGGGGTATTTACATGTATGTTGTTTAATTTCAAATATTTGAGCACTTTCTAGATATTTTCCTATTATTTACTTTTGGTTTAATGTGCTGTAATCTGAGAAAACACAGTATAGTTTATTTTTAAGTTTTTTTAATGACCCAGAAAAAGGGCTGTTGGATGAATGCTCTACGTCAACTTAAAAAAAATCTGTATTTAGCTGTTGCTGGGTAGAATCTATGTATGTTAAATATAGTTATTCTTCATAATGATGGGTTCTGCATCTGTGCTCAATCAATCACAGATCAAAAATATTAAAAATAACAAAAATAACAACACTACAACATAAGTAATACAAATAAAAAACAATACAGTATAACAATTATTTATATTGTTTCCGGCGTTATAAGTAATTTAGAGATGATTTAACATATATAGGAAGTTGTGCATAGATTTTATTTAAAAAACCATAAAGCATTTTATTAACATACCATACCGTGCATGAGCTCCACCAGCGACGTGCTGTTAAATATTGAACAACCAGTTCTCTGGGGGAAAAAAAAGTTTACACATGTGTGTGTTTATTACAAATTTTACCGATATAATAGTTGTATAACATAATTTACAAATAATTAAAAAATCGTATTATAATTTTATTTAGTTATCATTAATTTAAAAATTGATATATAATTATACATATTTATCGGGTACAGCATGATATTTTTATATATGTATACAATATGTAATGATCAAACTAGTGTACTTAGCGGATCCATCTTCTCAAACCTTCATCATTTCTTTGTGTTGGGAGCATTCAAAATTATCTATTCTACCTATTTGAAAATATACCATAAATTATTATTAACCATGTTCACCTTACGGGGCCTATAGAACACTAGAATGTATTCCTCCTATCTAGCTGTAATTTTGTATCAATTAACCAATCTCCTCCTCTCTCCTACCCTTGCCAGCTAGTACTATGCCCTTTTGTATAAGGGACTTAAGCATCTGCGGATTTTGGCATCCACAGGGGTCCTGGAACCATCTCCCTATGTGTACCAGTCCCCCAAGAATACAACTGTAACTGGTTGGTTGGGTGGCTCAGAGTTTCTATTGCCATATTGATTTTTTATGTACTTGTTTTATTAATTACTAAAAGATTAATTCTGATATGTGCAAATATAATTATAGAATTACATATTTCTGCTCATAATTCTATCAGTTTTGTGTGCTACATTTTGAAATTATTTTGTTAGTTTTCTTTTACTTTTAGGATTGTCAGGTCCTTGTGGAAAATTGATTTATTATTGTGCAATGAATCTCTCTAGTCCTAGTAATATTTCTTGTTATGAAGTCTATATTTCCTCATATAAATGTAAATATTCTACCTTTCTTTTTATTATATTGGAGTGGTATTTTTATCCTTTAACTTATTTATATCTTTATATTTAAATGAGTTCTTGTAGATAGCAGATAGTTGGATCTTTCTTTTTTATCCGACTTGAAAATATCTCTTTTTATTGATATGTTAAGATTGCATGCATTAATGTAGTTATTGATGCAGTTAAAAAAATCTATCAATTTGCTGGATGTTTTTCTATTAGTGCCATCTGTTTTGTTTGGTTTCTGCCTTTCAGTGGACTAATGAAGTATATTTTATTCCTTATTTTTCTCCATTATTGGATTAATTTTTTTTCACTTTTTAAAACTGTATTTGGTAGTTACCCTAGACTTTACAGTATGCCTATTTAATTGTTCACGATCTTTCTTAGAATATGAGTATGCCACTTTATATGCATTGTAAGTGCATTTCTTGGCTTTCTCTGGCAATGTAACAAATTACCACAAGCTTAGCAATTTATAACAACATCTGTTTATTATCTGATAGTCCCCTAGATCAGAAGACTAACCTCAGCACAACTGGGTTCTATGCTTAGAGTCTCATAGGCTAAAATCAAGATGCCTGCCTGCATTATGAGCTCATCTCAGTCTCAAGGTTATCTTCCAAGCTCATTAGGCTGTTGGTATAATTCAGTTTCTTGCATTTTAGTGGAACAAAGTTTCTAAATTTCTTGTAAGCTATCAACTGACAGCCATTCTCTGTACCTAGAGGCTAGCCACTGTTTCCTGTTATGTAGTCCTATCCACCATATGGAAATTTGTTCTTTCAAGGCCAGCAGGAAAATGTGTCTTGATCATAATCTCTTAAACTACATTTAAGAACTCACCTGATTATGTCAGACACAGTGACTAAGATTTCCCATTTGAGTAACTCAAAAGTAACTGATTAGGAAACTTAAATTTATTTGCAAAATCCCTTTTGCTCTCTAAGGTAACATAATCATAATAGTGAAATCCCATCATATTTATGAAATCCCATCATATTTACCACTCTCTCTTAAACTCAGAGGATGAGCACTACTCAGGATTTGTACACCAGACGGGGACAGGAATCTTGGAGCCACGTTCCTACAGGGGAACTTCCACATTCATTACATGTTATACAATCACATTTTTCTCATTCATTAAACATTATACAATCACATTTTCTCATCACTTTTGCTATTTTTTCATGGGTTAGACTTTTTTCTCTACTGGGAAAGCTTCACACAGAGAGTAAATAAACATTTTTGTTTATATTTATCCCAATTCAGAACATTCCTGCATGATAATAAACTCTGAAGCTAATTATCCTCTACTACACTTCTCAGTAACAATGATATTAAGTCATTCCCCAAGATGATCTGTGGAGAACTCATACATCATCTTGAGAGTGATTTGGACAAAAATCTAGTATCGCTTTTCTGGAGCGACCTTATCTAATTGCAAAAATGTATGTAGCTTAAATAACAGAAATTTATTGTCACATAGTTCTCGAGTCTGGGAGTCCAAAATCAAGATGTCCGCAGTGTTGGTTCTCTCGGGTCTGTGGGCAACAATCTATTCCATGCCCCTCTTTTACCGTCTGGTGGCCTCCGGTGTTCCTTGTTTTGTAGATATCATTCTCCCTGTGCAGTCACATCATCCTCCTTCTCTATGTGTCTCTGTGTCCAAATTTGCCCTTTTAATAAGGACACCTGTTATATTTGCTTGGAACTCACTCTGCTAATAGAATTTTAACTGAATTACCTCTTTAAAAACCTTATCTCCAAATACAATCACATTCTAAGGTACCAGGAGTTAGGACTCTAACATGTCTTTTTTTGGAGGGACACAATTTAAACCATAGCATACCTCTTCTTGGTATTGTGAGAGCATTTTTTACTTCTGTAAAAATAAATAAAGTGAGGGAACATGTAGTTAAACTTGAAGTGCAAAAATGGTACTATAACATACAATTCAATTTATAAAATATGTATTAAAATAATGTCCAAGTTTTTGCTTTGATGCTATGGTGCACATCCTCCATAGCTGCACAGAAAAACAAAAAGTCTTCAAATTGTTTAGCAACTTTAAATTAACTTTAATGACAATATACTAAGGAGAAAAATAAAATTCTCATTGGCACATTAAATATTTCATTACAACACTTACTATAAGACCAGTTTTAACACATACATCCATATACTAAAGCATATTTGACTCATAAATATAATACGATTAAAATTCTAGAACTCTTCATTTTCCCAAATAACCTGTTTATTTATATAAAAAAGCACTGCTTTATCAAACAGACTGTGTAAGTACTGATTCACCAAAACATGAGTGGATTCACAGCAATATTCCTTCTTCCTGGGAAATTATAATTCCTTGCCTAATAAGTTTTGATCCATTATTAGGAAGAAAAAAAAACTTTTATTCATATGGTTGCAGTTTAAAGCTTTGGAAAAATTCAATCTAATGTATTTCCAGCAATGAGTCCTATTCTTGGAGTGCTTTTTGGGTCTCAGGCTCATAATCTTCCATATCTTGTTGTTACTTTACCCTGTGGGACAATGTTCCTTTCAAAGCATATGTAACTAGATTTCTTATCTAATAGAGTAAATAGGACATGAAAAGTCATTCAAAGGCAAAGGTATGACTTACTTTTCATCATTTTACCACCAGAAATTAATAGTTTCTTTTCATTCTGACTAGATGGCATCATTTGGATACAACTTTGAGCTTAAGCTGGAGTTTACAGCCTAGCTGATTTATGTTCAGAAAGTATGGAAGATAGTTCCTAAAGAGATGGAAGGAAGGAAGGACGGGAGGAAGGGAGGGAAGAAGGGAGAGAAAGAGGAAGAATGGAAGAGAGGGAGGGAGGAAGAATGGAAGGTAGGGGAGAGAGAAGGACAGGGATGGAGGAGGAATGAAGGAGGGAGAGAAAAAGGAATGAAGGAAGCCGGGAGGGAGAGGGAGGGAGGAGAGAAAGGGAGAAAAATGTTCATCCCAGCCTTCCCGGAAACAACCATGAGAGTGCCCATTCTTCCCTGAAGTTGCCTCTTTAGTCTCATTTTCTCAGTAAAATAGTTATTATTCATACAAAATTATTCAAATAAAAATCTGCTTTTGTCCATTACCGAAAAAGTTACAGAGATGTACATTCTTGACAAGTGACTAAATCATTTTAGCAGTTGTTTACCTCCAGTTGGGTTGTAGATTTGATTCTCTAACCCATGTGAAAGAACATGCTTCAGAAGCTGTGTCTATCCTACTTGATGCCATTTGTTATGTATATTTTTCCAGCCCATTCAAGAAATGTTAATGAGCTGGCCAGGACCATAGACGATTTTAAATAATTGTTTCAGAAACACACATGCACAGCTCACAAATGGTGGACTAAACTTTAGAGTTATCACTGGATGTCATATAATCCTGCAGAAAACTTGCTCACTTAATTTTTTCTGCATGGCAAGATTGGGATAATTTTTAACAACTTCCCTAATATATGTTTTACCAGAACCACCTAAAGTATTTCTAAAATGTTAGGGTAATATAAGGGAACATTTTTGCTTCCAAAATCCTACAGAGTTCAGAATATCAGCTGATATCAAAATGGCAGTCTGTGTAATTTCTTAGACATCTCTCAAAAGACTAAAAAATTGACAGATTTTTAAAAAGTGTAAGCCATTTTGTCTTAAAGTATGTGTTCCAGTGCTAATTATAAGCCCAATTTACTTGGACCCACCTAGCTCCTAGGACTTTGGCCACTTGCCCAATAGAGAGCCATGGCTGCCACCACTATAGCCTTGCTGCTTTACACCACTGGTTCTCAAGGCCTCCTTCTAGAGAGAATGGAGCTCTGATACAGCATTCATGCTACAGGGGACACATTGGCTCAAGAGCTTATGCTCATGACATTTGGATAGGAGGATCTGGCTTCTTCCATCACTCACAGACTCAAATGAAACTTTTCACTGAGTTATAAAGTCTAGATTTTCCAGGAGCTGCATGAGGGAAATCAATAACTCAACTTGAAAGCACAGTGGCACTAATATGCCATGAGGCAAAATTTGACCAATGAGAGACAAGAAATGAAAGGAGGCTAGCAGATAAATTTATTTCCCTTATGTTGCCAGACAAACTGATCCAATGATTGAAAGACAGTGCATGACGTTTTTAAAGATGTTTCACCTGCTCCAGCAAACTGCCAGGTTTTCTTGAGAGGCCATGGCTAACTCAATAATGAATCATATTATGTTTGCTTTGCCTATTGCCTTGCATCACTTCCCTTTCCCTCTCACTTATATTCCCATGGTGTATTAGTCTATTTCACGCTGCTAATTAAGACATACCCAAGACTGGGTAATTTATAAAAGGAAGAGGTTTAATGGACTCACAGTTCCACATGGCTGGGGAGGCCTCACAACCATGGCAGAAGGCAAATGAGGAGCAAAGTCATGCTTTACATGGTGGCAGGCAAGAGAGCATGTGCAGGGAAGCTCCCCTTTATAAAACCATCAGAACTCATGAGACTTATTGACTATCACGAGAATGGCACAGAAAAATCCTGCCCCATGATTCAGATACCTCCCACCCAGGCTGTCTCACAACACGTGGGGATTATTACAATTAGAGGTGAGATCTGGGTGGCGAAACAGAGCCAAACCATCTCACATGGGATTATAGCTCCCAAGAATATATGTTTATATGCTTGTAGCATATAAGCTTTGCAGCACAGGTACTAGAGGTATTATTATATTTCCTAAATAAGGAAACAGCAGTAGAAAAAAATGAAATTGAAGGTAGAAACAGAAGTAGAAAAGGTTGAAATTGAAGGTAGTAGAACAAGGTGTAGAGTGTAACTCTCCAGGCTTCAACTTTGATGAACTTTTCTTTACATTATGCACCCTCTAAATATAGATGAACAAAGAGAAGATTCAAGAAAACAAAATCAACTTCTGAGCCTTAACAATTCCATTTATTATGTAACTATAATCAAATTTACTGGAGAGCTATACAAGCTTCATCCCACTTCACAGGTCGGTGCTGTCTTTTCCTGTCCCATCAACTGAGAGGCCCATAAAAAGTCCATGAACATCCTCCTCTCTTACGGGCAGTATAAGGCACTATTCTTATCTGACATAATAAAAAGTAAGACAGAAATCAGTGGGATACAGTACTTCTGAGGAAAAACATGACTTCTGCTTTTTTAAATCCTGATTATAATAATTCATGTCAGGGCTGGGTGTGGTGGTTCACGCCTGTAATCCCAGCTCTTTCGGAGGCCGAGGCGGGCAGATCACGAGGTCAGGAGATCGAGACCATCCTGGCTAACATGGTGAAACCCCATCTCTACTAGAAATACAAAAAAATTAGCCGGGCATGGTGGCGGGCGCCTGTAATCCCAGCTACTCGAGAGGCTGAGGCGGGAGAATGGCGTGAACCCGGGAGGCGGAGCTTGCAGTGAGCCGAGATCGCGCCACTGCACTCCAGCCTGGGCGACAGAGTGAGACTCCGTCTCAAAAAACAAAAACAAACAAACAAAATAATAATAATTCATGTCAGAAATCAGATAGCTTCTCCTTCTCCAGGATGCATAGACTTGCACCTTGTAATATAGCCTTTAACTGGAGCCTTATGTCAGCAAGACTCCAGAATTAATTAGCTGAATAGGACTAATATACATTTTCTGACAGAATATCCTATAATTCATTATGCATTTTTTCTAGCTCTTTGATTTCATATACAATTCTAATTAATATTTACTCTAAATTCACTGTAATATATACTGTTATGTTTTTCCTGCTCAGATTCCCCATGCTTGATTCTGATTTAAACGTGTTATTGTGTTTTAGTACTCAACCCTATTGCAATGTTTAAAGAGTATTCCTGAGATACATCACCATGATTTTATTTTAGATACATTCAACATTAAGGAAGAAGAAATGTCTTCTAGAGTTCACTGCTATGTCTGCTAATTCACAGCCATTTATATTACTGCCTGTTGGTTATTTATTGGCTGTGCATAACAGTTTGAATTTTTTTTCAATCAGATACAGCCTGAACAAATGGTCAATATAAACTGAGCCCCTATTATGTGACCAGCATAGCATTTGGTGTGAGTCACAAAAAACCTTATGAAGAACATAAAACTTCAATACTCAAAACAAACACATGTGAAGCCATAGCAAAAATAAATACATGTATTCAAATGCTAGATGTTGTGGTAACAGACTTATTTTCTCATCTTAATATTGAATATTAATAATTATTTTCTCTGTTATTGCTTGATAACCCCATTGAGACTGAACTCATCTATAGAGTCAAGCTAACCTTGAAGTACACTGTCTGCTTTTTGTGAAATAAGCTTTCATTTTCTGAAATTATTAGTTTTTAAACTATGTACTAAACAATTGGTATAAATAGTTCTGCAAAATCTTTATCTAATACAGTGTTCTTTATAACCTTGTGATCTCAATTGTTGATAGGTAATTCATATTTTTATAAAAATTCTGGAAATATCCTGGGAACAAAAGTGTGCTGATATGAATATGAATTTCTCATGAAAACAATGTTTTAATATTTTCTTAAATATATAAAATACATCAAAATAATAGTATGATGATGATAATGATGATAATCTCAAGAACATTTTATTTTGTATTTTGTACTTTTTTCTTTTTACTTTGGACATTATCCAAAGCCAGGTCATCTTTGTGGCCTTTACTTAGAGACTTTTTGTTTGGTTGCCTTGTCAGTTTTGGTTATCAATTGGTTGTGATAATGTATAATAGCACTTCTTCCAAAAGTTTCCAGGTCAGTGTTCAATGTCAATGTATGTTACTGATTTAACAACATATATAATCCTGTTACAGTCAATTAAAAAGTACTCTCCAAGAATATTTTTGGGTCTTTACCGCAAATACAAACTGTGATGATTAATTTTATGGGTCAACTTGACTGAACCACAGGCTGTCCAGATATTTGGTCAAACATTATTCTGGGTATTTCCATGAAGTCGTTTTTGAATGTGGTTAACATTTAAATTGATAGATTGAGTAAAGCAGATTGTCCTCCCTAGGGTGCGTGGGCCCCATCCAATCAGATCAAGGCCTAAGGAGAGCAAAAAAGCTGATTCTCCACCATGCAAGAGAGAATTCCTCCTGCCTGTTGCCTTTGTACTGGTTCTTCAGCTTTTTTCTACCTTTTGAATTGAACTGAAACATCAGCTGTCCTTGGAGGTTGAGTCAACCAGCTTTTGAACTGGAACTACATCATTGGCTGTTTTCATTTTTAAGATTTGAACTCAGACTGGAACTATACCATCATCTCTCTTGGATTTCAAGCTTACAAATTCACCCTGCAGCTCTTGGAACTTGCCAGCTTCCCTAATTGCATAAGCAATTATATATATATTTCTCTCTATATATAAATATGTAAATATACAGAGAAATATAGAGAGAACTACATATTTCTCCCTATGTAAAAATATAGAGAAATATGAATATATAAATATATATTACTATATATACTTATATTTCTATATTTATATTTCTATTATAGAAATATATAAATATATTTATATTTTAACATTTAATAAAATATAAATAAATATATTTGGATATTTCTACATTCATATTTCTACTATAGAAGTATAGACATAAATATATTTCTCTATAATAAATATAGAATATTTTTGTATTTGTTTTAAAATTAAGACATATAATATAAAAATATATAGAGAGAAATATATCTATGAGAGAAAGGGGAAGATTTATTAGGAATTAATGTACAGGAATATACATAATATAAATAAATGTTTTTCTGGAGAACCCTGATTAATGCACTATCCCTTGGCTCCACTCTGAATAGACATCACGGTAAGTTTATTTCTAAAACACATTCTAGCTAGGTTTCATCAAATATTGTAAGACAATTTTTTTCTCAATTGTCATTTAAAGCATATAAATCTATGTTTAACTGACAATATATAATTAGTTTATAATTGGTACTGGAAAGCTAATTTCAAGTCAGATTCTTTGCATGAATAAAGTATAAAATTATTCAAAATGTTTTGCTTCCTCATACTTTACCTAGCGGTATGACAGACAGATGTTTCAAATGTGCTTAGAATTGTTAAAAAAGTTATTTTTATCTCAGTCTTTATGTTATACAAGTATACTTAATTTAAAAACATATTTTTACAATTAAAATATTTATTTTTAAAATTTTTATTAAGTATAAAAAAAATTGTGTATTCCCCAAATCAGAATGTATAGCTATGTGCAATATGATCACAGTATGACTTTCATCAGCAATCACATCTCTCAGCCTCTAAATGTCAAATTATAATTGGCATTTAAGAAAATTGCTTCAGGATACATATCACATATCTTTTTAAATACCAGTTGGTATTTTCAGCTATTATTTCATTACTACTAAATTGAGTACTAGTGTCCAATTAGACATTAATTACAAGTCTAAATATGGCTAATGTTCTAACCAGGATGTCACTAGGCATTTTAATTTTACTAAATTAAATGCAACGAAATTCAACTTTGCAGATTTCACAATTCAAACACTCTTTTAATTATAAAGGTTTATTTGAATGGGATAGAACAAATGCTCTCTAACCTTAAAACTCTGGTGAAATTAAACATGATATTAAGTGGAATATCACAGGAGTTTAAATAGGAAAAGATTGCTAGAGATCCTGAAAGAAACCTCCCACAAAACCCCATAAAACCTTATCATAGTCGACCCAGCCCCTGCTTCAATGACTCCCCCAATAAAGGGTTCTAACTATTGCAAATGTGTTCCTCTTACTGAACAAAATATTCTCACTGTAATTTCAACCTTTAATTTTATTCCTGCCATTTGGAGCACAATAGAATAAATTTATTATTCCTTTCAAATATTTGATGACAGCTAGTCTATTATTCCCCTGCCTTACTTTCTCTAGGGTAGCTGGATATATTGCAGTACACCTTCATCATTTTCGTTGCTCTCTCTTGAGCAATCAACATTCTTCTTAAAATAGGGACCTCTACTATAGGAATGACATATCTCCAAAGCCCTCTCAATTCACAATCTTCTTATAAATGTAATAAACTACATCCTCTGAAAAACAGTCAGAAACTCTATAAAGGTAGAAGGTGGCTTTGGGTATTTCTGTTATACCAAAATAGCTTTTAATTTTTTTAAAAAAAATTGACTGTTTCAGGGACTTCTAACTTGTAGATAACAAATAAGATGCTGTAAAACAATCTTTGTCTTAAAATTTCAGTATATATATTAAAACAATTAAATGAGCATTTAACTAAGAACAAATAGGAAATTGGCAAACATAGGACAGTAATTTACTGTTGTCCTCTTTAATCCAGAGGTAAACCGTCCAGGAAATGGACAGTTTATCATGTCTTACTTAGTCTCATTACCTTCTTTTATTTAAACATATCTTTATGTTAACAAACAATTTCACATAAAGATATATTTTTGTTTTTTTAATTTCTGATGCTTGAGTTCTGTTAATGGTTCTTCTCATATCCAATATATACTCCCTATATATATACTATATGTACTGTAATATATACTATTACAGTTTTTTCAAGTAGGCTACATAAATGGCATAATTGCTGAGATGCTTTTTAAGTGAAAAAGTCTTTCAGTTACTTTCTAATCTTAAACACAGTTTTGCTAAATGTAATATCCTCTGGTCATAGGCAATCAGATTACAGAAAATATTAATATACTCACGAATATACTCATTAGTTCAAAACAAAGGAAACAAGTCACTAAAACAAAGTCTCCTGCTATGAAAGGAACTTACAGGGAGAAGTACAACATTCAAGACATCTCTGTATTCTAAAGGATGTTTCTTAATCAAGTCTAAACATTATTATAACTACAAAATGTGATGAATTGAAATCAGGAAAGGTTTATTTGATTAAAAAACATAAATATAATATTCAAAATTAAATTTAAGGTAATGAATATCTAGATTATTTTCTGTAGAAAAAACTCAGAAAATAAAAATGAATATGAAGTATAAAATAGAAATGGAGTAAAGAACCAAGAAATTCAACCTACAGATATATTTGAGAAGAAGGGAAAGAACAGATAAGGAAACAATATCTAAAAGTAATATTTTGTTAACCTTTTTTTTTATCTGAATAAAAGGGTCACTTCTATAAGCCAAGTAGTAAGGGAGGCTCATAAGAAATATTTCTTACTGAAATATTCTAATTTCAAGATTAGGGAAGTAAATCATACAAGTACAAAGAATAAAAAAAAAAGGAATACTGAGAAAAAGATCCACAACTGACATGACAAGGCAAAACAATCAGATTGTACCACTGCTGTAAGATTTTGAGGGAAACAAATAAAAACTGGGAACTAAAATGTCTCCATCCAATTATGTCGTTACTCACTTGCAAAAAAAAAAAAAAAACAACGAGACAGCATATTATTTTATATCTTCTCTTCCAAATTACTCAACAGTGATATTTCCCAGGGCTTACTACTCAAACCCCTATTCTTTGACATGCTTATGAAATCTAAGAGCTCTGTTTCTACTGGGAATCTTTCTTTCCATTTTCCCGCCTTTCATAAAACTCATTGAAGCATTCATCACAACATACTGATTATATCCTATTCTGCTCTAATTAGTTGAACTCTAATCTGAGGAAAATGCCCTTTTCCTAAATCTAGAAATTATCACATGGTGTATATTATGGCTTGGATGTCTCCATAAAAACTCACATTAAAATTTAATCCACAACGTGGCAGAATTGAGAGATAGGGTCTTTAAGAAGTGACTGGCACAACAGCTCTGCTCTCATGGATGAATGAATTCATTCATAAATTAATGAGTTGTTATGGGAGTGGAACTGCTGGCATTAAATGAAGAGAAAGAGAGATCTGAGCTAGCACATTAGCATGCTCAGCCTCCTTGCCATGTGATGGCCTGTGTCACCTCAGGACCCTACGGAGCCCCCACGAGCAAGAAGGCTCTCACTAGATGCAACCCCTTGACCCTGGACTTCTCAGCCTCCAAAGTGTAATAAATAGATTCTTTTTCTTGATAAAGTACCCAGTTACAGGCTTTCTGTTATAAGCAACAACAACAAAAACTAAGATAGTGTATTAAAAAGAAGAAAACATATTATTGCTCCCTAGATTCTTCCTTGAATGATACATGTCAAGTTCCATAGTTTCTTAAGAAACCATTCCCAAAGATGATGGCTGTTAATGGAAGGTATGCAATGCCTAGGAATGCCTTTTGTCTTTTTTGTCTTCCTCACCCCTGCAAAATCCACCACAAATAAGCACAAAATCTGTGGTTTTGTGTTTGGTTTGCTTTGTTTTACAATGTAATTTCAGCTACAAGAAAAATTCTCTATCCACCCATATCAACCCTCAGCTGTTTCTCCAGCCTTTTCTATTTAGAAATTTTAGGGCTACCACTCGTGGCATCTAACAAATTCTATACTTTCAAGGATGGCTGATGTAGCCCAGAGCTAAATGTTGCTATGGCAATGAAATGATTACTATACCCACATAGCAAATAACAGGGAAATACTGATTTTTTACCAACAGTTTAAAAGTAAGCCATAAAATTAAACCACTGGACTCACTGGGGTCAGGTCAGAGCTCTCTAAGCCTTCTTGCCAGGTTAATGCCAGCTTCTTGTGAGGCATCTCTGGTTGACTGCAGTAATGGCAGCATGTGAGGGACAGAGCCCTTAGTGGGGTTGGCTAGCCCAATAGAGAGTAACTGGGAAAATATGAGTTGGGACTTACTGATATATACATGCATTTGTGGTATGTTTGCACTTGGTAGTTCCATATCCAAAAAATATTATTTCACATAAATTTTAACAAAAGGATATTTACAATTGCTTATTTTACTACATCTTTTAACATACACCAGATACTTCAGGACATTTAGAAATATTAGGTATATATTTTTGAAGTACTTAGAATTGTCAACTATATATGCAGTAGCGAGGAAGAATGTACACAGAGAACAATAGTTATAATCTGAAAATGCCTTTTATGCATGACATGGAGCCCTTCTCTTCTGTACCTTCTCACGGCCTCTGCTTCACCTCTGCTAACATCTCCCAGTGTCACTTGGAGAAGTGGTCTAGGAATCCCATTTCCAAAGGTCATTTCCAGAGGGATTTCTTTTCTTTTCTTTTTAACAAAAGAACATTTACAAAATGTCTGATTTTCCAATTCTGCTTTATCATATGTCTCTAACTGTATTACATAAAAAAGACCCAGATGTGGCAAAATAAGTTTCCTTTTAAAACTTTGGGAAAAAAGTTGAGGGTAGTTCTTTTGTTTGTTTCACATTATATACACAAGCCTTTCTATAAGTGGCCAGTGAATCTTCCCAAAGGAACATGGGCACTTCCTGGCTTTCCCTCATTTTTCTATTACAAAGTCAAGGTCTAGTGGGATGAAGACCTGCATTGCCTTCAGGTCTCCATGCCTCCTGGTCCTTCAGGAATGGACGTGGTTGTCCCAGGGCTCTAGACTCAGTGGAGGACAGCCCAGGCCATGTAAGGCTGCAGAGGTATGTGTGGATTGTGCTCTGTTCTCACCTGCTCCCTCCCAAATTCCAAATTATTTTCTTTTAATTTTCCAAATAATTATTAGTTAAATGAATAAATAAAAATCACAATAACTCATTTTATAGAATTTAAAATTAATGAGAACCTTAAATATCAATACACATGGAATATCAATGTGAGATACAATCTCACAACTCTTAGATTAGCAGAAATTGAAAGTCTGAAAAGATCAATTATTGACAAGGATAAGAGAGGGAGATAACTTTAATATTCTATTTTAGGAAGTGCAAACTGCCATTCTCACTTAGGAAAGGAATTTGTAAACCTCTAGTAAAATTAAAAATATGTGTACTTTATAACTAGAAATTTCACTTTGATATTTGTGCCCTAAAGAAGTCCTTTACACATTGAATAAAATGCCACATACAAAGATGTTCATTTTGGCAATTTCTGCTAAACCAACAAATTAGAAAGAATCTCAATATCTACCAATATTTGAATGCAGAAATAAATTGTTATACATTTATACAATGGATTGCTATCTACAAAAACGACTGAGTTAGATCTATATTTATAAATTTAAAAAAATCAAAATAATCTTTCATCATTAAAACAAATTGCAAAATGATATTTAATACAAATGTTAATAACCCGTTCAATATCAACTTGTATTTTAGAAAACTTACTCTGGTTAGGGTGTAGAGAAATCACAGACAAGAGAGACAGTAAGTGTATTGAAATATCACAGTAGTAATGATTTCATTGGAGGAAAGGGAGATTCAGAAAGAACACAGAGGAAATTGCATCCATTTTAATGTTTATTTCTTTAAAAATATCTGCAATAACTATGAAAAGTGGTTTTTATTTTTTAAATATGAGTGATATTTAATTGTGTGCATATTATCCTACACTGTAATTTGCCTCCTGGAAATACAGTATTCCCCTCTTATTCACAATTTTGTTTTCAACAGTTTTAGTTACCTGTAGTCAACCCTGGCCCAAAAATATTAAATGGAGAAATCCAAAAATAAACAATTCATATGTTTTATATCACACACTGCTCTGAGTAGTGTGATGATGTCTTGCACTGTCCCTCTCTGTCTTGCCCAGGACATGAGTCATCCCTCTGTCTAGCACATCCACTTTGTCTATGCTATTTACCCATTAGTCACTTAGAAGCTGTCATAGTTCTCAGATCAACTATGGCGGCTTTGCAATGCTTTTGTTTAAGTAACCCTTATTTTATTTAATAATGGCCCCAAAGTGCAAGAATTGTGATGCTAACATGTTGCTGTAATTGTTCCATTTTATTATTAATTATTGTTAAACTACTCACCCATTAGTCACTTAGAAGCTGTCACAGTTCCCAGATCGACTACGGTGGTTTTGCAATGCTTTTGTTTAAGGAACCCTGATTTTAATAATGGCCCTAAAGTGCAAGAATCATGATGCTAATATATTGTTATAACTGTTCAATTGTATTATTAGTTATTGTTAATCTCTTACTATGTCTGATATATAAATTAAACCTTATAAATGTACATGTATGTATAGAAAAAAACATAGTTCATATAGGGTTTGGTACTATCCTCAGCTTTAGGCATTCACTGAGGGTCTTGGAATATATCCCACCATAGATAAGAGAGGCACTACTCTAGTGCATTAGCGGGAAAGGACTTGCCTGTTTAATGTAGGTAGCCAACTGGTTCCTCTGATGGAATGTGACTTTTGGTCTTTGCTGAAGGTTTGATGGGCAGCAAAAATGTCCCACTATCTCTTTCTCTATTCTACATATTGAATTGAGGATGACTTTAGTTTCTGGATTCATCATTCCTGTTAGGAGACTAGACATCTTGCAATAGATTCTTTAGTTTCTTTAGCAATCAATTTCTCTGTTTTGGCCTTAGGGTAAACATTGCTCTCTGAAGTCAGAAATTTTTAAGTTCTAATATGAAATTAACTTAGAAACTAATGAGAGATGTCTTATATGAAAAGCAGAACTGGTTTATTTTTAATGTTTATTTTTATCTAGTGGACAGACCTCATTTACAAGTTCACTTTGGGTTAGGGCTTCAGGCAAATCTATTTATAAAGAAGTTTGATTATGTTCTTAGAAACTTTCTTATTATTTCACAGCCCAACTTTCTAGTTAATGAAAATATAGAGTAATTTAATGGCAAGATTCATACCCCAATTACAGAGTATAAGGAAAAGCCTACAAAAATGCAATGTCCTTCAAACAGCAATAACAGAAAACTGAAGAAATGAAATTGGAATTTTCAGTCATTGTTAAAAACTGATGAGTCAATGTTTTGTTCACCAGTTTTCTAATCATGCTATGTTGGAATCATCTCTTCCTCCAAACACAATTCTACCCCCATTTCTCTGACCAAAAATAAAAAAAAAATCAGAAATGATATTAAAACACAGTAAAGAAAGCCTTTACACTGAAGAAAACTAGTAACTATAAGATACTACATTTTAGAGATTTGAAATCTAATAATCAAACTCCTATAAGACAAATGAGGACATTGCATTTCAGGGAAGTAAAGTCATACCATCAAATCACACCGGATGGTACTGGTGGTTAGTGATAGAAATGAGATTAGGACCTAGATCTCTTGGTTGACAGATTACAGAATAGAAAATGGACTGATGTAGTTTGTCTGATGTTTGAACTTATAGATTGACATTTAGCTTCACTTGTGTGTTATCTCTACTCTTCTCATAACTGCAAATATAATTGCCAAGGATATGAGTTTCACAGAAGTAAAGTTAGATGCTGATCTCATTCTATTCTTACCACAGACAGAAATCTGACAGCACTAATGGCAAGCAAAAGAGATTCCTAAAATTGAAGTGAGTACAGGGAGTCTTTTAGGTTTAGAATACAAATTACTCAAGAGCTGGCTACATCCCATCTCAAAGTGGATTAATATTGTAGCTCCTCATTAATTGATTTCTCAGAATATTTTGTGTAGAGGATGTGCTACTATCCGCTATAAATGCCCCTAATGTTTTCTATGCATGTCAGTTAGGAACTAGAAGCTAGTGCTTCAGGTCGTTTAGAACGCTCCAGGGGCTCATAACTACTCTGGCTGAAAGAATTATGATCAGGATAAGTGTATGAACAGCTTTAGAAACCAGCATAACGAAAAAGAACTGTTATAAAATCACCAAGTTTAACCTATACCACCATCTATTTTATCTTCACAACCCCGCACTTAGAATGAATCATAGGAAAGCTGGACAATGTAATTTGGGAAGTGAGCAAATATAACTGGGCCACCTCTGTTGACATTGGTATTTTATGAATGCTTTGTTGTTGCTATTTTTATTTTGCTTATCATTTCTTCAAAACCCAAAAAATAGAAAATACATGTTACTTGTAAATATCTAGTGAATGGTTATTCTTAAGATTACTATGTAACAAGATATGTTTTTCTAAATCCATATCTCCCATTGGGTCTCAGCCCAAAATCCTTATCTGGGTCAGCTCAAGTGATAGCTCTTCATATCTTTCTCAGCAAGTCCATAAGTGTGGCATGCATAGGAAATATCAATAATTGGTATTTGAGGGTTGGGCATAGTAGCACATGCTTGTAATCCCAACACTTTGGGAGGTTGAGGTGGTAGGATCGCTTGAGGCCAAGAGTTCAAGACCAGCCTTGGCAATATAGCAAGACCCTGTCTTAAAAAAAATTAACCATATATGGTGGTACAGGCCTCTAGACTCAAATACTCAGGAGGCTGAGATGGGAGGATTTCTTGAGTCTGGGAGGTTGAGGCTGCAGTGAGCTGTTTGTGCTACTGAACTCCAGCCTGGGTGACAGAATGAGAGTGTCTAAAAAAAAAGGTATTTGATTAAAGGCTTATTTTGCTAATTTTCTCTATCAGTTGTATAATCCCTTGCTCCTCTCTGAGAAGAGTATGAGAGGCAGTGCATCTATAGGGTAGTACTTGACAACATGCGCTATGGCATTCAAGTCTTTGGATTAAGTCCTAGGTGTCTGATTATATGTTGAGTGATCTTGGAAGTTATTTAAACTATCTTTATTTCCATGTTGTTAAAAGTTATATGAAAATAATAAGAAAGTTATTGTAGGGCTTAACTCAGTGCATCTCAAGCAGCAAGTAAATTTTGTTCCTCAAGAATCTTTTGTCAATGTTTGCAGATATTTTTAGCAGTTACATATTAGGGGGGGATCTCTATTGCCATCTCTATTGCCAAGGTTACTGCTAAACATCCTACAATGCACAGAACAGCCACCCACAACACAGAATTGTCTGGCCCATTGTTGGTAGTGCTGAGATTGAAAAAGCTTGGCTTAAATGAATTAATTTATATAAAACATTCCAAATAGTGACTGACATATAGTAAGTGCTCAGTAAAGAATTAACAGGTATTGTTATTCCATTGCTCCAAACTATTAAAATGTTGACTAAACTGCACTTCTCTTTTTATGATCAGGTAAAACTTACCTGGATTTTCTACTTCATTGGCACCTTCTAACAACTTATGCATCTCATCTTATTTGCTATCATTAGATAGCCCTCTTATCTTTAACACTTAATGTTTATTTTATTCTTCCTTAGAATTAAATGTCTTACTAAACATGAAAAAAAAATATCTTTATGAAACATTCTCAATTTGAAAAGGATAAAACTAGAGAAAGCACTAGCAGGTCAACAAAAGAAATCTCCAAAGTATTTTAAAGAAAAACTATCATATTGTTTATTAAACTAGATGATTGAGGCCTGATATGCTACAGCTTTAAAAACTGGGGATTCAATGCATTCATGAAGAATGAGAAAGGAATGTTGAGAGATAATTCCAAGAGCATGTCGAAATAACTCACCATGTGTCCATCAATAATTTTTGAATGTCAGCTATGAGACTTTTTTATACATCAGAGATATTTCTGTGATTAGGGACACCTGTAAAGGAATAATATAGAGTATTAAACTTTTTCAATATATTTCATCTCTTTGCTTTCCATAAAACTATTCAATATCATAAGCTGTCATAGGAATAACATTCCAGCAAATAAGAACACAATATAGTAGTTATTACAGTCAATTGCCTGCAAGGCTGCAGAAATGGTGGTATGATTTTCTCAGGAAATACATCATGGAATATTCCAGGAATAATCCTAATATTGATATGACTTCAATCAATTCTACAAACATTCATGTACAACAACGTGTGACTGCTTGTATCAATTACCAGCTTTTAAAAAAGGTAAAGCATCCACGTCCACTTCCATGGCAACACTATTTTTCATCATCATGTAGGACAGAATAAAAGGAATTGAGAATTTGATTTGCATTTTGAGAGAATTAGAAATTGACTTCCTGAATTTGATTGATGAAATACACTTAAATCATTAATTACATCATCACCCTTCAGCAAAACAATTACCTTAATGAATTAATGGTGATTAAAACTTTGAAATAACCAACATGGGACCAGAGCCTAGAATCAATCTACTTAATAATGGATCTTAATTTATTTCAAAAGTAAAACATAAACAAATATTTATTTACACTTGTCAGTAAATCCGGAAAAAAAAGAAATCAGTCAAAGCCCCGTGTCTTGTAGTAATATGTAGATACTTATTTCTACTAAATTGGAAGTTAAAAGTAGCAGTATACATAAAACAAACCTCTCAAAGTTGATTGCTCCTTTGGTGAATAGTGATACAGCACTAAAGACTTTCTACATCTTAAGTACTAGTGATCTCTCTCACCCCTTTCTTCTCTCCTTTCCACCTCTCCTCCTCCTTTCTTCTCTCATCTTCTCTCCTGTTCCCTCCTCTTCCTCCTCTCCCAATTCTCTCCTTCCTTCTCCTCTCTTCTGAATCTGTCTTCCCTGAGAGAAAAAAAAAGCATTACTTTTGAACACATTCAGAATGTGTTACCGATAGGGTACGTCTATAAAGGAGTTACAAAAATATACATATGTGAACAATATGTGTGTGTGTGTATATATACACACACACAACATATAGGCATATATATTTATATATGCCTATATGTATGTATATGTATACATACATATGTATCGTATCCATGAGTGCTAATATGAATATAAATGTAGTTACGTATATACACGTATAAATATAAATATATACATGTATATACGTATATACACGTATAAATATAAATATATACATGTATATACGTATATACATGTATAAATATAAATATATATATGTATATACGTATATACATGTATAAATATATATATGTATATACGTATATACATGTATAAATATATATATATGTATATACGTATATACATGTATAAATATATATACATGTATATACGTATGTTGTGTATACATACAAATCTGTACATATATACATATATGTTGTGTGTATATATACATCTATACATGTGTATGCGTATATATGTATATGTATATATAGTATATATAATACATGTATATATTATATATGTGTATATATGTGTATATAATGTATATGTGTTTATAATGTATATGTGTGTATATACACACATATTGCACTGATATATGTATATTTTATAACTCCTTTATAGCCATATCCTATTGTTACCTCATTCTGAACATTTTCAAAAGTAATGCTTTTTTTTTTTCTTTCCATCATAGAAACTTGCCATCTCCTATACCTAGCATTCCTTTCTGAGAATTTATCTGTGAGAGATCAGTGATGTCAGCTTTGAGAACCATTCTTCCAGGAGGGTTAGCTTTTATTTTTGTCAGTATCTCTTAGTCTTGTGCCATTTTTCCCCCAACTGATTTTGGCTTAGTGTCCAAGTTCCAGGTTCAGCCTCCCCATGGCACCATTATCCAAAATTTTGTATCTCAACAGCAGTGCCATTCAGGGCAACTCTACTCTTCCTGGGGCCTCTGTGTGCCCAGGCTGGCTCCTTGTGATCTGCCTCCATCTGACCTGGCCCCTTGATGCTGCTCCCATCCCCTTACCCATCTTACAACCTCAGTTTCCCTCCCAGCCCTCTGTTGCTGTCACCTGGGCCCAGGCACTCCTGTACTACTTTCTGGCCACCTAAAACCCATTTCTTTGCTCAATGACTCTGACTCAAAGAAACTCCAGGCTAGGTCACATTATGTATTTGTCCATTCATTTGGCTATGAGAGAGGAATCCTTGGGGAACTCTTTTATCTTTTGAAATATTAACCATGCCTCAAGAGATGGGTGCTAGTGTCTCTTAAAACTTCTGCTCTGTCATGATTCCAGAATTGGAACTTCCACCTCCAAATTTCTCCACCCTCATTTATATGCTTGGAAGGATTTTCAGTCTATTTCCTCACTTCCCAATACATCTGGAACTCTCTCGGTCCACACTTTCCTTCCTGATACTCCACTGAAACAGCTCACGTTAAGGTCATAATGACCTCCATTTGCCAATTATAATATTTGAGTCTCAGTTTGCAACTTACTGAAGCCATTCACAATACCTGCCATATTCCCTTCCTGGTTGAAATAATTCTGAAGTTGGACAATACTTCTTTGATTTTTTTTTCTATCTCACTGAGCTCTTCCTTAGTTTCCTTTGCTCTCTTCCATGCAGTCATTGCCCAGCCCTTGTCTTTATAGTTCTTCTCTCCACCATCCATGCTCTTTCTTGGCAATCTCATCAGGCCCTATGCCTTTTAATCCCATATACACCCTACGGATTCTCAGAATTATATCATTATCTTGGACCTCTCCCTTCACCTCCAGAGGCATTTATCCAACGTCCTACTGGGCTTCCCCACTTGGCAGATATATTATATATCTCGATCCTTTTTTTTTTTTTTAGCAAAATAGCAAATTTCTTTGTTTCTATAACTGAAAAACCTAGAAATAAAGTCCAGTTGGATCAGGGGTTCAAATGTATCATTAAAACAATATCTTTCCATCTCTCAGCTCTAATTTCTATGTGGCTTTCTTCTTGGGCTGGCTTTATTCATATGGGGGAAAAGATGGCTCCCGATAGACTCAAGCTCATATAGTTCTTAGAATACACAATCTCAAATTTGACCTTCTGTATCAATCTCTCATTGGTTTGACCCTAATCCATATGGAAATGTTTACTGAAGTACTGCTAATCATGTACTGCTAATCGTGACAGACTTTACTATTATCCCAGCATAATAGAAGAGGCATTATAATTGTGTTTGTGTTTGAATCCCTGTTATCTTCTCAATATGCACTGGTAATTACAGTCCAGTCCAGACTGAAATTCCAGTCTAGACTCTCGAATTTATAAGCTGTATGACCTTTGACATATCTAATCATTTATGCCTCAATTTTCTCAACTTAAAATGAGGATAAATAATAACGCTAATCTTACAGGGTCCGTTGTTTTTGTTGTTGTTGTTTTGAGACAGGGTCTCACTCGTGTCGCCCAGGCTGGAGTACAGTGGTACGATCTCGGCTCACTATGGCCTCTGCCTCCTGGGTTCAAGTGATCCTCCCACTTCAGCTACCTTAATAAACATTTCCATACGGATCAGGGTCAAACCAATCAGAAACCAATATAAAAGGTCAAATTCGAGATTGTGGGCACTAAGAACCATAAGAGCTTGTATGTATCTCAATCTTAACCTGAAGATACTTAGAAACCAGAAATCTTGACTCAGTTCATATACATGTTTCTTTTCTATTCTTCCCCGCTTCAAAAAAAATGGGTTCACTTTTGCTTCACTACCTCAGACTACTATCTTTAGTTCCATTATTGTTTTTATATCATGTGTGCAAGTAATACACAAGAGCTGTCAGGTTTTTCTTGAAAATATATCCAATATTTAATCACTCTTCAGCAGGTCCACTGCTACTATCAAATCCAAGCCCATATCATCTCCCACCCAGACAAATTTAATACATTTCAAATGGTTCTCCTCATTTTCATTATTATCATAGTGATTTTTAAAAATCATTAATCTGATAATACTACTCCCTGATTGTTTTCTGCTATTTTAGTGACTGTTCTATTATACTGACCTTGCTATTGTTTCTACATTGTAAACTCATCCTTATCTCAGGGCTTTTGTACGTGCTGCTTCCTTTGTCTGGAATGCTCATGTCCTGAGTTTTCTCAGAATTGACTTCACCTCTTCATTCAGGACTCCACTTAAGTGTCACCTATTCACAGAAGTCTTCCCCACATTTAAAGAGCCTTCAAATCTGTTATATTCTATTCCTTCAATTTGCCTCATGTTTTGCTAAGCAATTATGTAATAAGTACTGTGTGACATTTCATAAATAATAAATATTGTATCCATTTTACATACCTGCACGTTATGTGTTTAAGCTAATACATACAAACATATACATACAAAAATTGAACATACACATATATAAGCAAATATGAACATATATGTACACATCCATTCATATTTGAGTGTACATCTGTTTATTTGTATATATGTTTCTATTTTTCTGACTTAGTTTTGTTAAAGGCAAAAACATTTCCTGTCCTGGCCAACTCCTTATTTCTATAGCTTACTTCAGTCCTGCTTCACAGTAGATAGCCAATACACATTAATAGTTTATTGAATGAATAGAGAGATAATAACCGTGAAACACGATATGCAAGATAACATTAAAAACATAAAACTGGCCAGGCACGGTGGCTCACGCCTGTAATCCCAGCACTTTGGGAGGCAGAGGCAGGCGGATCATGAGGTCAAGAGATTGAAACCATCCTGGCCAACATGGTGAAGCCCTGTCTCTATTAAAAATACAAAAAAAAATTAGCTGGGCATGATGGCATGTGTCTATAGTCCCAGCTATTGGGGAGGCTGAAGCAGGAGCATTGCTTGAACCCAGGAGGCGGAGGTTGCAGTGATCCAAGATCAGGCCAATGCACTCCAAGCTGGCGACAGAGCAAGACTCCATCTTAAAAAACAAAACAAAAACCATAAAACTGTATGTAATGAAGGAAGAATTAGAAACCAAAATTATGATGGGTGATTGTAACAGACAGACAGACACACACACACACACAGACACACACACTTTTAAAGGTAACAGAGTTCTTTTATATTGTAAGTATGTAAATGAACTAGCTTTTTATTTGTATTTTTGTTGCAGTAAAATACACAAAACATAAAATTTTTAATTAGTGAAATATTTGTAATCTTTAGAATTGATTATAATAAATAAAAGCATGAAAATTTAAATGACTTCTTAGTACAGTAGTAGGAACTAATTATTTATGTGCTAGATGTTAATATGCTCCATTTTACCTTGCTAAAAATACATTTTTTGATTTTGTTTGAAATTTTGTAAACTTGTTTCATAAACCAAAGAACAAATTAAGCGTCATTAAATTTCAAAAATTTGATTTATATTGTATTCTGTGTCTACAATAAAACTAATTAGCAATAAATAATAAAATTCCAAATAAAACTTACAAAAATCCCAGTAAAAAATATTTAGAAGTTAAATAAAAATAACCTTCTAAGTAAATAGTTGTTATTAACAGGGCTAGTCCCAATTACAGACAATTTAGAAAAAAACAAAGGTGAAAAGAAAACATCAAAATATGTACAATGAAAAATTTAAGTTTTAAAATTATGAAATAAATGAATTTCAATACACAGAATCAAGTTTCTGAAGAGCAGGGCCAAGACTGCCAACTAGAAGCAGCAGTGATTGGAGACTACAATAAAAAAAGAACCATAATAGTGTGTGAATCCTGTACCAGCAACCAAGCCATCTAGGTTCTCTCTCAGAACTGACTATGTGGCTGGGGTGACCCATGGAGAAGAAGGAAGAGCAGTGTGGTACGGCACCCACTTGAAAGCTACCTAGGGCAGGGACCCCCCCATCCCCCAGCCAAGAGAGGCAGTGAGTGAGGGTGCTACTCAGCTGGGAAAAGCATGCTTTTTCTACAGAACTGTGCAGCCCACAGATAGGAAGATCCCCCTCTTGAACCCAAGCCACCATGGCCTAGGGTCCCAACCCTGGAGCTATGCAGATTCTCAACAGCTTCTCAGCTGGAATCTGCTTAAGCCTGTTTAGTTCCCAGGTGGAGGGGCAACCAGCACCCCAGCTACCGCTGTCTGCTGTCTAAGCCATTTGAGCTTCTTGGGGGAGGTGCAGCAGCCAGCACTGGGACTGACAGCTGCCTAACATGCTAAGCTCCCAGCGCAGGGAAGGGCAGCAACCATCTCTATAGCTCCAGGCCATGCTTTTCTCCTGCTGGAGCCAAGGAGGATGGACCACTTGGTCCCAGGAGGTGTCCCCCACAGCCCAACACAACGGCTGTGACAGACTGCAGCCAGAGAGCCTCTTCAGACCTGACCCTGACCCCCTCCCCACTGGGCGGGGCTTCCCTGCAGGAACTCCAACAACTCCAGCCAGGGGCTCAAGGACAGAATGCTGAACTCCCTGGGCCTGAGCCCCTAGGGGGAGGTGCGGCCACAGTCTCTGTGGACCAGCAGACTTAGCCTTTCCTCCAGGTAGTTCTGAGGAATCCAGGCAGCCCAGATAAGTGGATTTTCCCCCAGCAAAGCACACCCCCTCCACCAAGGGAAAGTCAAAGTTCTTCATTAAATCGGTCTTGTTTCCCATGCCACCCAACTGGGTGAGACCCTCCAACAGGGGTTGTCAGACACCCTATACAGGAGCAATCCTATTGGTATCAGGTTGGTGCCCCTCAAGCTTAGAGATCCCAGAGGAAGGAGCAGGCACCTATCTTTGCTCTTCTCCAGCTTCCTTGAGTGACATCTCCAGGTGCAGGAGTGAACCAGATGAATAGGGTCTGAAGTGAACCCCCAGCAAACTGCAGCAGCCCTACAGAAGAGGGACCAGACCACTGAAAGAAAAACAAACAGAAAGCAACAACAACAGCATCAACAACAACAAAAATTCCCCACAAAAAGCCATCCAAGGGTCAACAACTTTACAGATTGAAACTAGACAAACTCATGAACATGAGGAAGAATCAACAAAAAAACGCTGAAAACCCATAAGGCCAGAGTGCCTCTTCTCCTCCAAATTATTGCAACGCCTCTCCAGCAAGAGCACAGAACTGGATGGAGGAAGACAGACAGATGAATTGACAGAAGTAGACTTCAGAAGATGGGTAATAACAAACTCCACTGAGCTAAAGGAGTATGTTCTAACCCAATGCAAGAAGCTAAGAAACTTGATAAAAGTTAGAGGAGCTGCTAACTAGAATAACTAGTTTAGAGAGGAATATAAATGACCTGATGGAGCTGAAAACACAGCATGAGAACTTTGTAATGCATACACAAGTATCAATAGCCAAATTGATAAAGCAGAAGAATGGATATCAGAGCTTGAAGACCACCTTGCTCAAATAAGGCATGCCGACAAGATTAGAGAAAAAAGAATAAAAAGGAACGAACAAAGCCTCTGAGAAATATGTGATTACATAAAAAGACCAAACCTATGATTGACTGGAGCACCTGAAGGAGACAGGGAGAATGGAAACAAGCTGGAAAACACACTTCAGGATATTATCCAGGAGAACTTCCCCAACCTAGCAAGACAGGCCAACATTCAAATTGAGGAAATACAGAGAGCACAACTAAGATACTCCATGAGAAGTTCAACCCCAAGACACAGAATCATCAGATTCTCCAAAGTCAAAATGAAGGAAAAAATGTTAAGGGCAGCCAGAGACAAAGGCCAGGTCATCTGCAAAGGGAAGCCCATCAGACTAACAGCAGACCTCTCAGCAGAAACCCTAAAGCCGGAAGAGAGTGGGGGCCAATATTCAACATTCTCAAAGAAAACCATTTTCAACCCAGAGTTTTATATCCAGCCAAACTAAGTTTCATAAGCAAAAGAGAAATCAAATTTTTCCCAGACAAGCAAATGCTGAAGGATGTCATCAGCACCAGGCCTGCCTTGCAAGAGCTCCTGAAGAAAGCACTAAACATGGAAAGGAAATATCACTACCAGCCACTGCAAAAACACACCAAAACAAAAAGAACAATGAATCTTTGAAGAAACATCAACATCAACTAGCAAAGTAACCAGATAGCATCATGATGACAGGATCAAATTCAAACATAACGATACTAACCTTAAATGTAAACGGGCTAAATGCCCCAATTAAAAAGACACAGACTGGCAAATTGGATGAAGAGTCAAGACCCATTGGTGTGATGTATTCAGGAGACCCATCTCACATGCAAAGACACACATAGGCTCAAAATAAAGGGATGGAGAAAAAATTACCAAAGCAACTGAAAAGCAAAAAAAGCAGGGGTTGCAATCCTAGTCTCTGACAAAACAGCCTTTAAACCAACAAAGATCATAAAAGACAAAGAAGAGCATTACATATGGTAAAGGGATCAATGGAACAAGAAGAGCTAACTATCTTAAATATATATGCACCCAATACAGGAGCACCCAGATTCATAAAACAAGTTCCTAGAGACCTACAAAGAGACTTAAACTCCAACAAAATAATAGTGGGAGACTTTAACACCCTACTGTCAATGTTAGACAGATCGACAAGACAGAAAATTAACAATAATATTCAGGACTTGAACTCAGCTCTGTATCAAGTGGACCTAATAGACATCTACAGAACTCTCCACCCCAAATCAACAGAATATACATTCTTCTCAGAGCCACACGCACTTATTCTAAAGTAGACCACAAAATTGGAAGTAAAACACTCCTCGGCAAATGCAAAAGAACTGAAATCATAACAAACAGTCTCTCAGACCACAGTGCAATCAAATTAGAACTCAGGATTAAGAAAATCACTCAAAACGACACAATTACATGGAAATTAAACAACCTGCTACTGAAAGACTCGGGGGTAAATAATGAAATTAAGGCAGTAATAAAGGAGTTCTTTGAAACCAATGAGAACAAGGAGACATCATGCCAGAATCTCTGGGATACAGCTAAAGCAGCATTAAGAGGGAAATTTATACACTAAATGCCCACAAGAGAAAGCTAGAAAGATCTCAAATCGACATCTTAACATCACAATTAGAAGAGCTAGAGAAGCAAGAGCAAACTAATCCAAATGGTAGCAGAAGATAAGAAATAATTAAGATCAGAACAGAATTGAAGGAGATAGAAACAAAAAACCCTTCAAAAATCACTGAATGCGAGTTGTTTTTTTGAAAAAATTAACAAAATAGATAGACCACTAGCTAGACTAATAAAAAAAAAAGAGAGAAGATCAAATAGACACAATAAAAAATGATAAAGGGGATATCACCACTGACCCCACAGAAATACAAACTACCATCAGAGGATATTAAAAACACCCCTATGCAAATAAACTAGAAAATCTAGAAGAAATGGATAAATTCCTGGGCACATACACCCTACCAAGATTAAACCAGGAAGACAATAAATCCCTGAATAGACCAATAACAAGCTCTGAAATTGAGGCAGTAATTAATAGCCTACCAACGAAGAAAAGCCCAGGACAAGAAGGATTCCCAGCTTAATTCTGCCAGAGGTACAAAGAGGAGCTGGTACTACTCCTTCTGAAACTATCCCAAACAATTGAAAAGGAGAGACTCCTCCTAACTCATTTTATGAAGTCAGCATCATCCTGATACCAAAACCTGCAGAGATGCCACAACAACAAAAAATACTTCAGGCCAATATCCCTGATGAACATCAATGTGAAAATCCTCAATAAAATACTGGCAAATCGAATCCAGCAGCACATCAAAAAACTTACCCATGATAATCAAGTCAGTTTTATCCCTGGGATGCAAGGTTGGTTCAACATATGCAAATCAATAAACATAATCCATCACATAAACAGAAACAAAGACAAAATGACATGATTATCTCAATAGATGCAGAAAAGGCCTTTGATAAAATTCAACATCCCTTCATGTTAAAAACTCTCAATAAACTAGGTATTGATGGAACATATCTCAAAATAATAAGAGCTATTTATGACAAACCTATAGCCAATATCGTATTGAATGGGCAAAAGCTGGAAGCATTTCCTTTGATAACCAGGACAAGACAAAGATGCCCTCTCTCACCACTTCTATTCTACATAGTATTGGAAGTTCTGGCCAGGACAATTGGGCAAGACAAAGAAATAAAGGGTATTCAAATAGGAAGAGAGGAATTCAAATTGTCTCTGTTTGCAGATGACATGATTCTGTTTAGAAAACCCCATCATCTCAGCCCAAAAACTCCTTAAGCTGATAAGCAATTTCAGCAAAGTCTCAGGATACAAAATCGATGTGCAAACATGATAAGCATTCCTATAAACCAACAATAGACAAGCAAAGAGCCAAATCAAGAATGAACTCCCATTCACAATTGCTACAAAGGAATTCCTAGGAAGACAGTTAACAAGAGATGTGAAGGACCTCTTCAAGGAGAACTACAAACCACTACTCAAGGAAACAAGAGCGAACACAAACAAATGGAAAATAGGAAGAATCAATATCATGAAAATGGCCATACTGCTCAAAGTAATTTATAGAATCAATGCTATTCCCATCAAACCATCACTGACATTCCTCAAAGAATTAGAAAAAACTATTTAAATTTCATATGGAACCAAAAAAGCCCATATTCCAAGACAATCCTAATCAAAAAGAACAAAGCTGGAAGCATCATGCCACTGGACTTCAACTATGCTACAAGGCTACAGTAACCAAAACAGCATGGCACTGGTACCAAAACAGACATATAGACCAATGGAACAGAACAGAGACCTCAGAGATAACACTACACATCTATAACCATCTGATCTTCAATAAACCTGACAAAAACAATGGGGAAAGGATTTCCTATTCAATAAATGGTGCTAGGAAAACTGGCTAGCTGTATGCAGAAAACTAAAACTGGACCCCTTCCTTACACCTTATACAAAAATTAACTCAAGATGGATTAAAGACTTAAATGTAAAACGCCAAACCATAAAAACCCTAGAAGAAAACATAGGTAATACCATTCAGGACATAGGCAGGGGCAAAGACTTCATGATGAAAATGCCAAAATCAATTGCATGCAACACAAGCCAAAATTGACAAATGGGATTTAATTAAACTAAAGAGCTTCTGCACAGCAAAACAAACTATCATCAGAGTGAACAGACAACCTACAGAATGGGAGAAAATTTCTGCAATCTACCAATCTGACAAAGGTCTAATATCCAGAATCTATAAGGAACTTAAAACCAAATTTACAATAAAAAGCCAAACAACCCCATCAAAAAGTGGGCAAAGGATATGAACAGACACTTCTGAAAAGAAGACATTTACGTGACCAACAAGCATGAAAAAAAGCTTAACATCACTGATCATTAGGGAAATGCAAATCAAAATCACAACGAGATACCATCCCACACCAGTCAGAATGGCAATTATTAAAAAGTCAAGAAATGTTAGATGCTGGCAAGGCTGTGGAGAAATAGGAACACTTTTACACTGTTGGTGGGAACATAAATTAGTTCAACCATTGTGGAAGACAGTGTGGCAATTCCTCAAGGATCTAGAACCAGAAATACCATTTGACGCAGCAAACCCATTACTGGGTATATACCCAGAGGATCATAAATCATTCTACTATAAAGACACATGCACTTGTACGTTTATTGCAGCACTATTTACAATAGCAAAGACATGGAACCAACCCAAATGTTCATCAATGATAGACTGGATAAATAAATTGTGGTACATATACACCATGGAATATTATGCATCCAAAAAAAGGAATGAGATCATGCCCTTTGCAAGGACATGGATGGAGCTGGAAGCCATCATCCTCAGCAAACTAAAACAGGAACAGAAAACCAGACACCGCATGTTCTCACTCGTAAGTGGGAGTTGAACAGTGAGAACACATGGACACAGGGAGGGGAACAACACACATCAGGGCCTGTAGGGGGTGAGGGGAGGGAACCTAGAGGACGGGTCAACAGGTGCAGCAAGCCACCATGGCACACGTACACCTATGTAGCATACCTGCAGGTTCGGTACATATATCCTGGAACTTAAAGTAAAATAAAATAAAGGATCAACCTTTTAAGCAATTAAAAACAGAACAGCAAAATGAACATAATAATTGTAGGAGAAATAAAATAGAAAAGAAAAACAAAATAATTAATTTCAAAGTAATAAAAAAAGTAAAATTAGTGCACAATTTTAAAAGCTGTTTTTCCATTTGTTGTTTCAAAGCCCAAGAAATAGAAGAGAGCCACACGTCTCCAAAGCATAAGCTTCACTTCTAGACCTGGTGTTTCCAGATATTCCAGGTGCCTCAATATATTGGAGCAGTTATTTAGTAAGTTGATTTGGAAAAAACAGCCACATGGAAGAGCAACGTGTGTGTGTGTGTGTGTGTGTGTGTGTGTGTGTGTCTGTGCCTGTGTCTGTGTCTCTGTCTGTTTCCTCCATGTTTTTGTTTGTTTACTTATTCAACAAATAAAGTTCATATATTTATGGTATACAACATGATGTTTTAAAATATGTATACATCACAACATTTCTAAATCAAGCTAATTAACATATGCCTTACCTCACATACTTGTTTTTTTGTGGTGAGAACACTTAAAATCATCTTTTAGATATTTTCAAGAATACTATACATTGTTATTAACTACAGTCACCATGTTGTACAATAGATATTTTGAATTTATTACTCCTGTCTTACTGAAATTTTGTATTTTTTGACCAACAACCCAGCAATCCCTACCCTGGCCCCCACCAATCCCTGGTAACCACAATTCTGTACTCTCTGCTTCTAAGTGTTCAACTTTTTTAGATTTAACATATAACTGAGATAATGTTGTATTTGTCTTTCTATGCCTACATTATTTCACTTATTATCCCACAGATTCATTCATGTTGTCACAAACGACAGGATTTCTTCCCTTTTTAAAGCTGAATGGTATTACATTGTGTATATATACTACAATCTCTGTATCCATTCATTTTTTGATAAACAATTAGGTTGATTCCACATCTTGACTGTTGTGAGCAATGTGTTTTATCTCCCAGCTCACCACTATTGCTTTAGAGAACACTTTGCATTTCTGGTGAAATAAATCCTGTGCATACCTTCAACCACCTGCAAGACACCCTCCCCTTGAGAAGGGTGGCCCAAGATGAGCATGAGAAACACCCAGAGTCTCTTGTGGCTACATATCAAAATTTCTGGATTATTTTGTCACCATACACCAAAATTTTAGGTTTATTATTTTGGAGTGATAGTGCAAAAGGAACTAATGGAATTCAGAAAACCCAACTTTCTTTTGATTCACATGAATGTATTTTAGCCTATTTTATTATTTTACTCAATATATTTGTGTCTTTATGTTTAAAGTACACTTACAGTAGGCAGCAAAATGTTGGATCTTGCTTTTTTTATACAAGCTGAAAATCTCTGCCTTTTCATTAGGGCATTTAGATTGGGACTCTGGAACCTGTGACTAGTGGGGGAAAATGTGGCCTGTTGGCCAAATCCAGCCAGCACCTATGCAGTTACACATCATCTATGGCTGTTTTGGGGCTCCAATGGTGGAGTTTATTTGTTGCCACATGGCCTGCAGAGCCTAAAATATCCTACTTGATCCTTTACAGAGAAAGTTTGCTGACCTCTGGTTTACATTTAATTGGATTCTTGAGTTGATTAAGTCAATAATTTCACTCTTCATTTTCTATTTGGCCTACTGTTATTTGTGCTCTTTCCTTTTATTTCTGTTTTTTCCTTTTTTGGATTAAGCATTTTCATGGTTTCAATTTATATCCTTTCTTAGCTTGTTAGCTATGCCTTCTTTGAGTTGTTATTTTTAAAGTGATTGAGGTTTATTTTATATATATCTTTAACTTATCACAGCCTACTTTTAAATGATATACAGTTTCACTTATATTATCAAACCCTTACGATAGTATACCTCCATGTGTCACTTTCTGGCCTTTATGTTTTATGTATGTTATAAACCCGATGACAGATCGTTATAATTTTCACTTAAAGAGTGAATTATCCTTTGTAGAAATTTAATACTAAGAAAAAGATTGTGCACATTTACTCATGTAGTTATCATTCCTGGTATTTTTCAATATACATATTTTTTATCATTTTCCTACTCTTCAAAGGTTTTCCTTGAACATTATTTGCACTGCAGGTTTCTGAGTGATGAATGCTTATGCTTTGTATGTCTGAAAAGCCTTTATGTTCCCTTCATATTAAAAGATATTTTCCCCCAGTAAAGAGTTCTCAGTTGACAAGGTATGTGTGAGCGTGTGCGTATGTGTGTGTATGCAGGTGTGTGGTGTAATAAAGTTGTTGCACCACTGTCTTTTGTATATTATTTCAGATGAAAAATCTGCATCATCTTTATTGTAGTCCTTTAATATAGTATGTCTTCTTTCTCTGGCTGCTTTTAAGTTTTTCCTCTTTTTTGCCTCTAAACAATTTGATTGTCAGGTTCCTTAGTGTAGTATTTTTAAAATATTTATTGGCTAGGCGCGGTGGCTCACGCCTGTAATCCCAGCACTTTGGGAGGCCGAGATGGGAAGATCACAAGGTCAGGAGATCGAGACCATCCTGGCTAACACGGTGAAACCCCATCTCTACTAAAAGTAGAAAAAATTAGCCGGGCGTGGTGGTGGGCACCTGTAGTCCCAGTTACTCGGGAGGCTGAGGCAGGAGAATGGCAGGAACCCAGGAGGCGGAGCTTGCAGTAAGCTGAGATCGCGCCACTGCACTCCAGCCCAGGTGACAGAGCTGCATTCCAGCCCAGGCTCCATCTCAAAAAAAAAAAAAAAAAAAAAAAAAAAAAAAAAAAATATATATATATATATATATATATATATATATATATATATATATATTTATATATAGTGCTTTGAATTATCAAGCTTAAAGTGAAATTATAAATATTACCATCAACTTTGGAAAATCTTGTGCCAATATTTCTTCAATTAAGTTTTCTGTCCCCTCGTCTCTTCTCTCCTTTAGGGACCCTAATTACATGTATATTAGACTGCTTGGTGTTGACTTAGAGTTCACAGATGCTCTGTTTACTTTAGTTCAATCCTTTTTCTCTTTTTAAATTGTGGCTACTTTGTATTGTTGTGTCTTCAAATTCACTATTTAGTTATTGTCCACATTGTTTAATGTCATTAATTTTACATGGTATATTTTTACTGAAAATATTATAATTTTCATTGTTAAAAAGTTGATTTGGGCCTTCTCATATTTTTATGTCCTTATTTAACATGCTCAGTTTTTTCTCTAGCTTTGTGAACATGTGGCATATAGTTGTAAATACTGCTTAATGTCTTTTTATACTAATTCTATCATTGGTGTCTCACATTGACTCTGTTTTTTCTCATTCAGTTGTTTTTTCCTTCTTCTTTGCATAGCTGGTAATTTATATTAGATGTGAGATATTGAAAATTTTACCTAATTAGGTGCTAGATGTATACTTTTAATTCCTATAGATATTCCTGAGCTTTGTTCAGGGATGTTTTTAAGTTACTAGAAAATGTTTGATCCTTTTGAATCTTCCTCTTGGGACTTTTTGAGCAAGATCAGAAGAGCATGTAATCTAGAGCTATTATTTTCACTACTGGGGTAAGATACTTCCTTATATTCTATCTATTACCCTATGAATTTTTAATTTTTTCCAGTCTGGCTTGTGGGAATAAGTGGTATTCCTGGCTCTATCTGAGCCTCAGGAATTAGTCCTTCTATTGCTTTCAGAAGCTTCTTTTCTGGGCCTTATATATTTTCCTCACACATGTGCAGTCATCATTACTCAGCTGAACCCTTACGGAGGACTCTTTTTAGGACTCCAGAAGTTTTCCTCTGTGAAGCTATCTTAACTTTGGTATTCTGTCTTGTGAATTCTTGCTGCCTTGGCCTTTTGAAATGCCCAGCTCCTTAAGGAGACTGCTAGGCTAATCCTGAATCTTTTCTCCCCACACTAATCTGAAAATTTTCTCCAGTTAGTGAGCTGAAACACCTGCATAGGTTACTTTTTTATTTTATTCTATTCTATTCTATTCTATTCTATTCTATTCTATTCTATTCTATTCTATTCTATTCTATTTTATTTTATTTTATTTTATTTTATTTATTTTATTTTTTGAGATGGAGTGTCGCTCTGTCACCCAGGCTGGAGTGCAGTGGCACGATCTCAGCTCACTGCAAGCTCCGCCTCCTGGGTTCTCGCCATTCTCCTGCCTCAGCCTCCCGAGTAGCTGGGACTACAGGTGCCCACCACCACGCCTGGCTAATTTTTTTGTATTTTTAGTAGAAATGGGGTTTCACCGTGTTAGCCAGGATGGTCTCCATCTCCCGACCTCGTGATCCACCCATCTCGGCCTCCCAAAGTGCTGTGATTACAGGTGTGAGCTACTGCGGCCAGCCACATCATTTATTTTTAATAACTCAGAGAACACTAACCTTTGTAGCCTGATTGTCTTACATCTTGAAAAACATTATTATGTCTATCTTGTCTATAATTTAGTTCTTTCAGGCAGGAGAATAAATCTGGTTCATGTCACTCAATCAGAGCCAGCCAGCCAAGTTTTGCTACCTAGCATTTACATCTTCATATAATTGTTAGGAGGAGTTTTGTTCTGTTTGATGAAAACAACAGAAGTTGGCAGAGAATTTATTAGAATTCCATCAAATCCGTAGATAAATTTGAGTTATACTGACGTTTTTGTTAAGTTGAATAGGAAAACTCTTTTTTCCTAGGGTTTTTATCCAAGTGTTAGCTATGAGAGTTCTTGGCTTGTTCCTGGGCAAAGCCATGAGAAAAAAAAATACCAAGAAACCTCATCCATGTACTGTTTCCCTCAAGTTTTGACACCTTCTTTTGTTCACTTTTCACAGTCTTTAGGCAATTGTATTTTTTATTTTGTTCATAGTGTATAATTTTCTAAAGCTGAAGATATGAGTAAAAGGGTATTTACTTAGCCTTTTACTTTTTACTTTTAACATTTTACTTTTTAGATTTTTTAACAGAAACCTTACAAACCAGAGAAGATTGAGAACCTATTTTTCAAGATCTTTAAACAGCAGAAATTCCAACCAAGAATTTCATAACCCACCAAACAAAGCTCATGAGCAAAGGAGAAATGAAATACTTTTCAGAAAAACAAATGCTAAGATAATTAGTTACCAGTAGACTTGCCTTACAAGAGGTCCTGAAGGAAGTGCAAAACAGGGATATGAAAGAATGATAACTGCCACCACATAAACAAACTTAAGCACATATACCCTTGACACCATAAGCAACTACATAATCAAGTCTACATAATAACCAGAAAACAGCACGATGACAGGATCAAATCTTCACATATCAACATTGATCCTGGATGTAAATGTGCTAAATGTTACACTTAAAAAGACAGAGTGGCAAGTTGGATACAGAAGGAAGACCCAACTGACTGCTGTCTTCAAGAGACCCATCTCACAAGTAATGACATCCATAGACTCAAAGTAAAGGAATGGAAAAAGATTTATTAGGCAAACAGAAAACAAAAAGAGAGCAGGAATTGCTATTTTTATATGAGATAAAACAGACATTACATCAACAATGACCAAAAAGGACAAAAAAAAGAGAGCATTGAACAATAATAAAGAAATCAATCCAATTGGAAGATTTAATCATTCTAAATATATACACACCCAACATTGGAGCACTCAGATTCATAAAACAAGATCTTAGAGATCTATGAAAAGATTTGGACAACCAAACAATAATACTAATACTTCAACACCCCACTGACAGTGCTGTACAGATCATCGAGGCAAAAAACTGAGAAAAATATTCTAGACTTAAACTTTACACTTGACCAATTGGACCTAATACACATCTACAGAACGCTCCACCCAACAACCACAGAATATACACCCTTCTCATCTGCACGTGGTAAATACTCTAAGATTTACCACATGCTTAACCATAAAGCAAGCCTCAACAGATTGAAAAATATCAAATCAAAGTCATACTAATCCCACTCTCAGACCACAGTGCAATAAAAACAGAAATCAATACCAAGAAGACCTATCAAAACCTTACAATAAAATGGAAGTTAATGTCTTTCCAAATGAGTTGGGTAAATAACAAAATTAAGGCGAAAAGTCAAAAAGTTATTTGAAACTAATAAAAACAGAGACACAACATACCAGAATCTTGGGGAAACAGCTAAAGCAGTGTTAAAAGGAAAGTTTATAGCACTACACGCCTACATCCAGGAGTTGAAAAGATCTTAAATTAACAACCTAATGTTCTACCCAGAGGAAATAAAAAAGCAAGAGCAGACCAAACTGAAAGCTAGCAAAGGAAAAGAAATAGCCAAACTCAGAGCAGAACTGAACAAAATTGAGTAATGACACCCATAGACTCAAAGCAAAGGGTGGAGATGCAAAAAATTCATTTAAAATTCAATGAAACTAAAAGTCTTATTGGTTTCTTCAAAAGATTAAACAAAATGGATAGACCACTAGCTAGATTCATGAAAAAAAGAGAGAAGATTTAAATAAACACAATTGGAAAAAACAAAGGCAACATTACAGACAATCCCACGGAAATACAAGAAATCCTCAGAGACTATTATAAACACCTCTATGCACAGAAACTGGAAAACCTGGAAGAAATTGGTAAATTCCTGGAAATACACAGCCTCCCAAGATTGAACCAGCAAGAAAATAAAATCCTGAAAAGACCAATAAAAAGTTCTGAAATTGAATCACTAATAACAAGCCTACCAAACCAAAAAAGTGCTGCACCAGTTGGATTCGCATCCTAATTCTACCAGACATACATAGAAGTGCTAGTACCAAACATATTATATTATTTCAAAGAATCGATGAAGGAACTCCTCCCTAACTCATTCTAAAAAACCAAAGCCCAGCAGAGACACAACAAAATATAAAACTTTAACCAATATCTCTGATGAACATAGGTGCAAAAATCCTAAACAAAATACTAGCAAATGGAATCCAGCAGCACATTCAAAAGTTAATTCACCACAATCGAGTAAAGTTTATTCCTAGGATGTTTGCATGTGTTTCTTCAACATACATAAACCAATAAATTTGATTCACTACATAAATTGGTATTAACAAAAAAAAGATCAGATGATTATCGCAATAGACACAGAAAAGGTCTTTGATAAAATTCAACATTCTTTTATATTAAAAACCCTCAGCAAATTAAGGTTTGAAAGAATATACATTAATAAGAGTCATCCATGACAAACCCACAGCCAACATCATACTGAATGAGCAAATTGGAACAAGACAAGGATCTGCATTCTCACCACTCTTTTTCAACATAGTACTGGAAGTCCTAGCCTGAGCATTCAGGCAAGAGAAAAAAATAAAAGGCATTCAAAAAGGAAGAGAAGAAAGAAGTCAAACTATCTCTCTTTACAGATTATATAATTCTGTCTCTAGAAAACCCTCCCATATACTCTGCCAGAAGGCTTCTAGAACAAATAATCAACTTCAGTAAAGTTTCAGGATACAAAATAAGTAACGTACAAAAATTAAGTAGCATTACTATACATCAGTAACTTCCAAGCTCAGAGCCAAATAAAGAGTGCAATTTCATTTACAATAGCCACAAAAATAATAAAATACTTAGGAATACAGCTTACCAAGGAAGTTAAAGATCTCGGCAATGAGAATTACAAAACACTGCTGAAAGAAAACAAAGATGATAAAAACAAATTGGAAAGCATTCCATGCTAATGGATAGGAAGAATCAAGATTGTTAAAATTGCCATACTGCCCAAAGCAATTTACAAATGAAATGCTATTCCTATCAAACTAACATCATTTTTTACAGAATTAGAAAAAAAATTCTAAAATTCATATAGAATAAAATTCATATAGAATGAATAAAATTCATATAGAATGAATACAGAATAAAATTCATATAGAATGAATTTTAGAAAATTCTAAAATTCATATAGAATGAAAAAAATTCTAAAATTCATATAAAATTCATACAGAATGAATGAAATATAGAATGCCCAAATTGTCAAAGCAATCTTAAGCAAAAAGAAAAAAGTCAGACAGATCACACTATCTGACTTCAAACTATACTGCAAGGCTACAAAGCAGCATGGAACTGGTACAAAAACAGACATAGAGACCAATTAAACAAGATGGAGAACTCAGAAATAAAGCCACACACCTACAACCACCTGATCTTCAACAGATTAAACAATAACAAAGAATAGAGAAAGGAGTCCCTATTCAATAAATGATCCTGGGATAAATGACTTGCCACATGCAGAAGATTGAAACTGGACTGCTTCCTCTAACAATATACAAAAATTTACTGAATATGGATAAAAGACTTAAATGTTAATACCTACAACAATAAAAACTCTAGAAGAAAGCCTATGAAATACCATTCTGGATGCTGGCTTTGGGAAAAAATTTATTACTAAGTCTCCAGAAGGAATTGCAAAAAAACCCAAAAATTCACAAGTGGCACCTAATTTAACTAGAGAGCTTCTGTCCAGCAAAAGAAACTATCAACAAACAGACAACTTACTGAATGGAAAAAAAAATTTGCAAACTATACATGTGACAATGGTCTAATATCCAGAATCTATAAGGAAATTAAATCAGCAAGCAAAAAACAAACAAAAAACCTCATTGAAGAATGGGCAAATGACATCAACAGACACTTTTCAATGATGAAAAATGCCCATCATCAGTAATCATTAGAGAAATGCAAATCAAAACCACAATGAGATACTATCATCATTCAGAAAAGCTATTATTAAAAAGTCAAAAAACAACAAATGTTGGCAAGGTTGCATAGTAAAGGCAATACTTACACACTCTTGGTGGGAATGTTCAGTTTAGTATAGGTTTCTGACAATCAATTTTTTTGGTTTTCTTATACCTGAAATTTTAAAAAATTTTGCCTTCGCTCTTGAAAGATTTTTCATTGAATATAGGATTCTGAATTGAGAGGTTTTTTTTTTTGATCTAGCTATTTACAGATATTGTTGCACTCTTTTCTGTTGTCCATAGTATCTGATGAGAAGGCAGTTGTTAAATAGATCTCATTTTTTTTTCCCATACTTAAGATGTACTTTTCTGTGCATGTGTGATTTTGAGGATTGTCAGAAATGTGGGTAAACAGAATTTTGGTGTCTCCCTTTTCATTACTTACTTTCTAATATCTCTTCATTACTGCCAGTGGTCTGTTTTCTAAATTTAGATATCTGGTTCCCCAGGGCAGAAATACTGTAGATATGGTTTTTGTTTTTGTTTTTATTTTTTTCCATCAGCACCCCCACTAACTGCACTTTGTACCAAAAGCATCTAAGCTCAGGTTGAAACCACAGAACTCGAACTCACTTTGTTCAACCTTCCCTCACTTTCGTCTTCCCAATCTAAGTCTGCCTGCTTCTGCTCATTTCCCAGTGCTTGTAGGTAGCTGCTTTTGTATGAAGTCCAAATGTTAGTTTTGTCTAAAAGTAGCTAATCCATATATACTTACTCTGTTATTATCAGCAGCGTGTTTACTATTGAACGACATTTTGTTTTCTAATTTTACTTTCCAAAATGTTATATAGAAAAGGAATTTACTTGTTTATATTACATAAATGTGCTTGATATATATAATCATTGTTTTGTTTTGTTTTTAATTTCTTATCTTATTAAAATGTTATTTAGGAGGATATTTTGCACTCAGGATAGTACATTTTTCTTATTTGGATGATTATTTAAATTTCTGTTATTAATTTGTGTCTGTAACACTTTCTAGTCATAGGTTACAATGTATAAAATGCACGAATTTTTTTATATGAGAATTTATTTTATTTTAATTTGAATAAAACAAAATAAATGATTTGTTGATGTCGTATGCTAGATTAAATGATGAAGATTTATTCTCTTTTATCAGTTCAAAATTATTAATACATTAATATCAATATTATTAACAAAATTTTCAGGTCTTATTTTCTGTGTCAGTAGCTATATATTATATAAATACTTGAACTTCTTTTTTTTTACTTATATCTTCACAAAAGTTTATATCTGCTTTATTGCGTGAATTTATTTCTTCAACAAATATTTAATGTTGGTCACAAAACAAAAAAGCACTGTTCAATAAAAGGCTAAATTATCCTGTGTGTTTTATCCTATCAACAAGAAATTTCCCATTTTCTTCTATTTCTTGATTTTTTTCTGTTGACTAGTTCCTTGTTCTGATGTTAATATTTCAAATTCTATCTTACGTTAATTATTTCCAACTATTTAATTTTTTCTTTTTAATCTTATTTCTCTCTCTTTGTCATAATAAAACATACTTAGATTTTGGTTTAAATTCAATCATTTGATTTTGCTTTTAATTAGTATGTTTGATTGATAATTGTACAGATTAATCCTATTCTAGTCAAATGCACTGAATTTTAATTCCTATTCTCTTTTAAAATTTGTCTTCAATGGATTAGTTAGTATAAATTTTACTTATTATAAAATAAAATTAATTTTAATTTTGATAATTAAATTCTTGTGAGAATGTTAAACTTTTATCTTGCTAAAAATAATTTTGATATTCTTTCAAGAAAGTGACTAATAAAAAATTTTACAGATGGTTTATTATTCTTACAAGTTTAGTTTTATTTCTATTTCTGAATAATACTTAGCTAGATTAAAAATGACTAGCTCAATTGCAATAAAATTTCAGTCTTTCATAATTTAAACATCAAGTGTTGTACCTTACTTTAATAAAATATCTGACAGTAACATGCTTTATTAGGCAAATAATCAATTTTTATTCAAAATTTGAACTTTCATGTTATTGCTTTCCTTTGTTTCTTACAGAATTATTACACTATACTGCTAAATAGAGAAAATTAGAATGGCTTCATAAATAAGTCATTAAACTCACTGCATGATTATAATGGAAGTAAAGGTCATTTAGAATTAAATACTATGTATTCTCACTTAACAACAGTTACTCATTTCTACAAAATACCAACAAAATACTGCAAAAGCTGATTATTAAAAATTATGTAATTTTAAAAATAAGATATATTGGCCAAAATAGAATTTCTAGTTGCAATACTAAAGTTACTAACTGCTTTCAAAAGAATTAATTTATTCATATACCATCTAGAAGTATACACATTTTCAGATGCAGATTTATGCTCCCCTCTGAATATTTTACAGAAATATTTCTAATCTGTTTCTTCATGTCCATGTAACTAAATTATATGTATTCGTTAAGCCCTGTTTAAAATCTGATTACTCAGAGTTGTCCAAATAAATGGAACCAATAGATATACATGTTATATATTATATTTAAGAAGAGATTTATCCTAAGGTATTGGCTCACAAGGTTATGGAGCTGAGCAGTCTTTCAATCTACCATCTGCAAGATACATACCCAGGAAAGTCAGTGGTGTAATTCAGAGATGGAAGGGCCACAGAACCTATGGTATAGATTTCAGTCTAAGTGTGAAGGTCTCACAATGAGGAGAGCAGATTCTTAGAGAAAATCAATGCCCTATCTTAAGCAATTGGTGTTGCAGAGTGTTGCAGGACTTTTTCTTAGTTCATCTACAGATGGGGTCCTTTGTCCCATGGCCACTAAAATTCAGGTTTGCAGACAGTTTGAATGGTGAGTAAGACATCGTTTTATTGGGTGAAAATGGGAAAAAAGGGGGAAATAGGGATCCTCCCCAAGGCCGGAGGCCCTGCTAGTGTGCTTCCCACCTGCAGCTTGAATCCCAGGTTCCACACAGGAAGAGAAGGGGCCAGGCTCCTCCCCACTGCAAAAGGCACAAGCTTCCTGAGGCTCCACTGCAGTTCGCATTCCTCCCAATGCGCAGACTGGTTGGAGGCTTTCCGGGGAACCCCTCAGACCTGGCTGTTTCATTCCCCCCTCTAAAGAAGTACATCTAACTGCCATTAGAATAAGAATAAGGATGGGCCGGGCGAGGTGGCTCACGCCTGTAATCCCAGCACTTTGGGAGGCCAAGGAGGGCAGATCACGAGGTCAGGAGATGGAGACCATCCTGGCGAACACGGTGAAACCCCGTCTCTACTAAAAATACAAAAAAATTAGCCAGGCGTGGTGGCGGACGCCTGTAGTCCCAGCTACTCGGGAGGCTGAGGCAGGAGAATGGCGTGAACCCGAGAGGCGGAGCTTGCACCACTACACTCCAGCCTGGGCGACAGAGAGATCGCACCACTACACTCCAGCCTGGGCGACAGAGAGAGACTCCGTCTCAAAAAAAAAAAGAATAAGGATGAAAATCGATCTTAACTGCTTTCTGCCGACAGAGGGCACTGTTTTGGGAAAACGGCAGTCCGGCAGTCAGAGCTCCCCCAGAGGCCTATTTAGTCGTTCCCTGCAGATGGGGCCATTCTCTGAGGCTCCAGTTACATGACCATTTGCAGTTTGATGGCCTAAGGGCAAGAACAGACAAACTGGATTATTATAAAACATGTATCAAAATGAAACAAGAGGAGGTGTAAAGACAGCTCAAAAGTTCTGGGGCCTTTTAAGAGATTGCATGGGGAGAGGGAGGCTAACCTGACCGGAAAGAAACTGTACCCTTTTGCAGGCATGCTGAGCTTCTGAGTTCCCTTCCTCGGAGCCCCATCCTAAGCCAAACAGTTTAAGGTTTGGGAAATTAACTCTTTCCAGTTTGGAGAATGCATCTGAGGGGAGTGTACCCTAGTACAGAGACAAAATTACCTATCAGTGAAGAGAGGACCAAGGAGAAGAAAGGAAAAAAAAGAAGATGTCTTTTAAAGGAGTCCCAGGGGTTTAGGATGCATTCAGAGGGTACAGACTGAAGATGACTGGCTACCCATCTGGAAAGAGGGAAGCAGGCATCCCTGGTTACCTTCTCTTCCTAGCAGATACTCAGGTACATGAGGGAACGAGGGAAAAGCGTCCTCTTTCCCTCTTCCATCCTCACATCCCTGAGTCCTAGCAATCTTGGCAGGCACCACTATGAGTGTCAAAGCGGCTTGCACCCATGAAGCAGGGGGGGCCTAGAGGTGGGAATCATCTGCTCTTACCCGCATGTGCCCCATCTCCCCTGCTGTCAGTAGCCTTCGGGTTCCCCAGACCTTATTTATGCCATGGATGCTAATGTGGCCTTTATCCATGAAACAGGAAGCTTGGGCTTGACTTAATTGACAGGAATCAGCTACACTAAACTGTGCTGTGCTTTTAATTTCCATTATTGTCTGCCTCTGGATCCCTCAGATCCAGTTTGCTTTCCTAGGGCTCTGACCTGAAGCTTGGAATTGCGTCTAAAACAAAAATGTGTCTCAGGGGAGTTGCGTGGACTCCTTATCATAAGCCGAATGCTAAGATGCAACTGGGGAACTGAGTTCATCCTCCAACAAGGGAGAGAAAAAGATGTCTTGTGACACACTCAGATAACTGGTATCTATAGTTATGCTAGCTAGAATTTGGGTGCATGCTGCTTGGCTTTGGATAGCTCCCTTGGTCTTGCTTTCCCAAAAGGAAACCTCCAACTGATGGACATCCTATTTATTCCCTATTTATTCCATCACCTGACAGGATTTGCAGGATAATTGCTCAGAACTAGAATATTGATCCAGATTTCTACATTACCCATCCCTATTGTTCTTTCTGAGCTGCAGCCAGAGATTGCTGGTTGGTTCATAGGAACAAGCAAGGTTAGTGTAAAAATGTAGGCAAAAACTTAAAAACCACCAATGAGTTTAGAATTTAATGACAAATGTATGATACGTTTTTAAACATAATTTCTCTCTCTCTCTCCAGTCCTCACTTTTGTTAAAAGAACCAATTATAATAGGACTGAGTTTTTTGCAAAATAGACTTTAGTCTTATACTTGGCCTGATTATTTGCATAAAGTAGAGCAAGAATAATTATTTCTACATAGACCTTTTGGATTGGCTTTGATGAAACTCTGTTCCACGAGGAATCTCAGGTAAGACCTTTTAAAGCCAAACCGAGCCATGGGTCTATTCTCAAATACCTGTGAGTTCGTTGATGCTCTCCTCTTAAGGTTCCAAGATAAATTTGGAGCTCCTGGACCTGTTAGAAAGCGACATTCTTTACTGACCACAGGTCAGGAACCCTGTACAGGGACTCTGTAGATGAGGATATGAGCCCAGTCTCCCCACAGGGCTTTCACTGACTTCCAAGTCAAGATTAACTCCTTAAAGGGAAGCATAACCTTCCAGTCAAAGCCTTGGTGAAACTACCTGTTTCTCCATTTGTGTCCTGTTGCAAAAGAAAAACGGATTCTTATTGCACTGATGCAAACAACTATATTGCCATAATTTAAGAATATTCACAGACAGCTTCCAAATTCTAGAGGAAACAGGCAGAGAAACAAACATGCTCCAAATTTTGTTGACAGGAGTACACCTTACTCAATTATTGAAGCCATAAATAGCTCAAAATAAGTTTCCTGACTCTGAAGAACAAAACAAGGATCAGCAATATTCCAAGCAAAAGTCAAAAAGATTTGCTTCAGCTTTTTGAGTTCAGTCCATTTAGTTAACTTTGGTTTTGCTTGATATTCATGAACACTTACAGCTCTTCATGAGTCCTGTACATTTTCCTTTATTCCAACTTTACAATCTCCAAAGTTATCAGAAGTCTGTACTTGAGAGCACCTGTTAAAGTTCTACAGCTTATCATAAACCATCTTTTAAAAAGGATTAAAACAAGACAACAACTGTCTGTGAATAGCAAAATGTCCAGGGTAGTTACAGTTAGAAACACAATTGACAAAAAAGTTTGGTTATCTCAGTGGTTTACAATAACTTAATATAACAACCTTAATTATGATTGATAACATATATGATTGATATAGACTTTAGGATGTTAGAAATCCCATACGATTTTGGAATATTTATTAGCATTATTTACTAAGATATAACCTAAAGAAGATTGAACATTATTTTGGCAATTTCATGTAACGAAACCTGTCAAATAATCCTGTTTACCTTTCTTTTCTGGACGTTCCCAGGGCCCTCTGGACTATCCGAAATGCCAAGTTCCAGGAAAGACAATTTTGAAGCTGAAGTTTGATTTTGGGAAGGCTGTTAAATATGTTTAGTTTAAAACACTTGATATTATGAAACAGAATTCCAGATTACCATACATTATTTATTTTGCCAAAATGATGACTCAGAAATTTAAAGAAGCCAAAACTTTTCCTAACCTTATGAATTTAGTTAATATGTTCACAAAGAGAACCTCTTTCGCAAGATTAATTTCCACAATGCTTCCACCAACTGTTTGAACCTTTAGCTTTTCCTATCTGACTCAAAACAATTTTTAACCCTAGGCAAAAGTTTACGTTTCCATGCCTTTTTATATGCTTTTACATAAAAAAAAAATTCACTGTTCTTATACACCTTGCATGTAAATCTATTTTCAGTAGTTTCAATTACATGTTATAATGGTAACTCCTAGCAATTTTTAACTTTAATTTAAAACCTGGTAAGTTACTTTGTGTGCTAACTGCAGCTAACATCCACCTCCTTAATGGAGGACGTGGTTAGTTCCGTATGTCCCCAGGCCTTACCAGTTGTGAAGCTGGTGAGTCAAATAGTTTTCAAAACCTAAAAAGCAGTTTCTCAAAACACTTAGGAAACCTTGCCTCTGACCTACATAGTGTAGTTCACCTATTTACATTTTAATGACACCTGCATTTTACCAATAATCTTAAAGGCTGTTTTTACTTCTTAAAGTCAAGTTAATCTTGTGGAATTGAAAGGTACCAGAGCTTTTACCTTTCCTTTAAAAAATATTAGATCCAAGCCCTTGTCTTTTTTTTTTAGACGGAGTCTCACTCTGTCGCCCAGGCTGGAGTGCAGTGGCACGATCTCAGCTCAATGCAAGCTCCGCCTCCTGGGTTCACGCCACTCTCCTGCCTCAGACCCCCAGGTAGCTGGGACTACACGCGCCCGCCACCACGCCCTGCTAATTTTTTGTATTTTTAGTGGAGGCGGGGTTTCACCGTGTTAGCCAGGATGGTCTTGATCTCCTGACCTCGTGATCTGCTGCACTTGTTTTTCTTTAGGTCAAATTAATTAGAGCTATTTTTACAGACATTACATACAACATACACACAGACAGGCAGGAGAAAACCCAGTCCCCAGGTGGGGCTTGGAAAACATGCAGATATCAAACCAAAAAGGAACTTAGCCCCTAAGCTAGGATTGCTAAACAATGCCTTGCCACCAGAGTTACAAGCCACGCCCCCAGGATGTAGAACAAGATGGAGGCTTGATTTCACAACCAAAACTTTGCAGAGAATACAAACAGTGATAGTTGAGGAGGGGGAGTGGTTTAGTTAAGCATCTTTTAAAAGGGAAAAAACATTAAAAGTTACTGCTGATGGGGTACAGAAGGGGAAGGAAAAAAAAAACAGTATAAAAATGCCTGGAGTAGATCCAATTTTTCGGATCTCTTGTTTATATGCAGGTGGTTCCTCCACCAGGGAGACAAATTTAATTGCTGTGGGGCAAAGCTGGCCTCCCTGGCCTGGGAAGGAGGAGACTCCTTGGGCACATTGCAGAAAATGCCAGCCAGCTGCTCCTGGCACCTTGGGCCATGGATTCCAGTCCCAGCAGGCAGCAGGGAGCAGCGATGAGCCACTCACCTCACCAGTCTTGTCCCAAAAGGGAAAGGAAAAGGCCATGGAAAAGCTGCAGTTGGTTCCCGATCCCTGGGAGCAACAGTGGGTGGAGGTACAGTTTCCTCCACTCTCAGAAATCTCAGGATGAAAAGGCTCAAAAGGGAGAGGAAAAAATAACTCTCACTCACTACTTCTTGAGTCTCCACATTGCGTGCCATAAATGTCACAGGGCTTTTCCTTAGTTCAGCTAAAGATGGGGTCCTTTGTTTCACGGCCCTGAAAATTCAGGCTCACAGACAATTTAAATGGTGAGTAAGACCGGGTTTTATTGGGTGAAGAGGGGAAAAGTGGGGGGGGGAAACAGGGATCCTCCACAAGGCCAGAGTTCCTGCTACAGTGCTTCCCACCTGCAGCTTGAATCCCAGGTTCCACACAGGAAGAGAAGGGGCCAGGTCCTCCCGGCTGCAAAGCGTGCAAACTTCCTGAGGCTCCACCCCAGCGCACATTCCTCCCAGTGCACATCCTGGTTGAAGTTTTACCGGGGACGCCCTCCCACCTGGCTGTCTCAAGAGGGCCAGGGGATTCCCTCTTGTTCCACCTTTGTGCTCTATTCAGGGCCTCACTGTATTGGTTTAAGCCCACCCACATTGAGGAAGGCAGTCTAATTCACTTTCTCATCTATCAATTTAAGAGTTCATCTCTTGCAGAAACACCCTCTCAGGCACATGAAGAAATAATGCTTAACCAGCTATCTACCAGCTATCTGGGCATCTTCTGATCCAATCAAGTTGACACATAAAATTAACTGTCAAAAAATCAAATGTATTTTTCTCACTGCATCCTCCTTGATATTTCTATATGGCATACAAACAAACAGATACCAAATACCTAAGAATAAGCATTAGAAATGTTTTTATAATAGAAATGTTCAGACCTATATCTTAAAAAGTATTAAGGGGGATGAGAGAAAGATCGAATACACTGAGAAACTTTCAATGCTACTGAAAGAGAAGACAATGTGGAAGAGCTATGTTCAACGTTTTGAATTAATTAAATCATTTTTAAAATTTTGCTGGCCGGGTGCAGTGGCTCACACCTGTAATCCCAGCACTTTGGGAGGCCAAGGCAGGCAGATCATGAGGTCAGGAGTTCGAGACCAGCCTGACCAACATGGTGAAACCCCATCTCTACTAAAAAAGTGTGTGCCTTTAGTCTCAGCTGCTCAGGAGACTGAGACAGGAGAATCGCTTGAACCCAGGAAGCAGAGGTTACAGTGACCCAAGATTGGGTCACTGCACTCCAGCCTAGGTTATAGAGTGGGACTCCATCTCAAAAAAAAAAAATTACTTAAAATTCCAAGTGTCTTAGTCAATTTGGGCTGCTACAACAAAGTATCCTAGATTGGGTGGCTTATAAACAAGACATTTATTTCCCATGGTTCTGAAGGCTGGAAGTTCAAGAGCAGGGTGCCAGCCTGGTTGGATTCTAGTGAGAACTCTCTTGTGGGTTACAGATTGCAGGCATTCCATTGTATCCTCACATGGTAGAAAGAGCACCAGAGAGCCTTCTGGTGTCCCTTTTATAATGACACTAACCCAGTTCATGAGGGCTCCATCCTCATTCCCTAATTGCCTCCCACAGTTCCCGCCTCCTAATACTATTGCATTGGAAGTTAGGATTTCTTTTGAGGCAAAACATTTAGTCCAGTGCACCAAATATAGTTTTGTCATTGTCCAAGTGTATTTTAATTTGAAAAAAAAAAGATAATATGTTTATTCTGGAATATTTAATGCTGAAAAACATGCATTAGAATATTTAATATGAAAATTTTGAAATAAAAGTAAAATACAGTTAGTAACATTGAAATTACATTATATAGCTATGCTATAGTGATTAATAGAAAACGGTAATTTTATAAAAAATAGTCAGTTTCATGTGAGGCAATAGATATCAAAGAAAAAATCCCCTCTACTGAGGATTTTATGTTGGTTACAACTTACTTTGATAGCAAAATGATATTTTTTTCTTATAAATGGTACAAAAACTATACATTTTGGGAAAATAATAAAAGATATCTCTACTTCCTGAAGTATGCCAAATAAACCTCAAACACATTTAATATTGAAATGTAAAATGTAACCCTAAATAATGTTCTGAAATAATAACACGAGAAAAACTATGGTAATTTGTGATGGAGTAGACATGACATCAGTATGTGTATATGTACACATATTTATTTATATAATGCACATGCATATGTACACATATATATGTGGTCATATAGTGCCTAACAATCTTTTGGTCAACAACGGACTGCATATACAATGGTAGTCCCATAAGATTATAATGGAGCTGAAAATTTCCCATCACCTAGTGATGTTGTAGCTATTGTAACATCACAGTGCAATACATTACTCATGTGTTTGTGGTAACACTGGTGTAAACAAACCTACAGCTCTGCCTGTTACACAAGAGTATAGCACATACAATTATGTATAGTACATAATACTTTGTAATGATAATAAACTACTGTTACTGGTGTATATATTTACTATACTGTACTTTTTCAGTTATTTTAGAGTGTATGCCTTCTACTTATTAAAAAACATTAACTGTAAAACCACATCAGGCAGGATCTTCATGAAGTGTTCCAAGAAAAGGCATTGGTCTAGGAGATGACATTTCCATGTGTGTTATTGCCCCTGACGGCTCTCCAGTAGGAAAAGATGTGCAGGTAAAAGACAGTAATATTGAAGATCCTCACTCTAGGTCTAGGCTAATGTGTGTGTTTGTGTCTTAGTTTTTAACAAAAATGTTTAAAAAGTAAAAAAAAAAAATACTAAATTTAAAAAGCTTATATAAAGAAAATACATTTGTACAGCTGTAATGTGTTTGTGTTTTAAACTGTTACTACAAAAGAGTCAAAAAGTTAAAAAATATTTAAATGTTTACAAAGTAAAAATGTTAGAATAGGCTAAGTTTAATGTATTATTGAAGAAACAAAAATATTTTAAATAAATTTAGTAAAGTCTAAATGCACACTATTTATGAAATCTACCTCAATGTACACCACATGTTACAGAAACCACGTTACTATACTGAATACTGTAGAGTTAATTGTAGCACAATGGTAAATATTTATGTATCTAAAAATAGAAAATTACAGTAAAAATATAATATAAAAGATTTTTTAAAAAGGTATACCTGTATAGGGCACTACCATGAACAGAGCTTGTAGGACCGGAAGTTGTCCTGGGTGAGTCAGTGAGTGAATAGTGAGTGAATGTGATGGCTTAAGATATTACTGCACATTGCTATAGGTTTCATAAACACTGTATACTTAGGCTTCACTACATTTATTAAAATATTTTTGTTTCTTTAATGATACACTAGTCTTAGCTTACTATAACTTTTTTACTTTGTAAACATTTAAATTTTTTTTTTAACTTTTTGACTGTTTTGAAGGAACTGGCAGGCTGCAACCTACACCTTGAGTCAGGCAAACAGCTAGAATACCCCAGAATGTGAGAAGGGGAGATACTGCTTCTGGGATACACACCCCCACCAGGGAGCCTGAAAGTCCAGGCCATGGGTCAAGACCTTAACCCTACCCAGCACAGGAGCCAATGTGGGGAGGCGCATGGAACATAAAAGTGGAGCATCTGCAGAAAGACTCCTGTGTGCACTCTCAGTCTCCAGCACAGACATAGGGAACCCATTCCTTATTGTTCTTCACAGGGGACCCAGTGGTGATCACACAAACAGTTCCAGCAGTGGTCACAGGTTAAAGGAAGCCCGCAAGTGGATTTCACAATATAACTTCAGGTGGGGACAAATCCCCTTGGGCAGGGGGGGAAAGAAGAGGGTGAGGGTGGGGGCAAGAGGTGAGTAAAAAAGCAGGCTGCAGCCAGCAGTGCAAAAGCTGGGCACTTGACTTTGCCAGCAGAGAGGGAGGGTCATGGTCTGAAAGCCATGGCTGCTATCTCTGTGGGCAAAGCTTATGACCTGGGACACTTGCAAGTTTTCAGTGCACGCTACCTGGAACTTAGCCTGCTGCTGTGAGTGGAACATTGTAGGAGTGGATCTGCCTCACCAAGTGCGTGGGATGTGTGTGAGGCCTACTGCTGCCTGCTCCTCTACACTCCCTGCACGAACTCTTCTGTGCAGCAGAGGCAGCAATGCTCCCATCAAGAACATCAACCTAGCGGCCTAAGAAATGCCCCTGTCTGTCCCCCTGTCCCCAACACCCACTATGGCTGCTGGCTGCCTTGCACACAGAGTGTCAGAGTGCAAACCTGCCTGACCCGGCCCCACCTGACTTTGTGCCACCTCCTGCCCTGGTAGCTTAACACAAAGGACAGAAACTTTTGGGAGCTATATGGTCCTGCCCATTGCCAGAGAAATCACTCTATTTCCCACCCACTCCCCTCTCCCCACCCAGCAACATAAGGCAAACAAAAACCCCACTGTGACTACGGCAGCCGATATCTCATAATTGGAGGCCAACCAATGAAGTCCATTATAGCATCTCCTGGTAGAAAAACACTGAGCCCATGAAGGAAAAAAAAAAAAAAAAAATGGACGACTCTGTAACCTTAGCTATCACCATTCCCTGCACCACTCTGGCGAACAAGGAGTTCCTGAGTTCATCTATGTGACCAGTTCATTACTACTATAATCAGAACTTGAAAAAGCCAACATAGTAAGCTATTTACAACCAGGGAATCTCACAGAGTCTACAGCACTCCCCTGCCATTCCCATTAAAGCTGATGCTGCTATCCACTGTGGGGAAGACTTGAGGACAGGTCACATCACTGAATCTCCTGTAGACAATCACCCGCACCAGCATGGAGTGTGGCAACTTCACTGGGCAGCTAGACACAGAGGAGCAACAACATTCACAGTAGTCTGGATCCTGGGGACTTTCTCTCCTAGAGGAAGGGAGAGTGTACCATATCAGGAGAGCACCCCATGAGAAAAAATAATCTGGACAGCAGGCCTTGAGCATCAGATCTTTCCACTGGTGGAAAGTTTCTCTCAACAGAGACAGTTGCAGTGCTGAGCTCAGCGGGGAACAACTGCAGCTCTAACCCAACAGACAGCCATGGTGTACGTGAAGGGTCTTGGAGAAAGGAATGTCTTTTCCCCATTGCCCACCACTGCAGGCACAATTGGGGCTTCTCCTATGGGAGCTTGGCATGGGTGCAACTATAGACAGCCTTTTTGGAACATGTCAGGGTGACTGCATTCTCACAGGAGGAGCACCCTCCAGGTTCAGGCTGGCATGAGACAGAGTGACAGTTCCTCTCTACTTGGAACATCAACATTCCTACAGATGAAAAGAGGTGCCTGGCTGATCTGACTAGCTGGAGCACTGGAATAGGAATGTGTCTGAGAGGAGGATTGCTTTCCTCCTTGCCTCACAGGGGAGCTGAGGTGGCTCCAACCCTTCCCCCTGATAAGACCTCAGTGTGACTCACTGAGAGCTCCTCCAGTCACCTCCGTCAAGGCTGAAACCTCTGCCCACGACTGGGTATTACATATACTTACTTGCTTTAGCCACAACAAATTCCTACCCAGGGTTATCTTCCCTACTGGTCTGAAGCCTGAACCACCAAACCAGTAAATAAAATATTGAGGAAAATTACATAAATAAAAAAGCGCACACCACAGGGGAATGAGGTAAATTTCAAGAGACATTTACCATTCCAACTCTATAAGAGACAGCGAACTTGCTCACACACTGAGCCCATTGCTACCACAACTAGCAAATGAGAAAGCCAACCTACAAGGACTATTTATAATCAAGGCACTCTAACAGAGACTTCATCCCTGAAAGCATGAAGAATCAAATTAGGCTATAATTAACTATAAGAATTATTGAGATCATCATGTGATTTTTTTTTTAGTTAACTATAGCCTAATTTGTTTCTTGATGCTTTCAGGGGTGAAGACTCTGTAAGAGTGCCTTGGTTATAAACAATCTTTGTAGAACGGCTTTCTACAAAATTCAGCATCCTTTATGATTAAAAGCCTCAGCAAAATCGGCATACAAGGTACATATCTTAATGTAATAAAAGCCATCTATGACAAACTCACAGCCAACATAATACTGAACAAGGAAAAGTTGTTGAAAGCATCCCCACCTGTGAACTGGAACAAGACAAGGATGCCCACTGTCACCACTTCTATGCCTCATAGTAATGGAAGTCCTAGCCAGAGCAATCAGACAAGAACAAGAAATAAAGGGCATTCAAATTGGTAAAAAGGAAGTCAAATTGTCACTGTTTGCTGATGATATGATTGTCTACCTAGAAAACCCTAAAGACTCCGCCAAAAGTCTCCTATAACTGATAAATGAATTCAGCAAAGTTTCAGGATACAAAATTAATGCACACAAATCAGTAACTCTTCTATACACCAACAGCAACCAAGGAAAACTACAAAACACTGCTGGAAGAAATCATAGATGACACAAACAAATGGAAACACTTCCCATGCTCACAGGTGAGTAGAATTAATATTGTGAAAATGACCATACTGCCAAAAGCAATCAACAAACCCAATAAAACTCCCATCCAAATACCACCATCATTCTTCACAGAACTAAAAAAAAATCATAATATTCATATGGAACCAAAAAAAGAGCCCGCATAGCAAAGACTAAGCAAAGCAAGACTAAGCAAAAAGAACAAAGTTGGAGGCATCACATTACCTGACTTCAAACTATACTATAAGGGCATAGTCATCAAAACAGCATGGTACTGGTGTAAAAATAGGCACATGGACTAATGGAACAGAATAGAGAACCCAGAAAGGAAGTCAAATACTTACAGCCAACTGATCTCTGACAAAGCAAACAAAAGCATAAAGTGGAGAAACGATACTATATTCAACAAATGGTGCTGGGATAACTGGCAAGCCAGATATAGAAGAATGAAACTGGATCCTCATCTCTCACCTTAAACAAAAATCAACTCAAGATGAATCAAGGACTTAAATCTAAGGCCCGTAACCATAAAAATTCTAGAACATAATGTCATAAAAACCCTTCTAGACATTGGCTTAGGCAAAGACTTCATGACCAAGAACCCAAAAGCAAACAAAAACAAAGATGAACAGATGGTACTTAAACTAAAAAGCTTCTGCAATCAGCAAACAGACAACCCACTGAGTGGGAGAAAATGTTTACAATCTATACATCCATTAGAGGACTAGTATCCAGAATCTACAAGGAAGTCAAGTGAATCAGCAAGAAAAAAAAACAAACAAACTGATCAAAAAGTGGGCTAATAATATGAATAAATAATTCTCAAAAGAAGATCTACAAATGGCCAACAAACATGAAAATACGCTCAACATCATTAATCATCAGGGAAACACAATTTAAAATCACAATGAGATACTACCTTACTCCTGTAAGACTGGCCATTATAAAAAAGTCAAAAACAACAGATGTTGAGATGGATGTGGGGAAAATAAAATGCTTATACACTGCTGGTGGGAATATGAATGAGTAGAACCTCTATGGAAAACAGTATGAAGATTCCTTAAAGAGCTAAATTAGATCTACCAATTGATCCAACAATCCCACTACTGGGTATCTACCAAAAGGAAAAGAAGTCATTATATGAAAAAGACATTTGCATGCATATGTTCATAGCAGCACAATTCACAATTGCAAAAAGGTGGAGCCAACCTAACTGCCCATTGACTAATGTGTGCATGAAGAAAATGTGGTATACATACACCATGAAATACTACTCAGCCATAAAAAGGAACAAAATAGTATCTTTTGCAGCAACTTGAATGGAGCTCGAGGCCGTTATTCTAAGCGAAGTAACACAGGAGTGGAAAATCCAAAACCGTATGTTCTCATTTGTAAGTGGAAGCTAAGCTATGAGTATTCAAAGGCACACAGAGTAACATAATGGACTTTAGAGACTCAGAAGCGGGAGAATGGGAGGGGGACTAGGAATTTAAAAACTACATATTATGTACAATGTGCACTACTCTGTACTATGTAGTAAAATGTACTAAAAGCTCAGAATTCATCACTATATAATTCACCCATTTAACAAAGAACTTGTACCCCAAAAGCTATTGAAATAATTCTTTTTAAAAAATCAGTTAAATAAAATAACAAGAGAAATGTGTAAAGGATGTATAAAGTTTACAATACAAAATGCCAAAATATATAAATATATACCTTTATTACTATACATGCATAAACATATACGAGTTAAATCTGCAATGGAATTTTTATCTGTCAAAATTGCAAAGATTAAAAAAACAAGAACTTGTGCTTGAATGTTCAGGATTCATGAACAGAATTCAAGAAAATTTGCTGATAATCAGTACAATGTGAAAATAGTTCCAATGAGCATAAATGGGTGAATGAATAAACAAAATGAGATATATTCTTACAATAGAATATTATCATTAAGCAACAAAACGGAATAAAGTACTTATACATGTTATATCATGAGTGTACCCTGAAACCATTATGCTTAATAAAATAAACTAGACACAAAAGGCCACAACTGTATAATCCAATTAATATGATATGTCCAGAAGAGTAAAATCTATAAAAACAGAAAGTAGACTAGTGGTTGTCAGGGACTGAGCTCAAGGAGTGAGAGGGTGGTGGGATAAGCCATTTGTAGTACTTATCCCATTGCATTGCGTCTAACTGCTAGGTGTCCACTATAGTTTGAGCTGTTCGTAAAACATGGATTTATCCTTAACAAAGATAAATAAAATAAAACCACATTATCTAACAAAATGTGGTTTAATTACAATATAATATACAATTATAAGATTGTTTAGTCAACTGAATGAGATTATTTATGTGTAAAAAGTCCTTCACTTATTACTGTTGGTTTGAACATCCCTGTTGAACATGTCAGTATTAAGCCAACTTCCTCAAGCATTTCTGCTTTCTCTATTTCAGCACTTGTCACAAGTAGACTTTGAACAGCCCTTCCCAGTTGCTCTGGACTATAATTAAGAATTATAGAATAACACCTCCCCAAACTAGGTCTTCATTCTTGGTCAAAACCTCATGTGCTAACAGCCGTAAAAAAAAAAAAAGCAAAACATTAATGTATTATTTTAAAACCACCAGAAACAGATGTTACAAATTCATGTTAAATAAAATGCTCTTTATTCTGGAGGTCACTTTAAGCAAGATAAATGTAGCATCTGTTCCATAATTCCTCAGAACATTAAAATCAGGAAAATAGTAGGAGGAGACTGGAGACACAGAGTACTGAGAAGTGACGGCCTAGAAGCAAAAAAAAAAAGCACAGTGCTCTGGGACAATTTACAGCAAGATAAAAGAGTCCCATAAACCTCAATAGCTCCTGGGACTGTCACTGTATTAATGTAGTGCAAACCAATAATAGATGTCTGTGTTTGATGATGAAACACTTAAACAAGATAAATTATGCTTCTTGGAAAAATGACAACCTAAAGACACGCATTTACATCCTCTCTTCCCAAACTCACTGATAGAGACAAAGGAAAATATTAAAATGCATAAAGTGTCAGATAGTGCTCAAAAACTAAAGCATGATTCCACGTACAGAATTTGCTTTAAGCAGTATCAATCAATGAAGTCAAATGGAAGAAGATATTAAAATGACCCCCAGCCTCCAACTTTAATATGACGTTTCTATGTGGCAGTCAACAGAAGAGATGATCATGATGATGATAATGCCCCTTTACAACCATTAATTTGAGAGATCAGGGTGAGCCATTGGACAAATGAAGATGTCTTATTTTGGATTCCTTTCTCTGCTGAAAAAAATCAACAACATTGGAGAACCCAAGGGCAAATATGACCATATTGAATAGAAGGATGCTAATTTATTTTTGGCTATAAGTTTAATAATAATAATAATGTTTAGAAAAGAGTCCCATTGTAAATGGGGTATGAATTCTAGACCAAAGAAATAAAGGAAGAGGAGGAGGAGGAGAATGAAGACAAGGAGAAGGAGAGGGAAGAAGAGGAGAAAGATATGGAAATATGATTCAGTGGTTCCAAGGAGCAAAGAAAAACTACACAAAGGATCCTGCTGCGTATTCTTGCAGATTGATCTCATATTCCTTAGTTCACTAAACATGAATAGAGATTTAAAGATCAAATACAATAATATGAAGCAGATATCAGACACGCACTATAAAAGGCCTATTCTTTTTATGGTCAATGCATCAACATAATCTCCAGATTTAAAGAGTGCTTAATAGTATACTCCCTAAATACTGACTGTAGGAAATACATATAGTAAGTAATATAATATAATCTATATGAAGTAAATATTAAATGCTTTGAAAGAGTGATATAAGGAATGACAAAGATCTAAGTTTTATATGCAAAGTGGTTATGATGATGACTGTTAAAATATACTATTTTATACTAATAATATTGTAAATTATGGCTTTCCAATTTAAATTCTTAGGGTTATGGCATCTGATTTGATACAAGAATAAAGAAAAAATGAGTATTCTTAATTGGTATCATCTCTAAAACAATGCTGTAATTTCTGGAGCAAAAAAGTCATGGTGCAAGCATTTAATAAAAATGTTTCAATAATTATCAGATTTATTTTAAAATAACTAAGATTTCCCACATGAAACAGGAGTTAGGGATGAGGATGCTACTGTGACAAAAATGTCCATAAGTGTAGAACGTAGGACAAAATATTCTAATTTTAGAAAACTAAAATCTGTCTTCAAAAAGAACATTCTCTTGCTTCCTAAAGAAAAGATCCTGAGAGCTTAGGGCAAGATGAAAACAATACAATAAGAGGGTTGGTATTTTTAACATTACCAAATTATTTCTGGCATTCCAAAGAGCACACATCTACACTTGTCTTAACTGCCTTCAAAAAGAGGAAGACAGGATCTACCTTTTGCCTTAGAGAGATTGGGACACACATATGTTTTCCTGATTAGAAAAGGTGAATTCTACTAATATTAAAATTTGAAACATTTTATGTGTTCATGTCTTACTGACTCGTAAAAAATTATCCTTGATTCATTCTACATTCTTCACCAAAAAAATTCAGAATTACTTTTACTTATTTGAAAAGCAATAGAAAAATATTTTTAGAAAAAAGATGTGCAAATATTTGTTCTCTTTTACTCAACTTCTAAGGACAGATGATTATAGACAGAGCTTTCAGAAAACTGCGAAAGCTGACCAAGTTGACCGGGCGCAGTGTCTTATGCCTATAATCCCAGCACTTTGGGAGGCTGAGGTGAGCAGATCACCTGACATCAGGAGTTTGAGACCAGCCTGGCCAACATGGTGAAACCCCGTCTCTACTAAAAATACAAAAAAAGTAGTGAGGCGTGGTGGTGCATGCCTGTAGTCCCAGTTACTCAGGAGACTGAGGCATGATAATCACTTGAACCCAGGAGGCAGAGGTTGCAGTGAGCTGAGATCATGCCACTGCACTCCAGCCTGGATGACACAGTGAAACTCCGTCTCAAAAAAAAAAAGAGTGAAACTCTGTCAAAACACACACACACACACACACACAAACTGCTAAAGTTAGAACAAGATGATCAGAGTGAAAAACCATCATTGCAGAAACATGAGAGAACTTTCTCCATGATTTTAAGGAGGAGGCTATATTTATAAAACTAGAGTAGGTTATATGCTCCTGAATGACTCCTGGGTACATAATGAAATTAAGGCAGAAATCAAGAAGTTCTTTGAAACCAGTGAGAACAAAGAAACTACTTACCAGAATCTCTGTGATACAGCTAAAGCAGTGCTAAGAGGGAAATGTATAGCACTAAATGCCCACATCAGAAAGCTAGAAAGATCTCAAATTAACACTCTAACATCACAATTAAAAGAGTCAGAGAGGCAAGAGGAAAGTAATACAAAAGCTAGCAGAGGACAAGCAATAACTAAGATCAGAGAAGAACTGAAGGAGATAGAAACATGAAACCCCCCCCCCAAAAAAAAAAAATCAACGAATCCAGGAACTGGTTTTTTGAAAAAAAAATTAACAAAATAGATAGACAGCAAGGTAGAATAATAAAAAAGAGAGAGAAGAATCAAATAGACACAATAAAAATGATAAAGGGGATATCACGACTGACCCCACAGAAATACAAACTACCATCAGAGAATACTATAAACACCTCTATACAAATAAACTAGAAAATCTAGAAGAAATGGATGAATTCCTGGATATATACACCCTACCAAGACTAAACCAGGAAGAAGTTGAATCCCTGAATAGACCAATAAGAAGCTCTGATATAGAGGCAGTAATTAATAGCCTACCAACCAAAAAAAAAAGCCCAGGACCAGATGGATTCACAGCTGAATTCTACCAGAAATACAAAGAGGAGCTGATATCATTCCTTCTGAAACTTTTCCAAACAATTGAAAAGGAGGGACTCCTCCTAACTCATTTTATGATGCCAGCATCATCCTGGTACCAAAACCAGGAAGAGACACAACAAAAAAAGAAAACTTCAGGCCAATATCGTTGATGAATATTGATATAAAAATCCTCAGTACAATACTGGCAAACCAAATCCAGCAGCATATCAAAAAACTTATCCACCACAATCAAGACATGGATGAAGCTGGAAGCCATTATCCTCAGCAAACTAAAACAGGAACAGAAAACTGAACACTGCATGTTCTCACTCATAAGTAGGAGGTAAACAGTGAGAACACATGGACACAGGGAGGGGAACAACACACACCAGGGCCTGTTGCAGGGTTGGGGGTGAGGGGGTGAGACTTAGAGGATGGGTCAACAGGTGCAACAAACCACCATGGCACATGTATACCTATGTAGCAAACCTGCACGTTTTGCACATGTATCCCTATTCTTTTTTTTAGAATAAATAAAGAAAAAAAAGAGTAAGTTTCAGTACACAAGAAAAAAAACAGAGAATAATTTAGAGACAGGAATATAAAATACTGAGAAAAGATAATCTGACAGTTTTTTAAACATGAGATTTTAAATTTTATGACTGAATCCAGGACCCTAAGACCAGGTAAATGCCCTCTCATTGAAGCCAGTCTTATTCACTGAATACCCATTGATTTCCCATCTGACCAGCTGTGGCCATCTTTGGATATTTCAGTGGACGTTCTTATGCAGGCTTCACTCTTTCTTTCTTCAGGCTGTTGCTAAAATAGTCTCTCCTCTGAATCTACCCAGTTATTCTATAAGTCCTCAATGTCATCAATAGGTTCTTGGAAACTGTGACTTTAAGTGAAATGACTGTAAATAAACATTTTTTCCCCTTACCAGTGTTACAAGGAAAGGACATTTATGGAAACAACATTCTTTGGAGGACATGTCGTTTCAATTAAAGTCACAGTCCCCAAGAACCCATTAGTGACAACAAATGAGGATTTATTCTAAAGCATATCTAAGAGTTCATCCTTTTCTTTCTAAAAAATTCAAAAACAATTAATACTTCTTAAAAATAACTTACTTCAATAATAAAAAAGAAATAGAAACAATGAGGCTGTGCTCAGTGCCTCACATTTGTAATCCCAGCACTTGGGAGTCTGAGGCGGGTGGATTGCTTCAGCCCAGAAATTCAAGACCAGCCTGGCCAACATGGTGAAACCCTGTCTCTACAAAAATACAAAAATTACCGGGTGTGGTGATGGTGCCTGTAGCCCCAGCTACTTGGGAGGCTGAGGCAGGGGGATTGCCTGAGCTGGAGAGGTTGAGGTTGCAGTGAGCTGAGATTGGGCCACCGCACCCCAGCCTGGGTGAAAGAGCAAGACCCTACTCACAAAAAAGAAGAAAGAAAGAAAAGAAGGAAGGAAGGAAGGAGAAACATTTATAGGATTAATTCAGAAAATCAATATTTTACTATTATAATTTCTATGAGTTATACACAGAATTAATATACAGTAAAAGGACTTTTTTTTGAACTGAGATAATACTTAAATTTTCTTATTAAAAGGATCTACCATGATAGGAGTATTGAACAAATATATTCAAATACACATAAGCTCATAAAACTCCTGAATTTGAATTTTAAAGAGGGGCAATATGTTCTATTCTATAGTGGCTAAAAGAATGAGCTTTGGGTTCACATTAACCCTTCAATTCCCTGGTTTACTAGTCACTAGTTATGAGACATTGGGGAAATTACTCTATCTCTGTAAGCCTAAATTGTCTCATCTGTGTAACTGAGGTATTAATAGTATCTACATTACAGTATCGTTGTAAGAATTAAATGCAACATAAATGTGAAGCAGATGCTATAGCACCTGACGTACTTCAGAAGGCTAGTAATGCACATTTCAAGTACTCAAAGTCCCTCTCCTCTCTCTCTCTGTCTTCACACACACACGCGTGTGCACACCCCTCCCCCCCACCCCACACACACAGGTCACAAGAAAAAGTAAAAATATTTTGAATTTAATAAGAAAGTCACAATTTTGAGTCAGAGAAAACAATGCCTAAAGAAAAATATATTGCATTTAATTTTTATATAAGACAATAAGAAAAATTCAAAACCAAATTTAAAGAATCTAAAAGTCTACCTTGGAAAACAACAAAAAAAGGGCAAATTAAATTCATTGCAGGCAGAGTAAAGGAAGTAATAAAGGTAAAAGAGGGTATCACTAAGATTATAAGAACAAAAAATAGGAAGACATTAATGAAACTGAAAGTTGCTTCTTTGATTATAATAAGAGATCAATATTGATAATAAAACTCTACCAAAATCAACTGAGAAAAAAAATAAGTAGGTAAATCCTAACTACCAATATTAGTAATGAGAGAGAGGAAAAAAAAAATATATATATATATATACACTTAAAGACAATAAAAGGCAAATGATGAAAAATTAATCATGCATTTATTTGTATTAGTCCATTCTCACACTGCTATGAAGAAATACCCAAGACTGGGTAATTTATAATGGAAAAAGGTTTAATTGACTCACAGTTCCTTATGGCTGGGGAGGAAACTTAAAATTGTGGTGGAAGGCACCTCTTCACAGGGAAGCAGGAGACAGAATGAGCATCCAGTGAAGGGGGAAGCCTTTTATAAAATCATCAGATATCGTGAGAACTAACTGACTATCATGAGAACGGGATGGGGGGTAAACACCCCCATGATTCAATTACCTCCCACTGGGTCCCTCTCAGACACGTGGGGATTATGGAAACTACAATTCAAGATGAGATTTGGGTGAGGACATAGCCAAACCATAACACTTATGCCCCAAAATTCTGATATCTTAGAGGAAATGAACAAATTCCTTAGAAGACATAAACTACCATAGTTCACTCACTGATAATTAGATAACTTGGATAGCACTACACTTGTTTAAAAATGTAATTTATGGTTTAAAACCTCTAGTCACAGGTGGTTGCATTATTAAATTCAATCAAATATTTAATAAAGAAATGGCATCAATTCTGAAATTAAGGAAAAAGGAACACTTCCAAATTTATTTTATGAAATCATTATTGCCCTGATACAAATGCATTCAAAGATTTTATAAGAGAAGAAACTATAAGAGACCTTGAGGAAATATATCTTCAGGAATCCTTAATGAAATATTAGCTAATTAAATTTACCAATATATAAAAAATGTAACACTGGAAGACCAAATGGAATTTACCCCCAAAATACAAGGTTTGCTTAACATTTTTAAATCAATCAAAGTAAATCACCATATTGACGTAGTTATGAAGAACAATCTTACAACTCTCTCAATATATACAGAAAAAGCATTTGGCAAAATCTCCCACCCACTTGTGATTAAAATTATCACCAACATTGGAATAGAAAAGAACATTCACATTATAATACAAAGACTCTGACAAAAATCTACAGTTAAAATAATATTTAATGGTAAAAGACCAAATTACTTTCTCCTATGGTTAAATATATGCTCCACAATGTGCTGGCAAATCCATCATGCAATGAAGCAAGATTAAAAAGCAAATAAAAGATGCACAGATAGCAAAGGAAAAATCAAAATTATATTAATTTGTTAATCACCTTATTATGTACAAAATAATAAGTTACCAAGATAGCTACAGGAATTAATAAAAGAATTAAATAAATAAATAAAAGAATTTACCAAAGTCACAGGATATAAAGCTAATATGCAAAGTTTGGTTGCATTTTCTATCAACTTGCTATTTAAAAATTAGAAAATTGAAAATTAAAAGATGTCACTTATTACATCAAAACTGTGAAAATTCACCTATATGCTTAACAAAAGACACACAAGGGATATATGTATGATAACTTTGTATGTTAAAAATTATAAAACACTGATGAAAAAAGATGTTAACAAATGATTATAGACTGTAAGACTCAGAATTAAGTTGCAAATGCTTTCCAAATTTATCTATAGATTGAATGCACTTTATATGAGAAAACAAAAAACCTTGAATAGCCATACCTATTTTCAGAGGAAAAATGTGGAGAGCTTACACTGCCTGGCTTACACTACAGTAAATAAGACAGTGTGGAATTGGCATAAAATAGACACGTGGATAATGGAACATAACCATATACACAATATATAAAAGTTATGACCTATTTGGAATAATATTTTATCCTCATTTACTATTGTAATATTTTCTGAGTTGTAGTAGTTGTATTAATTTTTTTTGATATTCTGGGTATAATACGTATTAATCACAATTAGTAGTTGTTTCATATCAGCGTTTATTTTTTAGACTATATTTTTAAATTTCCTAAATGTGTTAATTAGTACCTCTAATACAATGTTCAATAATAATTGTATTTTTCTGCAACCTTCTTTTTATATTTTACTTTAATGAGGACATTTCTAACATTTTGCTATTAGTACAAACTATTATGGTTTATGGATATTATGTAGACATATATATATATACACCATTATATATAATGTAGACATGACATTATGTAGACATATATTATATATATAAAATATATATAAAATATTCAGATGTACCCATCTCTCCCTCTTTTATGGATTCCTGAGAGTAACTGTTACAATTTATCAGAAACATTTCCAGATTCCAAGAAAATAATCACTTTTTGTAATTATTAGTATGGTAAATTAGATTGCTTAAATTTAAAACATTTATGTATTATTGACATGAAAAAATGGTCTTAGTGGATTCTTCCTCTAATGTACCCTAAATTGTACTAATGTACTAAAATTGCTAACATTTTACTTAGGAATCTTACATCAGAATTCATTAGAGATTGCTCTCTGGTTTCTGTTTTACAATCAATGTAAGGTTGGGCTATTGAGACAATAAATGCCTCATAATTTTTTTCTTCTTTTTCTATTCTTTAGGCCAGTGTTAAAAAGCATGGAAATTATGGTCTGTTAAATTATCTAAGATTTATGTATTTATTTCTATAAAGATGAGAGTAGTAGCTCTTTGACAGCCTAATTACTTATATGAAAATCCATCTGTTTAAATTTTCTATATCTAGGAATTTTTTAAACGTTCTCCATACTATCCGGCTTTTCAAATTATGTTGCGTACAGTTGAACAAACTACTCTATTTTAGCTTTTATTTTCTGCTGTGATTATATTCTGTTTATTATTGTTATTTTTACATATTTCTATCCATCTATTTTTTAATTACATTAGTTAATGATTTATCCAACTATCTGTTATTTGATAATCCAGCTTTCACATTGTTTTTAGTGCTACATTTTTTCATTTTCACAATTTATTTATTTCATCCTCATATTTTTAATGTTTACCTTCAGTTTATGGTAGTTTGTTCCAAATATTCAGTCAAGTGGCTATTTCAGTTGTCTTAATTCTCTCATTATTATTAAAATGAGCAATTTGGGTTTAAGATATGAATTTTTTTTTTTGAGGCAGGATCTCATTCTGTCACTCAGGCTGATGTGCAGTGGTGCGAATATAGCTTGCTGTGCGCTCAAATGATACTACTGCCTCAGCCTCCTGAATAAGTAGGGCTACAGGGACAGGCCACCATGCCTGGCTAATTTTTGTGTTTTTGTTTTGTTTTGTTTTGATTTGTGTGTCGGGAGATCTTGCTATGTTACTAAGGCTGGTCTTGAATTCTTAGCCTCAAAGTGGTCCTCCTGCCATGGCCTACCAAAGCATTGGGATTACAGTTATGCACCACCATGCTTGGCCATGAATATTCTTTTAATCATAGGTTTGGCCATATTCCTTAGTTACAAAATAAAATGTATTCATTTTGCTTCATTTCACTTTCATGACCTGGAAACTGTTTTAGAAAAAAGTTTTTGAAATATTTTAAATGCCCAGGTAGAATGATCATTTCGTTTGTGGATTTTCTTTTTTTGTTTTATTTATTTATTTATTTATTTATTATTATACTTTAAGTTTTAGGGTACATGTGCACAACGTGCAGGTTAGTTACATACGTATACATGTGCCATGTTGGTGTGCTGCACCCATCAACTCGTCATTTAGCATTAGGTATATCTCCCAATGCTATCCCTCCCCACTCCCCCTACCCCACAACAGGCCCTGGTGTGTGATGTTCCCCTTCCTGTGTCCACGTGTTCTCATTGTTCAATTGCCACCTATGAGTGAGAACATGCGGTGTTTGGTTTTTTGTCCTTGTGATAGTTTGCTCAGAATGATGGTTTCCAGCTTCATCCATGTCCCTACAAAGGACATGAACTCATCGTTTTTTATGGCTGCATAGTATTCCATGGTGTATATGTGCCATATTTTCTTAATCCAATCTATCATTGTTGGACATTTGGGTTGGTTCCAAGTCTTTGCTATTGTGACTAGTGACTCAATAAACATACGTGTGCATGTGTCTTTATAGCAGCATGATTTACAATCCTTTGGGTATATACCCAGTAATGGGATGGCTGGGTCAAATGGTATTTCTAGTTCTAGATCCTTGAGGAATCGCCACACCGACTTCCACAATGGTTGAACTAGTTTACAGTCCCACCAACAGTGTAAAAGTGTTCCTATTTCTCCACATCCTCTCCAGCACCTGTTGTTTCCTGACTTTTTCATGATTGCCATTCTAACTGGTGTGAGATGGTATCTCATTGTGGTTTTGATTTGCATTTCTCTGATAGCCAGTGATGATGAGCATTTTTTCCTGTGTTTTTTTGGCTGCATAAATGTCTTCTTTTGAGAAGTGTCTTATTAATTTCTAAATTAATTACATGCTTTTCTGAGAATGTATAATATTTCCATTTTAAAATTTATTCAAGTTGACTTTGAAAGTAAGTATGCAATTACATGTTGTGTACTTGTATATCATATGCTATTTTAATATATGATTATAATTATTAACCTAGAACATTTAACCTGTATATTCTGAGACTCATTTTTATATGTTAAACTCTCTAAAATTGACATCTATCAATGAAAAAGATGTACTACAATTGTAAGCAGCAGCATATTTTCTGTTTTAATGGACACTTCTTGCCACTGATGGAATTTTAGATTCAGGAAATGTAATAGTCCAATTATGTGACTATTCCCTAGACTCTCCATCTTTGTTTTATAGTATATGAGTTATCTATGTGTGCTGTAAAAAATCACCACAAACTTGATGACACTACACAACCAAAATTTATTCTCTCACAGTTCTGGGGGCCAAGAGTCCAAAATCAAGATGTTGGCAGGGCTGCACTCCCTCCAGAGAGGCTGGGGAAGAAATCTTTTCTTATCTCTTCTAATTTCTGGTGGCTGCTAGCATTCCTTGCCATTCTTAGGCCCGTGGCTATATTATTCTAATATTTCTCCAGTTTCGCATAGTCTCCTTTTGTGTGTCTAATCTCCTGTCTCTCTAAATGCACTTTTGATGACATTTACAGCTAACCCAGATAATCCACAATAATTTCCTCATCTCAAATTCCTTAACAAGCACAAATGCAAAGATTCTTTTTCCAAGTAAGATAACATTCACAAGTTCTGAGAATTAGGATTTGAAGTCTGTCAGAGCCTTTACCAGCCTACCACCCATAGGTTTTACAGCATAGCAATCAAATCTATTTCATTAATTGTAGGTTGGCTATGGACTTCTTTAAATTTTCCATATTTTCTTGAAGAAAGAAGTATATATATTTTTTAGCTGTAAGTGTACTTTTATCTTTTCCCTTTGTAATCCCCACTATTTTTAAATGAATGTTCATATTATTTTATAGTACAATGACCAAAAAATTATAATTGCCATAGTTCTTGTGAATAATATATTTTGGTGTTAGAAATTGTCCTGTCCTTTTATTTAAAAGTTTGATCAGAATCATCTTTATTTAATATTAAGCCCTGATTACTGAATATTTTAATTACTTACATAAGCTTGTGTATCTTTGCCCCTCCTTTTATTTTATTGACACATAATAATTTCACATATTCACGGTGTACATAATGATGTTTCAATACATATAATGTATACTGATCAGATCAGAGTAATTAGCATATTGGCAATTTCAAATATTTATTATTTCTTTGTGTTGGGAACATTAGATATCCTCCTTCTAGCTACCGGAATCTATGTATCATTGTAAACTACAGTCAGCCTACAGTAGTAAGGAAAACCAGGTTTTCCTCCCAATAAGCTATAATTTTGTATCCTTTAACAAATCTCTCCTTATCCCTCCCTTCCCCCTACTTTTCCCAGACCCTAGTATCCTCTGTTCTACTTTTTACGTCTATGAGATCAACTTCTTTCTAGCTTCCATATTTGAGGGAAAACATGCAGTGTTTAACATTCTGTTCCTGGCTGATTGATCCTTTTATTTTCAATCTTTTTTTTTTTTTTTTTTTTTTTTTGAAACGGAGTCTCGCTCTGTTGCCCAGGCTGGAGTGCAGTGGTGCCATCTGGACTCACTGCAAGCTCCGCCTCCCGGGTTCACGCCATTCTCCTGCCTCAGCCTCCCGAGTAGCTGGGACTACAGGTGCCCACCACCACTCCCGGCTAATTTTTTTGTATTTTTAGTAGAGACGGGGTTTCACCGTGTTAGCCAGGATGGTCTCAATCTCCTGATCTCGTGATCCACCTGCCTCGGCCTCCCAAAGTGCTGGGATTACAGGCGTGAGCCACCGTGTCTGGCCTATTTTCAATCATTATACTATACCTCAGATATTTTTTTTCTTGTAGCATAGGGTTGGATATTATGATGTAATATGAAAATATGCCCCTTTAAATAGGGAGAGATCTTAGTTACATATACTGATAATGGTAAATACATTTGGTCTTAATTTTACTAGTCTATATTATATCTCCTGTTTTTATGGGTTCTCGGTTCATCCTATGTTTGTTTACTTTGTTATTTGTATGCAACCCTTCTGAGAGTTAAAAAGATTTCTATTTTGTGCTCCACTGGTTATAGTCATCATTTTATTTTATTTAATTAATTAATTAATTTATTTATTATTATTATTTTTAGATGGAGTGTCGCTCTGTTGCCAGGCTGGAGTGCAGTGGCACAATCTCTGCTCACTGCAACCTTCGCCTCCCAGGTTCAAGCAATTCTCCTGCCACAGCCTCCTCAGTAGCTTGGACTATAGGCATGCGCCACCACACCTAGCTAATTTTTGTATTTTTAGTAGAGACGGGATTTCACCATGTTGGCCAGGATGGTCTCCATCTCTTGACCTCATGATCCGCCCACCTTGGCCTTCCAAAGTGCTGAGATTACAGGCAAGAGCCACTGCACCCGGCAGTCGTCATTTTATTATATAAAACCCTTAATTTTCTAGTTATTCCAACAATATACACTATTTCAGAAATTGAAAATTATAAAATTAAAATGTTTCCCTTTACTATTCCCTTTTCTTACTGTTCACTTATATTATTCAATATGGTTATACCTGATTTATTTGATGTGACTTTTAGTTATGTAGATGAGACAATCATCAAACTACTCTAGCTACTAAGAATGTGAATAGTGGCTGACACAGTTTGAATGTTTGTCCCCTCCAAATCTCATGTTAAAATGTAATTTCCAGTATTGGAAGTGGGGCCTGTAAGGAGGTGTTTGGGTCATGGGGGAGGATCCCTCATAAACGCATAGGTGCTGACCTCAGGGTAGTGAGCTCTCATGAGATCTGGTTGTTTAAAAGTGTGTGACACCACTCTCCTCTTGCCATATGATGTTCCTGCTCCACGTTTGCCTCCTGCCACAATTATAAGATTCCTAAGGCCTCATCAGAAGCCCAGCAGATGTTGGTGTCATGCTTGTACAGCTTGACATGCGGAACTATGAGCCAATTAAACCTCTTTTGTTTATAAATTATCCATCCTGAAGTATTTCTTTAAAGCAGCACAAGGATTATCTAAAACAGTGGCCTTGCTGGCAGCCACCAATATTCCTAAACAATGCTTAGACAAAACCACACTGCAGCTATGTTGCGAACAGGAAAGAAACAAAGCCACTCTTCAGACACAAAAATTTACTAAACATTCCCCTGATGATGACTAATGTGATTGATTGCTGTTTCAGTACCAATAAGAACTCTAGCTGGAGCAATTAACCTCCCACCTACTAGATTGAATATATTAAAATATCCTATTATCAAATGTCCCCCATTTCTTGACGGCATCCAATCATTCCTCACTCCACTGCTTTTCCTTAATCCTGAATCAGAATCATCCAGCAGGAACCTGTCTCCTATAGGAAGCCCCTCTCTTCTTCTTGTGTTTAGATGTCCTACTTTTCTCTAGGTTATGTTTTCCCCTGTGGTAGTAAGCTCATAAAAATTTATGTGAAAGTAAATGCAATTAATGAAATAAACATACACACATTGTATACACGAAGAATGAACAGAGGGGACTCACAAAAGGGAATTGTCATACAGATCTGCTGGAACTGTAAATAGACGTAAACTTTCCTCAGGAGAATTTTACCAGTATAAAACAAAAGTCAAAAGAAAAATAACCAAAACACTTTAATTGCAATTGCACTCATATGAATTCTTCCAAAAGAAGGCATAGTGATGCAAAAAAAAATGTGTCATGGAAATGAGTGTCCATTAAGGCATGTTTTTATATTTTAAAATATAAAACATTTCCAATAATAGAAAAACAATTATTTATGCTGCATCTCCCTATTCAAAAATTTTCCCATGTAATGGTAGGGTAAAATAGGAATTTCTTCACTATAAAGTTTATACTAAGCAGGTCACAAAATAGTTTGTGTAATAAGATGCCATTTCTATAAAAATAACATATCCAAAATTACACGTATATTTTTCACAGAAAAAAAAATCCTTAGAAGAAAATACACCAAACTATTAAAATTAGTTAGCGGGCACTAGGGTGAGAGAGCGCAGAACCTGAAGTGCTTGACCTCAGTAAGTTCCAGAAAAGACGAGAAGCCCAGGCTGGATGCCACCTTTCCTGGTGATGGCATCATTATTGTTATTTTTATTTCTTCCCATATGCCTGCCTGTATTATTTTCTATTTTTTAACGAAAAATTTTGATTGTGCTTGTAATATAAAAAAAGTAATGTAAAAAAGGAGATCATATTAGGTTCAGTACCTTATTGATTAACATGACTGAGACCTATGCAAGATTTTCTTTTCTTTATTTTCTTTCTTTATTTTTTTGTGAGACCAAGTCTTTTTCTGTTGCCCAGGCTGAAGTGCAGTGGCACAATCTCGGCTCACTGCAGCTTCCACATCACAGGTTCAAGTGATTCTCCTGCCTCAGCCTCCCAAGTAGCTGAGGCATGCACCACCACACCTGGATATTTTTTGTTTTTAGAAAGATTTTCCTATTAGCCCTTTGGCTGACACCTGACACCTTGTGATAATTACATGATCTCTGAAATTCTTTGCCAATATACAAAGTGAAATTTTTATTAACAACTTGCATTCACTTGAATATTTAGATTTTGAGGCATATTTTTCCACTTTTCTCCAATTTCAACATTAGGGTGGAAGATAATTTATATCATTATCCTGTGACCTATGAATCTATTGCTGATTTATATCAAATAAGTTCATGTCAACACACTCTTAAAGTCATTACTATTTCTGTTTTCTATTAAAGCATAAGAGCAGCAGTGATTGTTTTTATATTTCGTACGTAAGATATTGAACATTGCTGCCAGAATAAAAATACATATCCTCGGAATCAGCGGGGAAAGAAGACCCTGTTGAGCTTGAGCTTGACTCTAGTCTGGCACGGTGAAGAGACGTGAGAGGTGTAGAATAAGTGGGAGGCCCCCGGCGCCCCACTGTCCCCGGGAGGGGGCGGGGCGGGGTCTGCCCGCCTTGAGGGCTGCCGGTGTAATACCACTACTCTGATCGTTTTTTTTTCACTGACCTGGTGAGGCCGGGGGGGCGGGGGGCGAGCCCCGAGGGGCTCTAGCTTCTGGTGCCAAGCGCCTGGCCACGCGCAGCATTCTTATACACCAACAACAGACAAACAGAAAGCCAAATCATGAGTGAACTCCCATTCACAATTGCTTCAAAGAGAATAAAATACCTAGGAATCCAACTTACAAGGGATGTGAAGGACCTCTTCAAGGAGAACTACAAACCACTGCTCAAGGAAATAAAAGAGGATACAAACAAATGGAAGAACATTCCATGCTCATGGGTAGGAAGAATCAATATCGTGAAAATGGCCATACTGCCCAAGGTAATTTACAGATTCAGTGCCATCCCCATCAAGCTACCAATGACTTTCTTCACCGAATTGGAAAAAGATACTTTAAAGTTCATATGGAACCAAAAAAGAGCCCGCATCGCCAAGTCAATCCTAAGCCAAAAGAACAAAGCTGGAGGCATCACACTACCTGACTTCAAACTATACTACAAGGCTACAGTAACCAAAACAGCATGGTACTGGTACCAAAACAGACATATAGATCAATGGAACAGAACAGAGCCCTCAGAAATAACGCCGCATATCTACAACTATCTGATCTTTGACAAACCTGACAAAAACAAGCAATGGGGAAAGGATTCCCTATTTAATAAATGGTGCTGGGAAAACTGGCTAGCCATATGTAGAAAGCTGAAACTGGATCCCTTCCTTACACGCCATACAAAAATCAATTCAAGATGGATTAAAGACTTGAACGTTAGACCTAAAACCATAAAAACCCTAGAAGAAAACCTAGGCATTACCATTCAGGACATAGGCATGGGCAAGGACTTCATGTCTAAAACACCAAAAGCAATAGCAACAAAAGCCAAAATTGACAAATGGGATCTAATTAAACTAAAGAGCTTCTGCACAGCAAAAGAAACTACCATCAGAGTGGACAGGCAACCTACAAAATGGGAGAAAATTTTCACAACCTACTCATCTGACAAAGGGCTAATATCCAGAATCTACAATGAACTCAAACAAATTTACAAGAAAAAAACAACCCCATCAAAAAGTGGGCGAAGGACATGAACAGACACTTCTCAAAAGAAGACATTTATGCAGCCAAAAAACACACGAAAAAATGCTCACCATCACTGGCCATCAGAGAAATGGAAATCAAAACCACAATGAGATGCCATCTCACACCAGTTAGAATGGCGATCATTAAAAAGTCAGGAAACAACAGGTGCTGGAGAGGATGTGGAGAAATAGGAACACTTTTACACTGTTGGTGGGACTGTAAACTAGTTCAACCATTGTGGAAGTCAGTGTGGCGATTCCTCAGGGATCTAGAACTAGAAATACCATTTGACCCAGCCATCCCATTACTGGGTATATACCCAAAGGACTATAAATCATGCTGCTATAAACACACATGCACACATATGTTTATTGCGGCATTATTCACAATAGCAAAGACTTGGAACCAACCCAAATGTGCAACAATGATCAACTGGATTAAGAAAATATGGCACATATACACCATGGAATACTATGCAGCCGTAAAAAATGATGAGTTCATGTCCTTTGTAGGGACATGGATGAAATTGGAAATCATCATTCTCAGTAAACTATCACAAGAACAAAAAACCAAACACCGCATATTCTCACTCATAGGTGGGAATTGAACAATGAGAACACATGGACACAGGAAGGGGAACATCACACTCTGGGGACTGTTGTGGGGTGGGGGGAGGGGGGAGGGATAGCATTGGGAGATATACCTAATGCTAGATGACGAGTTGATGGGTGCAGCCCACCAGCATGGCACATGTATACATATGTAACTAACCTGCACATTGTGCACATGTACCTTAAAACTTGGAGTATAATAACAATAAATAAAAAAAGAGAAAACATAAAAAAAATACATATCCTGAAAATTATATACCCTATGATATGGTTTGAATGGAACCCCCAAAGTTCACATGATAGAAACTTAAGAAACTTAATCTCTAATCAACAGTGTTGAGAGGTGAGATCTTTAAAGGGTGATTAGGTCATGAGGAATTACTGTCATTATAAGGAGAGTGGGTTTGCTATAAAAGCAAGTTTGGTCCTCTTGCTCTCCCTCTCTCTTCTCTCATCCTCTCACCTTCCACCATAGTATAATGCAGCAAAAAGGCTCTCAGCGAATGCTGGCACCTTGATATTGGACTTCCCAGCCTTCAGAACTGTGAGAAATAAATATTCAATTCTTTCTAAATTACCCAGGCTGTTGCATTCTATTATGGCACTGCAAAAAGGACCAAGACATCTCATCAATTTGAAGTATTTCTGAGTTGACATGAAAAGCAAAATGGGCATCTCATTGGTGTTTGAAACAGCCACAGATGGCTTCTAAAACAGCACTGTGTGTTTTCATGTGGGGATTCCATTGTTTAATCCACTTTCATGAATAATTAAAAATAAATCTGTGATGCCAATAATTATAATAACCCACACCTGGCTTTACAACAGAAAACAGTGATTCCAACTCCCTAAAAGGATATAAACTTAACCATCTCATAGATGGGAGCCATAGGAAAATGCCCTAGTCTTTCTCCTATACCCTAAAAAAAGTAGCACTTTTGTGTAATACATTTAATGAATTGTTTTACATAATTCATTCTCTTTTGATGTTCTAATTTGTATTCATTCTCAGTTTCTGAAATTTACATATATAATGAAGAATTATTTGACGATACAAGAATCTTTTAGAAATCATGTTAAGAAATTTAACTAGTTTTATAGAAGAAACACTATTTGTAATTGTGCAAAAAATAGCATAAAATATTTATAAAGATCAATCTGCAACTGTGTCTCTGTAGCCATAGAGAAATCCCTTGATGAGCATTTCTCTAAATTCTTGTTTCAGTTAAAGTGTCAAAATGAAACAATGTGTCTCAGTTTAAACACATCTTCCACTCAAGAGATGGAATTAGGTTTTACTCCACATCTTATAGGCTGGCTTTGGAGTATGAAATAAAACTTATCACAAACCATGAAAGAATTTTAAAATAAAAATTATAATAGACATTTAAAAAATCATTGAATAAAGCATGGCATTCTAAGAGTATTTTATAAATACATAAAACCAAATGAAGAAAAACCCACAAAGAAAATGATATGCTACAAATTAGAATGGAAACTCCTTATAATTAACATTCATAACACTATTATACACCATACTATTTTTTATTGATCTCTATTTCAAGAAAGAGTAGTGGAAAGATTTCACTACAAATCAGCAGGCTTGTATTTAAGTCTCAACTCAATCATTAATGGCTCTCATAATCATAGATAAATAATTTTTCTTGGCCTCAATTTTTTCATTCATAATATTAAAGTATTGCACTTGATAAATTATAGGGTCTTTTCCTGTATTTTGTTTCTGTGACTTAAAGTCTTATCTCCCTACTGAGTTACTGAATTCCTTGAGAAAAAAAACCCCTCATTTTATCATTTTTTATATCTAAAATCATTTTGCTGCTAGAGATGCTAGCAGCCGTCTGTAAGTATCTACTAAGTGTAAACTCTTGTATTAAAAAATTTACGCACCTAAAAACAGCCAATAACCCATCACACTTGAAAGTACGACTAAAATATCATACTTAATAGTGACTGCTCAACACATTTATGACACATTTTTGACAAATTAAATTCATAGAGAATCTATGAAATTGTAAGAGAGCTATAACAATTGTTTTTGTAAATTTAGCATATTTGTAATCTTTTCTGTTCTATGGTACACACCATAAATGGAGAGTAAGATGAACTGTCAAAGTTAGTAGATAAATGTATGCTTGAACCCTGGCTCTATTATTTTGGTATATGACCCCCATGTGTGCTTTAATTTATTTTCCTTGGCATATACTAGGCCCTAAATAAAAATTCCTCGTTTTTTTGTCACTGATATGCTTTTTTGGTGAGATTTAGCTCCTTCTACTATTTGAGATATTTAATTTTCAAACTATATTTTAAGTTTCTTGAGAGTGAGGATTGTATTTTACTCACTTTCAACCCACTGCTGAAATATCAAGCAGTATATAAAGATTCAATGAATATGAATTTCTGAAAATCATATATCTATGTATCACTATTGGTGCCATAGAGAATACAAGAATAAAAAGTTTATAGTTCTTCCCTTTAAGAAAATGTGTTTTATTAGTTCATTACTTACTAGTCAAATAGCTACTCAAATCTGATTATGTAATCAGTCACATTAGTACACAACTTTAATGGTAAAACATACTTTAAAATAGCTTTGACTACTGAGCTTCACACCTACTAGCTGTGTGACCTAGAGGACTTCTCAACTCACTCATCTATAAGATGGCACAGTGGTATTAACCAGAGATATGCTGTGGGGGTCAGATGATCTAACACTTACGAAATACCTAACACATGATTGAGATTTCAGCTTTGGCTTTTGACTCTACTTGTACAAATCTACCAAACACACACACACCAGCACACACACACACATTTTAAAGCTAGTTCTTTGTGTGTGTATGGGGGTTATTTGTGCTATTGTAATAAAAGTAAGAAAACTCTTAGCAATAAGGTACCCAAGGAAGGGTGTAATGACACGATTTTTCACACCTGTAGAGGCCAAGGGGTAATATAATCAGTTGTAATAATAGGTAACATTTATAAAGTATTCACTTCATGCTAGGGACTATTCTATGCATTTTTTATAGACTAGTTCAGTTAACCTTCACAATACCACCATAGGAAATTGTAAGCATCCTTCTTTCTATAGGTAAAGAAAACTAGGCAGTGGTTAAGTGGTGAAGGCTGAATTCACACTCAGATATTTTGATTCCATGCTCACAACCACTATGCTATATTACCTAACAACAAAAAGAAATAAAGTAGATTAGAGAGAAAGAAGGTCCACTAGTTTACATGCAAGTAAATTTTTTAACCAGGAAATACAGAAGAGTAGAAATGTATAACTAGAATTTGTAAACTCATAAAACCCAGTGATAAATAAAAGACAGAGAGGATTCCACCCATTATTTCTCCTTAAATTTCTACTTGAATCTACACCACTCTTGGTGTTTTATGCTAGGAGACGTTTTGCAGCTGTAAGTACAAACTCTGTTATTCGGATGCTAACTACTCAATGCCAGCAAAGAACAAGTTCTTTGATACTAACAACATTTCTTGATCACAGTTTGTTAGAAACCGTTCTTTATATCATTTGTTGATAAACTGTGGGATGGTAGAGATTACATAGTAGACAAGTTAAAAAGTTTAATAAGCCATGTAAAAGGCAATGAATCCTTAGTTAATTTGCTGTTACTATATCTTTTTTTGTTTGTTTGTTTTACTACTTGTGGTATGGCATTTGGGACAGTTTGCTCCTGCTGCTGTAATAAAAGGCCATAGATTGGGTAACTTATAAACAGCAGAAACTTATTTCTCATAGTTCTGGGAAGCTGGGAAGTCCAAGATCAAAGTGCCAGCAGATTCAGTATCTAGTGAGGGCCTGCTTCCTGCATCATAGTTTGCACACACTTGCTTGCTGTGTCCTCACATGGTGGAGGGGTTGAGGGGTCTCCCTCAGGCCTCTCTTATAAAAATGCAAATTCCCTTCATAAGGGTTCTACCATCATGACCTAATCACCTCCCAAAGGCTCCACCTCCTAACGATATCTATTTTGTGATTAAACTTCAACATATGAATGGAAGGAAGGTAAAAACATTCAGACCATAGCAGAGACATTTAGATACTGCTTAAGTGCTCTACAGTGACACTCGTCATTTACTGTTTACACACTGTCATATACCAAGGTGCTGGGCCACAAAGCAACTGTATTTTCGACCTGAAATGAAATATCATAGGTGCCTGATAGCCTGGGAAAGACAGAGAGAACTAAAAGGGCCAGCCTGCCTGCCACTGTCAGCTGTGTAAGAGAACAAAGCAAATTCAGCCTTCATGCATTACTACAACTTTTATTCCAAAAATGTTGCTATGCACTGAATTGTGTCTCCCCAAAATTTGTATGTTGGAGTCCTAACTCCCAAGTGTTTAGAGATGGAATCTTTGAGAGGGTAGTGTTACCAAGGTAAGGACCTCATAATGAGATTAGTGGCTTTACAAGAACAGGAAGAGATGAGATCACTCTCTCCACTGTTAGGGCAGACACAGTGAGAAGGTGGCTGTCTACAAGCCAGGAAGAGAGCCCTCACCAGGAATTAAACCAGCCAGCATCTTGATCTTGGCCTTCCCAGGCTCCAGAATTGTGAGAAATAAATGTCTGTTGTTTAAACCACTCAGTCTATGGTATTTCATTAGAGCAGCCAAGCTAGATGAATACTTATGCTTATATCTGAGGGCAATCAACATAAGTGCTGAGTCAGGAAGGCTGGGATGAGATAGTCTCTCACCAATAGTCCATTGATATTAGAAGCTAAGTTTATAGCATGTAAGGTACAAGGCAAAGCTGAACAATTTTAGGTTCCTTGTCAAATGTAACAAGGTCTAGGAAAATATTTGGCTAACTTATTGAATGTCCCTCAAAAGCAGGAACTACATAAAAGCTGTTGCAAAACACACTCAAATTATAGCCAATATTAGGCCACGAGCTACAACAGTGATTGAAACTTCCTTCTCTGCTCTCACTCAATGACCCTGCTCCCTCAATTCTAGCTTTCTGCTACTGATCAAGACTAGAGGAAGTAGGGATTCCTTGAGATTCTCCCCAGACCCAATTAAAAAAAAAAAAAACTTATCTCAAATACAACTGTTCCAAAGTAAAAGTTTAAATAGATTATTTATTTTTAGTATAACAACCTCCCTTGAGCATCATACATATTAAAACCTCAGTCACGACTGGAAGGGTTTTCAAAAAACGTCATCAGGTAAAAAGTTTTGTAGGTCACAGCCTCATAGAGCCTGATTACTTGGCATGCTACAAATCGTCACTATTTTCAGTCATTGCAATTGAGGTAAAATCTCAGGCAAATAACATAATAATTTTCCCACTTACGCAAACTATTTCATTACTACAGCAAAGTACATTTGAACACCACTGCCAACCTTGAAAAAGATTCATTTGAGAGTATTAATGGATAGATCTTTAGAACTGAGTCACTGAGGAGTATGCTGAGGAGTTAAGGGATGGCCTCAAGATTCAAACACGAGTGGGCTGACATCAGAGCTGACGCACTTATTTTTTTTTAGTACTTCATCTTGAAGCAAATTAAAATACATAAAATTTCTCAAATATATATGTTTTGTGTATTTCATCATAAAGTCAAAGAAACTCATTAGCATAAATATGCAACAAAGATAAATATCTTACCAGAATAGTGGCAATTAACAGTATAAAATAGAAATTTGTTTTTCTTTAGAGTCACTCAGTAAAATGGTGCTTTGTCCATGCTATTTGATTTGTAATATGAATTACAAAACAAGACAAAGCTTTGCTGGCATAATAATCAATATTGTTAAGTGTCCCCAATTTGATCTATGAATTTCATGCAACAGTTGTCCTCATTTTGTAGCAATTATGAAGCTGATTCTAACATTTATATTAAATTATTTTTAATGTATAATAGTGAAAACAACTTTGAAAAAGAGAAAAGTTGAAGGATTTATGCTACCTCATTTAATGATTAATTTAACAGGTATGTTAAACAGAATCAGGTGTTATTAAATCCTAGCTACACAACTGCATTTGTGGAACAGAAATAGATACATATGTGAAAATAAATTCAACTTAATTAAATATTCAAGGGAAATTCAGTGGAGAATGGACTATCTTTTCAATCAATGGTGCTGGAACAGAGACATTCATAGGCAAAAAATAAACAATAAAAAACTTCAATCCATATGTCATGTTGCATAAAAATTAATTCAAAGTGGATCATAGACCCAAATGTAAAACCTAAAACCATAAAACTTGATGGAAAAAATGTAGAAGAAAATCTTTATATACTTGGGTTAGTCAAAGATTCCTCAGATACAATACCAAAGCTCCATCAATAAAGAAACCACTCTCAAATCTCAATAAAAATAAAATAAAATAAATGAGGAACCATTTAAAAATGGGCAAAACATTTAACAGATACTTTATCAAAGAAGATCTATGGATTGCAGATAAGCTCCTGAAAAGGTACTCAACATTATTTTTCATTAGGGAAATACAAATTAAAACCATTAGATTCCATTACATACCTATTAAAATGTCTAAAATTTAAAAAGACAGATTATATCAAGTGTTGGTAGGAATGTGGAACAATATTCTCCCACCATATGACCCAGCCATCCCACACCCACATATCTTATTAAATAAAAGAAACTGTTCAAACAAAACTTATACATAAATGTTCACAACAGATCTATTTATAATAGCCCCAAAGTGGAAATCCACTAACAAGTCAATGGAAAAACTAACTTATATATTCACACTGTGGAATACTAGGCAGCAATAGAAAAGAATACTATGGACACCTGCAACAACATAGATGAATCTCAAAATATTTTTGCTAAATGAAAGAAAACAGGCTGGGCGTGGTGGCTTATGGCCAGGCGAGGTGGTGGCTCATGCCAGGCGTGGTGGCTCATGCCTGTAAACCCAGCACTTTGGGAGGCAGAGGTGGGTGGATCATGAGGTCAGGAGTTCAAGACCAGTGTAACCAACATGGTGAAACGCCATCTCTACTAAAAATACAAAAATTAGCTGAGCATGGTGGCGGGCGCCTGTAATCCCAGCTACTCAGGAGGCTGAGGCAGGAGAATTGCTTGAATCTGGGAGACAGAGGTTGCAGTGAGCTGAGATTGTGCCACTGTGCTCCAGCCTGGGTGACATAGTGAGACTCTATATCAAAAAAGAAAAAGAAAGGAAGGAAGAAAGGAAGGAAGGAAGGAAGGAAGGAAGGAAGGAAGGAAGGAAGGAAGGAAGGAAGGAAGGAAGGAAGGAAAATGACCCCTGCATGATTTCATTAATATAAAATTCAAGTAAATGCAAATGAATCTTCAATGACAGAAAGCAGGTCAGTAGTTGTCTGGGGATTACTAAGGATTTGAAGAATATCTGAGGGGTGGTAAATATGTTATCTTGGTTGTGGTGATGTTTTTTCTGGTGTACACATAAGTCGACATTGATTGTTTTTTAAAATGTACATTTTATTTTATGTTGATTGTATCTAAATAATTCTGTTTTTAAAAAAGAAAATGAAAATTTTATTTACCAGGGATAAATCTTCTCCTAATATTAAATACAAAGCTAGGCATATTTAAGACTCTGTTTAATCTTAAGTAATTCATCATCCTATGGTTGGCTGCAGCAACAAATACAGTCTTGAATAAGAAATTACAATGTGTTTAGTCAAAACAGACAAATTTTGATGAAACTCCAAAACCACTGGCTTCCCAGAGATGATGTAGTTTTCTCACACTCCACCCCATCTCTCATGGCCACATACTTCCCATGGATGGGCTGGCTTTGGCATGGTTGGTGGGTGAGCCTGAGAATCTAGAGTCTTCTTCCATGATGTTGTGCTTCATGTTGTGCTGTTGCCCATCTGAGTTTCCTTAAACCAATAAATCCATCATAGCCAGTGAGTTTGATTGTCTATTAGAATCCAAGACCCACACTGTTTGTTGATTAGAGTAAGCATTGCATATACTTATTCATGTATTTCTTAATCATTTCTGTCATTACCTATTGAGTTCTTAGTGCAGTTGAATACTTACACCCTTATGATGGACCGTTTTATATGTCAACTTGGCTAGGCTACAGTCGCCCATTTTTCAATCAAACATCAATCTAGCCATTGCTGTTATTCTGTAGTCGTAATTAAAGCCCGTAATCAGTGACTTTAAAAAAAAGACTCTTAGAGAATTCAGGTAGGTCTGACTCAAATCAGTTGAAGGCCCTAAGAGCAGAGCTGTGGTTTTTCTGGAGAGTAAATGCTACCTGAGAACAGAAACTCCAGTTAGTATTTGAGAATTCTAGCCTGTCCTTCCTGATGGGTCACCCAACAGATTTCAAACTTGCCTTGCCAGTCTTCACATGGTATATGCCAATTCTTTTAAATAAATTGCATTACATATATATGTGTGTATGTATGTATATGCATATATTTGCATATGTATATGTATATGCATATATATACATACACACATATGCATATATATGCAGATATTTCTATATCAATCTACATACACATAAATACACACACACACACACACACACACACACACACACTCAGCTCTCCATATTCATGGGTCCTACATCTGTGGATTCAAGCAACCATTAGATAAAAAATATTTGGGAAAAAAATTGCGTCTGTACTGAACACCTACAGACTTTTTGTTTCTTGTTGTTATTCCTTAAACGATACACTGTAACAACTATTAACACAGCATTTACATTGTACCTAATATTACAAGTAATCTAGAAATAATTTAAAGTATATGGGAGGATGTGCATAGGTTATACACAAACACTACACCATTTTATATCAGGGACTGGAGCATTCACAGATTTTGGTATCCCAAGGAGGTCCTGGAACCAATCCCCCATGGATACTCCCATGACTGTTTACATATCTCCTCCTTGTTCTATTTCTCTGGCTGAACTTGAACAGATACATTCCCATATTCTGTAAATATGCATATTTTGGCTTAAGCCAGTAGTATTTACATTTAAGTAATATACACTACTGTACAAGGTAGTAGACCATTATTCTGTGGAGTTTTTTCTATCTTTTTAAAATTTACTTTTGGAGTTGATTATTTCTACTTTTTAAATAACATTTGCTTAGCTTTCTATGTATCTACTTTTAATTAAGTCCAAAGATTTCATTCAACCTGTAAAAAGAAAATAAAGTTTCAGGACCTTCCAAATTTATTATGCCAAAGGGAGAAGTTAAGCCCTGGAAGTTGACTCCTACAACACAACCGGTTTTCTTCTCTGGTGCATGACCATTGCTTCCTAATCTTTGTGTTGAGATGTTTTATATTAAGCAGACTCCCTATTCTTTACTCAAAACTGGACTAAATCACATGGAGATAGAGAACCTTGTAACTATTACCTCTTTAGAAGAGAATACTGAGCAACCCCCTTAGAGTGTAATCAATAGTAGGTAATCAAAGCTTGTATTTGAATATTAGCCTTTGAGTGGAAAATGCAATTTTCCAAGGTTCAGCACCTCCATTTTGCCTGTATAAATCATCCCCATTTTTGCCCACACTGGGAACACTGATCACCATTCTTTGGTATGGCTCTGTTCCCCAGATGGCTGCCCTCACACTTTGTGCTTGAATACAACTCTCTTTAAATTATTCAGAGCTTTTCAGTTATTTTATGTTGGCAAATCTAACAAAATCTTGGTAGTATTTTTTGCTCTAGATGTTCAAGCATATAATCTGTAATCTCCTTTTTACCATTTTGACATACAGCATCCTCCGACAGGCATCTATTCACCTCCTATAATGTAGACTGGCTGCTTTCCAGAACTAGTGGAGGGTGATTATCCCCGGACTACCCAGCACTTCTTCGGGCAGGATATTATGTTCTTAAATCCCATGTCTTCCTTTATCTCGATTCAGTCTGCCATCCTACGGAAACACATGCTTCAATAGCATTCTCAGAAAGGGACTATGGAAAATACAGTTCTTTTTAGTACTTGGATGTCTGAAAATTCCTTTATTCTAAACTTATATTTGATAGTTTGAATGAAAAAAACATTATCGATTCAAAATTATTGTGCCTAGTAATTCTGAAGCCTTGTTCCAGTCTTTTTGTATTATAAACTGAAGTTGCTAAAGCTGATGCTATTTTGAGTTGTTTCCTTATGCAATGTGTTTTTTTAAACCTTTCTCTGAACATGTTTAAGCGTTCTTCTTATAGGTATTCTAAAGCTTCACAATGATGTGTCTTATAAATTTTTTGTGTGTAAATTTTTGAAATAAATACTTAAATGTGAAAAGCAGAATTTTAAACACACTTATGGTCAACAAGATGAATATTTTTATTTTAAGGTAGAGTTTTTTAAAAAACATGACAGCAAAAGGAAAAATTGTTAAGCAAAAAGACTGATATATTTGACTTAAGAAAAGAGAGATTCTGGTCTTATAAAGTGTAAATGGAAAGCTATCAACCTGAAAAAAGACACGTGCAATAAATAAAATAGACAAAGAACCAGTGTCTTAAATATATGTACCTCCTACAAATCAATAAGAAAAAATAAATAACATGTTATAAAAATTAATAATATAATGTGCTTGTCTAAACAATAGACAAACACATGAAGATAAAACCCAGTCAATCATATAATGAATTTAAATTATGACAAATTACTTAAATTTAAATTATGACTGCTTAACAGTTGAGCAGACCTGCAATTACGTAGTGGCTTTCTATTGCGGATGATCCATTGCAGAGATATTTTATGCTCCAGGGGTATTTCAGTTTTTAAAAGAAGTATATTTTAATATTTTACATTATGCAGGAAAAGGATAGGGGATCAGAAAGAGGAAGCATCTTTGCAATTAATACCCTAAGTAAATAAGACACAGAAAAGAGGTATAAAGCCCCGTATGTTGTGTTCTAAGGTTTAATGTTATCTCACTTTTCTCACTGAGTCATTTGACAGATTTCTCTAATTCTGTTATGAATAAGAGAACCAGATCTTATATGTACCTTTCTTTTCTATATTATTCCTAATCCCTATCTCATTGATCTTGACTATTAACAAATCTTAATAGTCACTCCAAGAATATGGTAAAATAGAGAAGGAATTTAAAATTATAATAGTAAAATTGAGTTACCTTCAGCCTACAATTTTAGCAGCTGCCTACCACTTTTCTCATAATTTTAGATATGTGGATGCCATTGTCTTATTTGTATTTTCTATTCTATCTATGTAGATTATTTCTACTTTACAAGCAAATGGTTTGGAGGAGGGTTTTTGCCATACAATTGGGGAAATATTTTTTTTCCTCAAATGATTCACAAATTGTTTATCTTGTTTTTATTTTACTAATGGTGAATGTAAAGTAAAAATAGTTAAAATTCAAGCTCTTTATCAATATCCCAGAACTATAAACTAATGATTCTCACACTGTATCATACTCTAGGAAAATCTATTTTACAGGCTTATCTACCTTCTTCTCTACTCATTTCCCATAATGTTTGATAAACTATTTTTAACAATTCAGATTGTTAATTTTTTGACATTGTACATTTTCCTTCTAAACAATAAGTCTGACATTTGTTTTATTTTTTCCTAAACATATTAACACAAATTTAGTTGATGTTTCTGATTTTATTGCTCATCACCCTTTTATGGCATATCTCACTCATAAGTGAGATCCTAATTTGCATTCATTTTTCTTACCACAAGCAGCACCTGAAGATATATGAAGTGTCTGCCTGTCAGAAATCCTTTTCGTACCTTGCAAAGGGTACAGACTAACCTTGTATTTTTTAATCTATTCACTAACTTGATCCCTTAAGACCTGGTCAATATTTTTCATTATTTTATGACATAACGTATAAAAAATTCTTAATTTTGTTTGTACATTTAGGTAGATTAATCTTGTTTTTCTGATTGCAGTTATTTTTTCTGCTTTGTCTTCTATAAACTGAAGAGATATGACTATCTATATAGATATGACTATGACGTATAGTTGTGCAATTCTCCTAATTGTTTAGGACAGAGAGAAAATAATGTATTTTTGCATGTTTCTTGCAATTACATTACATAACTGGATGACATTTGCTTTGATTTCCCGGTGTGATATCTTTATATTTGATAACTCTATTTGCAAACAGCAGGTTCTTTTTTTTTTTTTTGGTTTTGCTACTTATTCAATTTAAAGAGATAAGTTTTTGTATTGGTCCGAGATTTAGATTTGAGATCATTTTAGTTTAGAAATTTATAGGCCCGTGTTCAAAACGGTCTCAAAGGCAAGAAGAAAAAGTTTATATTTTCTGTAGTTTTATTTCTCTAAGTCATAAATTAGCAGAGTATACCCTGTGAGCAGGTCCAAACTGCATACTGCCTCATTTTGAAAATAAAGTTTTATTGGAACCCATACACATCTATTTGTTTATATATTGTCTATGGCTACTTTTGTACTACAACAGCAGAGTTGAGTAGTGGCAATACAGACTGGACTACATGGTCCACAAATTTGAAAGTTGTTTCCATTTGGCCTTTCATAGAAAAAGTTTGCCAACTCCTGGTCTTAACTATTGGTCTATTTGTCTGATGGTATTGGGAAGAGGCGATTGAAATAATAAGATAGACAGTAGGAAGTTCACTATTTTAGAAAACATTTTCTGTCCATCTTAGTAGTGAAAATCTAAATTTTACTGGAGCACAGATAGACTTCTTTAAATGCTGTCAGAGCCCCAGGGGAAGCCAGTTACCCTCGGCTTCACAGTCCCTTCATCTTTACTCAACGTGGCATTTGCAGCAGGTTGAGACTTTGAAAATTCCCTGCGAGCAGAGGTAGCCAACCCATCTAAAGCTGTGCCACTCGAAGTTTCAGGCTACTTTTTCATTTCAGGTAAAGAATCTCTTCATTTTGATATACATAGGATCAGGAGCTACTGAGGTATCCTCCAACTAACCCCATCTTCATTATATCGTAATGATCATCCTCATTTGTTTTTGCCCTAATAATATATACGTATCTGTTTTCTAGCCCAGATAAAGGTATTTCTTATTTTACGCACAGGAATTTAGTGTCGCAGACTATTACTAAAACTAAGTAAGTAATTTTACAAAGCTTATAAACATTTTATTATGAGGACTACTGTAACAATATTCTTACAAAATGTTGCTATAGCTGTAAAATGTTTAAGAGTCACTATATTTGGAAAATAACAGTAATTGTTAGACATTGTACAAAAAGCAACAAAAAATAAAAGACATGGCCTTTTTTAAAAAAATTCCAATCCCTCTCTGGAAATAGAATTAATATATAAGAAGCAATCAACTTGGCCACTAAAAGAGCAACTAGATTTAGGCTTCAAATAGAAATACCTGGACTAAAAACTGTATAAACCACTGACTATGTGGCCACATTACATTGAAGCCTTAACTCCCCATTTTTATTTTCATTTCTCTTATTTTTATTGACTCTCCATCTTCATTTTAATTTAATCTGAATATGCTTCAGAACAGATCATTAACAAATCTAAAAATATTGTTTTATATTTCCAGGAATCCTTTAAGGAGACTTTTATCTCCTATAATACACACTAATGCCTGCTCTGACGGCCCAGCTTTCTTTAGGACCCCAGTTCTCTCACAGATACACGCTTTTGTCTAAATCTTGATTATACAAAATAACCAGTCCCCTTTATTTTTCCACTTCCCACTTCCAAAGCTCCTAGATCACAACTCCTGGAGACATACAGCTTACTTCACTATTTTACCCCAAGGAGACTTGAATATTCCAGGAAGGCATTTAGAAGTTGGAATATTTCAATTTCTTTGAAGATCTGGAGAGCCATGAATTTCCATGATCACTGATTGGATATGTTTCCACACAAAATATATAATCAACCCTTTAAAATGAAAATCCAGCCACAGTAAATAAAGACTGAGTGAGAGTACTGAGCTTAATGCACTGGCATATCCCAAACAAGAAATGTTTCCATATATAAAATAGACTTCATGATATCTACCTCACATGAATTCTTATGTGGATTCAAATTATTCAAAAATTTGAAGACATTCCATGTTCTAGGCACCATGTCAAATGTTGGGGATACAAACAAGATGTAATCCCTGTTTCAAGTCGCTTCGTGTCTGTAACAGCATAATGAATAAATAATTACTGTATGGCATTCATAAAACTAAGAATTAGAGTGATACATGACATGAGAGCACACAGAGGAGATCCATGATTCAGGTGGAAGCCAGAAAAGCAGGATTTTGTGGTACAGAGAGACTAAACTAAGTCCTGAGATGAACTAGGATCAGGAGCAAGAAGACTATTCCACACCACTGGAGCAGCATTTGAAACATAGAGAACAGCAAAAAAATGTGATCTTCTGGTTTAACTGAGGGCAACATGCAGTTGAAAGTGCAAGAGGGAAAAGCCATGATGTGACAGGTAAATTGGGGAAAAAACATGAAAGAGGTGATATGATAGCTTTAGTGTTTGAGCTCAGGCCAGAGTTGCACGCTGAAATGTCATCACAGACCGGAGTAGATTTCTCATTTTGTAAAGCTGGCAGCAGCAACAGCATTGAGTAGTGGGAACTGTGAGCAACTAGAGAGCTAGTGCATTTCTTGCTTAAAATCCTCCAAGTTAAAATGAGTTTACAACATTATGCTATCAGACAAAAGTCTCCTTGGCCAGATTTTTTCAAAGCCAACAGATTGCAATGCCTTAATGGGGCTGTAGATAGCCATTGAAGAAATTTAACGATGTCATCACATTAGCATGATGAGACAGAGAAGCATGAATTTCCATGATTAGTGTTTTGTCATTTTAGCAAGTCATTCTGAGAAGATGAGGGAATGATACAATATATACTGAATGTCTAGCACTGCACCAGACACAAAAGAATACCTAATAAATAGTAATGTCCTTCTCTCTCATCTTTTCTGCCTATCAGTATCCCCACAGAAAAGAGAAATCACCATAAGAGAAGATCCAAATTAATGGCAAAAGTAGTGTATACATTTCTCATGGCTGCTGTAACAAATTAGCACAAATGTTATGATGTAAAACAACAGAAATTTATTCTCTCACAGTTTTGGAGGCCAGAAGTCTAGGGTCAGTTTTACTGAGAAGAAATCAAGGTGCCATCAGGAATGTGTTCCCTTGGGAGATTTTAGGAAAGAATCAATTCCTTGCATTTTTCAGCTTCTTGTGGCTGCCAGCATTCCTTAGCTTGTAATCACATAACTCAAATCTTTCTCTGGTGTCACATCGCCTTTTCTCCTTATTAAATCTCCCTTTGCCTCCTAAATATAAATATAGCATGATAGATAGATGATAGATAGATAGATAGATAGATAGATAGATAGATAGATAGATAGATAGATAGCATTCAGAACCTACTCACATAATACAGGGTAAACGCCTCACCCTAAGAAGATAACCTAATAACATTTTATATGATATAAGGTAACATTCATAGGTTCCTGAGATTAGGACACAGGTATCTTCTGAAGAGCTAGTATTGGCCTGCCACAAGTAAGAAATCATTTCTTGAGCAAGTTGTTTCTGGAGTTTATTAATCAGAGGTCTCCAGTGGAACATAACAATAGAATAGATAGATAGATACATGAATAGGAAAATATATAGATACATACATATATAGGTATATGAATAAACAGACAGTCAGATAGATGTTAGATAGATAGATAGATAGATAGATAGATAGATAGATAGATAGATAGAGATAGACAGATAAAGAAAGCAAGACTTGGTACATGTGGTTATGGGGGTGAGGAGTTCCAAGATTTGCAGTTGGCAAGTTAGAGACCTAGAAGAGCTGATGGTATAGTTCCAGTGCATGTCCAAATGCCTGAGAAGCAGGAAAGGTGATGGTATAAATCCCACTCCAAGTCCAAGTTTGAAGTCAAGAGAAGATTAATGTCCCAACTGTAAAACAGTCAGGCAGAGAAAGCAAATTCTCTCTTACTTCAGACCTTTAGCCAGTTGGATGAGGTGTATCCACACGGGGAAGAGTCGTTTGTTTTACTCAATCTACTCAACCAATTGTTAATCACATAGAGAAACACTCTCACAGGCATACCCAGAATAATGTTTAACCAAATATCTGGGCACCACTTGGCCCACTGAAGTTGACACATAAAATTAACCATCTTATGAGTCTAAATTATTATTTTAGAGGTTTGTAATACCACTTATAAACAGAATGATTGTTAAGTTGCTATGTATTATTTCATCATTCAAAAATTTGTTATCAATAACTACCTTAAATGCCTGCTATAAAGATTTAAAGAGGGGAAACAGAAGGGTACATCACGTTAAACATATCATACCAAGGCAGGGACCATACATTGTTCATCTTTGTTTCCCCCAAGTCCAGGATTCATGGGAAAAGCTAAAAGTAGCAGTTTGGAAATAAAATTTAAATATACAGAGCAGAACTGAATTATCAAATCTTTTTCCCATCCTGTCTGTGTAATTAAATTCCTCATTCTTATTTCACTGCAGCCTGCCCATCTCTAGTCTACTACTGTAGTACCCTGCTATTCCAGGAGAAGAGAGCTACCAGATTCTATAGATAAATCCTATTCCTCTATTTCTAGGTTTTATTATAAGATGCAGATTATCTTTGAAGTCAGAAGTTTGTGCTAACCTGATTTAATGATGTTTTTTGAGGAGTCAATTTAGATATTACTTAATGATAGAATAATATGACAGTTGCTTATAAACATACCACTCATAAAATGCCCAGGGTTATTCACAGCAATAGTAATTTACATCATGCTGATTGTGATGTTTCTGGGTTCTGGTTAACAACTTTGTCACATGATTCTTTAAAAAGAACATCTGCTTGTTTTTTTTCCAGTGTACAATCATGGCAAGTGGCCCCACTTTGCATAAAATCTTATCAAAGCTTTCTTAGGTCTACCTAGTCATTGGGAGGACCAAGAACCTAGATTGTTTTGCATTCATACGTGTGATTGCTGCCTCTGTTTACCACATCTTGAAAAACACTGTAGTGAGTAGGTTTATGGGGAAAAATAGCAAGTGCTAAAGAATTTCAGAACCCACATGATTTATAGATAAATTTATGGAAAGTTGTAAAGTGAAATTATGAGTAAAATAAATAAAAGAAGTGTTTTGAAACATTGTTTCTACTAACTGCCCAGGAAGTATAATTTTTCCAATCTCCATGGATTTACTCTCTCTCTCTCTCTATATATATATATATAAAATTTACTATATATAAAATATATAAAAATTTACTACATGTAATATATAAAAATTTACTATATAATATATAATATGTATATAATTTACTATATATAACTTATAGTTATATAGTAATATATAAAAATTAACTTACTATATAGTAAATTATATGTATTTAATCTTATATAATATATATAAGATTGTCTGGAATGAAGAGAAAGAACAATGTCTTTTACTGTCTTTCCAGTTGCTTTTCTGTTATATAATATATATATTTATATATAAAATTTACTATATATAACTTACTATATATACAATATAGTATATATTTATACTATACATAAATTATATATATAATATGTATTACATAACAGAAAAACTGGAAAGACAATAAAAGACACTGTTCTTTCTCTTCATTCTAGACATATAAATAAAACCTTCCATTGTGAAGAATTATACAAATTCAATGAATAACTGAAAACAGAAAATTCTAGTTTCAGTATCACATAACTCATTGTACTAAATAAAATGATAATTTATATCATTAAGAAACTTACCACTATAATAATATACTGTAATAATATAGAAAGAAAAATATAGAATAAAAATATGAAAGAGGAATTTAAATTTGCACAATATTATAAAGATTTAGTAATCACCAGCTGGTATAATTATATACTAAAAGTTGATGGTATGTGTTTTATTACAATGGAAGGAATACAAGGTCACACTTAAAAGTGATTCCAAAATGATTTCACAAGCACAAGTATGTTGATGTCAAAATACTAACATAATAAACACAGTTGCGTAACAAATATGACTTTATTGAGTAGGATATTTTTGCACTATCTTAAATAAATCGCCTCAAACCTCAGTGCGGTCTCATCACTTAGTTTACTGATTTTGCAATAAGGGGGATTTCTGAAATCATTTAATACATAGTGACACGTCAATAAAATATGTTTCAGAAGTGGTACGTCAAGAACCAACTAGGAGAAAGGTTGCTCTTTTACGGAATAGCACAAATTCCTTAAACCACAGCTTACTAAACTAAAACAATGAAAAGAGAAAACCAGAGTTTCTCTTTAATTGCAAATTTAATTTATAATTGCAAATTTAATTTATAGCAACGAAAATTTTTAAAAATTTCCCACAGAGATATGAAACCCAGATAGTTTCATTAGTGAATTCTATTACCTTTATCTATAAATTACATCAGTCTACACAAACTCTTTCAGAAAATGAAAAAAACTCATCCCTACTCATTTTGTGAGGCCAGCATGACTATGATACCAAAATTAGACAAAAACATCACAGAAATGAAATTACAGAACTATATCAGTTGTTAATATAAATGTGAAAGTCTTCAACAAAATAGTAGCAAATTGAATCCAGTAATAAATGAAAAAGATAATACATGATGATTATATGGGGTTTGTTATAGGAATTCAAGTTTGCTTCAAAAATTGGCAATAAATTTAATCCACCAAATTAACTGAAAATGAAAAGAATCATTTGATTATCTCAGTAGGTGGAGAAAAAGCAACTGTCAAAATTCAAAACTCATTCATAATACATAATAAACACTTTCAGCAAACTACCGGGTAAAGGACATTAATGAAATGTCCACTGCTGGTATTATAACCAAGGACACCATCAAAAGCATGTGACCTCTGCAGTCACACAATGCCTCTTCTTTCAAAGAGTGCTCTACTTGGTTTAATGATCTGCTGTTGCTGTTCTGAGGTTCATAATAATTTGTAAACATGGAGCTCCACGTTTTCACTTTGATGTGGGCCTCACTTAATTCTTAAAGACTGAATGCTTTCTTTTCTTTTTTCTTTGTTTTATTATACTTTTAAGTTCTAGGGTACATGTGCACAACATGCAGGTTTGTTACATATGTATACATTTGCCATGTTGGTGTGCTGCACCCATTAACTCATCATTTACATTAGGTGTATCTCCTAATGCTATCCCTCCCCACTCCCCCCACCGCATGACAGGCCCCGATGTGTGTGGTGTTTCCAACCCTGTGTCCAAGTGTTCTCATTGTTCAATTCTCACCTATGAGTGAGAACATGCGGTGTTTGGTTTTCTGTCCTTGTGATAGTTTGCTTAGAATGATGGTTTCCAGCTTCATCCATGTCCCTACAAAGGACATGAACTTATCCTTTTTTATGGCTGCATAGTATTCCATGGTGTATATGTGCCACATTTTCTTAATCCAGTCTATCATTGATGGACATTTGGATAGGTTCCAAGTCTTTGCTATTGTGAATAGTGCCACAATAAACATACATGTGCATGTGTCTTTATAGCAGCATGATTTATAATCCTTTGGGTATATACCCAGTAATGGGATGGCTGGGTCAAATGGTATTTCTAGTTCTAGGTCCTTGAGGAATCACCACACTGTCTTTCACAATGGTTGAACTAGTTTACAGTCCCACCAACGGTGTAAAAGTGTTCCTATTTCTCTACATCCTCTCCAGCACCTGTTGTTTCCTGACTTTTTAATGATTGCCATTCTAACTGGTGTGAGATGGTATCTCATTGTGGTTTTGATTTGCATTTCTCTGATGGCCAGTGATGATGAGCATTTTTTCATGTGTCCATTGGCTGCATAAATGTCTTCTTTTGAGAAGTGTCTGTTCATATCCTTCTCCAGCTTTTTGATGGGGTTGTTTGATTTTTTCTTGTAAATTTGCTTAAGTTCTCTGTAGATTCTGGATATTAGCACTTTGTCAGATGGGTAGATTGCAAAAATTTTCTCCCATTCTGTAGGTTACCTGTTCACTCTGATGGTAGTTTCTTTTGCTGTGCAGAAGCTCTTTAGTTTAATTAGATCCCATTTGTCAATTTTGGCTTTTGTTGCCATTGCTTTTGGTGTTTTAGACGTGAAGTCCTTGCCCATGCCTATGTCCAGAATGGTATTGCCTAGGTTTTCTTCTAGGGTTTTTAAGGTTTTAGGTCTGAAATTTAAGTCTTCAATCCATCTTGAATTAATTTTTGTATAAGGTGTAAGGAAGGGATCCAGTTTCAGCTTTCTACATATGGCTAGCCAGTTTTCCCAGCACCATTTATTAAATAGGGAATCCTTTCCCCATTGCTTGTTTTTGTCAGGTTTGTCAAAGATCAGGTGGTTGTAGATGTGTGATATTATTTCTGAGGGCTCTGTTCTGTTCCATTGGTCTATCTCTCTGTTTTGGTACCAGTACCATGCTCTTTTGGTTACTATAGCCTTGTAGTTTAGTTTGAAGTCAGGTAGTGTGATGCTTCCAGCTTTGTTCTTTTGGCTTAGGATTGTCTTGGCAGTGTGGGCTCTTTTTTGGTTCCATATGAACTTTAAAGTAGTTTTTTCCAATTCTGTGAAGAAAGTCATTGGTAGCTTGATGGGGATGGCATTGAATCTATAAATTACCTTGGGCAGTATGGCCATTTTCACGATATTGATTCTTCCTACCCATGAGCATGGAATGTTCTTCCATTTATTTGTGTCCTCTTTTATTTCACTGAGCAGTGGTTTGCAGTTCTCCTTGAAGAGGTCCTTCATATCCCTTGTAAGTTGGATTCCTAGGTATTTTATTCTCTTTGAAGCAATTGTGAATGGGAGTTCACTCATGATTTGGCTCTCTGTTTGTCTGTTATTCGTGTATAGGAATCCTTGTGATTTCTGCACATTGATTTTGTATCCTGAGACTTTGCTGAAGTTGCTTATCAGCTTAAGGAGATTTGGGGCTGAGACGATGGGGTTTTCTAAATATACAATCATATCATCTGCGAACAGGGACAATTTGACTTCCTCTTTTCCTAATTGAATACCCTTTATTTCTTTCCCCTACCTGATTGCCGTGGCCAGAACTTCCAACACTATGTTGAATAGGAGTGGTGAGAGAGGGCTTCCCTGTCTTGTGCCAGTTTTCAAAAGGAATGCTTCCAGTTTTTGCCCATTCAGTATGATATTGGCTGTGGGTTTGTCATAAATAGCTCTTATTATTTTGAGATACATCCCATCAATATCTAATTTATTGAGAGTTTTTAGCATGAAGGGCTGTTGAATTTTGTCGAAGGCCTTTTCTGCATCTATTGAGATAATCATGTGGTTTTTGTCTTTGGTTCTGTTTATATGCTAGATTATGTTTATTGATTTGCATATGTTGAACCAGCCTTGCATCCCAGGGATGAAGCCCACTTGATCATGATGGATAAGCTTTTTGATGTGCTGCTGCATTCGGTTTGCCAGTATTTTATTGAGGATTTTTGCATTGATGTTCATCAGGGATATCAGTCTAAAATTCTCTTTTTTTGTTGTGTCTCTGCCAGGCTTTGGTATCAGGATGATGCTGGCCCCATAAAATGAGTTAGGGAGGATTCCCTCTTTTTCTATTGATTGAAATAATTTCAGAAGGAATGGTACCAGCTCCTCTTTGTACCTCTGGTAAAATTCAGCTGTGAATCCATCTGGTCCTGGACTGTTTTTGGTTGGTAGGCTATTAATTATTTCCTCAATTTCAGAGCCTGTTATTGGTCTATTCAGGGATTCAACTTCTTCCTGGTTTAGTCTTGGGAGGGTGTATGTGTCCAGGAATTTATCCATTTCTTCTAGATTTTCTAGTTTATTTGTGTAGATGTGTTGATAGTATTCTCTGATGGTAGTCTGTATATCTGTGGGATCAGTGATGATATCCCCTTTATCATTTTTTGTTGCGTCTATTTGATTCTTCTCTCTTTTCTTCTTTATTAGTCTTTCTAGTGGTCTATCAATTTTGTTGATCTTTTCAAAAGACCAGCTCCTGGATTCATTGATTTTTTGAAGGGTTTTTTGTGTCTCTATTTCCTTCAGTTCTGCTCTGATCTTAGTTGTTTCTTGCCTTCTGCTAGCTTTTGAATGTGCTTGCTCTTGCTTCTCTAGTTCTTTTAATTGTGATGTTAGGGTGTCAATTTTAGATCTTTCCTGCTTCCTCTTGTGGGCATTTAGTGCTATAAATTTCCCTCTACACACTGCTTTAAGTATGTCCAAGAGATTCTGGTATGTTATGTCTTTGTTCTCATTGGTTTGAAAGAACATCTTTATTTCTGCCTTCATTTCATTATGTACCCAGTAGTCATTCAGGAGCAGGTTGTTCAGTTTCCATGTAGTTGAGCGGTTTTGAGTGAGTTTCTTAATCCTGAGTTCTAGTTTGATTGCACTGTGGTCTGAGAGACAGCTTGTTATAATTTCTGATCTTTTACATTTGCTTTCTTTTCTAAGATCAGGAAGAAAGCCAAGATGCCTACTCTTCTCAGTATGATACTGGAGGCCCCAACTCATGTAATAATTCAAGGAAGAAAGGAGAGGCACAAATCTCAAGAAAAAAAAAAGAAAAGAAAAGAAAAGAAAAACTGCCTCTACTTGCAGGTAAAAAGATTAAGTAGGAAAGGCTAGAAGTCTAACTTAAAAATTACTAAACTTATTAAGTGAATTTATTCAACTGGTAGATAAAAGTTCAATAAATCAATTGTATTTTTATGTACTAGTAATAAACAATTTGAAAAAAATTTTTTCAAATTACTATTTACATTGGCATCAAACATAAAATATTTAATAAGTTTAACAAAAGATGTGTGAAATCTGTACACAGAAAAATAACAAAACACTCCATAAAGAGATTAGAAAAAATCAAAGTGAGCCAGGCACAGTGGCTCATGCCTGTAATCCCAGCACTTTGGGAGGCTGAGGTGGGTGGATCACAAGGTCAGGAGATTGAGACAATCCTGGCCAATGTGGTAAAACCCCGTCTCTACTAAAAATACAAAAATTAGCTGGGCATGGCGGCGTGTGCCTGTAATCCCAGCTACTCAGGAGGCTGAGGCAGGAAAATCGCTTGAACCCAGGAGGCAGAGGTTGCAGTGAGCAGAGATTGCACCCACTGCATTCCAGCCTGGCGACAGAGTTAGACTCTGTCTCAAACAAATAAAAAAATTTAAAAAATCTAGGTGAATGCAGATATCTTCCATGTGTATGAATTAAAATGACCAATGTTGTTATAATAATACTTTTCCTCAAATTGATTTATAGGTCCAATACAATTTCAATCAAAATTCCAATTCTAAGAGTTTTGTTTTCCTCTTTTAGAAGTGGACAGGCTGATTATGAAAGTTATAGGGAAAAAAAATTTTAAGGCCAAAATAACTGTTTATTTGTTTTTGTTTTTGTTTTAGAGATGGGGCTTCGTTCCATTCTCCTGCCCAGGCTGGAGTGCTGTGGTGCGATCACAGATCACTGCAGACTCCTGGCAGCAAGCGATCCTCTCTCCTCAGCCTTTGAGGCTGAGGGCCACCATGCCCAGTTAATTTTCTAAGTTTTTTTTTAGAAATAAGGTTTTGCTATATTATCCAGGCTGGTCTAAAACTCTTGGCTTTAAGAGATCCTTCCACCTCACTCTCTCAGTACCTGAGATTACAGGTGTCAGCCACTACATCAGGTCCAAAATAATTTTTGGAATCAATACTTTTTAAAATCAGGTAGGATTTGCACTACCTAATTTTTAAGACTTTCTATGAACCTGACTACAATGTAGTATTGGTTCCAGGCATAATAGATATATTGAGTGTATAAAATAAAGAAACAAGAGAAAGAATCAACATTTAGTGTTACTTGATTTTTGACTAAAGTGCCAAAGCTATACAATGGAGAAAGAATAGTCTTTTTCAAGAACTAGGTATCTGTGTGGGGCTGTAGGAGAGAATCCTTCATCTCTATCTCAGATCCTTCAAAAAGTTAATGGGGAATAGACCATAAATATAAACGTAAATATAAAGTCATTAAAATTCCCAAATAAAACACAGGAAAATATATTTGCCACCATAAGGTAGGCAAATATTTCTTAGGACACAAATAGGAAATGTGATAAATTGGACTTCATCAAAATTAAAAATTTCCACTCATGAAAAGACAGTGTTAAATAAATTAAAAAGCAAAACAAGTTACAGACTAAAAGAAATATTTACAATAAATGTAACGAACAAAGGACTTATCCTCGGAATATATAAAGAACAACTACAACCCATACAAAAAGAAAAACTAATGGTAAAATGGGCTCAAACAAATATTTCATGAGAATGTTCTATATCTTGATATGTCCGGTGGTTTCATGGTTGTATATATTTGCTAATACTCATGAAATTGACTACTTAATATTCATCAATGAATGAATGGAAAAGGAAAATATGGCATGTATACACAACGGCATACTATTTGGCTATAACAAGGATTGAAATTCTGTCATTTAAAGCAACATGAATAGTGGAACTGGAAATCATTATGTTACCTGAATAAGCCAGGCACAAAAAGACAAATATCACATGTTCTCACTCATATGTGGGGGCTAAGAACGTTGATCTCATGGAGGTAGAGAGCAAAATGATAGGAACTTGAGGCTGGGAGGGGTGGGCTGAGGGGCATAAAAAGAGGTGGGTTAATGGGCACAAACATACAATTAGATAGAAGGAATAAGTGCTAGTACTCAATTGCACAGTAGAGCACCTACAGTTAATAATAATGTATTATATATTTCAAAATAGCTAAAGGAGAAGACTTGAAATGTTCCCACAACACAAAATTCATCAATGTTTGAGGTGACAGATTGCCTAATTCTCTAATTTGATCATTAAATACTGTATGCATGTATCAAACTATCACATGTATGCCATAAATATACACAATTTTTATGTGTCAATAAAAAATTGTGCACTTAAAATCTGTGCATTTTATTGTGGTTAATTATACTCCAACAAATTTGATTAGAAATAAAAGAAAAGAGAAAATGATTCTACAATCCCACAACTGTTAAAAATTATTTACAATTTTTGGCAGTTTCTTCTATATTTAATCTACATGTTTACCTGTAGATCTTTCCTGCTTTCTCTTGTGGGCATTTAGTGCTACAAATTTCCCTCTACACACTGCTTTAAGTGTGTCCGAGAGATTCTGGTATGTTATGTCTTTGTTCTCATTGGTTTCAAAGAACATCTTTATTTCTGCCTTCATTTCGTTATGTACCCAGTAGTAATTCAGGAGCAGGTTGTTCAGTTTCCATGTAGTTGAGCAGTTTTGAGTGAGTTTCTTAATCCTGAGTTCTAGTTTTATTGCACTAGTTTGCTTGTCTATAAACTTATTTTCTTTTCTCTTTTTTTTTTCTTTTGAGATGGACTATCGGTCTGTTGCCCAAGCTGGAGTTCAGTGGCACAATCTCAGCTCACTGCAACCTCCACCTCCCGAGTTCAAGTGATTCTCCTGCCTCAGCCTCCCTAGTAGCTTGGACTACAGGAGCACCACCACACCTGGCTAATTTTTGTATTTTTAGTAGAGATGGGGTTTCACCATTCAGGTCATACCTGAACTTCTGACCTCAGGTGATCTACCTGCCTTGGCCTCCCATAGTGTTGGGATTACAGGCGTAAGCCACCACGCCCAGCCTATAAACTTACTTTCTAATGTTACTATAGATAAATTTTTGCTTTGTATTTGCATTCTCCATTAGTTGAGAGAGAAAATAAAGCATTCTTCATAGTTTCAAGTGTGTTTTTATGGTAATGCCTTATTAATGTTTCTACTGCTAATAATAATAGCCATGAAAAACCTCTTATTTTTCTGGAAATATCTAACATAATTTTTATGCATTATTATATTTTATACTCAAGTAATTCTTTAGGAAAAAATGTCAAAAACAAGTGGAAGACATGTTGAATTTTTTTTCTTTTTGTTTAAAGAATGAAAATATTCAAAATTATGACTTTGTCTATGAGTATAAATATACTTATTTTCTAAAAATTTATGACACGCTGTATTCTTCCTATTATTTTCTTCATATTTGAGTGCATATAGGAAATTTTTTAAATTGTGTCAGACTTGAAGTGGTGACGCACTGGTGAGAATTTTCAGTTTCACACAAGAGAATCTACCTTAGCTAGTTTTAGAGGAAAGAGATATCTGAATAAAGGAAGCTTATAGAATTACTGGGAGAGATGAAGAAATAAACTCTAAATTTTTGAAGAAATAATTCTTAGAATTTTATCATAGAACTGAACTTCTTTCCTTTTTGTTTTTTCCTTCTTGAGATGGAGTCTCGCTCTGTCGCCCATGCAATGGCATGATCTCCGCTCACTGCAACCTTTGCCTCCCTGGTTCAAGCAATTATCCTGCCTCAGCCACCTGAGTAGCTGGGACTACAGGCATCTGCCACCACGCCGGGCTAATTTTTCTATTTTTAGTAAAAATGGGGTTTCACCATGCTGGTCAACCTGGTCTCAAGAACTGATCTACTGAGGGGTTGCTGCCTCTCCTGAGAAGTTGATACGGATAATTGCTACCACTGCTTTGGGCTCCAGGTGATACTGTCTCTCCCAAAGTGGAAACTGTCATTGCTGCCATCGACTGCAGAAAATAACCAGAAAATGGGCAATTTGTTCCTTGCCTGTTTTTTTCTCAAGGTAAGTGAACCCCACTATATCTCATGGACAAAGCCTAAATCACCCATATGCATCTTGGTAGCAAATGAAATGAGAAATGCATAGTTTGTGCTTCATTCATTCATTGATTCATTCACTCATCCTCCCATTCAATTTACTGTTTTCTACAGTGGGAGTTTAGGGTACACTATGGATAATGCTCAAAATATAGTGGGAAAATTCAAAAATTTTTAGGCAGCTGTGAATGACAAATGTTCAGTAGAGTTGAATCTTTGTTTTTTGTTTGTTTGTTTTAGTGCATTTTTTTCAGAGAATTTGTCCTATTCAGTTCTTTTATTTCGTAATTTATTAAAGTCTTCTTTATGATTCATGCAGAAAAAAACCATAAGGTCTGCAAAAAAGTTACATGTGATTTTTGTCAAGAACAAGGATTCATACACACAGCTTATCAATCTTTTGTATCTATCATTATTTTTCATAAATTTTTATTCAAAAGTTACTTAATCTCACCAATGCCTTCCAACCACTGATTGTACTTTTTTTATTGAGCATCAGCTGCCTGAAAATTCACTTTCCACTTTACCCTACTTAAATTCTTCTGCTTATCTCTATAATCTTATTCCTGCATATTCCCTCAACTCTCCTGCACACCTTTCCATCCAGTGTACTCACTGGTAAAATCCAAACCACGGTTAAACCTAACTCTCCATTAATTCTGGGATTTTACACAAGCAGCTGAATCTATCTAGAAACTAAAAGCAAGACGACAGTTCTTGCTTTAAATCTATGTCCATAAACATCAAGAGCTCCCTCAACACTTTCAGCAATTCTATTGTATATTCTCTATTGATTCATTTTCTCAGTCTCACAAATTGCTACTTCACAACTTTTGGACTGCTTAGAAGATGACTGCAAATGTAAGTGTTTGAAGTAGAAACTAGAGACATTCAGAAGAAGATTTTCTCATCTCACCACTACCAAATCCAGTAACATCCCACCTTCACACCCATGTGCTCTGCCTTCCCTTATACAGCAATTCATGTGCATTTCTGCCCCCTTTTAAGGACAGCCTGTACCCTTCATCTCTTTTACCACATCATCAATTTCTCTGTCTCCACTGGATCATTCTCAGAGGCATATAAACACATCACTATATCTCCAATCTTATTACAAAAAGAAAAACCAAACAAACAACAATTTACTGTCTCACATACTCCTCTAGCTAGTCTAATCTAGCTAGTACAATCCATTCCTTTGTTCCCTTTCGAAGGAAAGTCCTTGAAAGAGGTATCTAAGTTTGCTGTCAATTCTTCCTTTCCTTTTATTTTCTTCTCAGCCAAATCAAGCTTTCATCCCCACCACATTACTGAACCACTCTCAACAGAGATGGATGTGCTATTAACGTGAATCTAAATAAAATTATAAGTATCAGGACCCTTGGCTTTCATAAGCCCCTGTAAAATTCTTGGGACCGTCTTGGCAATATTTTAATATGGGCATATGTTTTTGTAACATTTGCAAAGGAAAGATAAATTGATAGCAATTGGCTGGAGCAACTATCTTATTACACTCTGGCTTCCTCCCAAACGCTTCCCTAGAGTTAAGTGGTCTTTAGGTAGCCAAGAGAAGTTGATATTGAAATATGTTATTTCATTGTAACTCAGGGAGGCCTCTTAGTCTATTTCAATAAAACAAGTGAGAAGTAACAGATTTTTTATTTGGTAATAGATGTCACGTTTACGTTTGTGTATTAAGGAAAATACAAATTCAGATAAAAATTAATAGAATGTAAAAAATCAATAAAGATGAGTAATAAAATCAACAGAAACTGTTGAACCATAAAAATTGTATTCAAAAAATGCTTTCAGATTAGACCAAAAACTTTAATTCATTAAGAATTAAAGGAAGTAATTAATTCTCAATAGAAATAATATTTAGACTCTGGGACTGCTTAATAATCCAGTTGATGAAAAAGAAGGGATCACGTGAATACATTGGAAAAACATTTACATTTCTTGCCAAAATCTAACATGGATTCATATAGCGTAAACCAGATAATAAACCAGTACAATGGGGATACCTAAAACAAACTGCTCAGTGACTATCCTCAATTCAAAGAGTAAGATTAGTTTGAGCATGAAAACTTGCAATCAAGTCTTGAAGCTTGATGGAGCATTTCTCACATTTGACAAGTATCAAAAAAAGCTCAGGAGGACATTGTTAATAATGAGTTATGCAACTCAAAAAAAACTTCTTTAAAAAATCAACAGTAATTATATTTTGATCAACTATATTAGTTGAAAGAACAAATATATTTTATCTTTAGATAATGAATGTTATATGAAAAGATAAAGCCTACAAAAATATATAGGAAAAAAGTGTTGTGGCTACAGTGAAAAGTTATGTATAATAATGATAAACAATTATTTTCTCTTCTAGATTTTAGAATGTCTTTATATTTTTCAGCTTTTTAAACTGTTTAACATGGCTTTGTCTCTTTTCTCAGTATATATTACATACTCACTTTTATATCTAGTTTGTACTTATAATTTTATAGTGTTGTTTATAGAAGTCCCCATAAACTGAATAAGCTCCAGACCCTCCAAATCTCAAGGTTACCAATTACATCCATCTTGCCAAACTTAATGTTCCATTATTAAAAATTATCTACTAAATCTTTCTGATATGGTTTTACTCTGTGTCCCCACCCAAATCTCACCTTGAATTGTAATAATCTCCACGTGTCAAGGACGGGACAAGGTAGAGGTAATTGGATCATGGGGGCAGTTTCCCCCACGCTATTTTCATGTTAGTGAGTAAATTTTCATGAGATCTGATAGTTTTATAAGTTTCTGGCAGTTCCCCCTGCTTGCACTCACTCCATCCTGCTGTCCTGTGAAGGTACCTGCTTCTCTTTTGCCTTCTGCAATGATTGTAAGTTTCTTGAGGACTTCCCAGCAATGCAGAACTGTGAGTCAATTAAACCTCTTTTCTTTATAAATTACCGAGTCTCAGGTACTTCATAGCAGTGTGAGAATGGAGTAATATACAATAAGCAATTTTTGATATAACTGATTACTCCTTCCTGCTTCAAACTTTTTTTCCATAGGATTCTAACCCCCACTCTGTTCTGATTTTCTTTCATTCTCATAGCACCACCCTCAGTCTCTTTTGGTGGAAGCTTCTTCTCTTTCAAACCTCTAAAAATGGAAGTGTCTCAAGGCTTACATCTAGGGGCATATTTTACCTACCCTCCAGCTCTTTTCCCTTATCCTCCTTTATCTATTTACTATTTACCTCACTGACCACATAGGATGTCTTATCTAGACTCATGGCTTCATGTATCATCTCTATGCAGAAGATAATCAAGTTAAGTTTTTAATCCAATCTTCTCCCCTAACTGTTTAAATTTTATATCTGACACCTTCATCTGGAAAAATAAGATACATCTCAATTAAGTATGCTTGAAAATGAATGCTTGATTTTTAAAGACTCCTAACACCTGCCTTCCATCAGTCTTTCCTAACTCAATTAACAGTGTCTCTATCCTTTTAGCTTTTCAGATGGCAATTCTAGAAGCCATCATCATTTTTCCCCTTTGTCTCACACCTCATATTAATTCCATTTCATTTGGTTTGCTATAATCTTTAAATATATTTAAGCCGGATCACTCACAGAACTTGTAGTAGTATATTGTTTCTTTTCTTCTATTAACATAGGAGAACTATAAATTGAGAGATATGTTTTGCCTTTTGTTGCTTTTTAGGTTCCCATCATCCACTTTTCATAAATAAATAAATACAAATGTTAATATTATGACATTAAATAGTTTATGACAATTATTTATGTATTCAAATTAAATCCTTTAATTAGAATGACTACAAACTCATAGATGATATTAGGAATGTATAAGAACAACTGCCTTCCAACTGTCCCTATGGAAAAAGATATCCAGAACATGTGCAGAGAATGAGAGCAGCACTCCAAAGCTTCTATTACTACACTGTGCTAAGATGAATGATGGCCCACTAAAGATGTTCAAATCCTAATACCCAGGAACCTCTGACTATGTTTGTTACCTTACATGCAAAAAGGATTATACAGAAGTGATTAAATTTAAGGCTGTTGAGAAGAGGAGATTAATTCAGATTATCTGAGTGGGCCAAATCTAATCTTATGCGTTCTTATAAAAGAGAAGCAGGGGTGTCGGAGACAGAGAAGATGTGACAGCCAACACAGAACTCAGAGAGAGTAACAAAGAAGCGGGGAGTGGGGGGAAATTGGAGGATGCTATCCTCCTTGATTTGAGGATTAAGGAAAGGGCAATAAACCAAGGAATGCAGGAGGCTCCAGAAGGCAAGGGAACAGATTCTCATTAAACCCTCTAAAGCTGAGTTTTGATAGGTGCACTTTAGCCCTGTAAGACCTATTTTCAGATTTCTAACCTCCAGAACTGTAAAATAATAAATTATGTTGTTTTAAGCCAGTAAATTTTAGTAATTCCTTATAGCCACAGTAGGAAACATACAGGTACACAGGAGTTCTCCTATATAAAATGGCACTTTTGTTTTAAATGCATGCTATCTAGAATTCCATTCTCTGCTGCTAATATGGTGACTCCAATGTCCTTTTTTAATTTCTCCTACAATGTGCTTGGACTGTATTTTCTCATCCATTCACTTTGGATTTTTCTTACTTTGTGAAAGAATTACTGTTTTTAGAGTACATTCATTTTGCTTTCCAAAAATATATTTTTTACAAAATAGGGAAGTTAGTACACTTACAATTGTACCTTCATTATATGTATTTGCCCTAAATTAAAGTTTTCTACTTTCTTCTATTTGTATTTAGAGTTTACCATTTTTACCTTCTATCTCATACACATATATTTCCTTTTGGTCTAATTATCCTTTTTCCTTCTTTCACTCCATATGTCACATTAGTCTCTGTTCTTTAAAATAGAGAAAGCTTTGTAAACTTTTACTCACTCTTGATGTATATTGAGAGTCTCTTGTTTATCCAGAAGTAGTTATGTACAAATCAAACATTTATATTTTTCACACAAAACTTTTACATATGTCATTTTATTTAACTCTCACAAAAATCCTGCACTGCAGGCAGAATGATCTCATTTTTCTCATTCTACAGAGTACTAGAACTCTTAAGCCTCATTAAACTCCTCTTCTTACAATCACCGCCTTCACTATCAACTGATTATCTCAAATAAGAACAGAGAAAGAAGATGCCACAATGCTATCTATGGAAAAGCCTTTATTAGCTTATTGTACCATCACTTACACATCTGTATTATAATTTGTTTCTTTAAAATAAGTCAGCTCTTAGTAGTAGTACTGATTCTGATGTGACCTTAGTTTGAGAGCTGGTAGAGGAAATTACATAATCACATTGAAAAGGTATCGCAAATTAAATTATGAGGGAGTGCCCAGGATAAGCAAAAATAGGACTGATCCTACTGTTGATGGATAATTTTGTCATTAAGTCATTTTACTTACTTACTTTGACACATTCTCTGACACATAATGCAAATTGGACTTCTGTTCAACATATTTAGCCAGAAAAAAAGTACCAAAAGGTGTTGGAAGGGAAAGGTATATGTTCTTAGAGAAAATATGTTTTAACATAAATTATAGTAAACTCTGATATCTCAATTATAGATACTGATACAATGATACGTGAACCAGGTTTGTAATAACTGAGCTCAGATCAACAACACCACTTTTTTTATTCTTCTTTCATGCAGATAAGAAGGAAATAAAGCAGGATTTATTGAGTGCTTGTGAATACCAGGTATCATACTAAGTACATTTATATATTGTTTCAATTAGGTTTTTGTCCTTGTAGACATTTTATTCTATTCAATGTGCTGTTTTGAAAACTGTGATGAAATGACATTTTTAAAAAAATGACCAAGGACAGAACACACAGCAAGCATGATATTTTAAACCACCTACAACTTACAGTATAAGACTGATACAGAAAACAGAAAGCTGATATTAGATCTGTCCTGTTACAATATGAAATCTAGTTCCAAAAAATATAACCATCCCCTGATGCAATGATTCTCAAAGTGTGGTCTTGGATCAGCAGAATCAGCATCCCAAAGGAACTTCTTAAAAGTGTATATTATTGGGTCCCTTCTTAGACCTATGAAGTCCAGCAATCTGTGTTTAGCTAGTTCCCTAGGGGCTTGTGGATGCTCTTCAAGTTTGTGAAGCACTGCTCTTGTCTTTGCCTTTCTGCTCCACTTTTTTCTTTCACCCTGCAAACGCTCTTGTCAGACAAATCTTTCATAGTTGGAAACCCTCAGTGAGGAAATTTTTTATTTGGTTCCCTGGGTTATATATTTTTCCTAGACTATTTTTTTTTTTTGGCTTCAATATAGTGTGTGTGAATCTCATTCTCTCCATTCCACATTACTATCAACTTTTTCTCCTCCTAAAAGGCTCAGTTTGTTGGCTAAGTATCATTAAATTCATTTTGCTGTGTCTGAAAGGGAAGTGAGCCATTAAGGGAAAGCTCCATTGGATCTGTGAGTCGTAATGGTTTGATAAAACTTTTACAATTTTTTTAAAATTTCATATTAGATATAAAAATGTAGAGTCTCTTTCTTATGAAATGGGTGGGTTTTGCTTGGGCTGTATTATTTGCCCAACTGAATGTGGGGCCCTGGAATCTCTTTTAATAAAATGAATTGTGGTGGACAGGGGCTGAGATGATACTGAATGATTGTGTCATTTGGTGACACCATGATTGTGTCATTCATGGTGTTCACACTTTTGTGTTATCCCCTTCCTTTGAGTTTTGGCAGGACCTGTGACTAGCCTCCAACCAATGGACAATGACAAAGATGATAGGCTGTCACATAGCTAGGTTTCTCACATAGAATTTCATATCAGCCAACAGGAGCTGGAAACTCTTCTTGCAGTCTTGAGAAAGTAGGTGGTCATGTGGAACAAACTGTAGACAGCTTAAAGGCAAATTCCAGCCAACAACTAGCAAAAATCTGAGCCTTCAGTTAAACAGAAGCAGTGAAATCAATTCTGCCCACAACCTGAATGACCTTGGAAGCAGATTCTTCCTCAATTGAGCCTCCAGATGAGAATGCAGCCTGGCCAACAACTGCCTCATTAACTGTGAAACTGACTCTGAGCAGAGGACAAAGCAAAGCTGTGCACAGACTCCTGACTTACCAAGCCTGTGAGATGATATTCCCAAATTATTTTAAGCTGATAGATTCCTGGAAATTTTATTACATATCAATAGAAAATGAATACACTAATTATCTCTGATTTTTCTGCCCATTTCACTCATCATTTTTCCCTGGCAGTTGCCCAAGATGTGAAAAAATAAAGAAAACTTGAAAGTTCGGGCTTCATGGTTGCTAATGGGCTCCTTGTCTCTCTTTTCCCTCCAAGTTACCCACACTTCCCCATAGATCATATGTTTTTTAATTTATCTTATATGTTTAGTCCTATTTTCAGTAGAAGTAGTTATTTCTGGGAGATCATAATTATACCAATTTCTCTCTCTTGTGTTTTCTTCACAGAATGGGAAAAACAAATCCTAAACCTTAGAAATGCCCCTGCCTGGTGAACTCTGTGGTGGCTGAGAGGGCTTCTTTTCTGCAGGAGTTTTCAGATCTTTCCTTCTGGCTTCCTAGTTATCTCTTCACTATGATTTTCTCCAAATGTGAAGCATTTATGCGACTAGGCCCTTTAGCTTTTCTGCATCACATCTGGGAAGGCTGAGATAGAAACTGAGCCTTTCTTAATGCTGCCTTTTCTCTCTTTCCCCAGTTGCCACTTTTAAAAAATTATGGCATAAGATTGTGACCTTTCCTTAGTATCAATAATGCAGGTGTTGTTTGCTAGCTTCCATCTTATTTTGTGTCCATTTTTTAGAGAGGATAATGTTTTTTGAAATATTTCATGTTCTGTAAATCTTCTTTCCCTCTGGCTTTCCTCCCATTGAATCAATGGGTTTCAATGCTGCAAGGGAAAGATGAGCTACTAGCTAAAAAAACCGAAACCATTTCTCAACTTTGACTGTTATTTCTTCTTTACCCCTTGTGAGGCAATAGTTTTGAAAGCCAGGCTTTGTTTAAAACAATGTTTTACAAATTCTTTGAGTTACCCCTAACCTATCCAAGAGCAATAATTATGAATTTTGATGTTACCTTTGTATAATGTTGTTGGATATTATCTTGTATGGATGTTATGTTTGGATGTTATCTTTGTATCTTTGGATGTTATCCTTTGTATAAGCGAATGCATCTCAAAGTGTAGTCCCTGGATCAATAGCATTAACATCATCTAGGAACTAGTTTGAAATGAACATTTTGGTTTTTTTCTCAGAACTATTCAATAAGAATCTCTGGGAGTGGGGCCTAGCAATCTATGTTTCATCAAGTCCTCTAGATGATTCTGATACACAGTAACATCGGAGAACAGCTACTGTGAAGATAACTGATAAGTGAAGAGAAATAGAAATAAGTCATGATATGACACAGATAAAATTGTTGAAACATGCATAAGGCAAAATTTCTACCTTTTCCACCTCAGGGACAATAGGAAGGCAAAGTGAGGAATTATACCTAGTGAAAACAACCAGATATATATAGGAATTGTGAAAACATCAGAGCTAGAGGCCAGCTGCATTAGGGCATAACCTAGAGTTTGGGTGGAATACAAGTCTTAGGAAAAGTTCCATATTTACTTAGCACCATGTTTAAAATGGTAGAAGAGCAATAAAGTAGGGTTGGCAAAGGAAATTTGTGAGATCACCTAAGATAATGCTGCTGCTTTTCCATGGCTTGTCCATGGTATGCAGGACACTCTGATTTTCTTCCTGTACCTCAGGCAGGGGACATGGAAATATGGAAGGGACTGACAAGGGCCTGGGGCTGGGAAGAGGGGATTGTTATGTGTGGAAAACTGAATGACAAGAGATGATCTCAGACAAGCATACTGCCAATTGTCAACAGCATTGGGCATGAGAAAATGCTCAAAAACTAGGCAGAACCTGATTATCATAAGTGGAGTCAGTGTGGGCAGAGGCTGCTGCCCAGAGATAAATGAGCTGGGATAGCTTTGCTGGGTTCCTGCAGAGAAACACAGAATTTGTACCCCTTTCTGTCAATAATAATTTCCCCTTTATCCAGAAACTATATTGTGAAAGTAGAGTAGGAAGAAGGAGGAAATTCTATGTAAGAATTTGAATTCTAATTAATGTAATATATACAAAAAAGGAATAATTTCAACTGAGAGAGATATTTAAACCAGTGGTCCCTGATTTATTGCTGAGTGGTGTTTAAATATCGACCTCATAACCCCCATCCTGCTCCCAGTTTGAGTGTAAGTGCATGAAAGCAATAATATCAGTTATAGAAAATAATGCTACATTTTAAAAGAAACAATATAATCTTGAGTTAAAATTTTAATATGGATATTGTTAATTTTTAAAGGCTGAACTTTTGGATTCCATTTCCTTCTCCCATCTTTCAGCGTCTATTCAAATATTTTTCTTAACTCTGCCTCTCAAAGACAAATCATAAAGCTGATTTTTTTTATTTTAGGTAAAGTATCTTTATTAACTGCCAATTTGATACAATTGATTTAGCTTTAGTATAAACCACAAAATCAGAAAAACTAGCTAAAATTATATATATGCAATTTGATTGTTTATAAAATTATTTTAAAACATACATCATTGAAGAAAAATAATAATTTTCCTAAACAGATTGAGTTGCATGTATTCCCAATGGACTTTTTATTTAACTTATTTTTAGGTGATTTTCTTGAGGATACAATGTACATATCACTACAATATCTATCTATAGATTTCTTTATGATAAAATTGACTTTTGTAAAGCTATATCCAGATAGTGCTGAAATAAATTATTCCACCTCCTTTGTAACATTAGAAAGTGCTTTCCAGGCACTTTCAAGAAGATTACATTGGTAAGTTTTACGTCTTGACTGTCTGCTTTTTCTGTGTGTAGAGATATGAAGAACCTATGGGGGGCGTTAAGAAAAGTTCCCACATAATTATGGGGATGTGAGAAGAGAAGAATGCTGATTTCATATATTTCATTCATTTAAAATAGACAATTTCAGTGACTACTTTATCCTATTCTAAGGCCTAGAGACCTCAAGATGGGCGGGGTGGGGGGGGTGTGAGGAGATGCTGCAGGTAGCAGCTACTCTCAAGTAAGTCCCTCACAATGCAGTTCCAAGACAAATATATAAATAACGACAGACTAAATGATAATTTCTAAGAATGAAAGTGTACACAAAGTACAGTTGTATTGTAAGAGAAAGATACACTTATATTGGAAGTAGTCAGGGGGACATCACAAAGGAAGCAACATCTGAGCTAAAATTTTTAAAAGGAATTCTTAAGAGTGACAAGCAGGAGAAAAGGAAGGTGAAGCTTTACTCTGGATATACTTCTGAGAAGAACTGAAAATTCAGGGTAAAATACTCTTGTAAGCTGTAGTGATGAAACTGTGACGCACCAGCAGTGTTGAATCGGGGAAACAAAAGCTGAGAGATACTCATTGGTTTTATCACTGAAACAAAGACTGGGAAGTTGTATAGGGTTAATTAAAAGGAGAATCTAATCAGATACAGTTGGTGAATCCTGGAATGGATTGTGGAGGCCATTTAATGATCTTTCTAAATATAAGGCCAGCTGACTTTGTGTCTACTTTGTTAGAAAGAAAAGGAAAAGTAAGAAAGATAATTTTTATTAGAGTCAAAATTTGTATTCCTGCATTAGCCATAAACCCAGAAAATAAGCTACTGTTCGTGGAAAAACCAAACACTGTAAAATAGTTAAAGAGGTTTATTCTGAGTCAATATGAATAACCATAGCCCAAAAGAACAGTCTCGAAAGGTCCTGAGAAAGTGTGGCTGAGGCAGGTGGGTTACAGCTTGGTTTTGTACATTTTAGGGAGACAGGAATTACAAAGACATAAACCAATATATGGTAGGCATACATTGGTTTGGCCCCAAAAGATGGGACATCTAGAAGCGGTAGGATGCAGGGGGTAGAGTGTTACAGGTCATAGATTGATTCAAATATTTTTGATTGGCAATTGGTTGAAAGACTTAGCTTTGTCTAAAAAATTGAAGCCAGTGTAAAGAAATGCGTGCATTAAGATAAAGGGGGCTATGGAAGCCAATGTTCTTGTTATGTAGATGAAGCCTCTAGGTAGCAGCCTTCAGAGAGAATAGATGATAAATATCTATTTTCAGGCCTTAAAAGGTGTCAGACTCTTAACCTCTCCTAGATCCAGGAAAGGCCAGAAAAGTGTAGGCCTGGCTGCATTAATGGAGATTCTCTACAGGTGCAAATTTCCCCCACAAAAGATGGCTTTGCATTTCAAAATATGTCAAAGTGTATATATGTGTGTGTGTGTGTGTGTGTATATGTATATATACACACATATATACACACACATATACACACATACACACACATACATACGTATATATATTTATATATATACACATATATACTTACATATATACGTATATATTTTCAGTTCTTCTCAGAAGTATATCCAGACTAAAGCTTCACCTTCCTTTTCTCCTGCTTCCTTTTCTCCTTTTCTCCTTTTCTCCAGTGCCTGCTATCTGTCATGTGATGCTATATCAGAGTCAGGTTGGAATTTGGTATCTAATTGCCACAAAGAGTCTATTTTGTCAGTCTTAGGTCTGTTCTGCCTAATTCCAAAAGGGAGGGGATATAATGAGGTGCATCCAACCTCTTTCCTCATGGCTGGGAATTCAGTCTTTTAGGTTTCTCTGGCCTCCCCTTGACCAAAAGGGGGTTCATTCAGTCAGTCGGGGGGCCTAGGATTTTATTTTTGATTTACACCAACTTCTGATTATTAAGCAGAAAAATATTCCTACCAAATAACAGAATTCATAAACTGCATCTCATAATATCAACTGCAGTGGAAACTACAAAAATATTAACTTATGCAAATGAAGACTTCCTCTATGCCTAATAAGCCAGAATTTTAGAGAGTTCCTGTTAGACCTGTGCTAATGATATAGGTTGATAAATTTTCAAGTTAAACTCTCTGATAGGACAAGAGTACTGCCATCTTAATGAGATTCCACCATCTTAAAGTATCAAGCTTTTATTTCTCAGAACTGTCTGTTGCTACCTGACCAAACCACAAATGTCAGTCCTGCCCATATCTTCAACAGAACATAATGACCCTAATTGCAACAAAGCTTATCAAAGTCCAGCTAGCATTTTCCTAGCCCCTCACCGATAGGAACCTCTCTTAGAGCACACTTCCCCCACCAAGCCCTTTTTAAAAGCCTTAGGCTGTAAGAGAAGTTTGCTCCTGACCCTGCCAGCCAAAAGCCTTTCTGAGGTTTACTCTCAATAAACCTGTCTCAACTGTTGAGGTGCCTTCTCTTCTCTCCCTTCCTTCCATTTCTCTACCCTAGCACTCTCCTTCCTTGAGAAACAATGACAAATGTGTTTAATATGTGATACACACCATTGGCTGAGTTGATCTTGTTAGCAGCAGTGAATTCATATGGGTCTGTATCAACTTCAATTCTTGCCTCCTCAAAAGAAAGAATTCAGCCAAGGGGACATAAGGCAGACTGAGAGACTGAGGCAAGTTTTAGAGCAGGAGTGAAAGTTTATTCAAAAGTTTTAGACTAGAACGAAAGAATGTGAAGTACACTTGGAAGAGGGCCAACCAGGCGACTTGAGAGATTCAAGTGCCCTGTTTGAACTTTGACTTGAGGCTTTATACCCTAGTATGCTTTCAGGTTCTGTGTTACTTCTCCCCTGATTCTTCTTTTGGGGTGGGGTGTCCTCATGCCCAGGGTCCTGCCAGCACTTGGAAGGGATCACATGTGCAGTGTGTTTACTGAAGTTGTGCACATGCTCACTTGAGGCATTTTTCCCTTACCAGTAGGTCATATACCAGTTACACTCTGCCATTTTGCCTCTTAAGTGTCCATGCTTGGGCCCATTCATTGTCCAACTCCTGAGATCTTACCAGGAAGCTGCTGATAACCAGCTTCAGGTGTTTTCTATGTATTGGGAGACTGCCTTTCCCTGGCACCATCTGTGACCGTTTATTATTTTAGAGCGACAGCATAACAACCACCTGAACATCACCTGATGGTTGCTTGACATTCCAGGAGTGGGGCCTCTTCTGCTCTGCTTATGTCTGCCTAACTTCCCACTGTAACAATCTCATTGGCAGAATTTTAAATATTCTTGATTGTAATTTACCTATGTTACTCTATGCTAGTTCTGATCATTGCCCCTCTGGGCACTTACTCTCTTCCATATATATTAGAAACAATCTCTGAAGCTCTAGCCAAGTAGCATTGCTCGGAATGCAACCAACTCTGCTCCCCAAACACAGTGTAAGACCAATAAGCCTGTTCAAAATGCTAGAAAATAGAAATTCTAGACTTAATTACCAAATACTGTGCTATCTTTCTCATCAGACTCCTTATTCCTCTTTCATAAAAACGTTAGTTCTAATGGCAGCTTTGTGAGATGAAACCTCACTGTAACTGTGTCTTAACGTGAGTTCAGTGCAGCTGAAGAACATATTTTAATCAGTAATAACAATCTTCTCAATTCTGCGTCCTATGGTTTTATGTTGGGTAAAACAACTCACCACTTAGAATATAGACAGCTAATTCCTTGTTACCTCTACTTGTAGTGACTAAATTCACATTCAATTGAACTATAGCGGTTCATATTCCTTCTCTTTGTTTATTTTGTTTCTTTTTATATACACATAAAATAGTTTTATTCATATATTCAAAGTGAACTCACACTTAATAGTATAATCCTCCAAAGCTGTGACTGATAGTGTCAGAACAATTGTAAATATAAGACAATTGAAGATTTGTTTAATCATTGTTAATGAAATGAAATAGAGAAATTGTTGTAAAATTCATCCTGTGGTGTTATGTTCTGTTTAGACCATGTGAAAGTACATAAAGAATTTGAGTTGGCATGACCTAGAATGAAGGACATCTGTACTTGGAGAAAGGGATAACTATGCCATCTTGTCCTGCTACCTAGAAATGTATTTATGACAGTCTTTGACTGCCAGATTACGTGTCTTATTGTTGATGCCAATTTTTTTGTATGAAGTTGCATGTGTGTCATAGCTCTTAAAATACTTTCAACAAAGGAGGCCATTTTCATGCATTCTAAATACAAATAAATACTTCGTTTGTGGTTCTGACCATACTCTAATATCTATTACATTTCTAAAACTTTCTATATGGCCTCCTACTTAACTGATTTCTATGAATATTCCATGTTGTTTAAAAATTTAGTACTTTCTCTGAATCTCATGTAAGATCCATGTATCTGTCTATCTTTACCTATCTATCATTTCTCTATGTCCACTGATAGGATATTAATGGTTTATGCACATTCATATACACACATATAAAATATTTCCTTTTTTTTGCTTAATCTATATTTTTTTCTGACAATGAGTAAAAACTCCAACACAAACGTTGATTTATCTATTTCTTTCCTCTCTTTAACAGTTTCCTATGTTTTGAAGGAAGCTGGTTAGGTGCATATATGTGTATATCATTATAATAGTATCTTTTTCTTTTTATTTTATCAGAATGTAATATTACTTTTTCTCTTATAAAGCTTTTCACTTTAAATTCTATTCTGCTCTGAAAGAAAATCTGTTATCCAAGCTTTCCTCTCACTGCCTGTAATATCCTTCTAGTCATGTAATTTAAACTTTTAGAATTATTTTCACCTAAAGTCAGTCTGTGTAAATTACAAGTATTAAATCTTGGATAATTGTTCAGTCTGAGGGTTTCGCCCCTTCGACTGTTAAGTTCTATTTATTGAATTGCATGTGATATATTGTTATGTTAGGATATACTGCCTTTTTTGTTCATGCTTTATTTTGCAAAATTTTATTTATTCCTCCTTTTTTCTTATCTGCCTTCAATTAGATAGAATGATTGTTGAACTAAAAACTATTCATTTCATCTTTATTTTTCTGATGTTTTCCCTAACAATCATATTAACTTTCCTCTAACCATTTTAAAGTATCCATAATATTTCCCTAAACTATTAATAGTTCTTAGCATACTCAACTGTATTTCCCAGCTCTTATTGGTAACATATGGAATCTTAGTTCTGCTTATGGATATGAGAGGAGGTTAAGAAATTGTTGCATAGTTTCTTGATGGATTTCCCTTCTTGCTTTTTTTTCTTCTAATTGTTCTCCCACCTTCTTTCTATATCTAAAATACTGTATTCAAATATTTTGTTTCAAAGATAGTAGACGAGGTATACAATTTCAGGATATAATTTATTTTTTTCTGAGTTTTAAAACTATAATTTTATTTCCTTCATGAGACTGGAGCTTTTAAAAGAAGTCTGATGTGATTTTAATTTCTGTTTTCCCTACCGTGGCCTGCTCTTATTTATTTATTGATTTATTTATTTTTTGAGACAGAGTTTCACTCTTGTTGCCCAGGCTGTAGTGCAATGGCACGATCTCAGCTCACTACAAACTCCGCCTCCCAGTTCAAGTGATTCTCCTGCCTCAGCCTCCCGAGTAGCTGGGATTACAGGTGTCCGCCACCATGGCTGGCTAATTTTTGTATTTTTAGTAGAGACGGGGTTTCACCGTGTTGGCTAGGCTGGTCTCGAACTCCTGACCTCAAATGATCTGCCCACCACGGCCTCCCAGAGTGCTGAGATTACAGGCATGACCCACTGCAGCCGGCTGCCTGCTCTTATTTTTAGAAAATTTTTGACATTACTTTTTTGTCTTGAATGTTTTCACATATCATCACTGTAATATGTAAACATGTGAATTTTTTCAGCTCTTAGATATTTGGATATCTATAAATACTTTTAACCTAATTTCCTTAAGAAAAATTTATGTTTATTATTTCTTTAAATACACCTTCCCTTTTATGAATTTTTTTCTATTATTTATTTATACTTATAATCTTCAACATATCTTAATTTTTAAAAATTATAACTTTTTAATGTATTTGTAGTACAGTCCCTTGTTTTGACAGTAGAGCAAATCAATTTACTCTTTGACTATATCCTTTCTGCTATGTATGCCTATTTAAGCTCTTATTGTTAACTATAATATTTTTCATGTATTTTCATTTGGCTTTTATTTATAATTACTTAATCTTTATGCTTTTTAAAAATTATATATTGATGCATCATCAGTCATAGAAACTTGGCAGATATAGAAACTAGCATTTTGAAAAAGTAATAAACAGTACAGTATTTTGTTTTCTTATAATAGATAAATGTAAATCCTTTAAAATAGTTTATTAATTCTACTTTTATCTAATATGAATTATGCTACTCAATTTCCACAACTTTTTTCTATGCAAAACCCACATTTTCACAGGTTCATCTTGACCAGTCATGTGTACTCAGGAAAATGGGCTAAAATCCCAAACTTAATTCAAGGAATAGTAAGTTTATAATTAATTTTATACGATAGTGCCACAGTGTTTTTCAAAGTGGCTATAACATATAACATTGCTTCCAAAAATCAATGGTAATTCAGTTCTTCTGAATATATACGAGCACTTGGTTGGTCAGGTTTTTGTTTCGTTTTGCTTGTTTTTTTTGTTGTTGTTACTGTTGTTATGTTTGCTTACTAATTTGTTAGACTTTGTTTTCAATTTACTTGTTTTAAATGGTGTGTAGCCATATCTCATTTTGGTATTAATTTGCATTTCCCTAATAACTAATGATATTTCATGTGCTTATTTACCACCTGAATATCTTCCTTGCTGAAGTGTTTCCTCAAATATTTTGCTCGTTTTATTGGTTTGAATATTTCTATTGAGTTTTGAGAGTTTTTAATATTTTCTTGCTACAAATCCTTTACCACTTATAAACACTGTAAATATCTTTTCACACTTCATATCTTGTCTCTTCATTCTCTTAATATTATCTTTTAAGTAACAGCAATTTATAATTTTTATGAAGCCCAATTTCCTATGTTTTTCTGTTATGCATTGTGTTTTTGATGTTATATATATGAAATGTTTAACTAACTCAAGATTTTGCCCTGTTTCTCATAGAAGTTTTATATTTTATGATTTTTTTTAGGTCTATGATCCATTTTGAATGATTTTTATATAAGGCAAGGTATTTATTTATTTATTTTTAAATTTTAGATTCAGGAGGTCCACGTGCAGGTTTGTTACAAGGATATATTGCATAATGCAGGGGTTTAGGCTTCTACTGAACCCAAGAAAGCATTACGGAGATTTCTCAAAACTAAAGAAAAAAATGGGTATCCAATTATTTCATAACCATTTGTTACGAAAACTGCTTTTCCCCTCATTGAATTTCCTTTGTACCCATGCTGCAAATCAATTAACCACCTATGTGTGGGTACATTTCTAGAGTATTGTGTTTCATTGATCTATGTATCTTTTCTTTAGTTAATACCAGTTTCTTCATAATTGTAGTTTAGAGTTAATCTTAAATTTAGATAGTGATTCTTCCATCTTTGTAATTGTTTTTCAAAATCATTTTGATTGTTTTTATTCATTTGCTTTTCTACACAAATTTTAGATTCACCTTGGTTATTTCTAGGAAAACAGTTCTAGGATATTCACTGAAATTGTGATAAATCTATAGATCATCTAGAGAATGGATGTCTTAGTAATATTAATTTTCCAACCCATGAACATGGTGTATCTCTCCATGTATTGAGGTAATCTTTGATTTCTTTCATAAATATGTTGTAGGTTTCAGCATACAGATAGATCCAGCATTATTTTAGATTTAATACCTAAATATATTGTACATACTATTTCAAGCAGTACTAAATTTTATTTTTCAATTTCTAATTTTATATTACTAATCATATAGAAAGACATTTAATTTTTGCCTATAAATCTGAGGTCCACAACTTTGCTAAACACAAATACTAGTTCTAATAGCTTACCTATAGAGTCTTTTAGATTTTTCTGTATAGGGAATCATGTTGATTGTTTGATTTCTTCTTGTCTAAGCTATCTGAATTTTATATTTTTACTTGCCTTATTAAACTATGAACTCAGTACGTTACTGAATAAGACGTCATGAAAGCGATGTTCCTGATTTTAGAGGAAAACATTTAGCCTTTAACTATTAAGTATATTAATTGTAGGATATTGTTCCTTTTCCTAGTTTCTTGAGAGCATTTCTAGTCCCCCTTGAAAAACCTGGCTTTATTTGGAAGTCTCAGTTTTCTGTTGATGAATAATATCTCAGCTCATGCTCACTAAAGCCTATGTTCAGTTTCCAGTTGCCAACAGAGTCATCAAAAAAATATTCCCACCATGTCTTTGAGACCTTTCATTTCCAACTCTGAAAATTAGCACCACCCCTAACATTCACACATACGTGCTTTTCTTGTTGATGTTGTTGGGCTCTGCTACATATGTTTGAAAGTGATATATTTTTTCCAGGTGTCATAAGTATAGTACACTAGTTTACTCTTCCATATTGCTGAAATCATAAGTTATTATCCCCATTTTAGAGATTAGGAACCAACAGTAACTTCTTTTGGGAAGAGAGGAAACTGGGTTCCCAATAAGTTAAGAAATGTATCAAATTTAAATCTACCTCATCTTAAAGTCAGTCTTTTTCTGGTAGTCTGTGAAACAGTATCTGAACGTATACAGGTGAACAGCAGGTCAGCTGGAACAGTATGACTTAGGCAACATGCATAACTTAATCAGAGGTTTATAAAATATTTTAGATTTATAAAAGTGAAAATAAAGATTTTGTTAATGAAAAAGTTTGGCTAATTTGCTAACAATTTTTACCAGTTTAAATCACAACTCAATGACATTTCAAATGTATACAGAAGGTAAAAATAATGGAACAGATAGTATTACATTACTTTTAATGGCAAAAACCGCAATTACTTTTGAACCACCCTAAAAGAATGTTATGAATCAATAGACTTCTAATTAAATAATGGAAATTTCAAATATACAGACTAACATATAAAGAGATCTTTCTAATTACCATCTTTTCTGACATTAAATATCTTATCATATACTATATGTTTCCAATTATTTTAGCTTTATGTAGTACTCTGAATAAATTTGTTTATAAGAGCCAGACTTTAAATTAAATAAAAAAAGGAACAAATGAACTAACTTTCCGTTTTGCTTTGTTTCCATGAAAGCCATTTTTACCTGTTCAGATAACATAAATATTTACTTCTAAATACAAATCACTTACATTTTTTAAATCCATGTTATTTGTTGCCTTTTAATCATATTCAGTGACATTCTGCTTTGCATTGTGACATTTAAAGCAATATAAATTTCCAACTGCCCATCTGAGGACTATACTTTCAAACATTTTAACACCTTAATGACTTCCTACTGAAGCATAAAAATATTTATACATTCATATTTCAAAGCATTTAGACTATGGGAAGCTCATAATAAGATACAAAAAAAAAACAAATTATTATTACTAGAACATAATTTGCATGTGTGTCTACATATGCATAAAGAAGGAAAGGAAAAAATGCTTTGCCAAAGTGACTTTTTACAGATAATCATAAAATGGAAGGAAGGAAAATAATTGACTTCTTCCCAGTGTGATATTTACACAAACCTCTTGACAGCATGAAGCAACAACTATCAAGCCTCAATTTGTGCTAAGTGTTTTCATATGGGAATGGATGAAATAACTCCGGATTTAACAGATTTTCAGATCTGCTGCTTTTTTATGTCCCCAATATTTTCCAATTGCTCTAGTAGTCATCAATTTATCTTTTATCACCTGAGTTATTAAAGATGGGCACTACAGTTAATCCTGTTTACCTCATAGCCTATTCAAATTGTCATAATATACATCAAAAATGTCCTCATGGATTGTCATAAATAGAGCTAAATGAAGATTCAGAGAATTTACTCTGAAATATAAATGCTAAAGCAAGGCAGTCTTAAATGGTTTAGGTTGGTGCCTAAGTAGGTTTATTTGAGAGGCACTCAGGAAAGATCTCTGCTGGGAAAGTAATTTGTCCCCTTTTTGACACAATGCCTGAAATTGCACATTCAGGATTCATTCCTTCGTCTTATGCAAATAACTCTAGAATGCAAATAACCCTGGAAATTAGGTCAATAGTTCCCAGTCTTGCCACATGTTCATTTGTTGTTTACAGATCAATTGATTTTGTTACCAATGTCCAATTTCTATCACTTATTAAACATTTTCAACGAGAGCTGTGGCCCTTTGTTATTTGACCCTCATAGCTCTATTAGGTCATTGATCTCATCCCCAAAATGACAGAAATGCTTATCCATGTGATAACTGGTGCTATCAGACCAGAAGTAAGATTTACATGGGCTCTGTGAAATACTGAAAAAAAGCCTGTTGCTTGCTCATCCCCAACCATGTTAATTATATATAGGGCAATTATTTTTTCACATTCATTTCCTTATTCTAATTACAAAAATATAAATGCTAATGGCATGCGTGAGAGCACATAGTGAAAATCATGGTGTTTAATTCATAAAAATATGAAAATAAAACCCAGTTTAGTTTCTGAGTTGTTGTGTGATCTCCAGATTACTGTTCACTTCATGGTGTGATGTGTGTGTTTGGAGGAGGTGGACCTCAGTTGCTACCAGAAGTTGTCACATCGTAAAACTTCCTCGAGAAGGCCTCATCATTTGTATTCTGGAGCAACTAGTAAAAAATAGGAATTTTCTATAAAGTTTGAAATAAATTTCCTTTAAAATCATCTGGGACTAGTAACATTTTAGATGTAACTTTGTGATTATTTTATTCAGTGCATTCTGTAATTTGTAATCAGATCACCAAGTCTTCTAGTTATTTTTCCTTTGCTTAGAAATTAGGAGGTAGAATGTTATTCAGATTTGTGTACATTACGCTTTCACAAATTTTAATATCTTCTATAACTAAGAAGTTTAAATTATTATATTACCTCCATTATTATATACCTGGCCTTTGTGTGTGTGTGTGTGTGTGTACCCTTCTTTAATTCTGGGTCTTATCAGCAAATACACTCTTTTATTTTCCCTTTGAAATTGAATTGCTAAGTCATTTCTTTCCTTCCACATTAGCAGCTGGATTAGCTGAAAGGATGGAACATGACAAGGTGTTAGGAAACAAGACCAGAGGGAAAAACGCTAATAGTTAAAGGTTAAGCCATGGATACTTTCCAGTTTAATTTTCCATTGTGCTGGCATCAAACAGAAAATTCTGAACACTAGCTGATTCACCTAACTGGGCCAAAATTTGTCCGTGATGAATAATAACATATTTAAATGGCAGATACTGTAAAGAAAAAACTTGCATATGTGATAAGGACAAATATTTTCGAGAAAGCGAAATATTCCAAGGACAGTTCATTCAAAAATTATTTTAAAAAATATACAGCCTTTAAGTCAGTGATCATTTTGTGAAGGGTAAAAGGAGCAATTCCACTGCTGCATTTGCTTTTACCTCTATTACCTTTTCTTCTAAGCAGTGTGATTGTTAAAATAAAGGTAATAGCAGAAAATTTGGCCTTTATTCTAGCTTTACAAGTTCATCTTCTCAGGGAAAAAACAAGATGCTCTTGAAGAATTTATGTTAACAGAATTGAGGAAACCATAAAAGAATAGAGACATAAATGCTAAACAATCATTTTAGTGAATTATTATATCCTTTTCCTACTCCAAAAAATCATTATTCAAAAATTTACAGAATAAATTTAAAACTGTTGTTTTCTATGTAAGTTGCACCATGTGCTTGGAACTCTTCCTGTGTCATTCATCTTACACTTAACAACATTTTTATGATCCGGATATACTATCAGCATTTAAAAATACAAATTTTGTCAAGGGCTAATATCCAGAATCTACAAAGAACTCAAACAAATTTACAGGAAAAAAACAACCCCATCAAAAAGTGGGCCAAGGATATGAACAGACACTTCTCAAAAGAAGACATTTATGCAGCCAACAGACACATGAAAAAATGCTCCTCATCACTGGCCATCAGAGAAATGCAAATCAAAACCACAATGAGATATCATCTCACACCAGTTAGAATGGCGATCATTAAAAAGTCAGGAAAAAACAGGTGCTGGAGAGGATGTGGAGAAACAGGAACACTTTTACACTGTTGCTGGGACTGTAAACTAGTTCAACCATTGTGGAAGACAGTGTGGCGATTCCTCAAGGATCTAAAACTAGAAATACCATTTCACCCAGCCATCCCATTACTGGGTATATACCCAAAGGACTATAAATCATGCTGCTATAAAGACACATGCATACTTATGTTTATTGAGGCACTACTCACAATAGCAAGGACTTGGAACCAACCCAAATGTCCAACAATGATAGACTGGATTAAGAAAATGTGGCACATATACACCATGGAATACTACGCAGCCATGAAAAAGAATGAGTTCATGTCCTTTGCAGGGACATGGATGAAGCTGGAAACCATCATTCTGAGCAAACTATCGCAAGGACAAAAAACCAAACACCGCATGTTCTCACTCATAGGTGGGAATTGAACAATGAGAACACGTGGACACAGGAAGGGGAACATCACACACCAGGGCCTGTTGTGGGGTGGGGGGAGGGGGAAGGGATAGCATTCGGAGATACACCTAATGTAAATGATGAGTTAATGGGTGCAGCACACCAACATGGCACATGTATACATATGTGACAAACCTGCACATTGTGCACATGTACCCTAGAACTTAAAGTATAATAAAAATACATATATATATAAATAAAAAATAAAAATAATAAAAATACAAATTTTGGCCAGACATGGTGGCTCACGCTTGTAATCCCAGCACTTTGGGAGGCCGAGGTGGGCAGATCACTTGAGGTTGGGAGTTCGAGACCAGCTTGGCCAACATGGTGAAACCTCTTCTCTACTGAAAGTACAAAAATTAGCTGGACTTGGTGGCGCTCAACTGTAATCTCAGATACTCAGAAGGCTGAGGCAGGAGAATGCCTTGAACCCGGGAGGCAGAGGTTGCAGTGAGCTGAGATCATGCCACTGCACTCCAGCCTGGGTGACAGAGTGAGACTCTATCTCAAAAAAAAAAAAAATGAATATACGAATTTTTGTTCTCACCTATAAGTGGGAGCTGAATAAGGAGAACACATGGACATATAGGGGGAACAGCACACACTGGGACCTTTCGGAGGGTTAGGGGTGGGAGGAGGAAGAGCATCAAGAACAATAGCTAGTGGATGCTGGGTTTAAATCTAGGTGATGGGATGATCTGTGCAGCTATTCACCCTGGCACAGGTTTAACTATGTAACAAACCTGCACATCCTGCACATATACCCTTGAACTTAAAATAAAAGTTGAAATTCAATAAATAAATAAATACAAATACAAATTTCTCATTCATTGAAAAAACATTGATGACCCTCAGGAAGGTATGTCACCAGACTAACACCACTCTGCAAACCAGAAGTTTGAGGTAAAATTTAAAATCATTTTTATTTTAAGTACACATCTTTCACATCACTTCTATCCTGCAAATACAGAAAAATACACACATTTCACATATTCTTGTGACAGTCAAATTGATTTTCTTTCTCAATTTTTACATTAACATTATCATCATTTTTGTCTTTTGTATATTAATTATAGAACATTTAGAAAATGACATAAAATAAAAAGTGAAAAAAAAATTAAATACAAACTTAACTAAAGCAACACCATTTATATTCTTCCAGTTCTTGTTCTATGAAATCATGGAGGGAGATTTAATCTTAGGCAAGACTCTTGTATTTGACACATCAGAAGTATTTTAGTCAATAAAATCATTGTTATTATTCCCATTTTAAAGATGAGGGAAATGATACACTTAGTGCAATGGTGCGATCTTGGCTCACTGCAACCTCCGCCTCCTGGGTTCAAGCCATTCTCCTGCCTCAGCCTCCGGAGTAGCTGGGATTACAGGAACCCGCCACCATGCCCAGCTAATTTTTGTATTTTTAGTAGAGATGGAGTTTCACCATGTTGGCCAGGCTGGTCTCAAACTCCTGACCTCAGTTGATCCACCTGCCTCAGCCTCCCAAAGCGCTGAAATTACAAGCATGAGCCACCAGGCCCAGCCAGAGAACTGATACACTTTCTAATTTTAGCTTGTAAATTACTGCCCCCAGACTTGAATTACACAGTTTCTTGCAGCCAGCTGTTTACTTTTAGTTGGAAATGATATTTGGAGACTTCAATCTGGGTATTAAGGGTGCTCATTACAAATGGGCATACCATTGATTCTAGGGCAAGGTTGATAAATAATTTTTTGAAGATAAAATACATCCTGAGCTCATATTGATGGTTCCCATTAACATGGACTCCAAGTAACACTTTCAAAACAACAAAATCAACAAAATAGGGCGGTGTTTTGTTCTGTTTTCCCAGTTCTTTTTGTCCTTGGAATATCCTACAAGAACATATAATCGAAATGCTTGTTTTTAAAGTTACTGGGAGTATTGTTTATCTCTGTTTTCATTCCACCAACTAGATACATAATTAGGTTTATTTTTCTTTCTTTTTACTTTGACTTTTGATATTTAGACATTTTTCTCAATATAATTGTGTTTCATAATTACATAAAAGGTTTAACTTGCTTTTGTCATTTAAAAATATCTTAAAGGTCATTCCATCAAAATATACAGCTAGATACTGACACAGTATGTCATTTATTTTCTATATCAGACTTTATTCAATCAGCCTTTCATTGATAGACTTGCTTCCAATCTTTTACTACTACAAAGAGTAAATCTGTATTTCTTAAAATCATTTTTCTGAAGCAGTGGGGGGCACAGACTCACTCTGCCACCCAGACTGGAGTGCAGTGGCGCAATCTTGGCTCACCGCAACCTTTGGCTCCCAGGTTCAAGCGAGTCTCCTGCTTCAGCCTCTGAGTAGCTTGGATTACAGGCGCATGCCACCATGTCCAGCTAATTTTTGCATTTTTAGTAGAGACAGGGTTTCACTATATTAACCAGGCTGGTCTCGAACTCCTGACCTCAGTGGATCCACCCGCCTTGGAGTCCCTAAGAGTTTTAAAAACATTTTTAAGCAGTGCATATAGTTGGGATGGATTCCTGGAAGTGAATTCATTAGTCAAAGTATAACTGCATATGTAATTTTCCTAGGTAATGCCAAACTCTCCTCCTAGATACAGCCTTGCTGGTGGAATATGTTGTTAAATTTTTCAATTTTTGTCCATGTAATAGGTAAACAATGTTATTGCCCTATAATTTTATTTTGCATTTCTCTTTTTACGTGTGAGGGGATCATCTTATTATGTAGTTAGTAGCTATTTGCATTTTGTCTTCTATAATCTTGCTGTCCCTATTTCTAATTTTTCTAGGTTATTGTATTTTTTTATTTGAAGCTCTTCATATATTAGAAATAGCAAATTTTAATTTAACACAACTGAAATGTTTTCCAAGTATATAATTTCCAATTTTACATATGTAATACAGATAAATTAAAGAAAATCCGAAAAAAATATTTAGCATGGCAATGTGTAATATGTGTTCTAAATATTCAAAAAATTTTGATTTTGCAAAAAATCTGTCTCAGAAGATGAGACAGCTATAATAAACTTTTTCTCATTTTTGTTGTACAATTTATCTATGTCATTCCCTTTCTTTCTCAACTTAGAATATGCTTATGAAAGTTTCCCCACCCTCACTCCATAGAGGAATTAACCCATTTTTTTCTTATAATACATGTATGGTATCATTTGTTATATTTAAATATCTAATCCACTTGGAATTGGTGGTGATATCCTACATATAGAATAAATTCATTTTTATCTTTTTTTATATGCCCATCTAGAGAAGAGACTATCTTTCCCTCACTGATATGATGTCATCTTTATCACTTAGTAAATTTGCACATGTAATTGGCTATCTTCCTTAAGCTACTTAATATTTTTAAAGAAAAAATTCGTAACTTTACAGTAGAAAGACGTGGTAACATCATGTTAACCATGTGATCAAAGTAAATATCACCAACAATGACAAAGTCAACATCATGTGCCTCCTGATGAGCTGAACCGAGGGGTCACAGCACCATTTCTTTGACATTCTTAACAAAATAGATAGCACTACTTTAATTACAAGGATGTATCACACAAATTCAAAATGAGAAACATTCTCAATATAACTTGTTATTACTTTTTAAAAGTGTCAACCTCCTGAAAGAGGTTCTTTCCTGAAAGAAAGAACAAAGAACAACTCCACATTAACAACAACTAAAAAGACTTGACAACTAAACATAATATATAGTCCCAGATTATATTTTGCACCCCAAACAGAAAGGACTAGAGCGACAGAACTATTGAAATTTCATTGAGATCTACAGACTAAAATGTAGGACTGTACTAATGTTAACTTTTACATTTTGGTGATTAAAGTGTGTTTAGGTAAGATGTTAGCACTTGGGGAATTCGGGTGAAGACAATGTAAGAATTCTTTGTACTTTTATTTTTTAAATGTTACTGCTATTGATATTACTTGCTTTAGATAAACTATAGCAATATATTTTAACCAAAAATATAGTTTAGAAATAATGCATAGGATATGCTAAAGAAAAATTCACACTACAAAAGATAAGCAAATAGAAATTGGTTTTATTCTGAAGGAACAGTATTGCTTCAACAGGCAAGAGAGAGCACTAACCAAGTCTGGATACTCAACTCCTCCCAGACAAAAGGTAAAAGGGATTTTTTAAAAAATTCAAACGAGAGCATCAGGAAGATTAGGTAATGGATGCTGGGCTTAATACCTGGGTGATGGGATGATCTGTGCAGTAAGCCACCATGGCACACATTTACCTATGTAACAAACCTGCACATCCTGCACATGTTCCCCTGAACTTAACATAAAAGTTGAAAAAAGAAAAAGTATATAAGTTAAAAAAACAAACAAAAAACAATTGAGATAAGAAGTCTTAGGCCATCTGAGTTCTCTAATTGGTTTACACAAGAGAAAAGTAAACCTTCTGTTTTCATTATAGGACATCATTTTACAACTTGGAGTAATTTCCCTCTGCTCCCTCAAAAGTTAGGCTCCTGTCCTTGGCAACTGGAAGACAGAGGCTCTATGTTTCTCGATGATTACATTTCAAAGGGATGGCTCCCAGGTCCTTGAGTAAGACATTCCTGGGTTGTAAACCTGGCAAGAGACTTCTAAAATGTTTACATCTCAAAGGGGCAGAGGGAACTGACAATTACAAGTTTTCCAAAGTAAAATGCTTTAAGAAAGGGAGGCTATGGACCTCCATTCTGGAAGAAGAGGCCTGTCTAAAGTCTAGTCAAGCTGAAGGGAACATTAAGGCATTCTTGGCCAAGAATTCTATAATACACACACACACACACACACACACACACACTCATACACACACACACAATCCTTGTATAAATTCACTCAAGATCCCCTACATGATTTTCCAGGCTCAGTGCAGAATGAATATGCAAGTTTCCGTGTTCAAAATTTATTCATAATTTCAAGGCAGCAACAGCAGAGCATTAAACTAAGCCAAGGGCCCTTCTGAGTATGGATCCTTGTACAACTGCACAGGGCAGACACCCATGCAGCTGGAAGCCAGACTGGCTGAATATTGAAGATAGAATCCTGGCTTCTCCAATTACTGCCTGGGTGACTTCAGCATTTTACTTGATCCTTCCAAGCTCCAATTTCCTCTTGTGAATATTGGGGAAGGGAATTGAAGAAGCCACTAGTTGAATGAGGAATAAATAGTTGCTCCAGGCCATGTAACATTCACAGAACAGTGACTGGCATTTAGCAAGCATTAGATAATTGTTAGCTTTCATTTTGAAAAAAACCAACTAGATTGTCCTTTACGCAAATGCATTTTATAAGTTTTTCATGGCTTTAAATATATTTAAGATTTATTCAGTACAGAGAAAAAAAATAATTGTATAGAATGAAATATATAGTTGTCAGGCCTCTGAGCCCAAGCCTGCACGTATACATCCAGATGGCCTGAAGCAAGTAAAGAATCACAAAAGAAATGAAAATGGCTGGTTCCTGCCTTAACTGATGATATTGCCTTGTGAAATTCCTTCTCCTGGCTCAGAAGCTCCCCCACTGAGCACCTTGTGACCCCCCGCCCCTGCCCGCAAGAGAACAACCCCCTTTGACTGTAATTTTCCACTACCACCCAAATCATATAAAACTGCCCCACCCCTATCTCCCTTCGCTGACTCTCTTTTTGGACTCAGCCCGCCTGCACACAGGTGAAATAAACAGCCTTGTTGCTCACACAAAGCCTGTTTGGCCTGTTTGGTGGTCTCTTCACACGGATGCGCATGACATTTGGTGCCAAAACCCAGGACAGGAGGACTCCTTCGGGAGACTGGTCCCTTGTACTCGCCCTCACTCCGTGAGGAGATCCACCTGCGACCTCAGGTCCTCAGACCAACCAGCCCAAGGAACATCTCACCAATTTCAAATCGGGTAAGCAGTCTTTTCACTCTCTTCTCCAGCCTCTCTCACTACCCTTCAATCTCCCTGTCCTTCCAAATCCAGTTCTTTTTCCTCTCTAGTACAGACAAAGGAGACACATTTTATCCGTGGACCCAAAACTCTGGCGCCGGTCATGGGCTCGGGAAGACAGTCTTCCGTTGGTGTTTAATCACTGCAGGGACACCTGCCTGATTATTCACCCACACTCCATTGGTGTCTGATCACCACGGGGATGCCTGTCTTAGTCATTCACCCACATTCCCTTGGTGGCAAGTCAATTGCGGGGAAGCCTGCTTTGGCTTCTCACCCACATTGCAGCCCAGTGCTGCTCACCAACCCCCTTCTCTGTGTCTCCACTCTCTCTTTTCTCTGGGCTTGCCTCCTTCACCATGGGCAACCTTTCACCCTCCATTCCCCCTTCTTCTCCCTTAGCCTGTGTTCTCAAGAATTTAAAACCTCTTCAACTCTTGCGTGACCTAAAACCTAAGCATCTTATTTTCTTCTGCAACACCGCTTAGCCCCAGTACAAACTCAATAATGGTTCTAAATAGCCAGAAAACGGCACTTTTGACTTCTCCATTTTACATCAACATGGATGATTTTTGTCAAAAAATGAGCAAATGGATCTCAGGTACCTGATGTCCAGGCATTCTTTTACACACTCATCCCTCCCTAGTCTCTGCTCCCAATGCGACTCACCCCAAATCTTTCTTCTTTCTCTCCTGTCTGTTCCTTCAGTCTCTACCCCAAGCTCTGAGTCTTTTCAATCTTCTTTTTCTACTGACCCATTTGACCTCTCCCCTCCTCCCCAGACTGCTCCTCACCAGGCTAAGCCAGGTCCCAATTCTTCCTCAGCCTCCACACCCCCACCCTATAATCCTTTTATCACCTTCCCTCCTCACACCCTCTCCGGCTTACAGTTTCGTTCTGCGACTAGCCCTCCCCAACCTGCCCAACAATTTCCTCTTAAAGAGGTGGCTGGAACTGAAGGCATAGCCAAGATTAATGCTTCTTTTTCTTTATCAGACCTCTCCCAAATCAGTTAGCGTTTAGGCTCTTTTTCATCAAATATAAACTCAACCCAGTTCATGGCCCATTTGGCAACAACCCTTAGACGCTTTACCGCCCTAGACCCAGAGAGGCCAGAAGGCCATCTCATTCTTAATATGAATTTTATTACCCAACCCATACCTGACATTAGAAAAAGCTCCAAAAATTAGATTCCAGCCCTCAAACCCCACAACAGGACTTAACTGACCTTGCCTTCAAGGTGTGTAATAATAGAGTAGAGGCAGCCAAGTAGCAACGTATTTCTGAGTTGCAATTCCTTGCCTCCACTGTGAGACAAACTCCAGCCACATCTCCAGCACTCAAGAACTTCCAAATGCCTGAACCGCAGAGGCCAGGAATTCCTCCAGGACAGCCTCCACCAGGATCTTGCCTCAAGTGCCGGAAATCTGGCCACTGGGCAAGGAATGCCCGCAGCCCAGGATTCCTCCTAAGCCATGTCCCATCTGTGAGGGACCCTACTGGAAACTGGACTGTCCAACTTGCCCCACAGCCACTCCCAGAGCCCCTGGAACTCTGGCCTAAGGTTCTCTGACTGACTCCTTCACAGATCTTCCCAGCTTAGCGGCTGAAGACCAACACTGCCCAATCACCTTGGAAACCTCCTGGATCATCACAGACACTTTGGGTAACTCTTACAGTGGAAGGTAAGTCCATCACCTTCTTAATCAATACAGAAGCTACCCACTACACATTACCTTCTTTTCAAGGGCCTGTTTCCCTTGCCTCCATAACTGTTGTGGGTATTGATGGCCAGGCTTCTAACCTCTTAAAACTCCCCAACTCTGATGCCAACTTGGACAACATTCTTCTATGCACTCCTTTTTAGTTATCCTCACCTGCCCAGCTCCCTTATTAGGTCAAGACATTTTAACTAAATTATCTGCTTCTCTGACTATTCCTGGGCTATAGCCACACCTAATTGCTGCCCTTTTCCCCAGTTCAAAGCCTCCTTCACATCCTCCCCTTCTATCTCCCCACCTTAATCCACAAGTATAGGACACCTCTACTCCCTCCTTGGTGACCAATCATGCACCCCTTACCATCCCACTAAAACCTAATCACCCTTACCCTGCTCAACGCCTATATCCCCTCCCACAGCACATTTTAAAAGGATTAAAGCCTGTTATCACTTGCCTGTTACAGCATGGCCTTTTAAAGCCTATAAACTATCCTTACAATTCCCCCATTTTACCTGTCCAAAAACCAGACCAGCCTTACAGGTTAGTTCAGGATCTGTGCCTTATCAACCAAATTGTCTTGCCTATCCACCCCATGGTGCCAAAGCCATGTACTCTCCTATCCTCAATACCTCCCTCCACAACCCCTCCATAACCCATTATTCTGTTCTGGATCTCAAACATGATTTCTTTACTGTTCGTTTGCACCCTTCATCCCATCCTCTCTTTGCTTTCACTTGGACTGACCCTGACATCCATCAGCCTCAGCAACTTACCTGGGCTGTACTGCTGCAAGGCTGCAGGGACAGCCCCCATTACTTCAGTCAGGCTCAAATTTTTTCCTTACCCATTACCTATCTCAGCATAATTCTTCATGAAAACACACGTGCTCTCCCTGCTGGGTCGTGTCTGGCTAATCTCCCAAACCCCAACCCCTTCTACAAAATAACAACTCCTTTTCTTCCTAGGCATGGTTAGGTACTCCTGCCTTTGGATACCTAGTTTTACCATCCTGACTGAACCATTATATAAACTCACAAAAGCCAACCTAGCTGACCCCACAGATCCTAAATCCTTTCACCACTCCTCTTTTCGTTCCTTAAAAACAGCCCTAGAAGCTGCTCCCACACTAACTCTAATTCATCCCAACCCTTTTCATTATACACAGCCAAAGTACACGGCTGTGCGGTCAAAATTCTTACACAAGAGCCGGGACCACGCCCTGTAGCCTTTCTGTCCAAACAACTTGACCTTACTGTTTTAGGCTGGCCCCCACCCCCATGACTGTATCTCTCTGATCCACCTGACATTCACTCCATTTCCCCATATTTCCTTATTTCCTGTTCCTCACCCTGATCACACTTGGTTTATTGATGGCAGTTCCACCAGGCCTAATCGCCATTCACCAGCAAAGGCAGGCTAATGCAATAGTATCTTCCACATCTATCATTGAGGCTACCACTCTGCCCCCTCCACTACCTCTCAGCAAGCTGAACTCATTGCCTTAACTTGAGCCCTCACTCTTGCAAGGACTATGCGTCAATATTTATACTGACTCTAAATATGCCTTCCATATCCTGCACCACCATGCTGTTATATGGGCAGAAAAAGGTTTCCTCACTCTGCAAAGGTCCTCCATCATTCATACCTCTTTAATAAAAACTCTTCTCAAGGCCGCTTTACTTCCAAAGGAAGCTGGAGTCATTCATTGCAAGGGCCATCAAAGGGCATCAGATCCCATCACTCAGGGCAATGCTTATGCTGATAAGGTAGCTACAGAAGCAGCTAGCGTTCCAACTTCTGTCCCTCACGGCCAGTTTTTCTCCTTATCATCAGTCGCTGCCACCTACTCCCCCATTGAAACTTCCACCTATCAATCTCTTCCCATATGAGGCAAACTGCTCTTAGACCAAGAAAAGTATCTCCTTCCAGCCTCACAGTCCCATTCTATTCTGTCGTCATTTCATAACCTCTTCCATGTAGGTTACAAGCTGCTAGCCCATCTCTTAGAACCTCTCATTTCCTTTCCATTGTGGAAATCTATCCTCAAGGAAATCACTTCTCAGTGTTCTATCTGCTACTCTACTACTCCTCAGGGATTGTTCAGGCCCCTCCCTTCCCTACACAACAAGCTTGGGGATTTGCCCCCAGCCAGGACTGGCAAATTGACTTTACTCACACGCCCCGAGTCAGGAAAATAAAATACCTCTTGGTCTAGGTAGACACTTTCACTGGATGGGTAGAGGCCTTTCCCACAAGGTCTGAGAAGACCACCATGGTCATTTCTTCCCTTCTGTCAGACATAATTCCTCAGTTTTGCCTTCCCACCTCTATACAGTCCAATAACAGACTGGCCTTTACTAGTCAAATCACCCAAGCAGTTTCTCAGGCTCTTGGTATTCAGGGAAACCTTCATACCCCTTACCGTCCTCAATCTTCAGGAAAGGTAGAACGGACTAACGGTCTTTTAAAAACACACCTCACCAAGCTCAGCCTCCAACTTAAAAAGGAGGACTCTGTCAAGGATAGAGCCCAAAAACTCACCAACCAAGCAAGTAATTACGCTGAACCCCCTTAGGGACTCTCTAATTGGATATCCTGGGACCTCCCAATTCTTAGTCTTTTAATACCTGTTTTTCTCCTTCTCTTATTTTGACCTTGTGTCTTCCATTTAGTTTTTCAATTAATACATAACTGCATCCAGGCCATCACCAATCATTCTATATGACAAATATTCCTTCTAACAACCCCAAAATATCACCCCTTAAGGGAGGAGACCACCGCTCATACTGTCTTATGCCCAATTTCTGCCTCAAAAGAAAGAAGTAAAAACTAAAAGGCAGAAATGAAATCCACAAGCAGACAGCCCCGGCACCATACCCTGGGCCTGGTAGTTAAAGATCGATGACCCCTGACCTAATCGGTTATGTTATCTATAGATTACAGACACTGTATAGAAAAGCACTGTGAAAATCCCTGTCCTGTTCTGTTCCGTTCTAATTACCGGTGCACGCAGCCCCCAGTCATGTACCCCCTGCTTGCTCAATCGATCATGACCCTCTCACGCAGACCCCCTTAGAGTTATGAGCCCTTAAAAGGGACAGGAATTGCACACTCGGGGAGCTTGGTTGTTAGAGACGTGAATCTTGCCAAAGCTCCTGGCCAAATAAAGGCCTTCCTTCTTTAACTCAGTGTCTGAGGGTTTTTGTCTGTGGCTTGTCCTGCTACACCCTTACCACAAAATCTTCCTTCAGCTTAATCTCTCCCACTGTAGGTTTCCACGCTGCCCCTAATCCCGCTGAAAGCAGCCCTGAGAAACATCACCCATTATCTCCCCATACCACCCCCAAACATTTTTGCCACCGTAACAGTTCAACACTATTTTGTTTATTTTTCTTATTAATATAAGAAGACAGGAATGTCAGGCCTCTGAGCCAAGCCTGCACGTATAGATCCAGATGGCCTGAAGCAAGTGAAGAATCACAAAAGAAGTAAAAATGGCTGGTTCCTGCCTCAACTGATAACATTACCTTGTGAAATTCCTTCTCCTGGCTCATCCTGGCTCAAAAGCTCCCCCACTGAGCACTTTGTGACCCCCACCCCTGCCCACCAGAGAACAACCCCCTTTGACTGTAATTTTCTACTACCCAAATCCTATAAAACAGCCCCACCCCTATTTCCTTTAACTGACTCTCTTTTCAGACTCAGCCCACCTGCACCCAGGTGAAATAAACAGCCTTGTTGCTCACATAAAGACTGTTTGGTCTCTTCACACGGATGTGTGTGACAATAGTGTCTTTTTCATGTGTGAAGTCATTCTTAGAAAGACACCAAAAAAGAAGCGATAATCACACCTGGCTTTATTGTGTGGTGTGGGTTTTTTAAAGCATTTTTTCCCACTTAAAAATATTAAGGTAGAAAACCCTATCTCTACTAAAAATACAAAAAATTAGCCGGGCGTGGTGGCGGATGCCTGTAGTCCCAGCTACTCAGGAGGCTGAGGAAGGAGAATGGCGTGAACCCAGGAGGCGGAGCTTGCAGTGAGCCGAGATCGCACCACGGCACTCCAGCCTGGGTGACAGAGCAAGACTCTGTCTCAAAAAAAAAAACCAAATTAAAGTATAAAGTAAGTGCCAAACTTTATTTCCAAGTTAGAAGTCTCTTTGCTCAACACTCCTTACTTTAGAACAAAATATTTTACATTATTTTAAACTATCAAGATCATTTTGCACTGTTTTTAAAGATACTTGAAATGTCTCTAAGTTAGAACTGTAACTTTATTATATAGTTTTCTTTTGTATACTGCAAATATCTCTTTGATTTTAGAAAATACCTCTTGGATATTAGAAGATAAAGTTATAGTTCTAGCTGACGAACTGTAACTTAATTATATAGCTTTTTATTGGATGTTACGTATATAAGATAAGCTAGGTTTTTCTATAGTCACAAATATTCATAACATCTCAGTAATTTAAAACCACAATCACCAAGTTCACAGAGATTAGCTGGGAGTCTGTTCCACACTGTCTACTTTAAGAGAAATAAAACCCTCTTACCTTACTTAGACATGCTGTGTTATTATTTTACCATTTTATTAAATATAATTTACCATTACTTAAGATAGGACACCTAAATTAAATTGCTATTCAGAACTACTCTTTGTGTTATCTTGGTCAAATTTCACTATTAGTTTAGATTCATAAATTGCACTGTGAGGATTTCTCAGTTTACATAGTTCAAAAACTGCATAAGCATTGAATATTCTCTTCCTTGAAGTTTTGATAGAATTTTTCAGCAAAACCACCTATTTTAATAGTTTTTAAAATGTTTTTGCTATCTATGAAATTGAAACCTATTCAAGAGCTCTATCTGTTCTTTAGATAAATTTAGTAATATTTGAAGAACTCTATTTCACATAAAATTCCAAATCATTAACAAGATCTATATTGTAGCTCTATTTTCTCTAAATTCGATTTTAAATTTATTCCTAATTTCTAAGGTCACAGTTAAATTTCATTTTCTCTATTTTTACCTTGATAATATTTGTTAAAATAAAACACTAATTTATTATTTATCTCTTTAAAGGAAAAGTTATTGAATTTATCAATTAAATTTTTCTAATTTCTAAATAATTTGATTTAATCTAATCTCATTCCTCTATTTTCTTTATGTTTTTGTCTTATCGCTTCCTAAATTCTTACATTCATTATTTCTTCATATTCTTATTGATGACAGTAATATTAATTATTATTATCCTCTAAGGACAGCTTTTATGCCGCATACAGCATAATATTCTTGTTTATTGTTGTTAACCTCCCAATTTTTAGCATTTGCAGTTCTGATTTTGTGTGTGTGTGTGTGTGTGTGTGTGTGTGTGTGTGAAAATAGTTACTTAAAAGGAGATGACCCCCTTTAACTAAATATGTTATCAGTTCTCTTTTATCTTGGAATAGTAATATCTATATAATATCAGTCTGCATGTAGTTTTTTCTGCTCTTTAATTGCATAGTGAGCAACTTTCCTTCCAAAGTCTACCTTGAGAGAGTGGGCACCTAGTAACAGCCTTGAGTTCACTCCATTTTCAGGTTTTCATCAAATCTCCTTGGTTTTCCTGAAGATAACTTCTGGTTCTCTAGGACCCCATGCAATGCAATAAAATAATCAATAGCTTATCACTAGCACTGTCTTTAGCCTTCTTTCAGTTTATGTTATTCATAGCTTGTTATTCCAGGGTAGAGCTTTTCAGGATACATTATGTCACAGCCAACACTTTGTAATTGTCAACGAGTCATTCCCTGCAATTTGGAGTCTCTGCATGAACTTATGTATCTGTGAGGGTGAAGTGAGGACAGAGGCAGCAACACTCTCTCAATTGCCCCAATTTATAGAAGATTGCCCAAGTGCACATAGAGATAAGTAAGGTTCCAGCTTTTTGACTGCTGAAGGCCTTGGTAATTTACAAAAGCAACAGCATGATCCTTTTCCAAGCAATCTCTGTTTCAAGTAATAAAGCCAGGTACTACCAAAAGCAGAAGACTGAATGCTCTATTCTCAATTCTGTTCCTTAATTGGCAGCAATTGCTTTATCTGTGAGGGTTTTCCATCAAAGCTCTTTTGCATTTCCTTCTGTCAGTGTCATCCTGGATGATCCCAGTGTGATTTTGAACGCATGCCACTGGATGTCACTGGGCAGAAACTATCTGAACGCAGAAAATCAGCAATTGTCTTTTAAGAAGGAACAAACAATGAGCATGTTATTCTAGGAAGTCTTCATTGAAATTAAGCAAATTATTGAATTGCTAATAGACAGTCAACATAAGCGTAATTAAACCATTTTCCAGTCGTACTTCCTATGAACTAAATTCACAGAATAAAACTTCTACATTTGAAGTTTTGATTTGCTGTCTTTGGTAAAGTTTTTTTTTTTTTTTTTTCACTCTGAAAATGATTATAGCAATCTTCAGTGTTCATGAGTGTAAATTCCACTTATCTGTGGCTCAGTAACTCTGGCTTCAGTTTCCTACCCAAAGCTACAAAATCACTTTGAAGGGCACCATATAAGTAAATTGAGCCATCAAGTCATCAAGCTGGGAATGTCACACCCAGGAGAGTACTTCAATGCTTATAGCTGCTACTTTGGGGCTCCAACAAGAATATCCCAAAGCTGAAAGCATTCTGAGGCTCAGAGACTTCATGGAACATAAAGCTTTACTTCAAAAATAAACTTTGTATTTTGAAAACAAACCATTTATTGTTTGTATAAAAGGTCCCTGCATTCTGTTAGAAACAATTTAATGACTCCAGTTTATAAAAGTCCTATGGGACACTGATTACAAATATAACCTTTACTTTAAAAGAGCAGAAGCAATCTAGTCCCTCGGTTTTAAAATTATGTTGCTTGGCTGGTTGTCCAGAGCTCCCAGATGGGCCCAAAATTGTTTGCGGAGCTCTATTTTGTTTTATTTTTATATTTTTCATAGGTTTTTATTTTGTAGTGAATTAGTTCTTGATCTCCCAAATAGAGGAAGAATTATAGAATATGTGCATCTATATATGAAGTATTGTGAGCTTAAAAACATGAGTTATTTGGGTTATTGCTGTTTTAGAGTAAATTTGTAAACAGCATCTAAATGCAATTTTTTACATATAGGACTGCTGTATTTCCACAATTGATGAGGTTCAGGACATATCACCCCAAAATATCATTCTAAGAGAACAAAATATGCCACCCCAAGTATGCCTCTTGGCTTAAGAATTATTTTGAAAGGGTTATTTTGAGAAACTGCAGGCACAGGAGAAGCTCTGAAAGTTACTATTTGGTAAGATAAATTTACATCTATAAAAAAAATCTGCATTTAAAGGTGTCTTCCTTTCTGTTCCAGGCGAAAAAAAAGATGACTAAATGGAGAAAGTATGGGCTTTAATTCTGCAAAGCAAGCTTTGCTCCTGTTCATTGTCCTTGCTCATAACTGGACCCTTTCCCATTCCCTTCTTTCTTTGTCTCAGGGGTACTTAAGCCTGAAATCTGAGACAACTATTTAGGATCTACTTGAGATATTTACTCACATCTCTGAGTTATCGCCCACATATAGAGAGGGTATACATGTTATTAAACTTCTTTTTCTCTTGTTAATTTGTCTTTTGTTACAGAGGTTTGTGCAAATAAGAACTGACAAAGAGTCCTTTGACTAAAACTTTGGTCCACCTTCTGAGTCCTTTCTGACTATGCCCAAACTTGGACTTCCCTCTCTGTCCTCATAGAATGCAGTCTGAGCAAGAATCCTGCTAAGTTAGTTTAGGAAAAAATTCCCCACTCTTGGTATGTGACCACTCTCCAATATCTTAGCTCCCTGACCTGCCCTCAGAAATAATCTTCTCAAGTCAGCTGAGCCAGAAACCCTTTATCCTTGATGTTTCCTCTTAGTAATTTCCCAACCACTGCCCCTCAGCTCTGTGTCTTTATTCTTTTTTTTGGAGACAGAGTCTCACTCTGTCACCCAGGCTGGAGTGCAGTGGCACGATCTCAGTTCACTCACTGCAGCCTCGGCTCCTGTGTTCAAGCAATTCTCCTGCCTCAGCCTCCCTAGTAGCTGGGACTATAGGCATGCACCATCACTTCGAGCTAATTTTTGTATTTTTAGTAGAGATGAGGTTTCACCACGTTGGCCAGGCTGATCTAGAACTTCTGACCTCAAGTGATCCTCCTGCCTCAGCCTCCCAAAGTGCTGGGATTATGGGCATGAGCCACTGCTCCTGGCTTGGCTCTGCTCCCTGGTGGTAAACCCCACTTGTCCTTGTTGGAGTCAGAGTTGTATGCAATCTCTCTTCCCCCGTACAAAACCCCACTGAATGGCCCCGAGGCCTATCACAGTTACTCCTCACCCTGAAAAACATCTGACTTAGTATCTTTACCAAGTGTCATTAATATTTTTTTCTTTCAGAGAAGTATGGAGGGTAGAGAGAAAATTATTTTGTTCTCCCCTAATTAATGTACATAGTATACTCAACAGTTTTAAAAACTTAAATTTCTTATGACTAATTTGCACTTAAATAATTGTTGCCAATGGTTTCTACTATGTCCATGACCATTTCTACAATCTAAGTTATTAGAGTATAAAATTTAACATTTTAAAAGTTCTGCAGGGTATTTATGAAGGCCTTGTATACATCTTTCTCCAGTCACCAAAATAGTTCTGAGTTAATGCTAACTTTAAGCAATGTTTCCCTCAATCAAGTCTGACAGCACATTTAAATAATGTTTCCAAGCTCTCCTTGCTTTATTTTCCAAAACATAAACACAAGAGTGATATATAATTTTTTGAAAATTGTTAATAATTGGAAAGTATCCTACTTGAAACAAAAATGTTGATCTTAACTCATTCTATTTATTGAACAATCATTGCTGAACATTAACTTATTCAGAAACCTTATAATGTAACGCTATTCTTAACTCTAAAACTATAGATTATACTATATTCATAGTTCCTTTTTCATGAGGGTATTCAATATGATAATTTCCTGGAAATGGAAGAGGAAATGATAGAAGATAGAAAGAGGGGGAAGGAGTGTTTGACCCTGGATATTTTCTTTCTGAGGGAGCTCTGAGTTCTGACCTTGAGAACTCTATGATGCCAATGAAACCACCTTTGCAAAGATTATGACAGTCACAGAAATCTATCATGGCTGGACTCCATCTTGCTTCTAGCCTCAAAGGCTAGCTGTCCTTGCTCATTCCTGGGCATAGGCCAGGCTAATCATGGGAGGAATTTAGTTTATAGTTTAACTTAAAGGAAGGAAGACAGTACCTCTTCCCAAAACTAAACCACTTTGTAAACCTAATGAAAGTCCACAAGGATAGGATTATGAGAGGTGCCTGAATTCTGCTAAGATATAAACATAGCTTCTATAATCCTTTACTACTCAGGAGCCAATGTGGCCAGAGGTCACATGATTTGTGACTTTCTCAATTATACCTATAGATAACATCACAATTTTAGTACCTAAGATTGGTCTTTTGAGATGTTTTTCAGGCTTTTGTGTTGTGGCAACTGACCCCATCCAGACACGTAACTTATGACTCTACTGGTCTTGTGGCCTTCACTTGGAGGCAGACTCAGCACATGAGGACCATTTTCCGTGCCCCAATGGTGGCATCCTCACCCAATCAGCAGCACCTATTTCCTAGCCTGCTACCCACAAAACTATCCTTGAAAAACTCTAACCTTTGAGCCTTTTGGGAGACTTACTTGAGTAATAACTCCATCTTCTGTGTGGCTGGCCTTGCATTATTTAAACTCTTTCTTTACTTCAATAGTCCTCAATACCATGATCTCAGTGAATTGGTTTTGTCAGTGCAGTGGGCAAGAAGAACCCGTCAAGCAATTACATCAAAGCAAAAGTACACTGGATAAAGTTAAATGGGCAAGGGAGTCTTCAATCAATGCCATTGCAACAGGTGAGAAAGTCCAGAACTAAAGTCTGAACTCAATTTTACTGAAACAAAGAGGTAGAGGGATTTTAGGAACTTAGGCGATTGGATCACGAATCACTTCTTTGCCAATTGGCCTTGTCCCTCAAAAAAGAAATTTACCCGTATCTCTATGGCAGGAGGTAGTTTTACATCTTAAAGCAAGGCACCCACTGAAGTTAGACTCCTACCCTGTTATAGAGGCCCAGAGACTGGGAGATAGGGGTGCTGATTTCCTTGATGATAACATTTTAAAATGATATTTTCCAGAGACCTGAGAAACATTCCTGGGTTGTAAAAATGGCAGAGGCTTTTTAAAAGATTTATATCACTAAGGGGAAGAGAAAGGATTTGCAATCACAAGTTTGCTAAAGCAAATGCTCTAAGAAAATGGTGGTCAGAAAGAAGCCTGTAAGAACTTTACCCAAGAAGAAAGGAACACTGAGGCCATCTTGATTAATGAATTATCTCTTTAAAACGATTTAAGTTACTAATCATAGACTAAGTCATTTTAAATACAACACAGAAACTGTATAAAGTAAGTACTTTTAAAGATTGCAGAATTATTTTAACTCTTATCTATACCCTTTTTTGCTGAAGCATTATTTCTGATGTTAATAAAAAAAGAAGGCAACTGTCCATTAGCAGGAGAATAAACAAACTGTGATGTACCCATACCATGGCATATTAAGCAGCTATTCAAATCAATGTAGTAGATTTGTATCTATTGTTCTTTAAGGCATCTCCAAGATACATTGTTTTAGTTGTTCAGGCCAAAATGCTCGAAGTCATTGTTGAGGTCTCTCTCACAACTCACTCCCAATTTTTCAGCAAAGACTGTTGGCTCCAACTTCAAAATCTGTACACAATCTAATTACTTATTCATCTGGCTCAGCCATCATCTCTACCTTAGATGACAATATTAGCCTCACCATTGGTCCCCCAGCTTCTACCACTTTCCAAAGGTATCCTTACACTGTAATCAAAGTTACTTTTTAAAAACTTTAGTCAGATCAGTAAGTCGGAACATGTCACCCCTCTGCTTGAGTCACTAGCCAACCCCATGTGATCTGGTTCATTCCCTCTTTCCTCATCTCACCTCCTCCTTCACTCAGGTACTACCATGCTAGGCTCTATACTAGTCCTCAAACATGTCCAGCCCCGTGCTTTTGCACAGGCTGCTTCCACTCTTTGAATTGCTCTTATCCCAGATACTCATCACATCTAACTCTAGGCCCCCTTATAGTCTTCTAAAATCTCATCTTCATTTAGAGGTCAACACTTACCACTTCAGTTTAAAGTGCAACCTGCTTACTCCCCAATGCACTCCCATTCCTCCATCTCCTAGCTTGTATCACCTCCCAGCAAACTTATAATTTACTTATTTGTATGCTTATGATTTATTTTCTCTCTCCTACGAGAATGAAATTTTTATAAAAGTAAGATTTCATGGTATTGCATAGAACAGAGAGCCTGGCACAGATGCTACCCGTTAAATATTTGTTAAAAACGTGAATTAATGATGGATGAAAGCCTTTGTCATTAGAATAAGGTGAAAAATACACGTGAAATATCAAACTGTATCTCAATGTCCTACTTATTTCTGAGTATGCTCTTTTAACAGTCTTACAAATCAAACAGACGCTGTAAATACACACTAAACAAAAATGTTAGAAAAACCACAGCTCCTATATTATGGACATCGTTTAATTAGCCAAAATACAGTTATTAAAATTTAGGAATTATAAGTCCACACATGTGATTTTTCATATTGCAATTTCTATTATTAAAAAATACATACCAAGATCAGAACAGGTATAGGTCAAGTTAGGAAAACACAAACATAAAATAAACATTTTTTGGCTGTGTACGATGGCTCACACCTGTCATCATGACACTCTGAGAGGCTGAGGCAGGAGAACTGCTTGAGGCCAGGAGTTCAAGACTGTTAGCCCAGGCAACATAGTGAAATACTCATCTCATTTTTAGTAATTTTTTTTAAAAAAAGAAATATTTTTTTCTCTTAATATTTATGAAGTTATGATGATATAATTTGTTTTTCTATGAAGAATCTATATAGATCTGATAAAATTAATACTTTTACTGATTATTTCTTTGTGTAGTCAATACTGAATTATTAATTTGAGCAAAAGGGTATTTGTTGTAAGTTATTCTAGGAATGAAATGAAACGTACCAATGTACCAGACTGACATAATATTTTCAAATTTGGAGTGAAATTAATGAAATTGTAAATATAAAATATAAATAATATGAGGAACAGCCACATATAGAAAACAAGTTTCTAGAATAATTTTATGAACTTTCATTCCATTTGCTTGAACTGACTCTCTTTAGAGTGCTTTTTTTGGATAGGTGATCATTTATAATTTGTTTAAGAATATCCTACCAATATATACAAATGCTATGATACATTCTGATTAAAATAAAAGGTTAAATGTATTTTACAGTTTCTCTCCTATTTGTTTAGTTTTGTTTTTAAGACATTCACACGAGAGCTAGGAGCTATAAAAATATAGGTAAACATGTTAGAAGGAAAATGATTTTGAGCTACATGGATAACTCTTTTTTAAAAATAAAAATAAATACATAACAAATCAAAATAAATAACTCTACCAACCAACACTATCAAAGGCTTATTTTAAAATAGCTTATTTATTCCTGAACAGTTTTGTTTGAGTTAAGCCAAAAACAATTTTTGATTGAGCTCTCACCAATGTTTAAGAAATAAGATATGAGTAAAGGCAATAAATACAAATACATTATGATGTGCTTAAGCTACCATGTGGAAAACTCATGTATGAAAATTACAAATCTTACATTTGCTGCTGAATTGACTATGAAGAAAGCCAATATTTCATAGCACCTGAGCTTTAAAAGACCTGAAGTGAGACAAACAGGTCTTAAAGCCCTATTATAAGCCAGAAGTTATTCACCAGGCAAGAACTATATGCCTTATACTAATCATAGTTCTTGGTAACAAACAAAGGAATTTTTCTCTGGTTACTCTAATCAGATAAAGTGTCTTTTGGAAGGGTGTTGGATAGTTCCACAGGGTAGAGAAACAGAGCTGGAATCATACTGCAGGAAGAGTCAGCCCACTTCAAGAGCTCACAAGCCAAACAAGCTGATATGGTTTGGCTGTGCCCCCATCCAAATCTCATCTTGAAATGCAGCTCTCATAATTCCCACATGTCATGGGAGGGACCCAGTGGGAGGTAACTGAATCATGGGGGCAGGTCTTCCCTGTGCTGTTCTCATGATAGTGAATAAGTCTCACAAGATCTGATGGTTTTATAAAGGGGAGTTCCCCTGCCCAGGCTCTCTTGCCTGCAGCCATGTAAGATGTCTCTTTTGCTCTTCTTTCATCTTCCACCATGATCATGAGGTCTCCTCAGCCATGTGAAACAGTGAGTCCATTAAACTTCTTTCCTTTGTAAATTACTCAGTCTCAGGTATGTCTTTATTAGCAGCATGAGAACAGATTAATACACAAGCAACACCAATACTAGAAGGGTTCTAACTGTCCCTGTTTCTTTGAGTTATTCTCTCTGTATTCAGCATATTCCTGGAGTATGTATCAGTAATCTTGTATGCCTATGACCTAGTTGCGAGTCTTCAGGGACAGCAAGGCTCTGGCTTCTTCGGCTATGCTAGTGGGATAAGACACTGTCTCCCACCAAAATGTCTGAACAGTGGATTCCACAAGCAGAGGAAAAGGTCTCAAATATCAGAAGATTTTAAAATAAGTCTCCAAATACCTTTATTGCCAGCAGATCTAATTAGTTTGATCAGTCAATCAAACACTGCAATGAGGGGAAATTCTAATTTATTGACCACCTCTCCTGTGGCAGTCACTGAAATAGAAATTATCTGCTTTTTAATCAATTAACTTGGCTGATGACAACTGTTGCTTTGTGCTAATATATTTTATATTTTCCCTTATCAGAAACTGCATCTTTAATTTGAAATATTATAAAAAAGCAATTGAACATAGGAGTAGTTTTTGTATTACAAACAAAGCCTTCTTGTTAAGAGGTAGTACAGAACATGGCAGGTAAGATTAGGATTTCTTGGAATCAGACTAACTGAGTTCAAAAATCCTGGCTCTACTCTTTATTTGTGAGTGAATACAAATATGTGTTTACCCTCTCTGCAGCTTAGTTTGCTCTTTTGTAAAGTGGCAAGAAGAATGGTATCTACTCCAGGAGATTGCTATAAGGATTGAGTTTCTATGAGTTGAACCAGTGCCATCATGGAGTGAGAACCATGTTCCCATGAGCCTCCATTCCTGTGTTTGCCTCTGCTAAGTGACTATAATCCACTTCATATGCTGGATGTATGGGGCAACATTAGTATAATTACACACACGGCATTTTTTATATCAAGAACTGTAGCTATCTGTTGCGTTGTAGTTTATCCTCAACATTTACAACTCTGGGCAAGCTACAGACCTCAATTTTATCATTTATAGAAGGAAAAGGCTAGAAATACTTGATCTCATATCCTGCTTAAGCATTCTTCAACAATGGCTCTGGAAAAACACAAAGTCAAAATCCTCCTGAAAAACGAGACTATAAATTCTGGAATCTGGCTTGACTACCCGCCAATAGTAGATGGATATGGATTAAGAAAACCTTAGCCGGGATTTGCTTTCTTCTCTTCCAAGAAACGCCATCATAGCTTACTTCCCTCCTGAACTAAAAACAACAGATTCAAAGAGATAGAAGCCCACTAGAAAGTGAAGATATAGTAAGAACATTTCAACACAAGCAATTGGGAAAAAGGAAAAAAAAAAAAAGCCTAGATAATGAAACTACCTGGAGACTTTTAAGAGAAAGATGGAATGAACGTCGATCACTTCATGCTACTTCTTTATATATATAAAATATTTCTTAGGATAGAGTTTCTGCCAATCTTCAAGTTGTGTGTGGTCACTACAGTTCTTGCTCCTGGATCATGAGCAAAAGAGAAATCAATTGGAATAACTCACCCAGATAGAAAGTGGTTTGCCTGACATGGGCATCTGATTCACCTACCAACCCCAGAGCCAACGAAGAGTGAAACCACCACCGGGAATGCCTGAGACAGGGAGGCAATAATGAGCAATCTTGCCCCTTATTTAGTGAAGCAAAACTAAAGCTGAACAGGACTTATGCCCAATTAATTATCTGAGAATACAGAGGAATTTGAAAGTCTCATGTAATTAAAACTTCCAAGAATATTTGACTACCCAAACACAATCACAAGCCGAAAAAGAAATTAAAATGCTCTCAAAGGAGTTACCTGCTAGGAAGCTGAACTTACTTAAATATAACAGAAAGGAGAAAATCTAGGGGTAGAGGGTTAGTCCTGCAGGGGTGGGGAGGGGGTGGTGAAGAAACCGGAGACGGGAAATTGAACTTAATTAAAAGGTAAATGACAAAATATATAAATAATAATTTAAATAATGATTGTAATAATGAACTATTAGCATTTAATGCATGAAAAAAACACAAAACTTAAGAGGAAATTAGCCTTTTTTAAAAGAACATAGGCTAAATTAATTTCATTAGAGTTTTGGCAAACCTCAACTTGATATCTAATAAGTAGGTAATCTCATCTACTTTCATGGCTCAAGTTGTCATTCATACGTTTGTAAAAGAACAATGTTATGATACATAAAGTGATGTGCTTTTTTTTTTTCTTTTTGTAGTATTCTTAACTTTTTCTTCTCATGCTTTTCAGGGAGATGGTGGTTCTGGGTATGCTTCCCCAAAGAGAGATGTGGTAGGCAGACAGCAGAAATGCCTGTGTATCTTTGCTTCAAGAGCTTTAGAATAACTTAGTACATTTGCTATATACAGAAATGTCTGGAAGAACACGTGGAAAGAGACTGGTGCTTCAAGCAGCTAGAAAAAAGAAGTCCTCTTGTAAATGTAACCAGTTCGTTGCCTGATGTGCAGCAAGTGAATACCTCAAGAAACAAGGTTGCAGCAGGGAAAGAAGTCTGATCTTAACGCAGCTGAACAAGGAAGAGGAGGAAACTTCAAATCTGCCTCCCAAGGAGCTTAACGATAGGGATTTTAAGGGGGTTAATCAAGTATTGTGCTGGAGTGTCGGGATCATTGATTGGTTAAAGAGTTCACGGTGAAGGCATGGGATGGAGAGATGAAGAAACTGCCTTCTCATGCTGATTCGGTTCCTCTGTGGGGTCTTCAAGCTGTCTGGAATCAGCCATTCCCCAGGAACTCATGATCTGAAAAACATCTTAAGCAACTCTAAAACAAAAACTTGTCTAATGTCAAAGATCATATCTCTACTAACAATGAGGATGCAAAAGTCAGTATCTGGTGACTTTTGGTTAACAAGCAGCTACAAAGAAGTAGGACAAAGTGCAGCCTGATTAATGCTTAATTATATTTCTGTCCAGAACATGGTAAATAATTCTTGTTAATTTTGTGAGGATGTAGGCTCAGCTAGAGGGAGGAAAGGAAAGATAAAGAGAGCTCAACTGCAGGGGTAGCTGCAGGTAAAAGGACAGAAGGATCCTGCATGAGACCAAAGGGAATGGCGTGATGCAGAAACAGGAAATGCATGCATGATCCACCTGCATGGTCAAATGTTCCATGAACAATCCCACAAAGTTTCTGAGTGCCAGAATCTTGCAGAAGCATCGAATACACACCATGTCACCCCAAACTGGCATTAAAGTAGCAAGGAGGACTTCTGAGACTAAAGTAACCATATTAATAGGAGGGGGTGTGTGAATGTGGACTTTACTCGGACAGGATCTCTGTTTTGTTCTCCTCTACCTCCCCATCTCCTACAACATGTCAGGCACGTAGCAGATGCTCAGTTAATTTTGTCTTATGGGAACCCAAATGGACCAAAAGCTAGACAGAAAGACAGACCTGGCAGTATATTCTTTCATGAAAAGGGTCTTGAGGACCAGTAACTCCCATCATTTTCCACCTACCTTTGCTTGGTTTAACGTTTTAATATTCCACACTCATGAAGGAATTCAGGTATACACCAGGAAAATCGGAGGAAAGTTTGATGGAGATTACGTTTCTGCCCCCTAATGGAATGGGAGCTCATACGAGAAAGCAATGCTCATTTATTACTAAACGTTTGTTTATTGAGCCCCTATTATGTGCCAGACACTGTTCTAAGCACTGGGTATATGTCAGCAAACCAACACAAAGTTATAGAAACATAAAGTTTTGTTTCTTGAACATAACTAATGTTTTTAAACCTCATGGTAGGTTAAGTACTATTAAATATTATATGAGTAATAACCCAAGAGGACCCTCAAAGTAGACATTATAATACATGCTTTATAGATTGAGGAAGCTGAAACGCAGAAAAATTACTTATTATGCCCAAGGTCACTAAAATAGTAAAAGTAGATTCATGTTATGAACCTAAGCCAGTCAGGCCCAAATGCCATGTTTAGAATTATAATTTCTCAAACTGAGCTGTGTATTCTCTAAATCCTGATGACTCGGAAGTACAACCCTAGCCAGAGCCTCTCCCTTGGACTCCACGTCCCTACATACAAATGCTTATAGGATATCTCCAATCGGATGTCCCACTGACACCTCAAGCTCAGCTTAAAAAAATTAAAACTGAAACCCACACTGATCTTTCCAATTTTTCCTGGGTTTCTTCCCACAGGAAATGCCATCCTTTCAATCTACATTTACCACACCATAAATTTGGCTTTCTTCCTTTTTGTCTTCCCTCCCCCTCCCCCACAGGCCATCCCTCATCTAACCGAACAGCAGGTTCTGTTGCTTCTCTTCTCCTAACATCTGTCAAGACTTTCCCTATCTGGTGGTATCATCTCTTGTTTGCAGTATTTTAATGGGCTTCAGGTTTGTTCCTCCAACTCAAACTTCTGCATCATCATCGCCACAATCTAGCTAAACTGATTTTTATGAAATAAAAATCTGACCATTTCATGCCCATGTCATCGTGCCTTACAAATAAAGCCCAGCTTTTGTTGACGTACCATATAAAACGAATTATGTGGGTCCTATCTGCTATCTAAGTTTCACCTCTCACCCTTTCCTCTTTCAGTCTTCCCTTTTCTCTTTCAGTCCTACTAATTGGAATCCATCAGATACACAATCTGCACATCTGCAAATATTTTGTCTTATTTTTAAAAAAGGCTTTATCATTCCTTCTTCATCAGGATAAAGACAATTGATTGTCAAGGTACCAGTGTAAATGCCATTTCATCTGGGAAATCTCTTTTAACTCCTCTGAAGTTATATCCTCTTTGTGTGCTCATTCCTGGTTGCTACTTACCATATGACTCTCCACTCCTCTGTCTTCTCCTGAAGACCACATTTCCCTTGATGTGCTGGTGAGAGGTGACAGCGTGCTAGCAGCCCTCACTCGCGCTGGGCCCCTCTTCGGCCTTGGCGCCCACTCTGGCCGTGCTTGAGGAGCCCTTCAGGCCGCCGCTGCACTGTGGGAGCCCCTCTTTGGGCTGGCGGAGGCCGGAGCCGGCTCCCTCTGCTTATTGGGAGGTGTGGAGGGAGCGGCGCGGGCGGGAACCGGGGCTGTGCGCGCGGCGCTCGCAGGCCAGCGCGAGCTCCCGGTGGGCGCGGGCTCAGCGGGCCCCGCATTCGGATCGGCCGGCCAGCCCCGCCGGCCCCGGTCAGTGAGGGGCTTAGCACCCAGGCCAGCAGCTGCAGAGGGTGCGCCGGGTCCCCCAGCACTGCCAGCCCGCCCGCGCCGCGCTTGAATTCTCGCCAGGCCTCAGCCGCCTCCCCGCGGGGCAGGGCTCGGGACCGGCAGCCCGCCATGCGCGAGCGCCCCCGCGTGGTGGGCTCCCGCACAGTACAGCCGGAGCCTCCCTGACGGGCGCCACCCCCTGCTCAGGGGCTCGCGGTCGCATCGACTGCCGAAGGGCTGAGGAGTGCGGGCCCGCGGGGCGGGACTGGTGGGCAGCTCCTCCAGTGAACCCCGCGACGGATCCACTAGGCAAAGCCAGCTGGGCTCCTCAGTCAGGTGGAGACTTGGAGAACTCTTATATCTAGCTGGAAGAGTGTATATGCACCAATCAGCACTGTGTCTAGCTCAGGGATTGTAAATACACCAATCAGCACTCTGTGTCTAGCTCAAGGTTTGTAAACGCACCAATCAGCACCCTGTCAAAACAGACCAATGAGCTCTCTGTAAAACGGACCAATCAGCTCTCTGTAAAATGGACCAATCAGCTCTCTGTAAAATGGGCCAATCAGCAGGATGTGGGTGGGCTCAGATAAGGGAATAAAAGCAGGCTGCCCAAGCTAGCAGTGGCAACCTGCTCAAGTCTGCTTCGGTAGTGTGGAAGCTTTGTTTTTTTACTTGTTGCAATGAAACTTGCTGCTGCTCAGTTTTTGATTTTGCACTGCCTTTATGAGCTGTAATCCTCACCGTGAAGGTCTGCAGCTTCACTCCTGAGGCAAGCAAGACCACGAAGCCAGTGGGAGGGATAAACAACTCCGGACAGGAAAAATGAACAATTCCAGACGCGCCGCCTTAAGAACTGTAACACCCACTGGGAACGTCTGCAGCTTTGCTTCTGAAGCCAGCGAGACCATGAAGCCACCAGAAGGAAGAAACGCCAAACCCGTCTGAACATCAGAAGGAGAAAACTCCAGACACACCATTTTTAAGAACTGTAACACTCACTGCGAGGGTCTGTGGCTTCATTCTTGGAGTCAGTGAGACCAAGAACCCACCAATTTCGGACATGCTGGGAACATATCCTGGTAACTGTGTGTCCTTATTTCTCAGCACAATGCTTGCTACCTGAGAGGAGTGCAATTAAAACAGCGACCACAATAACAACCACTTGAATGAATGGAAGAATGATTACATTAATTTCTGCTGGGAAGTGAGTAAGCAATAAACCAACCCAAATTTGGGAGAGAAAACATTTGTAAAGCAAAATCTGGCATAAGAGGACCGTGAAATTAAAACAAGGATGGGATCATAAATCTTACTCTAACTGGATCAAACCAGCAGCCTTCTCACTTTCTATCAGCCAAATGCAGAGCGGCAGCCACAGCTGCCTTTTCCCTGAAATCCAAATATAGTAACAGTTTTCTTTGTACTGTATCACTGCACTCACAGCAGCAGATTGTTAATAATTGGGTATATCAGCTTCTGAAGCAGCAAGCGAGGTTGATCAGATTAAAACACGAACAAGACTGAAAACAAGAGAGCAGTGGAATTAAAAATATTTATTAGAATAATTCTGGCTAGCCAGGGACTCAAAGCTCTGGCGATTAGATGAGAGTAGTTTATGCTAAAGGGGAAGTACTGGATAAGAAAACTGAACAAAACCTAATCTTCCTTCGGGATAACAGAGATCTTACCAGGCTGCTGAAACTTTCTAGTCACATGGCCTTAGATCTAAGTCACGTTATGTTCTTCATCTTTAAATTGGGAATAACAGTATCTTCTTCTAATTGCTTGGGATGTTTTGAGGCTCAAATGAGGGCAAGACAAGAGTGTTCGATAAAGTCCAAGGTCTGCCAAAGTATAAGATCACGTGGTTTCTTCTGCTTAAAGACCTCTCACCAACCAATTTCCAGTGAAGTGAGATTAAAGCAGTGGTTCTTTCTGGGTGTGCTACTGCCTTGTGGAGTGTGTTTTAGAAACCTGTATATCATTTTTAGTTGGGGATGATAGAAGGAGCTACTGAAATTAAATGCGCAGGAGCCAGTGTTGCTAGTTGCACTACAATGGGCAGAACAATAACATGCAATGAAGAATTTTCCAACCTATGGCAAGAAATAATTAAAAATTGTCCACTATGGCAAGACTTTATAATGTCTTGAAGTAGGTAAAAAGACCTTTACGATTACTGGAAGCTAAAAAAGGGCCTCTGCAAATATTTATCCGCTGCACAAGGAATGTCTGACTGTGGGGCCAAGTAATGCCAAAGCCCAGCCAAGCCATGTGCCCTGAATCAGGCTGTACCTAGTAGGAAAGAGTGTTTTTAATCATTCACTGAAAAATGCATGTGGAATATATCTCCACTGTACAATTAATATTTTTTGCATTGTTTTAACATACTTGAAATTTTCAGAAAAGTGAATAACATGTAAATCTCGGGAATATTATACTTTGGTTTTTGGAAAATTTAACAAGATTTTTTTTCACCTTTTCAAAACAATCACGTGTCCCAAGGGCAGTGCTGACCACAGTAATTGAGATCTCAAAACCTCTGTCTGTTTTTTTATCGATCATTATTCATTATTTGTATACATACTTAAGTGAACATAATTTCTGATACTGGGTAGTTACCCAATACATTTTACCTTCTTATGTTTTCCTTTACAAACCTGAATGCTTATTCAAAATAATGAAAAGACAAATGCTTTTTCACCTGATCGTTATCAGTTGGAAATAATTCTTCATTCTGATCAAAAGGGGGAATATATTTCAGATAGTACTGGGGTTGCAAGTAGATTAGAGGAAAACTAATATGATAACAAATGCTATGTCAGAGCCTTGGCAAAAAACATAGCATATGCCCAGAGCTAAACATTTTGTATTTGTTATTGCTAGGGTGATTATTTTTTCACTAGAATGTTGCCAATCTACAGCAAGTGACTTGGCTTCTGTATTTTGTGAAAAAATATATTTATTCTAAGAGATCTCTCTAGACAATTCATGTGGCATCCTTAAAGTAAACTACAGATTCTGTTTTATGTCATTAAATCTTTTTAGGACAGTTTGAGACATCGGGAGGAGAAAATTCACACTAATGTCTATAAAATATGTCTTCAATGCTTCTACCACCAACTATACAGGAAAAATATATTGTGGATCAATAAAGAGCTAAACAGAATGACAAAGGGACTATAAAACAAGTTTACATTGTATAGACTTTGTGCTTTTAATCCCTTTGGGTAGACCACTCACCTCTGCCAGGAGGCTCTGACAGCCTAGTGGGGGAGTTGTGTATTTACCTGCAACGTGACGATGTGTTACTGTGAGGTACATACTATAAAATTAGTATGTACAGAAAAATTAGTGTCTAAACTTATTTGAGAAGTCATAGAGGAAGTGAAATTTCAACTGGGTTTCAAAGGTGGCATAGGAGTTTTCTCGAGAGTGAAAAGTAAAGACTTCCTCAGCAAAGTGAAGGGTGCATGAAAATACCTAGAATCATGGCAAAGGGAAACAGATTAAAAATTCTAGATGATAGTTTACTTTGATAATAATAGCAATCATATACCTATCACTGCCAACACACATCAAGTAATTAATTACTGGGTTCTTTACATGCTATGTAGTGGAGATTGAAGACAAAAGCCACACCTCTCAGAAAGAAAGGATGAAAGAGACATAGACTCTATTGAAGAAACTCTAAAGCAAAGGGTTAGGAAGATGAAACATTTAGTTCCCTGAGGCAGTATCCTCTAGCAGAGAGACATGCTGAGGCTAGGGTAGTCTGGATATACTGTGGGTTATGCTACAAAAGGGGATCCCTACACATCTGCTTATTAATCTTTTTAAAGCATGAGCATGCAAGCCTTGCGTATCTGAGATGCGTTGGGGTGTAGCAAGCATGTGCTGATATGGTACCTAGGGGCCTCTGTAAAGAGAAGGTTTTGGGCCAGGCGCGATGGTTCACGCTTGTAGTCCCAGCACTTTGGGAGGCGGAGGCGGGCGGATTAATAGGTCAGGAGAGGAGGCCATCCTGGCTAACACGGTGAAACCCCGTCTCTACTAAAAATACAAAAAAGTAGCCAGGCATGGTGGCGGGTGCCTGTAGTCCCAGCTACTCGGGAGGCTGAGGCAGGAGAATGGCATGAACCCGGGAGGCGGAGCTTGCAGTGAGCCACGATTGCGCCACTGGGCTCCAGCCTGGGCGACAGAGTGAGACTCCGTCTCAAAAAAAAAAAAAAAGTTTTGGGTGCCCCACCTGCTCGGGAGAAGGAGAGCCACAAGTACCAGCTAGCTTTGTGCCAGGCATTTTTGAGAGAGCCGCTGACACTGAACATTCAATATGTCATTTAATGACTATCATAACCTATTTATAATTAGGAAAGTTGACTCAAGTTCCAGCTCTGATATTTGTCATCTTGAACAATTTATTAAATTTCAGTTTCATTTTTTTCTTGTCTATGAAATAGGAGTATTACTAAATACATCATAGCATTAATTTGACTTACAGTAGATTAACCAGTATTGAGGTAAGTATCAATTTAATAGAAAATAAGGTGTTCTCTGTTACTCGTGTCTCCTTTGTAGGCTCCCCCCCACCCTGGGATGTAGTATACCTGTTCATTTGTTTTTTAACAGTGAGGAGTGTCAGAGAAGTTTCACGATGAAATATGGGAAAAAGAATTTAATCATAATATAGAAATTCTGAAAGGAGAAGGAAGAAGATATTTTTCTGTTTCATTTTGTTTTGAAAGAGAAAGCAAGGAAAGAATTTTAAAAGATGCAATGACACGGAACTGTGGATATTTTCCTAACCCCCAAGATGTGCAAAGCAAACTGATACGTGAAGAACATTAGAGGACTTTGAATTACTAAAGTGGCAGCGCGAGTGAGATAATCAAGCTGTGGTTTTAGGGGACAATAATGCTCAACAGAAAACTGGGCAGATGCTGAAGAGTGCGATGTATGGGCATCCTAAAGCTGGTGGTGGAAAATAGAGCAACAGTCTTAGAGACTGAGATTAAAGACCCATGCCTGTGCAATGGTGATAAGCAATGTGTCTGCATATTTTCAAGGATTTGGATTCTTTAGGGTTTTCATTGCAAATTGGAGACTTAATGTTTCTTAGAATTTTTTGGTTTTGTTTTTTAGGTTAGTTAAACCTCTTTCTCTAAACTTAGGTAGGGTGGTTCCAAGCAGTCATTTGAGCTGGAAAGTATTTTTCTTCTCATGGTGAGAAGAGGTTCATGACATATGAGGCAAAACAGTTTCAAATGTTACCAAGGTTTCCTATTGGAGTTTAATTACTCATTTAAGTGAAATCCATATGACATTCCACCACAAAGTGGGAAAAAAGAGAGTCTCTAGAAATCCTGTTAAACTCTTCTGGCTAGGCTCAAGCTATCATTAGATAAAATGGGCCAAAATTCATAAAACAAAAACAAGACTTAGCTCCACATATTCATTTTATTATACACAATGAAGTGCATGAATTTTATCTTGCTTTTAATGATATTTAACACATAGGAAAATTTAGCAGTAATAAAATGTTGAAAAGTGCAGCCTTAGATGCTGCATTGTGAGTATGACTCAGATTTAAGCTATTTATGGCTACAAGGACAAAAAAACCTTTTGAGCCTAAGCCTGTTGATTTGTCATTGCTTTTTCTCCCTTGTAGTCATAAAATGTAAACTTCATAATTGTGTAGTGGTGTTTACTAGGCATTTCAAATATGGTCATTTTCTTTGCCTTTTGCTGTCTTTACGAGTATTTTGCCTCTTTACTCAGATTCTAACCCTTACAGGTACCATCTAAGCAAAGAATCTACTGAGAATAACTACACCCTGCCTATGTTTTTTTATTTTGTTACATTTGTCAGGCACTCGATGGATATTCCTGAGCAAAGTGGCTGTGATATTCATCTATGTGAAAATAGAAATAAGAAAAAATGTAAAAGTAAAAATTATCAAAAGTTAGAAAAATAAATACAGCTGGTGCTCCAGATCCATAGGTTTGGCATCCATGGGTTCAACCAACCATAGCTCAAAAGTATTCAGAAAAAATAACACACCAATAAAAAATAATGCAAAGAAAAAAATGGAGTGTCACATACATAGCATTTACATTGTATTAGGTACTACAAGTAATCGAGATATGACGAAAATCACAGGGAATGTGCATAGGTTATATGCAAATACTACATCATTATATATTAGAGACTTGAGCATCCATGAATTCTGGCATCTGTGGGAGTCCTAGAACCAGTTCCCCACAGATACCAAATGATAACTCTATAAGCTTAAACATACGCATATATAATTTTTTAATTTTTCTTATGTAAGATGTAAATGATTAGCTGTGTATTATTTTACAAATATTTTTAAAGCTTTAATTTAAAATCTAAGCATTTTTTCATGGTATTAATGTTTTATCCAAATAATATAATTTTCATTAATTTATTGAGGAAAATGACCCATCTCAAAGGAGAACGCTTGCAAAACAAATACAATTTAAAAGCCCACATGGCACCTTATTCCCACTATACACACAAGAAAATCGGTACATATCTGGTTTGCATATTCCACTCATATGCATAGCTATGTCTATATAACTATATAGAGATATACACACATTTTATATTTCAAAACAAGATCATGCTGCAATTGTTTAGGTAACGTGATCTTTTCTTCAAACAATATATTTTGACTAATATCCTGTTATTTAAATTTTCCTTCTAAATCTTGGTTTTAAATGAGATCTCAGTAAATCACATAAATATAGTTTATCACACCAAACACCCATTGTTAGGCATTTTTTATTCCTTTTCACTGTAATAAAACCTGTATCCATATAAGTGTGTATGCACGTGTATATAATCTCTGATTATTTAGCAATATATTTCTGAAGTAATTATTAAATCAATACCATAGTCTTTATAACTATATTTTTATAAAAGTTGCAATACCTGAGAGAACAAGTGTCTTTTAACTCATTTTTCTCTCCAGGGATGTCATGGGAATTCTGCTTCTTGGCAATTTTCACGGATTGTAAAATTAGCTTACCAACTTGCATAAAAACTTCTGGTGAGTTCTGATTAAAATCACATTAAATTTGAAGAGAATAAATACTTTTATGATATTGAGTCTCCCTAAATATTAACATGGTAAATATTTCCATTAGTTTTATCTTTTAGAATGTCTTTCAATAAAGTTAATAACTTCTCCATATAAGTCTTGCATACACTTTATATTTACTACAAGGTGCCTTAGAACTTTTATAGCTATGAAAATTTTATTGGACATTGATAGCAAATTTGCATTATTTTATTATTAATTCTAGAAGTCATTTACATTTTTTGCTAGTCATGTATCATATCACTTACAATTAATGAGAGCTTTATTTTTCCTTTTTAATACTTCTATGTTTGTCTTTTATTCTGTTTTCTTAATGTTCCATGGAAATCCTGCAGTATGTTATTGAATATCATCAGTTTTAGCAAGCATTCTTGTCTCATTCCTGATTTTAGAGGAAATACTTGAACTTCTCACTCGTAAGTATGATGCTTTCTGAAGATTTGAGTATTTACACTTCCCTTCCTCAATGATTTGTGATGTCAGCCCTGTCATACATTTCCATAAATATGTGGATCTGTTTCTCATTTCACAATTTTGTTTCACTCATCTATTTGTTTGTTGCTGCATATAAGGGTTGATTTGGGAGTATGAACTTGAGTGAATTAGAGATGCCCAGATAGCTGGCAAAGTATTATTTATTCCTAATCAGTGCATTAATTATTCTCAGTGCTTTAGTAAGAACTGAGCCCATCCCTCTTTTGATGCAAGGGAAACCCAGGTGGTTTGGCATTTGATTACAATGACTGGACTGCCTAGGTGTGTCTCTGAGGGTGTTTCTGCAAGAGATTCGCATGTGAATTGGTGGACTGAGTGGAGAGGATCCACCTTCATGTAGGTGGGTCCTGTGCAATCGACTGGAACAATTGGATGGTGCCTTTTTATTCTAGATCGAACAGAAAGGTAGTAGGGGCAAGGCAAATTCTTGCTATCGCTTCAGAAGCTGGGAAGCCCTTTTCTCCTGCCGTTGCATGTCAGAACTCGAGGTTCTCTGGCTTTTGAACTCTGGAACTTGAATCAGTACCCCACCCACAACTCACACTGAGAGTTATACCATCAGCTTCATTGGCTCTGAGGCCTTAGGACCTGGACTTAGCCATGCTACCAGCCTCCCTGTTTCTCCAGTTTGCAGACAGAATATGGTGGGACTTCTCAACCTCCATAATTGTGTAAGTCAATTTCCCTAAGAAATCCCTTCTTATGTATCTCTTTATATGTAGCCTATTGGTTCTATCTCTCTGGAGAGCCCTGACTAAAACACTGTGACAATACCAAACTGTGTAATTGTAGTAAATAAATTATGAATCTTGTGATTGGCAAAGTGTACACTCTCAATATATTCTTATTCAAAAATACTGCAGCTCTTCCTGAACCTCTACTCTTTCATGTGAATTTTAAAACCACTTTGCAAGTTTTTAAAATGACATTGAATTTATGGAAAATTTCAGAATTTTTAAAATTCCTATATTTAAAGATATAGGAATAAGTGACAACATTAAAATAGTCTGTGCTATAACATTCTATTTATTTGGATATTCTTTTGTGGGTTTCAGTAATGTTTTGAAAATTGCACTTTTTATATCTTATTTATTTTTATTCTCTAATTGGCTTACTAGAACTTTCATTACTATCTTGAATACCTGAGTTGACAGCAGCTATTCAATCTGGTTGCTAATTCTCTATACAACTCGTATTAGTCTGTTATCATACTGCTGATAAAGACAGACTTGAGACTGGGTAATTTATAAAGGAAAAGACGTTTAATTGACTCAGCTCCATGTGGCTGGGGAGGCCTCACAATCATGTGGAAGGCAAAAGAGACATCTTACATGGCAGCAGACAAGAGACAATGGGAACCAAGTGAAAGGGGAAACCCCTTATAAAACCAACAGCTCTCCTGAAACTTGCTCACTACCATGAGAACAGTATGGGGGAAACCGCCCCCATGATTCAATTATCTTCCACTGGGTTCCTCCCACAATATGTGGGAATTATGGGAGCTACAATTCAAGATGAGATTTAGGTGGGGACACAGCCAAACCATATCACAAGTTTTTATATAAGGTAGAATATTTACTGTTAGGTTGATGTTAGATTCACTTTAATGATTAGAAACTTTCCTATTGACAGCTACTAGTCTAATTTAGAGTGTAAAATAAAGAAGGAGATGTAACCGAATAATGCATTCTATCAATTCTAAAATGTACACTTTTTTTTTTTTTTTGAGTTGGAGTCTCGCTCTGTCACCAGGCTGGAATATAGTGGCATGATCTCAGCTCACTTCAACCTCTGCCTCCCAGGTTCAAGCGATTCTCCTGCCTCAGCCTCCCGAGTAGCTGAGACTACATGCGTGCACCACCACACCTGGCTAATTTTTGTATTTTTAGTAGAGGCGGGGTTTCAGGCTGGTCTTGATCTCCTGACCTCGTGATCTGCCCTCCTCGGCCTCCCAAAGTGCTGGGATTACAGGTGTGAGCCACCACGCCTGGCCCACTTTTTCTTTATATTGTACTATTGTTTAAATTATGATGCATGCTATAGTAGTTGTGATAAGAAAGAACTGTATCCTATTTACTAGCATATTTTTAAAATCATGAAGTACTGTTAAATTTTACTGAATATCTTCTTTGAATCTATTTAAATTTTTATGTGTTTTATTAATCTGTTAGAGTGGGAGGGTTAAATTTTATTATATAATTTTTAATAGTAAATTTATAAATACAATTTATAATTAATGATTTACAAATGATATATTTTTTTATTTCAGCCATTTTTGTATTTCCATAATAAATCTTTCTAGTTATGATATATACATATATAATATATAATAAATCCATGCATATATGAACTATATATATTATGTAGTCCTATAATCTATTTTGTTAGTACTATTTTGCCATTTTTGCACTTACATTTATATGGTGTATGTTAATACTTTCTTGTATTAGTCTTATCCAATTTGTGTGTTGTGGTAGGCAGAATAATGGCTCCGCCCAATGTCCATGTTCTAATCTCCAGATCTTATACACATATTATGTTACATGACAACGGAGAATTAGGGTTGCAGATGAAATAAAGGTTGCTAATTAGCTGACTTTAAGCTGGGTTAAATTATCCTGAATTATCCAGGTGAACCCACTGTAATTACAAAGATTTTTGAAGGATGGGAAAGGGTCAGTGTTGAAATGATTTCCTGTGACAAAAGCTCAACCAGACATTTATGGTTTGGAAAATGGAAGCAGCTATGAGTTAAGAAATGTGGGCAGCCCCTAGAAGCCTGATAAGGCAAGAAAATTGATTTTCCCTCAAAGCTTCCAAGAAAAGAATCCAGCCCTTCTAACATCTTGATCTTAGCCTAGTGAAAGGCTGACTTCCAGAACTGTATAATACTGAATTTGTGTTGCATTAAGCCACACAAATATGCAGTTATTTGTTAATGTAGCAATAGAAAATTAATACAGGTGTCAATATTATATTAACTGTTATAACACTATGATATTTCATTGAACCTAAGATGTCATTCAATTATAAGATATACTGGCATTTTATTGCTATTATATACAATTATGCCAATTAAAGTCTGACAGAATGCTTCCTTAGCACATCAACCGTCAGATGCCTCATACTTTCAAAACTCTTACCATATGGAAAAAGGCACACTTTAGAATATTCGATGTTTTCCTTATTTTTCTATTCACTAAAGCAACTTGCATAAAAAGAAATTATTAACTTCTTGAAATTTTGGTAAACTAACCTCTGAAGCCAAGTGTTGTCATTTGAAGGAGGGAACACCTTTGCTTAGTAATTAATCTTACATAACCTTTTGAATTTTTCTTCATAAGTACCCTGAATACTTTTGTATATATATGTATTTAAACATACGTGCTTATATGTAGTTAGTAACATTTATTTTATCATTTTGTATGTATATTCATGAGAGACTAATGAGACTTCTGTGTGTATTTCTGTGAATTTTTAAACTGGTTTTGTCTTTACAGTTTTCTCTGGTATACAGCTGTTTTCATCTTGGCTGACTGATCAGTATCTTTTACTTAGAGCCTGGGCAGATTGTTCAGCTTTTCTCTATCTTCAAATCCTTATTCCTTAAACACAATCTGTGTGGTCTCTCATATCATAGTTCCAGATTGACTTTATCTAATCCTGCTTGGATTTTCTCCTGATAATAGTAATAGGAGCACATATGCAATTAGAAAGTTTAATTTCAATTGGAAATTATATGAAGAGACAGCTGAAGTATTTATTATTTCTTTCATCAATTGCCTCAGTGCACCTTGTGCAAACTTTAGCCCAATTTGGCAAACATCTAGAACAATAATTAGTATAGCTAATTCAATAATTTCATTGTGATTAGTTGTATGTAACTACTGCTTTTTTTTTTTTTTTGCAGGAAAGGAACTAAAATAATTCTGAGTACTAGCAAGGACTAAGATGAAGTTCAATGTTATGACTGCAAAGTGAAATGATCAGAAGTTTCATGGCCATGAGTACTGCTGCCTGGCCCGGGCATGAGAAATGAGTTTGCTCTAGACTGCAGATTGTGAAGACGAGCTTTGCAAAAATCTAACATCTAGTGCATTCTGACTATGGAGAGGATATAATTGATGTAAGACTCCAAGAGATTGCTGGTGAATAGATCTGTGGTTAGATTTTAAACGATGGATTTAGAAAACAATTCAATGAGGTTAAAATTAATTTTAGTAAATGTGAGGGATAAGAGAAAGGAAGGCTGAGATAAGCTGTTTTATAAGAAATAGTTATGCTGAACAGATCCAAGTTTTGCTGAGGTGAAGCAGAAACAATATGGCGATTAGAAAGAACAGCGAGGTCAAGATGTTACTGCATTTTCAACCTGGGTAACTACGAGGTCAATATGTGAATAAGTTAACAATGTATTGCTGAAGAAATTATGAATAGAATGGAGAGGAAACTGGGAAAGTATAGAGTGTGGTTATTTACTACATGTTTTAGGTCACCAGTTAAAATAAATAAAGTTGACCTAGGTTTAAAAAGAAGGGAAAATGTTAAACAAGGATCATTGTTGAGTAATTGGAATTAAGAGTTCACACAAAAAGCAGGCTGTCTCTTAATCCTAGGGCATGAAGAGCAGGGGATAAAAGGATGGTCTCTGTCAGATATTTCCAAGAAAAAGCATTGTCAATTTTAGGATGTTTGCGTTTGGTAAATGTAGAAAGCTATCATCCATAGATGCTAACACTGTTTTGGCATATAACAGATTCTCAAAATTTGTTATTATGTTAGTGAAAAGTTTATATATTCATAAGTAAGAAATTTTCAAGATTAACTATATCTAATTTCGGTTTTCCTCTTCACCATATACACAGTCCCATTGAAAGGAAACATTGAGTAATACAGAAATTAGAATTTAGGCTTCACAAATTTTAGAATTAATTACACTGATTTTCACAATTTTACTGGTAATAATTGTATCCTCACATTAATCCTGGTGGTACTGGGGTTCATCATCTTTAAACATTAGGGGATACCATCTTTCTCATGAATCTAAAAAGTTCGTGGGATTATACTGAAATGAGAGAAGGTCCCTTATCATCCTCACAGGGCATGCGACAAGGATGTGGCTTGCTTCTTTGGTGCCCCACTGCTCAAACTCCTTGGGGGAGCATGCAGGCAGGTGAGTCATGGGGAATGTTACTAGGCTCCGACCCCATGGCAGCATCTAGAGGTGAAATTTTATAACTCCAGAAGCCCAAGTGAGCCTGTGTTACAGTGCACTCTTTCAGCTTATCCGTCTGCACGTGGCTTGTGTTAATCAGCTTGATGACACCTTCTGCCTTATTGCAAGATCGGAGGGTTTTCTGTATCCCAGGTTCTTGCCCTAGTGTACCAGAAAAATTGGATTACACGTGAACTTGGAGAATGAGTGCAAGGTTTTACTGAGTGGTGGAGGTAGCTCTCAGTGAGTTGGATGGGGAGCCAGATGAGGGATGGAGTGGGAAGGTAGTCTTCCCCTGGAGTTTGGCTGCCCAGCAGCTAGACTCTCCTCCAACTGCCCCTGGCCAAATTCCCCTCGACATCTGCATCATTCTGCCATCGATGGCCTGCCAGTGTCTGCTGGTGTTTGTGTGTCTGTCAGTGTGTTCTTCTGCTCCCCTCAACATCCAGCCACTTGTGTGTATCCTGAATTTTTATGGGCACAGGATGGGGGCATGGAGGACCAAAAGGCAACTTTTTGGGTGTGAAAACAGAAATACCTGTTCTCATTTAGGCCCACGGGTGCAGGCCTGAGGGTGGAGCCCTCCCCAGGGAACCTTCCTTTCTTTACTTAGCACCTCCCTGCCCCCTTCCCATACCATTTTCCCCCTCTGAAGAGGTACATCTAAGTGCCTTTAGAATAAGGACGATGACCGGTCTTAACTACTTTTGCTGACTGGGGGCATTGTTTTGGGGAAAACAGCAGTCAGATTCCTCCAAAAGGTCCATGTAAGGGTTCCTGGCAAAGGGGAGCCATTGTCTGTGGCTCCAGTTGCATGCCTGTTTGGAGTTTGATGCCCTCTAAGTGAGAGAGAAACAAACAAGCTTTATAAGGTTAAGTATGCGTGAGTTAAACATTTGTATTATACAAGTAAAGAATTTAGTGCCAAAGATTACAGAGATAAGAAGTGAAATATAAACTAACAACGGCATTGTACACCAAGCTGTTTCACCTTCATGAAAGAAATTAAACCTTACATGGGAGCAGTTAAACTTTGGAAGAGAGATAACTGTTCTTGCCATATCTTTAGCAGTTAACAGGTGTACCCTGGGAATTCTGGGGTTTGTGGGCTTGCATAGTGGCCATTAAAGCTTCTGCCTCTTTCTTGTGTCTCCCTTTCTCTATTGTAGAAGACTAAGGTAGCTACTCTCAGGAGACCCTCTAATGTACTATCTGGTCCCAGGGCCTGTTTTTATAGCTTCCACTTGATGTCAGGAGCTGCCTGAAGTAATAAATGTAACCTTTAGGATTAGCTGTCCCTTGACTGAATCAGGAGATTGTGAGGTGTTTTACCAAGGACTCTCTTAGCCTTTCCATGAAGGCAGTGGAATTTTCATTGTATCCTTGGTCAATGATGAATAACTTAGTATAATTGAAAGGCTTGGTTTTAGTCCTATGTAAACCCTCCATTGTGCACACCTAAAGGTGTCTCCTCTTCCAGGCTTCCATCTTGTCACTGGGATCCCTTTGACAGTCATCCACTGGTACTGCTTCTCTTCCAGTTGGATAATTTTTGTCCCCTTCCCTGATGCTATATGTGATACGAAGCTCATCCCCAAATCTCTCTGCTGCTTGCAGAGTGGACTGCTTCTCAGCGTCCATCTGGGTCTGATTTAAACATAACATAATGTCTCTCCAGGAGAGTTCAGATATTTTGGTGAAATTCTGGAAGCCTCTATATATCTACCAAGGTCATCTGAAAACTTGCCAAGATCCCCCTTAATTTGCTTTAAGTCCTGTAGGGAGAAGGGGACCTGGACCTTTCTGGGCCCAATTCACTCGGCATCTGTTACAGGAGCAAGAGTGAGACTGGGCCTTGTGTAGGGCAAGGATTTCTAGGAGGTGGCAAGTGAGAGGCTGAAGCTGGATGGGGAGGTTGGGGTGGACCCAGAGGAGCAGGGCTGGAGGGAGCTGGCTCCTCTGCTGGGGATGCCTCTGGGTCACGTATCTTTGAAACCCTGGGCTTGCCAGTCCTACACTGGATCAAACAGGAGGGCTGGATCAATCCTACACTGTCAGCAAAGGTCTGAATTGCCTTACAAGGTATAGAAAGCCTGCACATATGGGGCCTCAGACCATCTGTCCTCAGAAAGTTCCAACTGCCAGATGGTATCAAAATGAATGGTTCCTTCCTGGGAATAACACAGTCCTTTATAATTTGGCCCAAACTTTGTGCAGAGGGCTATGAAGCAGTTTTTTCCTCCAGACTCTGAGGGTCAAAGCAGTCCCAATGGTTCAGGATACACTCCAGAGGGATATAAGCTGGGGGTGCTGAAGAGAGCTGCTTGTCCATTCTGAAAGACAGTGAATAGAGGTGTCCCTCATTTCCTTCCTTCTTTCAGCAAAACCTCAGGGTGTGATGGAGAGAGAAAATAAGTGTCCTTCCTATCCCTTCCATCTTTTTATCCTTGAGTCCCAGCAACCTCGGCAGGCTCTGCCCATAGGTACCAATGTGGTATGTACCCATGAAGCAGGGAAAATTTAGAGAATAGGAATTAATCGCCCTCACCCGTACCTCCATTTTCCCCCGCTGTTGACAAACTTTCAGTTCCCTAAGCCTGGTTATGCCATGGAGCATGGCCTCCTTCCATGAGCTGGGGGGTTCAGTTGGTAAGAATTGGTCCTGCCCATTTACATTGTGCCTGTTGCCTGGCTTTGGATCCCTCAGACCTGGTCTTTCTTCCTAGGGCCTCAGCCTGAAGCTTGGAATTGAGTTTGGGACTGGAAAGGTATTTCGGAGCTGTTTGTATCTGTTTAGAGTGTCTCAAATGAGCCTTGCCAAATTTGCAGTCATCAGTAAGCAGGGGCTGCTACTCTGTTAGCTTCCCTATCAACAGCAGGGAGTGCTGGTAGTTCTCTCCCACCCCCCTTCCTTGTGACTGTTGGGCATGGCCTTTGACTGCTGTGGGCATGCCCAGGTGCCTGAGCGGAAGAGGAGAGGTTTGGAGGGGGTGCCCTGAGCTGGGTGTGCCTGCAGCTGTCAGGGTGGAGGCAGAGATGGTACCTCCAAGAACAGTGACTCTGATCTTCACCCTTCACGACTGAGCCAAATGCCCATTTTACTTAGTAACATTGCCACAGCCTCTAGCAAAACCCTTAACATTATAAAGGAAGAGATAAGAGCCTTTTCAAACCATGAGAGAGGAAAAGATACAAAGTCTAGGGTAGGGAGGGGGTGGTGGTGGGGTTGACTGGCCTGGTTAGGGTGGTTAAACCTTAGTGTAGGGAAACAGGACCTTTTACCTTCAGGAAAGAGAGAGAGGTGGCAGGGTTTTGGAAAAGAGGCAGATCCAACAGTTTCACATTTGCACTCACCTTCCTGGGTCCCAGATGAGCCCCTAGCTGTGTTCCCTTATTGCCCTCACAAGGCATGTGACAGAGATGTGGCTTGCTTCTTCAGTGCCCTGCTGCTCAAACCCCTAGGGAGAGCATGCAGAGGGGCAGGTCATGGGGAGCGTTTTTTGGCCTCTGACACCAGGGCATCATCTAGGGGTGAGTTTTTAAAACTCCCAAAGCCCAAATGGGCAAGTGTTACAGTGTGCTCTTTCAGCTTAGCTGTCTGCAGGCAGATTGTGTTAATCAGCTTAATTAGACCTTCTGCCTTATTGCAAGGACAGAGGGCTCTCTGTATTCCAGGTTCTTGTCCTAGTGTACCAGAAAAATCAGACCACGTGTAGGCTTGGAGAATGAGTGCAAAGTTTTATTGAGTGTTAGAGGTAGCTCTCTGTAAGATGGATGGGGAGCCAGAAGGAGGATGGAGTGGGAAGGTGGTTTTTCCCTAGAGTAGGGCCACTGAATGGCCCCTGGCCAAATTCTCCTTGGCATCTGTGTCATTCTACTGGTGTCTGCTGGTGTCTCTCAATGTGTTCTTCTGCTCCTCTTGACATCCAGCCACTTGTGTGTGTGCCTGCTATGGGCCTGAATTTTTATGGGCACAGGATGGAGCATGGCAGGCAAAAAGACAACTTTGTGGGCCTTAAAACAGAAATGCCTGTCCTCATTTAGGTCCTTGAGCACAGGCCCAAGGGTGGAGCCCTCACCAGCGACCCCACCCTTCTCCCATTCTCTACTTAGCACTTTGCTGCCCCTTTCCCATATCAATACTACCCTCTTTCTGGTCTAATAAATGTTATCATTCTCTTTGTTTTCTCTTGTGTAGAGATAGGGTCTTGCTATATTGCCCAGTCTGGTCTCAAACTTTTGGCCTCAAGTGATCCTCCTGCCTCAGCTACTTAAAGTGTTTGGATTACAGGCATGAGCCACCATACCTGGTCAATATTATTGTTCTTAATGATAAGACTAGGTTATTTTTCTGATGTATGAATATTTTTAGGTATTATATATCTACATAAACATAGATATATTGCACCATTGACATTTGGGCTGGATAATTTTTTTTTGTGGAGGTTGTTTTATACATTGTAGGATGATTAGCATCATCCTGTGCCTTTATCCATCAGATCCCAGCAGCAACAGTTGTGACAACCAAAAATATCTCCAGTCATTGCCAAATATCTCCTGGGGTCACAATTACTCCTACTTTAGATCCACTGATGAAGATCTATAGTAAATTAAACAAAAATGCTTTCATCATTTTTCCCTAGTTTTCTTTACCCTAGAGAATTACTAATTCCCAATCATTTGATAAAATTATTATTTTCTTATATTGTCTATACTTTGGCAAATAATAATTAGAAAACATCAACAATGAAATGGTTCTTTATGTTAGGCCACTTTAGACTAAATCATTTGGAATAAACCACTTACAGATTTGTATGATCAATTAATTAATCTTAATAAATAACATGTTTTAAGGCAATTTTATGAAATTAGATTATTGTTAAAAAATGAGACTAAAGAACACCAATGATGTTTATGGTCCAGATAGCCAATTTAAAATATAATAAAAGTAATTTTGGAATTTTAAAATGCTTTTAAAAACCATCATTGCCTAAATAAAAAGTGTAGGGATGATAAGAATGTGAAAAGAATTGGGCTTCTATTCTGTACAAAATATATTGTGTGTGGTAAGATTTGAGTAAAACCAAAAGATTCAGCTAATCATGTTCACCACTTGCTAGCACTAATCTTTATTTTTTCCTTGTAGTTTTCTTCATGCATAATGACTTTTAACTTTTCATAGAATATGTATATGTACACTGAAACAAAGAGATTTTTAAAGTATAAAACTGAAAAGTGCTTAGCATAGTTATCAAAAGAGTCATTATAATTTACATAGAACAACAGCGTTAAATTTGAATCAGAGTACGGATATGAATTGTGCTTTATGTCTTTACTGAGTAGGTAACAATGGGTGAATCACATAACTTTAATTCCTATTTCCTTTTAAGCAAGATGGGAATAAAAATACCAGCCTCACAGTGAGAAGATTTAATTAGGAAATTTATGTACAAGCACACAGTGCTTCTTTAAACTGATGGCTCAATTATTATTTGGTGAATCTGAATCTGAATCAGAGAATAGACACTATGTGACCATGAAGAAAAATGGTATTTCTATATTTGCTATTATTATTCTACAAGAAATAGCAAAGACGAAATCTGTATAAAGTCTCTGTGCAATTGAAAAAATGATAATCTTTACTGCACTTAAAATAGAATAAAAAACTTTAAAAATAAATGTGTATAGTTTAAGCACTGTTCCCATGGGTTAGTTTCAATATTGCTATAAATGAAATGTCAACAAGAAAATAAACTTGATATTCTAATTATTTCAGCTGAAGTTTATTAAAATGATGTGTTAGTGAATTCTCACACCGCTATAAAGAACTACCTGAGACTGGGTAATTTATAAAGAAAAGAGGTTTAAATGGCTCGTGGTTCTGCATGCTGTACAAGCTTCTACCTCCAGGGAGGCCTCAGGAAACTTACAATCATGTCAGAAGGCAAAGGGGAAGCAATACTGTCTTTGCATGGCCAGCAGGAGAGAGAAGGAGAGAGAGGGGACGTGCTACACACTTTTAAACAACCAGATCTCATGAGAATTCTATCACAAGACAGCACTAGGGAGATGATACTAAACCATTAGAAGCCACCCCCATGATCCAATCACCTCCCACCAGGCCCCACCTCCAATACTGAGGATTACAATTCAACATGAGATTTGGTTGAGGACACAGAGCCAAACTATATCAAATGATATGTAAAGAGATTACAGTTTTCAATCGTGAAGTTTGTAAATATAAACAGAAATTTTATGAATGTGCTAACTCCTAGGAATTGTATCTATGTTTTATTATTCACAGATATTTTTTCATCTTGAGAAAAATGTATTTTTGTCTGTGTAATTTGGACTACATTATTCAGTTATAGACTTAGTACTTTGGCATAATTTATTTATATTTAAAGAATGCCACATTCTTTCTTCACTTCATTACCATTTATTTTTAGTAGAAGTTTCCATTAAGATTAATACTTCAGGTTTATTTAGGTCAGTGGATCATCTCTTAGTCTTAGCATCTATCATGCACACTTCAGAAAGTGCTAGGACCCATAGAACTGTAGTTTGTTTCAATCCATTAAGGCATGATTCTTCGACAGCTTAATGCATATGTCTTCCTAGTTGAAATCTTAAAATCTCAGGATAGTTGAAGGGAAGATTGTCCTTAGTATTTGGAAGGATGACTAAAATAATGTGAAAAAAATGATAAGCTATTCCATTATCCATTCATTATTAAGTATATTTTATATATTATATAATTTATTGTATTTTCATCTATAAATTTGTATTTATATTCAACATTGTGTAGTGCATAAAGTAAATTGAACATCAGAAGTCCTTTCAGCTTGAGAAACTCCTAAAATTTCTAAATTTCTACAACTTAAAAATGAAAAAATGAATCAGATAATTGTTATTTACTCTTACAACTCTAGAACTTTAAGAAAATACACCTATTATCATCATAACCATCATCATAACTGTCATCATCATCTAACATTCCCTGAGCATTGTTTAACAGGCCTTGTGATAGATTTGTGTGAACAAGGCAGCCTGAGTAAATAGAATGCAAACACAAAATCAAGGGCTGCTGTATGAGTGCCAAATGAGAAGCACAGAGTTGGTCCTGCAGATCAGGGCTAAGAAGGATAACCTAGACTCGTTGTGTGATACTTTGAAATCCTGCAATTCAATAGCCTGGGTCAGAAAATATCCACAATGAATCTTGCAACAAGCAGAATGGAAATATTAGATTTATTTTCTCTTTTAGGCTCCTTAACTTTATATGTAAATGTACAACTCAGCATTAGATTTCATAAATACATGTGTTTCTAGAAATCATGTTTCATCTCCATATTCCTATGCTATTTTGTAGTGAAATGGTACACATGACAAGTCTTCAAAATTGTGAAGCATTTGTAAGTTTAACTTGACATAACCTGGGATGCTCTTTCTCTTTTCCAGACCTTGAGATCTCCTGAACATACTGACATTTGGTGGTCATTGCTTCCTCTCTGAACACCTTCCTTAATGTGAGAAGGAACTTGGAGTAAGTGACCCAGGAGGTCATTCCATGATTTAATTGTTTTTATTGGCCTAATTAATTTAAAAAGCTTAATTATGAAACCACATGAGTGCTGTGCAAAGTCTGCAAAGTACCATTCAATGACATCCAGATGCAGAATACATCAGTAGCTTTTTAACCTAATTCACAAAATAAACCAGACAGATTTATAGTACATAGTGTGGACCCTAAGTAAAATAACTTCACTCTTCCTAAGTTTTCATTTAAATGGTAATAAGAAATGTAATTTAAAAAATTTTAGTCCTAAATTATCATTGGAAAGTTAGCATCTATTCCAGTTAACTATTGGTTCATTTAAAAACACCTCCAAAATTAATGGTTCAAAACAGTATCAACGATTTTATTTTTATCTCTCATGGTTCTGGAGTTGGCTGAGCTCAGCTAGACACTTTTCTCTCAGGGTTTTTTTGTGTTTACAGTTAGACAGTGTAGGGGCTGGGGTCATCTGATGGCTCTGTCATTCACATGTCTGGCACCTGGGATGGGAAGACTCAAAGCAACTGGTTAAACTGAAACAGTTTGGAGCCCCTCAGAAACCACTTTATACTTTGGGGTTCTTTCCATGTAGCCCCTTCAGCAGCTTCAGGGTAGCTAGACTTTTATTTGATGACTCAAGGGTTCAAATGTTTGTGTCCCAATAATGAGGGAGCCTGGAAGAAGCTGTACCACATTTTATGACCAATCCTTGGATGCCACACAGAGTAGCTTTTGCCTCATTTTATTTGTAGCAATAATCACAAAATCTCATCCAGATTCATTGTTAGGAATAATAAATGCCATTCTTGTTGGAAATTACCAAGACTGTAAATGCATACGATCTGGAATAAATTCTACAAACCTTTTGGTAAATACAATCTATTATACCATCCTAATGGTGGAAACTTCAAATCCATATCTCAGGCAAGTACAGGCAAGGCTGAATGGAGAAGACAACCTACCAAAGTGTGATTGACATATAGGAAGAAAAATAATCAGGGAGCTAAGATGTCAGGGAAGGATCCCCAGCTTAATACCAACCTCTCCCCCAACTCATAATTTCTGCTGCAGATAGAGAAACTGATGAGAGTCTGTGAGGTCAGTCACGTTCAGGGAGGAGATTGAGTGGGAGAAAAAAAAGATGGAGGAAGAGAAAGAGAAGAAGAAACATGAGGAGGAAACAATGCTGTCAAGGGAAACAAAACTATATTTTTTAAAAGAAGCAGAAAATTAAGTGGTTTACAAAGGACCACTAATCAGGGTACACTCAGACTTGTCTTCAAGACATTGAAGAAAAATTTTACTAATATTTTTAAAAAACAAAAATCATCATTTTAGATATCTGGGTCTGGATATGGGCTTTGTAACTAATTCTTTATCTGTGTGAGAATAAGGAAGTCACTGAGTCTCTCTAAGCTCTTCTTCTAACCTGTAAATTGTAGATAATATTTATACTTAAACTTTATGGTCTTTGTGGGGACCAAATGAGACAATTCATAGAAAGTGCCTGACACTCAGTGTAAGGGCTCAAATAATGCTGAATAATCTAGCAAGAGATACCAGGTCTTAAAAATCCATCTTATCTGCTAGCAAGGCTGAGGTGAAAAGGGAACACTTATACACAGTTGGTGGGATTGTAAATTAGTTCAGCCACTGTGGAAGGCAGTTTGGAAATTTCTCAAAGAACTAAAAACAGAACTGTTATTCGAGCCAGCAATCCCATTATTACAGGGTATATATCCAGAGGAAAATAAATTGTTCAACCAAAAAGCCACATGCATTTATATATTCATGGTAGCACTATTCACAATAGCAAAGTCATGGAATCAACCTAGGTTCCCATCAAGAGAGGCTTGGATAAAGAAAATTTGGTACATGTACACCATGGAATACTATGCAGTCATAAAAAAGAATGAAATCATGTCCTTTGTAGCAACATGGTTGCAGCTGGAGGCCAGCATCCTAAGCAAATTGACACAGGAACAGCGAGCCAAATACCGCATGTCCTCACTTATAAGTGGGATCTAAACATTGAGGCACATATGGACATAAAGGTGGGAACAATAGACACTGGGGACTACTAGAAGAGGGAGATGGGGAGGGGACCGAGAGCTGAACAACTACCTATTGGATACTATGCTCATTACCTGGGTGATGGAATCATGTATACCTCAAATCTCAGTGTAATGCAATATACTCATGTAACAAACCTACATATGTACCACTGAACCTAAAATGAAAATAGAAATTATTATTAACATTTTGAAATAGAGATGGAGTCTTCCCGAGTTCCCCAGGCTGGTCTCAAACTCCTGGGTGCAAGTGATCCTCCTGCCTCAGCTTCCCAAAGTGCTGGGATTACAGGCATGTGCCATCACACCTGACCTAGAAATTATTTTTTAAAAATCCATCTTATCTTCAAAGACTCAGTGTGCTAATTTCATCATATATCAATTTCAAATTCATATATTTCCTGAGTTTGTTTCTTGGTTATTCAATTTGTTCATGACTTGTCTATGTACAATTGTCAAGCAGACTGTTTAAAGTACTCTATCATAAGATATTTTTATACCTGTTATTACAATACCTTCCTCATTTGTTTTCAAAATAATTTTGTTCTTTCTTAGATTAACAAATGTCCAGAATGTTGCTGGGGAGATTCTACTATTTAATAAATAATTCAAATGAAACAAACTCTTAGGCTGTTTTCCCTCTTGGCATTCTACAAATCTAGGAAGAAATATGATACTTTGATGCAGTTCTTCTCTGGATAATGAGAGGCAATGTGACAAAATTTAAACTTCACAAGCTTAGAGACAAAGAAACTAGGTATCAAATGGACAAAATGTTTGTAGAAATTAGTTTCAAAGTTAGTAAAGTGAAAAAGCAATACTCATCATCACCATACAATTTCATCAATCAAATGAAAGTCTAAAAAATTCCTAATACGGAGTCATTGATAGGTAGATGGGTAGATCACTAGATAGACATAGATCTTCACTTTCAATGTGAAGGTCAGAAATAATGTTAACATCATTATTATTGCTACTAATTTCTCTATTAGTTCCTGAAGCTATCTAGCTGATATAGTTTTATGGCTTTTTATTTATACATAAGTGAAATTTTCCAGCCCTTAAGTTATATGAAACAAAGCCTTAATACTCTTAAGTTGTGTTATATAATACTTTTTTTATTATTTTTTTATTTCTTTGAGACCGAGTTTTGCTCTTGTTGCCCAGGCTGGAGTGCAATGGTGTGATCTCAGCTCACCACAACCTCCGCCTCCTGGATTCAAACGATTCTCCTGCCTCAGCCTCCCGAGTAGCTGGGATTACAGGCATGCGCCACCATGCCGGGCTAATTTTGTATTTTTAGTAGAGATGGTGTTTCTCTGTGTTGGTCAGGCTTGTCTCGAACTCCCGACCCAGGTGATCCTCCCACCTCAGCCTCCCAAAGTACTGGGATTACAGGCGTGAGCCACCCCGTCCAGCCTATATAATACTTTTAAACTAACCTCACTCTTTCCATAGATCGCTGTAAGATCCTGAAGGGTTGCAACGATTGAATCAAAAGCAAAGGATGGAGGAGTGCAGTGAGGGAAAGAGATATTTGTGGATAATATTTTATATGCCAGGTAATCATTATAACATCCTTGCATGTGGAATGCTGTTATCCTCATTTTATAGATGAAAGAAATAAAATGCACAGAGGGAATAGTGTATGAAAGGCACATATGCATGGGTGTGCACAAACACATGTGTACACACACATGCAAACTTCCTCTGTGAACTGGGTTGGCCTTGAATCAAGCCTTTCAGATTTTAAAGCCCAAACTCTATTCTCTCTAATTCACTCTCTCCTCATTGTCAGGTGGTGGCATTATACACATGTATAATTTAAAATGAAAAACTTTGAGGTGTATTTATAATATTTATCCTACCTTTGTGTTTTTAAAAGAAGGCTACTTTTAATGCCACAGTAGTATATAGTTTAAATAAAACAAGGCAGATCATAGAAACAATTATAATACTCACTGCAGCATTATCTGGGTTATACCCTTTGACAGATTAGGGAATGAACACTTGATCTGCATTGTCCAAAATGGTAGCTACCAGCCACAAGTAGCTAAGGAGGCTTCCAAAATGTGGCTAGTCTAAAGGTAACAGATTCCAGAGACCTAGTGTCTTAAAAATATAAAATATGTCATCAATATTTCTATATTAATTACATGCTAAAATGATATCATTAAATATCCTATTAAACTTAAATTCATCTTTTTTTAACTTTTTAACATAACTAATAAAGATTTGAAATCACACATATGGCTTTACATTATATTTCCAATGGACAGCACTGATCTAGAAGCATGAAGTCGGTTGGATTTACTACTTGTCGTGATCCATACCAGAACACTGAGGCATAGATGTGTTAAATTACTTGTCCACTCTCATTAAAAATGGAGGGATTCAACGTAGCCATCTTATCACTCATCACTGAAAATATACTCGCTATTGAAAAATAATCTTCTAAGCAAGAATTGCCGTTATAATCTAGTTCAATTCCTGTATTTTACCATTTGAAGAAAGTCAGACTGTAATTTTACAAGATCATGTTAAAAGTGGAGCCAGACTTGAAATTCTCAGTCAAATTTCGTTTCTACCCTATGATTCTACCACAGTGCCTTCAACTGTTCCATTTAATTCCAATGAATGTAAGGCACACATGGGACAATACAATGAATTATAAAGTTGGATTCTGCTCATCTGTACCAGGTAGAACCACTTTTTAAGTTATTAAATTCAGTGCTAACTCATTGATAGCACAGGGTTGGTAGTTTGCACACATCGACAACTTTACTTCTATGTATTATGATCCTTTATTCTAAATTGTACTTGCAAAAACTATCTGAAATCTAAAGAACAATCCAACAAAACACTAAAAGAGAACATTTTGACTCTTTGCTATAGAAGAGATTTCCAAGGGCAACATGTGTGGCATATTGAAAAATAAAGCACACAAATCACAGTTTGGGATTTTATTTCCTTTTCTAACTTTTAGCTTATGTAGCAATGATTCTTCCCAACAAAGAGACCTAAAAGCTTTGCTTTCTTTTAGGATTTGTTGGGCAGAGGATAATTGTGTAGACAATGAAATAACACAGAATATGACCTCAGCAAAACAAAAATGTGAAAAGTAATGTTTTATCACTTTAATATAGAAGGTACTTAAAATATAGAGTACTTAATGATACAGACTATTAACTATACTTAAAATATAGAGTATATTAAAATATAGTAGTTAAAATATAGAGGCAACCAACATTGCAGAGTAATAGGAATTCATGTTTGGAGCTGAGGCACTGGCTTCAAGTCCCTCTAGTCATTACTGGGCAAGCTGCTTAAATATTTCTGTAACTCAGCTTCTTCTTTATAAAAGGCATGATTAAATATCTCCCTCATAGGTGTACTATGAGAATAAAAAGATGCAGTGTGTGAACTTATGTATGTTATCTGACATAACTTAGTCACACAAACATGTTCATTGAAAAAGACATTTTCATATATACTACTAATCAGCAGCTTGTACTTTGACAAATCACTGAAACTTGATGTTTATCTTTAAAAAACGAAGATAATGGTACTTTCACCACACGGTTATTGTGAGGATTGAATAACTTAGTATTTGTAGTGTACTTAGGCAAATGTTGAACAAAAGTGTATCTTTTATAAATTAATTTGGGCCTATGTAAAAAATGACCTTATTTCCAGATAGAAATACAATTTGTGTTGTAATATGCTCACACCCATAAGAATTTATACATGTGTACCATACAAATTGGACAAATTGTTATTTTAATTACTTTTACCTTTATTAGTGACACAAAAGTCAGAGGAAAAAGCAAACTGTTCCCAAATTTAAGAAGAAAAACTACTTTGCCTTCTAATAGAACGAGTAGTAGAGTCTAGGGTGTCTTGAAGTCAGCTCAACCAGTGATTCATGATATGATGCTGGGAAATTCATTGATTACTTCACCTAATTTACCTGTTGAAGTTTGTTGTTATACTCTTTGGGGCTTTTGTTGTTCTTTATATTACTAATACTTCTACAGGTAAACTATTTTGCTGTTTTTTTTACTTATTCTTGTTAAAAAATGGTCATCTCTCTTCAATTCTCATTTTAAGATGACATCACTGACTTCACTAAGATAGGCCTTCCCAAGGCCATTTTTAAAACCAAGGACCAATTCATTATCTAATGGCATTTCTTGAGACTCAGCTTGTTAATAGTCTCTATCATTAATTGAAGCAACATCAATTTAGAAGACATACTATTTATGCCAAACTAATCTGTTTGGAGAAGGTGAAACCGATGTTAACAATTTGATCAAATTAAAAATAAAAATGGCTTTTAACTAAAAATGAATAAATTGAGAGACAGTAGAAGTCACTTTGGCTTAATACGTAAATTGTATATATCTATTAATATTGGTTCTTCCCTAGATAAAATGTCTTGGAAAGCCTCGTGTTGAATACAGGAAGAATCCTAGGTGTGTGTATGTGTGTGTCTGTGTTTTAATAAAACTGAATTTCAAATCACTTAATTATAAATAAATTAAGAGAAGTAATGAAATTGCTTTAAGTGTTTTAAGTAATTAAGCCACTGGGTCATGTATTTTCATTCGCTTAAAGCTAAATAACTATTTAGCCATTGAAGTGGCATATATTTCTAGCTTTCTAAGTCCATAATAGACTTTTTTTGCTATTGGAAATTGACTTTTTCTACTGCCTGAAGTCTACCCAAAATACAAATTAACCCAGAATTCTCTATTATACCAGAATTTATTGCTGTGTTGAAGTAACATTACAATACTATAACAAATAGCACTAAAATTATATCTTAATAATTGGACTTTACAGTAATGGAAAAATTAAGCCTTTGACTGGGGTAAGAGTAAAGGGTAGCTTCTAGAAGATGGCAAGATACTGATGATATCCTTGGTTCCTAATAGCGAGAAAATGATGGCTATCTTCCAAACCAATGGGTTTTAATTTTTTTATTCTACAAATTTATATTGTGTGTCTCTTGTCTTCCAGATGCTATTCTTTGTACTGACACTATAGCCAAAAGGAAGACATCTTTCATGCTCTTATATAGCTCATAATCTAAATTGCAAAGCCAACCCTAAGCAATTACATTTTTAACTAGAATTATAGTAACTTACGAAGGCCATAGGGTGTACTTTGGATAATTATAATGAGAAGGCTTCATCTAGTCAGGATGATCAGAAGAATGTTTCCTGAATGTTGGAGGCTTAAGATTTGAAAAATGCATTTACTTCACTTGATGAATGGGAGTGACAAAGGGGTTTAATTTTGGTATATGGAAGTGGCGATGGGGTTTAATTTTGGTATGTGGTAAGGTTGGATAGTATAAGAGCATTGTAATCAACAAGAAGGGTCTATGTGAAGATTTCAAGAAAGGGAGAAGCTTGTTTTAATAAATGGAAGGAAACGTGAATGAAAAAATCAACCAAGGAGAAAGTAACATGAGATTCAGGATACAAGTCAATGGTAGCTAGGTCAGCCAAGGCCTTATGGGCATGTTAAGGGCTGTCATCTTTACCTAAAGGCAAAAGGAAAGTCCAAGTATGGAATGTATGGTTTACATTTTTGGATCATTTCTGTAGCTGCAGTAAGAAGAATGAATTTACAGAGGCATTACATATGAAAGAAAACAAATTAGGCAGTTTTACAACATTTCAGGTAAAGTTTATGTGGATTTTTAGTGGGGTTTTGATTGCTTATATGTAGAAAAGAAACCCTGGAGTTATTTAGAAGGTGCATTCAAGAGGAGTTTCTTATTGATTGGATAGACAAAAGACAACTAGTACTACATGGGCTATAAAAAACTAAATGGATGATTTAAAAAAATCTATTTAGTGACTAAAATTACTGAAGAAAAATATAGTTTTGAGAAAATCATTAAACTAACATCAGTTATGTAGTATTTGAGATATATAGTGACATAAAACTAGGGTTCAGTAGATATGCGGTTTCTAAGTTTCTCAACTTAAGAAGAGATGAAAATGCTTAATATACATTTTAGAGTTGTAAGCATGGCTATAATAATTACAAACATGAGGATTAATGCAATTACCCAGGAAAAACATACAAAGTAAGAAGAGATGAAAATCTAAGATAAAACAGTGATGAACTCTAATATTTAAGAACTACATGAAGGGTGCAAAAAAATGAAAACCTAGAAGGTGAACAAAAGAGATAAGAAGAAAATGAGAGGCACGATATCACAGAAGTCAAAGAAAGAAAACAAGAAGAAGGATTGCACTATCATTTATAATTTTGCTGTTGAATTTATAGTATGTAAGTCGCTAGCAACTGAGAATGGCAGTTTGAAGAAAATCAGTGAAGGCAGAATCCATATTATTGTAGTTTGATAATGAGAAGAAACTAGGGAAACACAAGTTTCTTGTGCAAGAAGACATTTCTTTTGAGAAATCTGACTTCTAAGAAAAAGTAGGTAAGACTGAAACTAGTAGAGGATATAAGGGTTGAATGCAAATATAAAAGAAAACAAGATATGTGATGCAATGAATTCTTTTGTTGTCTTTTAAAAGCAAAGAACTAGCCAGGCATGGTGGCTCACACCTCTAATCTCAGTGCACTGGGGGGCCGAGGCTGGAGGATTGCTTGAGAACAGGAATTTCAGATCAGCCTGAGCAAGACAGCAAATTATGCCTCTATAAATAAATAACTAAATAAATCAGCTGGGTATGGTGGCATGTGCTTATATTCCCAGCTACTCAGGAGGCTGAGGCAGGAGGATTGCTTGAGCCCAGAATTTAGAGGCTGCAGTGAGCTATGATTGTGCCACTGCACTCCAGCCTGGGTGACAGGTCTCAGCAAAAAAAGTAATGGTAAAAAGCAAAAGAACATGCTTCAAGGATGATGCAAAAGATTTAGGAGAGAGAGAGAGAATGTGATTTACAATACAGGTAAGAGCAAGAATACATAAGTGCAATACTTGAGGTGGTAGGGAGGTACAGTAGTGAGAAAGATTGTAAGTGGAGGAGCACTTTAGAAAGCTCACATTTTCCATTGTAATAGAAATGCAGGTATATTCATTTCCCAAAGGAAGAAGAGAGAGTCCCCATCTTATAGCTTCTATATAATAGTTGCAGGGGGAGAACAAGAAAATTTTTCTTGAAAATAAAAAGGAGAAGGGAAAGATAGGCAGTATGAAGATAATAGAGAAGTTTTGCAACTTTGAAAGTTGCAGAAGACCAAAAAGGAAGACAGAGGTTACCACAGTTGGGAGTAGGGAGTAGGAAATGAAAAGATGAGTAGGTCCAAGATCTAGTTCTTTGATCAGACCAACAAAACAGAGACTTTTAGCATGTCTCTTATGGGAAAAGAGATAAACACACAAATATAAGATGAGAAAATTAACACAAAAAAAGAAAATTTAAAAAACAAAGAAAGGATGGAAAAAAGAAAGCAGCAAAAAGATGATAAACAATGCATTTGGAATATATCGAAAGCCAAAGGAAAGAATATATATATCCCTGAAAGTGCTTCATTTTCTGGAATAAATTAACAGAAACTTGAATTTAAGTTTTTAAAAGAAATTTAAGATGATATCAAAAACAATAGTAAGGGGTGAAAAGAGAGATGACAAAGATACAGAATTGAGTTGAATACCACAATAATACCACGTGGGAAAACACCTTAGGAAAATGAGATAAAAGGTGGGGAGAGAAGGAGAAAGAGTAAGAGCAAGAGAGATTATTAAAATCAGCCATATTTGCAGAAAATAAGAAAATTAATAGTTTTTTAAAAATATGAATTATACATATAATAAAATTAAAAAATAACTATTTTAATTCATTTCTTAATGTTGTCTCTGTTATACTATATTTCCAATATAAATTTCACTTTTTTAATGTATCCTTTATATTTTTTTTTTTCAGATTTGGATACTACATATTTAATACAAATATTTGCTCGGTATTCAGAATCATATGTGTCATATGGTATGTCCTGTGTCCTGTGCTTGCTGGGTTTTGATTTTAGGAATATATCTGATAAAACCTAGTAGGAAATTTTTACTTGAATTAATAGAGAATTTAAATTAAATAAGACTTTATAAAATAAATACTTTAAATAAGAGATCTAAATTAAATAATGGTTTATATTTAGAAAGAAATATAAGGAATATTTATTAAATTCATATTAAAATAATTTTAAAAATACAAGTGAAACACAAAAAATTATCAATATTTTCTCTACTTAGAAGAAAGGAGAAAATTATTTTCAACATTAACTAAATATTGTTCTAAATATTTCTCTTTGCAGATACAAATATAATGTAGTTGTAAAAATAGAGATAGAGGTTGACTGAACAACCGAGAAAAAAATTGATGGGTCTTTGCACAAACATATTTGGGTTTTGGTATTTAGTATTTTTATTCTTTCCAATTTCTGAGTAGTTTGTAATTTCTAATATGAATTCAAAAGAGTTCTCTTTGTATGGGGGTAGTGTGTGTGTGTGTGTGTGTGTGTGTGTGTGTGTGTGTGTGTGTGTTTGTGTGCATAGGCATATAGATTTCTTATTAACTTTTAATTTAAAATATTAAGAATTGCAAAAATCATATGTGTATCTTCCAATGAGTTAGAATCAACACACTTGTGCTTCTATAAGTTAAATTATATGATTCGTAATGTGTTTGTGTGTGTGTTTATGTGTGCATGTGGCATCTTTTGCTCAGTTCTATATTCATGGGATTCACTGACATCATCACAGTAAACATTATTCTATTTCTTTGAAAAACACTATATGGTTTTAATTTTATGAATATGCCACAATTTATATAACCTGTTGGACATCTCAGGTGTTTTCAATTTAGAGCTATTACAAATAGTGCAACTGCAAATATTTTTATACATGTCTTTTTGCACATTTGCTGTCATACTACTGGTTATTTACATAGCAGTAAAAATTGCTGGGGCAAAGGTCATGTGGATGTTGAATTGTAGTAGATACTGATGATTCATTTTCACAATTAGATGAGAGATTCAGTTGCTCCATGTCCTCACTAAAACTTGACATTATTAATTTTATTTTTAACTATTTTGGAGGGTATGTATAGAGAGTATTTCACTGTGGTGTTAATTTGCATTTCTCTGGAGACCAAGTACATTTTTATGTATTTGTTATTTGAATATTCTTTTTGTAAGGAGCTTGGTCTTTTTCTAATTTATTTCTAGAAGATCCTTGCAGATTGTTGTCTGCTTTTTAAATGTTTCTCTAAGAAAGAAGTCTAAGTATTTATTGCTGCATTTAAGGTTCAAATATTATTGAAACTTCCTAGGAAAGAAAAGGCTTGATTGTACAAATATCACTGTCACCTCAGTTCCAGTTTCCGCTAAGAAATATGAAGATAGAAGAAAAAATTCATTTATGATGCAAGCCAAATGAGAAAGTCTTTCAAATGGCAGCAGCTTTCAGAATTTTTTTTTATTGCTGAGAGGAATTGTTATAGAACTCTGTCATGGCTAGAATGTAATTAATCTTCTTGAGAAGGAATGCGACTTTGAACAAAGTAAATTGAAGAAATTTCAATCATGTGACCTGATCTTCATCCCAACTTTACTCATTGTAACCCAAAGAGATGTGGGGGATGTGAGGTTAGGAACAAAAATTAGAATATCTATCTTTCGAAACATGAGAGAATAAATAGTAATGGAACATGAGTGGAATTTTGAAAAACAAATATAAGCCAAGAATTCCATAGCTGGCTCAGTTATCATTTACATATGAAGACAGGTGAAGAAAATTTTCAGATATTCAAACCTCAAAATACAAGTAACTAGCCTATTATTTCTGAAAAACAAAACGCCTTAGAAATATTCCAGCTAACTGAAAGATCAATGAAAATAAACAAAACACAAAAGGAAATTCATGTTATAAAAGGCCAAGTCTTGGGAAATTAGCATTTAAATTAAAAATAGGTACAAGCTTTAGATGAAAGTAAACAAGATATATAACATTCCTTAAAGCAAATATGAAGAAATTAATAAAGTTTATAATCTTTTGCTTGAATTTGATTTTAAAATATAAATTCTTTATTTTTTTGAAAAATTTAAGAAAAATAGACTATATTATACAACAGTAGAGTTCATTGTCTTTATATAGAGAGAACAAAGCCATATAGTTTGTTAACAACAGGTACCAACCATAATGAATCTTTTGATTACCAAAATATATAAAATAAAAATAGATAGACATATAAAGAGACATTGTTAGGGATACTTGGAAAACATGGGTGATTGTAATGAAATTCCAAGAAAAAGCCATCATTATGGAGATGATACTTTCTCTATAACTTTTATCTATCATTTGAAAATTTCAGAATATACAAAGTAAAAACTAATAAAGGAGAAAATAATAGAAATACAAGAAGAAAGTGAGGACTTTAGTGAAAGGGTTGAGGATAAATGTTTTCTTCTTTCCTTGAGAAGTGATTGTGAAACCATACTGCCTGGGTGCCATCAGCAAATAGTTTGTCCCCGTGATTGGAGACAGCCTAATGATAGAACTGTCAGGGCTAAAAGGGAGCTGTGAGCGCAGGGAAAGAGGAAGACCAGAGGGAGAACTTTTCAAATGAGTCAAGCAAGAGCCTTTGTCCCACAATTCTGGAACATAGATGACATCCAACAAATCAATTTTGTATTGCTTAAGCTAGTTTGAGGCTTTTGTGTGAAGCATTTTATTAGATACATCAGTTTTTCTGAGGCAAGTTCACATTTTTAACATGGTCTACAAGTTCTGCATGATCTGCCTCATGCCAGCTCCTCCAGGGTCACCTCGCCCCACTTCCTCCTTGCTGTTGACATTGGAGCTGCCCTTGCCTTCTTTTAGATCCTCATAAGCATCTTGCTCCTTTCCACAATACAACCTTTGATCATGCTGCTCTCTGCTTAAAACTATTTCTTAGCCTGCTGACCTCCCCACCTGACAGCTGAACCTGTTTAGTTAACCCCAATCATCTTTCAAATATAAACAAGCTGTCCCTTTCAAAGTGAAGAAATCTTTCATGCCCAAAAAGGACAGGTCCCATTCCTCTTTTATATTCTCTCCTTATTACCCTGTACTTACCTTTGTAGGGTTCATTGCTTTCAAATTCTCCTCGTTAAATTGTAGGTAGAAACTATATGCGATTCTCATTATTTAACATCTAGTCACTAGAAGAGTTCTGGTGCTTACTAGTTACTCGATAAATACTTGTTGGATGAATGAAGGGAAATAAAAATGAGGGTACCAAATATATGGATAACGTAATTACTAATATGTCAAGTAAATAGGTTTGATTCAAAGTTTACCAAAAGAAAATATGCTTTCCCACCACCAGTGATCATGTAAGATTTTTAAAAAGCTGATCAAAGTAAGGCCAAAAAGAAAGCCTCAATAGATTCTGAACAGCAGAAATTACACATTTCTCTAGCATATCAGAACAAAATTTTGACACATCTTTCTTGCAATTTCTTCAGTAAAACAAGAGGACTTAAGTAACATGATTATACTTGGATATCTTTCAATTTCCACAAAGCAAATACCAGTAAATTCCTTTCTATGGAAAACTGTTATTCATTCTCTTATCACAGAGTAATACAATTAAGACAAAAGTTAGTTTAAAAAGAATAATATTTACATACTTTTTTTTTTGAGATGGAGTTTTGCTCTTGTTGCCCAGACTGGAGTGAAATGGTGCGATCTCGGCTCACTGCAACCTCCGCCTCCCAGGTTCAAGTGATTCTCCTGCCTTGGCCTCCCGAGTAGCTGGGATTACAGGCACCTGCCACCACACCTGGTTGATTTTTTATATTTTTTAGTAGAGACGGAGCTTCACTATGTTGGCCAGGCTGGTCTTGAACTGCTGACCTCATGTTCCTCCCACCTCGGCCTCCCAAAGTGCTGGAATTACTGCCCACCTCAGCCTCCCAAAGTGCTGGGAGCCACCGTGCCCGGCCACTAATTTTTGTATTTTTATTAGAGATGGGGTTTCACCATATTGGCCAGGCTGGTCTCGAACTCCTGACCTCAGGTGATCTGCCCACCTCGGCCTCCCAAAGTGCTGGGATTATAGACATTAGCCACTGCGCCTGGCCTAAATACAAATTTTAAAAAGAAATAAAGACATGGTGAAACAATAAAGATTCTGGAAGATAACTTTGGAGACTGTCTTCATGACTGGAGGCAGTAGCAATTTTTAAATAGAATACAAAAAACACTAACCATAAATAGAAAGATTAATAGATTATATTAAAATTAAAATTTTTATCCATCAAAAACATCATTAGGAGAGTGAAAGGACAAGTCACAGAGAAGAAAAAGATGTTTTTAACATATATAATTGACAAATGCTTGTACCTTTCTTGGCAACTGCAGAGTCTAATCAACATTAAGGATATTAACATTGTTGGAAAAGATCAAAATAATCAGACACAAAAATGAATGTGTCATCCAGGAGTCACTGGGAAAGAAAGATGACATAAAAGAAAAAGGAAAGAGCTATGAGGACTCCTTTCAACAACTGTGAGCTCTCAGCTAAAATGCATTGAGGTAGTTGTTCTTAAGGTATTCTTAATCCTGATGATATTAAAAGAAAAAAACATTTATATACATCTTGTGAAGGCAATGTTTTAACCACATTTCAGATGAGGAAACTGAATTTCAGAACCGTATTTAGGAATCAGATTTTCTGATTTCTGAATACAAAATGAGTTTTTCTTCATTACACATTGTAGAAGGTACCTTCTAGCTTTAGCCCTTTGTGTTTTCTGGTAAGTATAATAATATAATTAGGAGAGAAAACCTGAACTCCTATTCACTTTGGGAATGCTGGTTATTGCTGCGGGTCATGTGGTGCACTACTTTGCATGAGATACTGACTTGCAGAATCTGTGAAGAGGGAAGGACAAAATTACCCAATCTCCTCACATCTATGTCTTACAACTGGGTCACAGGTGAAATGTTATTTCAGTGAGTAAAAAATCTTGAAGCACAAAAACCAGATCTGCTTCATGCTGATTTCTGCTGTGTAGTGACATTCTTCTGGTTTCAACATAAAGAATTATTGTTAGAAAGTGGAAATAAGAAACCCTTCCTGGCGGGGCGCAGTGGCTCATGGCTATAATCCCAGCACTTCGGGAGGCCAAGGTGGGCGGATCACCTGAGGTCAGGAATTCAAGACCAGCCCGGCCAACATGTCGAAACCCTGTCTCTACCAAAAATACAAAAAGTAGCCGGGCATGGAGGTGCGTGCCTGTAATCCCAGCTGCTCCAGAGGCTGAGACAGGAGATGGAGGTTGCAGTGAGCTGAGATCGTGCCACTGCACTCCAACGTGGCGGACAGAGTGAGACTCTGTCTCTAAAAAAAGAAAGAAAGAAAAAGAAAAAATAAAAGAAACCCTTCCTATAGAAAAATGTCTGGTTTTTTTTTTCTGTACTTAGCAATATAATTTCACCTAGTATTTAAAATTCACTGTGGTTATTGTGGTCAGTTCTCAGCTGCATTCTGATTGAGATTTTTGTCTGTTTGTTTGTTTTCCTTAGAAAATAAATATCAGAATCACTTGAGGCCAAGTTTGAGACCAGCCCTAGGGAACATAGTGAGAGCCTATCTCTACAAAACATTTAAAAACGTTAGCTGATTGTGGTGGCATACACCTGTAGTCCCAGCTACTTGGGAGGCTGATGTGAAAGGATCATTTGAGCCGAGGAGATCTGGGTTGCAGCGAGCTATGATTGTGACACTGCACTGCAGCCTGGCAAAAAATTGAGAAGGAAGGAAGGAAAGAAGTAAGGAGGGAGGGAGGGAGGAAGGGAGGGAGACGAGGGAAGGGAGAAAGGGAGGGAGGGAACACCTCCCCTTTTTTCATTCTCATCCCTGGACCCCCATGAGCATCTCCATCCCTTCCTCATGTTATTTTTCATGTTGACACTTCCACATTACATTGATATCACTTAAGAACTTTCCATAAATATATGCATTTTATGAAGAATAAAAATGTTAAAAATATGCACAGAGTGTTAATGATGGAATTGGGGAGGGTATGGGGAAATCCTAGTGTGTAATTGTGCATGCAACTGTAAACACCACAATGAGAATCTACCATCATAACTCAAGAAGCTTCTAGCACTTTCATTTATCCCTAACCCCTAGAGCTAGATCCTCTATGTCCTCAGACATGTCTTTGATTTATTATTGAACTTAATACACTGGTGACAATCCAAGACAAATTCTAAGAACTAGCATAAAAAATAATCATCAATGAATGTTGAAAACTAGCATTTTATGTTTACAAAGTGAGAGTGAAAACGTTGGTGCAGAACTCTTTGTAGAGCGCACCTCAGATTTTTTTTTCAAGATATCAGTACTTTTTGGATAAACATTGTGATTTATATATTTCCTGTTACATAATATTTTCATATTGGCTCATTTTCTCACTTTATCCTGATTTCAGTTCAAAGGTTATCTTAACCAAAAGCCCTTTCTTGACCAACAGGCCTTTCTTGACTACTGTGATGTGCTGGCTCCCCAACAGATACACCTGCATCCTAATCCCTAGAAACTGTGAATGTGACCTTATTTACAAAAAGAATCTTTGCAGATGTAATTAAGTATTTTAAGATGAGATCATCCAGGATTACCACTCAGCCCTAAATCCATTGACCAAGTGTCCTTATATGGGACAGAAGAGGAGAAAAAGGATAAAACAGAAGGAAGTAAAGCTCTCTGATCATAGAGACAGAGATTGGTGATAGGCAACCACCAGCCAAGGGACACATGGAACCACCAGAAGCCAGAAGAGCCAAGGAAAAATTTTCCTCTGGAACATTTAAAGGGAGCATAGCCCTCTGATGCTTTGATTTAGGATTTCTGACCTCTAGAACGATGAAAGAATAAATTTGTGTGTTGGTTGGTTTAAGCCACCAAGTTTATGGTTATTTTTTACAGCAGCTCTAGAAAACTAATACGACTGCCTTATCTAAAATAACACATTCTGTTTTCTCACCTGCTTTATTTTTCTTCATAGTACCTGTCGCTACCTAATACTATTATTATTATTTTGTTTGTTAAGTGGTTTATCTTCCCTTACTAGTTGTAATTGGGCTGCGGGGTTGTTTACTTTATTCACTTTCGTATTCCTAGTGCTTCAACAGTATCTAATTCATAGTAGTAATTCAATCATTTATTTATTTATTTTTTGAGATGGAGTCTTGCCTTGTCACCCAGGCTGGAGTGTAGTGGTGCGATCTCGGCTCACTGCAACCTCCATCTCCGGGGTTCAAGAGATTCTCCTGCCTCAGCCTCCCAAGTAGCTAGGATTACAGGCGCTTGCTACCACGCCTGGCTAATTTTTTGTATCTTTAGTAGAGACAGGGTTTCACCATGTTGGACAGGCTGGTCTCTAACTCCTGACCTCATGATCCACCCCCGTCTTAGCCTCCCAAAGTGCTGGAATTACAAGCGTGAGCCACCATGCCCGGCCCTCAATCATTTAAATGTAGGAAGAATAAAGGAAGGGAGGAAAGAAAAAGGAAGAAAGAGGGAAGAAAAGAAGAGAAAAAAAGGAGAGAAAAGTAGGGAAGGAGGAAGATAAGAAAGTAAGCAAAGAAGGGAAGGAGGGAGGGAAGGAAGGGAAGGCACATAAGACATTTTTATACAATCTTTACAAATCTACGTTAGGAGACCCGTAAGAAGCAAGTAGCCTAACTATTGACGGTAGCCCACTGAACCCTCAAAGCAAAGCTGTCTGGGAAGGGGCTGCTCAGTGTTACTGTTACAATTCCTGCAGCAAAGGAGAGGCTCTGGCTGATAATTCTTGGGCACGATCAGCAAGATCACACCCGGCTGCGGTGGACATTACTGTTAGGTTGTTTTCCTTCCTGATTTCAAGTCAGTGAAATCCTGACTTCAAGCTGTTAGGTTGAAGTCAGTGAAATCCTGACTTCAACTGTTAGGTTGTTTTCCTTCCTGATTTCAAGCCAGGACAGTGTAATAACACCTGCTCACTCAGCGTCTCTTTATTATCTTTGTCATCTCCACAGCCACAGTGACAGCATCACTACTCAGGAACAGGTCTCCAGTGGTCTCCTCAGTTTAACAGGTCCAGGTGCAAATAATTCATACCAATTACCCTGATTTGGTTGTTACACCATGTATATATGTATCAAAAGATGACATGTATGCCCAAAATTTGTACAACTAATATATAACAATTTTTAAAATTTTCATTTTTAAAAATAAAAATAATTCATACCAGTGACACCATTTCTCACACTAAACTCTCTTTTTCTCTGAAGAATGAGGAAGGATAAAGAGCATGGTAGTTCTGATGGGAATGTGGAGTGGCCAGATTTAGCAAACACCCCCAACCTTCAACCTCCCTGACTCCAAATTCTATACTCCAGCCTGTGTCATAGCTCATTTACAGTCTGTATGCTTTTAAGTGACTTGAGACCAAAATAATGTTTTCTTTTCCAAATCTAAAGGGTTTATTCATAAATGAAGAAGCTGTGGTTGAAAATTGGTAATTATTTAAAACATACAGGTTACAAAACCTGTATGCACTCCCTAATAGGCTTGATAACTTATTTTAATTGGTGAACTTCAACATTTAATCCTTTATAAGCTAAAAAGTTTTGTATGTTTATTATACACTATGTAAGCTTGCTGATTTTCTTTCCATTTGCTTAACTTTTGTCAATTAGCACTCATTTACAACTAACTTTACAATATATGTTATACTCAAAGTTAAATTCATTTTTCAAATTATTTAATAATTTAAAATATTTTCTAATTGAGATTTGCATATGCCTAGCGGTTCTGATTTTCTCTAAAATCATTATATTTTCATGTGGAGAGGAACTATGTTGGAAATTTAATTTGTATTGCATACTGACTATTGAATAACATGCTTATCAAATGCTTACTAATATTTTTGAAAAGAGAAGTGATTTTGTCACTTTTTTCCTTTCTTGTTGTATATAAAAAAGAATAAGATCTGTTAAAACTATTCAAAACTTGTCATTTGCTCAAAGCACCCATGTACACATAGTCTACAGGTGAAATGGATGCCAATAGAATATAAGTTAGGATATATAGTCTGTGTAAGACTAATATATACTTCCTCCGGATACACATTGCATGTTTGTTCTGCCAGAATACTGTCTAATTCATAATCCTACACAAATATACACCCACAAAACACAACTGCATTATGTTTGGCTTGAACATTTTCCAATGTTTTGCGGTGTGTGTGTGTGTTTCTAAATTTTCCTAAACTCTTTATTGATGAACTATGCTACAGTCTCATTTCCCCCATCTCACATAATATATGCAAGAGAAGTGCCAAATCATGGCACCTGGAGTTTTATTGATTGCCTGTATTCACAATTGGCTCAATCAACCGGATGTTGAGGGTGAAAAATGACGAAAGGAGTGATAAACAATCAAACAGCCAGAAACCATCATTAGCCTAATCTCTTCCTTTTGACTAAAGATCTTACTTTAGTTAACGAGGATACAGATTAATGATACACAAACAGCTCATCCTTTGTCATTTTTTCAACTAAGCTTGAAGGGAAAAAATCCAACCTAACTGTAAACACTTTTGGAAATACAGAAGTATTTGGCCAATTATTCTAAGCATCTTTTAAAAACCTCAGTTGTCTGGAGCCCAGATGAAATAGGAGCAGGAACAAAATTACATATCACAGAGCATACTAAGCCACCTTAGTTTTAATGAGGACCTGAAATGTATGGGCATCTCTGATCAACATGAGCTGTGATGTAAGAAACAGAAAACTGATATCTGCTTTGATATTAGACTTCCTAGTCTGTTATGCGTTCTCTAGGGATCTCAAAGTCTATAAAGCAGCAATACTTCGCATTTTTGTATGGTTATGAACTTGCTTAAAAGCCCCACTATGAAAACCCTGCTAGTAAACTATTTATTGTCCTAATCTACCAAATTTCTCTCCTGGTGAGTAACTTTTTTTAAAATTAAAATTTTTTTAGTAGTTGTAGCACTTGCTTCTACTTTACTTTTTAAAATAATATTAAAAACCTTCATTTTATTCTGGTCATAGTAAAGCTGTTCTGAAAAATTTTTCTTTATGCAAATGAGAAGGGAACACACACACACCTGCAAACACAGGCATACATGCATGTGCATGCCTACACACATGCATAGAGTCTTTCTGCAGAAACCCTAATGTAACAAGGGAAAAAGCTAAAGAAAGAAACCACATTTTCTTTGGTCTGCCAATGTCTTCTTATCTCTACTAAATGAAGTGAGATGAGAACCCAAAGATCTTCCCAACCTGGTTTCATTTACTGGGACCCAACAAATAGCACCTTTTCTATGCATCCCGCTCCACAGGTACTAAATATATGTTCCATTTTTGCCCTTTTTATCTTTCCTTGTTTACCAAGAGGCTGCTTCTATAGAACACATCACCCTGCCTTGTTTTCTAGATGGCAACAGCCAATGAGAGGTAGCAACCCCAATTTGGAAGGCATGAAGTGAGAAAGATTAGGGTATTTATTCTGCGTACCACCACCTCACCCAGAACTACAGTTTTGGCAGTGCCATGTTTCTCTTGTTCTTCTACCCACAGTCTCAAGTGCCCTGGACAGCTCTTTTCCAATGGCTACAGTGTTTGTGAGTTCTAGTAATGTTGTTCTCCTTTTAGCTCTTCAGGCCCTTGGGCTTCCACTGTTGCTAGTACCTGGCTACTTTGCTATTCAAGTTTGTTTCCCAAATCCAACCCATGCTTCTGTAAGTAGTCACTCCACTAAGCTCTTATTAGTAAATTCTTTGAATGTAGCCTGTTTCTTAGTAGGAATTGGACCATAGATTACTTTTAGAAGTGTGCTGCCTCTGTCCTCTCACAACACTTTGTCCATTTCTCTTATGACACTTTTTACAGTCTACTTCAATAATTTTTCTACACATTTTTCCACCCAGTTAGGCCCTGATTTCCTTGATGGCTGAGATTTTGCTTTAAACATCAATGTGCCATTAGGAACTTACAAAATGCCTGATAAATAAATGTGTGTGAATGGATGGATAAATGCACATATTTGCAACTGCATTCCTTGTCAGCTAAAAATTTAAGTGATGTCAAAAGCCTCCTTTATCTGAGACCGTTGCTTCATTTAAAATAACAGGCTCATCATTGTGTTATATAAGTGGTGTTAAGTCTGGAGGAAGGCAACTTGATTCCTGCATCTGCTAACATTAAAACAGAAATCCTTGCCCCAGATATCCAGGCCAATGCCCAGGAAGGGCTCACAAAAGAAAGAGATTAATGCCAGCATGTAATGATACTCCACATGCTGAGAGCTGGGTTTATCCAGAGCTATGTTCCAGTAAACTCCAAATTAATTAACATTTATCTTCTGCTTGTCATCTTCATGGTAAAGGAATTTAGAGGACATCTTCTGTGTCATTCATGGCTTCCTGAGGAGCAGAGGACTTCTTTACACTGAAATGAGGGATGTAGCCAAAGATTTGGAAGGCAGCATGGTAAGTTCTGCTATTGGGCATTTCAACAGATAGATGCATATGAGGTCAGGTCCATTCAAGTGCCACCAAGTGAGACAATTTGTTCAAAAGATGCTCAGTTTACCCCAAGGGTCCACAACTCACAGCAAATGTTGTGAAAATCCTGCAACTCCTGACAAATCTCACATGCTAACAGTGATGTGCTAATGTACTTAATTGAGCACTGCTTCTCCTGTCCAGGCAGTAGAAGCTGTAGGACTGTGGTCTCTTTGAGCAGCCATGGCAAAGGACAGACAAGAGATATTTTCACAGAAGCAAGGCCTCCTTCTTTTTATTCAGTCCATTCTCCTTATTGAAATTCCCCTTCCATAGCCAGTCAGAATGGATAGCAACTTAATTGAGGAGTGTCAGGCTTATCTTGGATTGATCATCAGCAATATTAAAACAGGAGTTGATTTAACCATGTAATTTACATTGTTGATTAGCCACACATCACCATTGTCCTCTAATTAATTGTTCAAAGAAACTTTTGTTGTTGTTGTTAATAGAGTAGCCACCTCTGTCTTATGGAGCTGGGTACCACAAGCTCACCTTTACCCTGAGGGATTAAATTTATTGGTCTAAAGCTGCAGTTCTGGGGACAATTTTGCCCTGGAGGACATTTGATAATGCTAACAGACATTTTGGGTTGTCACATAGTGAAGGAGACTTGGCGTTCAGTAGATAGCATCCAAGGATGGTGCTAAACCTCCTACCATGTACGAGAAAGCTCTGCATAAAGGAATTATCTGGCCACAAAAGTGAATACCACCAAGATTTGGCAACTCTAATCTAAGGATAGTGCCATCTTTCTTATCAGACATTAGTTCAGAAACGAGCACATGACAGATTCTGGCCATTGACTTAAAAGAAAACATTGGATGTCATCTTCAGAAACAGTTCTTCCTCACTCTTTTTTTTTTTTTTTTTTTTTTTGAGACGGAGTCTCGCTCTGTCGCCCAGGCTGGAGTGCAGTGGCATGATCTTGGCTCACTGCAACCTTCGCCTCCCGGGTTCATGCCATTCTCCTGCCTCAGCCTCCCAAGTTCTTCTTCACTCTTAAACAACAACCATAAGAAGCAGACAACAGAGTGGAGTGACACCAAAGACCTGAGTCCTTTAAGATGTGCTTCAGTTCATGTTCCACCCAATTGTAAAACCTGCCTGATCTCTCAGCATCGGCTTATGTGAACTAACACTCTGTTTTGTGTTTGGGTTTCAGTTATTTGCATCTGCAAACACCTAACTGACACAAGTGTGATGGGTCGATAAGGTTTAAGTTGGCTCTGGGAAGATGAGTGAACACTGAGAAGCGTGAACAGCTAAGAAGGCCAGAGAAAGACATTAAGAAAGAAAGATATAAAAATTCCAATGTTCTTTGGGTTAGCTAGGAGAATAAGGCAATGTTATAAGGGAAGGGAGAAGCTGGAGGAGATAAATGGAAAAGAATGGGCACCAATTCTTCATTCTGGCAATGAGGGTCTCTAGAAAAAGCCTATTTTATTGATAAAGGGGGTAAGAAGTGGCTCCAGCACAACCTCAATATGAAATGTATTTTGTAATTATTCAAAAAAGAGGCTGCCTATTTCTGGGCTCCAACTTCAATTATGTTTCTAGGGTAAATTCCCAAAGAATCCTCAGAACAAGCAGCATAAATATTATGGGAGCCCTGACCTATGACCCGGCTTCAGGCCCCTCACCATGAGTTCTTCTCTTGTTTCTGTCTAAAGCTGGGGCCTGCTTCCCACTGACACTTTTCCTCCCAGCTTATTTCCAAAAGAGGCTATTTCCTGTTGTCTCAATCACTTCCAAGATTGTTGCATTAGAGCCGTGGGCTTACGTGTCCTTGCCCAAATGCTTCAATCAAGTTTAGCTCAGGAAATTGTATCAATATTAGACATTATCACTATTTCAATGCTAGATGTGTCTTAAAAATGTGGGATTACTTTAGTCAATATGTTTTTTGTAGTAAGCAGATGTATCTAAGGGTGGATTTATTTTCTTATCTCCTATAGTGATATAATATTAAACATGAATCTGATTTTTAAAACCGTGCACTAAGTTTCACAGCCCTGGAAAATAACACCAACTTTCCTCCTCTACATACTAGATCTCTGCCGTAGGACAATTGGAAACAGAGGAGTATGACTATATGACCATGTGGATGAAACAAATAAATATATAATACAACCTAAAAATAGCAGCACTAAAAGTGTTGGAACAGTAATTCACTCATGTGTTTTAAAGACAGTATTATTATTAGTTATTAATGGTTACTATAAGAAGCAACAAATTCTATTGTGAGAAGAGCACTACCCTGAGAAGGAGCATCACAGGTCCTGGTCCAAGTTTTTCACTAATTGGAAAACAAATTTGGGGAGGTCGGGCAAGTTCTTGGGCCTTAAGTTACGTGAGCTTAAGGGTTTGGAGTTGTTATTCTCAATGGCTATATTAGTAATACTGTAATGTCTCCATTAAATTTGCAGTCATATCAATTGGTGTGTAAATGTGTGTAATAAATATATTATAATTGTATATATATTCATATAGACATATAATATTTCTTACTTCTGAAATAAGAAATTTGGAGAAATGTACCACTAAGAAGGAGGAAACTGGCTTCTGAAAAAACAAGGTAAGGAATATGCATATATATGTATACGTGTCTATGTGTGTGTGTATAATATATATATATACATTTATAACAGAATTTGGGGGACAATGCCTTTTCTCCACATATGAATATTCCCCTTTTCAGTAGACAAATGCAATCTGTGTTCTTGGTGCCTTTACTCTATCCCATTACTCTTTTTATCCCAGAGAAATGTGGTGATTTCTCTGACTGGACTATTTGGTACAGTTAAATGGAAATGCCTGGGTTGGCTTTTTCCTCTTCCTCTTAGGAGTAAGCTGCCTATGGAAGATTATTTTCTAATCTGCTTTTCCATAGATCGGCTCTGCTGCTTCTATGAAGGGTGCTTCTATGGTCCAATGTTGTTTGTGCTTGGGTCATTAATTCTACTTAATTTTGACATTCAGTTAGAAGATGCAATTGATGCTGTTAATAAGTGATTTTTCTCAAAATTAACCTTTATCAGTAGTAATAATAAATGAGGAATTTCTCAGAGAGAAGGATGCAAAGCTCTTCCCTTGATGTCTCCTATTTACTTTCTATAATGAAGTAAGAAATACCTCTCAAAATGCAAGGTATACAGTCTGAGTATACATTCCTAATATCAATAAAAATGCTTAGAATATAAACTGACAGTTGATTCTAAAGGCTTGATTATTGTAAAAACTGTGGCTAGAAAACTGGTAGTGTGAAAAATCTTATCATCTTTTTAATCCTCTGTAGCAATGGAAAAGTGGGCATGTAGAAATTTGGGATTAAAGTAGTCACAATTTGGATGTTCCAGAGAGGTTAAATTAGTATCAGAAGAATAAATTTATTTTTTTTATTTTTTTAAACATTCATTTTATTTTATTAATTAATTAATTTATATTTACATTCTATTTGTTTATTTTTTAGAGACAGGGTCTTGCTCAATTGCCCAGGCCAGAGGATAGTGTCACAATCCTAGCTAACTATAACCTGGAACTCCTGACCTCCAGAGATCTTCCTGCCTCACCTTCCCCACTAGCTAGCACTACAGACATACCCCACCATACTCTGCTAATTTTTATATTTATACTTTTATTTTTGGTAGAGGTGGGTTCTTGCTATATTGCTCAGGCTGGTTTCCAACTCCTGGCCTCAAGTGATCCTCCTACCTCAGCCTCCCAAACTGCTGGGATTATAGATGTGAACTACTACCATGCCCAGTCAGAAAAAGACATTTCAAGCTGAACCTGCAAAACCAGGACCTAAATTAAAATAGTGTACCTAAGTGAGACATGTTAAGAATCAGTTAGGAGTGAAAGCTGAAATAGAATAGGGGCTATCTATTATTTAAGGCAGTTTCTCATTAGAAGAGTGGACATTAAAGAAAATATATTTACTCAGAGACACCAGCAGCTATAATTTGTCCAATTGGTTGCTCTCTATTGTTACTCGTTAATAGAACTCTTATTGCTCCCAGACCCGGGGTTAATCTAACCAGTCATGGGGGATACATTCCCTTCTCCAGGAACTTTTTCCCCTAATCTCCATTATAGTTAGTTAAGAGTGACCATGTGACCCCGTTTGGACCAATGAGAAAAAAATGAGGGGTTTTTTCTAAATACCTCCTTTTTTTCTGCTTGAGATACTGATGTGAGAACACATTGCATGGAACTACAGCATACACCCTGGACAGCGTGGTGGCATGCACAAGTACAAAAGCCTGAAAGCAGTAGTACAAAAAGATTTTAATGAACAGTCTGACTCTGGGTCTTTGGTTATACAGTGGAACTACCTATTTTAAAACTTCTAAAGTAAACAAGAGAGATTGTTCTTTTTCATGGTTTGTTACCTGGACCTGATTGTATTCAACTTAATGCAGAATACTTCGGAAATCACATCAGAGAAATTCACTAAACCCCAAACCATTAGTCTAAGATGAATGCAGCAACAGAGATTTCAGAACACATGGACAGAAAGAGGGGAACCACAGACACAGGGCCTACCTGAGGGAGGAGGCTGGAAGGAGAGAGAGGTTTAAAAAAGAACCCCCAAAACTGTATGCTTACAGTTGTTAAACTATGCTTAGTAGCTGGGTGACAAAATAATCTGTACACCAAACCTCTGAGTCACTAGTTTACCTGTATAACAAACCTGCACATGTACCCCTCATCTAAACTAAAAGTTAAAATATTCAAAAAAAGAGATATAGGGTGAAGTCAGCTATGCCCAAACTACAGGGAGAGGAACCGGAAGTGTTTCCTCCATAAAACATTAGGACAAGAGGGACTGGAGCTCATCAAACAAAATAGGTAAGTTCCTTCACACCTATGAAAGAGAGCAGAGGGAATGCTGTGCCAAAGACTCAAAATATGTGAATTGAGGAAAACAAACATATTAATCTTCCCAAAATTAATATTTAATTAGGAAAAACAAGATATCTATACTAAATTTTCTTAAACCTTGCTCCATAACTTTAAAATTCACTTGGGAAGAATAAACATACTCTCTAAAATAATCAAGCAAAATTTTTTAAGACTAATAATTTGGCTTTGCTTTACAGATGTTAAAATAATGTATGAATTAACAACAATGAAAACATTGCAGTGTTGACATAGGAATAGACAGACATATAAAAGAGAATGAAAAGTATTCAGATGGAACCAAAGAAACTGAACAAAGTTTATAATTTAGTGAATAACATTAGACAATGTTAATTTTTTAAATTTTGTCAAATGAACTATGGTTGAATTAGATGTTAACACTAACAGAAACTGGATAAGGGATATAATAAGAACTCTCCATGCTACTTTTGTAACTTTTCTATGCATCTAAAATAACTCCAAAATAGAAAGTTTCTCTTAAGATTTGATGGTATGATAAAAATTACACTTCATGTCAGTTAGATCCCAACTCATAATTTACTACAGGCAGATTATAAACTTTTTAATAAAAATGAAACAAAAAATGTTCCAGTAGTAAATATGGGTTAATGCCATAAAGGAAACATAAATAGAATTTCTGTAAACCTTAAAATACATGTATGCTTTTTAAGAAAATACTATAAAAAGACAAAGTATAAACTGTGAAACATGATTTCAGTATATATGAGAATAATTAATGATAACTTTAGCAGACAAATTCTTCTCCCAAATTAAAGAAAAGATGAACTCCACAAGGGGAAAAAAAGACTAAGAATATAAACAGTAAATGTTCTAGAGAAAAAATGTAAGTAGCTAATTTTGCACACAAAAATATGCCAGTTTCCAACATATCAGAGAAACGAATGTAGTTAAAAATTTTTTTAACTATAATATTAGCACGATTTAAAAGTATAATACTAGTTAATGTTTGGAAAAGGTTTGGAGGAAAGACACTCTCATATACCAGTAGAAAGAATCTAAATTAGAATAGTGCCGCAATAAACATACGTGTGCATGTGTCTTTATAGCAGCATGATTTATAGTCCTTTGGGTATATACCCAGTAATGGGATGGCTGGGTCAAATGGTATTTCTAGTTCTAGATCCATGAGGAATCGCCACACTGACTTCCACAATGGTTGAACTAGTTTACAGTCCCACCAACAGTGTAAAAGTGTTCCTATTTCTCCACCTCCTCTCCAGCACCTGTTGTTTCCTGACTTTTTAATGATTGCCATTCTAACTGGTGTGAGATGGTACCAACCCAAATGTCCAACAATGATAGACTGGATTAAGAAAATGTGGCACATATACACCATGGAATACTATGCAGCCATAAAAAATGGTGAGTTCATGTGCTTTGTAGGGACATGGATGAAATTGGAAATCATCATTCTCAGTAAACTATCGCAAGGACAAAAAACCAAACACCGCATGTTCTCACTCATAGATGGGAATTGAACAATGAGAACACATGGACGCAGGAAGGGGAACATCACACTCTGGGGACTGTTGTGGGGTGGGGGGAGGGGGGAGGGATAGCATTAGGAGATATATACCTAATGCTAAATGACGAGTTAATGGGTGTAGCACACCAGCATGGCACATGTATACATATGTAACTAACCTGCACATTGTGCACATGTACCCTAAAACTTAAAGTATAATAATAATAAAAAAGAATCTAAATTAGAATATAATGTGGCACAAAATATCCTAAATAGTACATTTAATTCACTTCCATGAATCAATTTCATTTTTGGAAAAGCTCTCATCAAAAGGAAATAATTTAAAAAGTAGGTGAAGACGTATATATATATATACATATGTGTGTGTGCACGTGTGTGTGTAAACACACACATAAATGCATACATATATATACAAACGTACATATATATATGTATATATATGCACAAACATATATCTGTATAGTTTGATAAGAGTAATGAAGGTAATTGGTTTTATCACATTGTTTACTCTGACAAATAATTATAAACAATATAAATGACTCAGAATTAAAGGTGGTTTTTAAAAATTTTGCTGTATCTATGAAACACCATAAATAATGATAATAAAGTAATAAATAACATCTATATGGTAGGTACTATTATTAACTTCATTACCTAATTGAGGAAACTGAAGCTTAAAGACGGTAAGTTGCCCAGTGACCGAAAACTTGTAAATGACGGAGCTGGACTAGAACTCAGATGGTCTTTTAGATAGTCAGCTATAGAACCATGCAGTTCTAAAGTGACTCAGTTGAAAATAAGATACCAAGGGCTTACATTTTCTTTCATTTCTTTCATTTTTTCCCTAAGAGTTCATGGAACGGAAAAGTTCCATGTAACAAGAAAGCAGAGATGAGAATAAGTGTATTTTGAGGGGTACAGCTTTGATCAGATTACAAAGACCCATGAGCCCCAAAAGGTTAAGAGCCACTGGTCTAAATGGGTAACCTCATTGTTTACCAGGCTGATCTCAATGGACCACCAGCTGATACCCTTGTCTCTGGCCCTTCTCCTTTTCTATTCACCCCACTGTTGCCATCTGAAGCAAATATCCTCAAATAGTCCCAGATTCCCCTCGGGCTCTCCAGGACCACATCAGAACGGTTATTTCTCTGTGGCCAGGGCTAACTGTTGTCACACAAAATATACGATGACAAAGAAAGAAAATCTTCTCTTTGAATTTGGGAAGGAAATTAGTTGCAGTTTCGTTCTCATTTGCCATCAAGAAGTCTCATTTAGATGTTTTGTTTATACTAAAAATATTTCAAACTGACTCAGAGAGTATGAAATTTTAAAAATAAAAATGACACTATCACATATAAAGTCCATTCTCCTACAACGCATCATAAAACCTAATGCCTTTTCTGGGTTTAATACACGATGAAAGGGTACCAAATCAGAGGTTCACAAAGGTAAAGGTCTTGCTGTAGAATGTAAATATGACAAACATGACCCAGTACAAGTAATTGATTCAAACATTCTCATTTCTATAAAAGCGGAGCTTTTGTGTACTTTCTTTAGGTTAAAACCACACTCCCTCATTTAGCTGGCATTAAACTTAAAATGAACTATAAAATAAACTATGTTCCATTCCATGAAAGCTTATTGATTAACAGGGAAATTAAATATGTTAGATATGTTGGGTGGCTTGGGGAGAGAGTTAGGAAGAGAGGGCGATGCTATTGCAACAATTATGCAAATGTATTTTTATAAAATAATATTGTTAAGGTCATTTTGTTAAGACCCTGAATATTGTTAATTCAAAATACGTATTACATTTTAATCAAACTACCTACTTCCCACTCTGTCCTGAGAAATTTACATTCTGACTACATTTTGAGGGCAGTTAGGATCCAACTAAGCTCTCAAATATAATAACTATCAGGAAATTGTCCTGAATTATTCATGTTAATTATGCTGAACCAAACACTGTAGATAGGAAAATGTATTTCCCACTGAAATATGTTTGCCTTAGAGAGATTTATAAATTGATCACAGTCTCCTTTTTTTATGATAAGACCTAAGAGCCCTAGGATGGTCAGGAACGCATGTAATTAATGGAATTCCAACCAACATCATGCTTTTTCAGCACAATCAGCATCATCTAAATCAATTCCGCATTTTCCCCTCAGTTTCATAAATAATCATAACTAAATCCCCAGTCCAAAGCAATTATCAATCATTGTAGTGCATATCTATTTAAATTATATAGGAAAAAAATGCTCCTTAGTTGCATTTTATATTTGTACCTACTTCTTATTCCATATAATAAAGTTATAGCACATTAAACATATATTATTCACTCTTTAAATTTGCTCATTCACAAATTTATCTATTTATTCGTTTGTTCAGGAAGCAGTTATTGAGCAACTACTTTGTGTCAGATACTGTGCTGACTTTTCTCCTTACTTCTGATTACCCTTTGTGGCTTGCTTTTTGTTGTCCTTTGCTTAAGGATTCCAGAGACTGAGAATTGTGCTAATGATTATCCTTATTTAATAAGTCACTATCATTATTTTATCAGTGTTTCTCATTTATCCTGCACCTGCAGGTCCATTTCTAACATCACCAGTTTTCTTATAGACCCACACTCTGTATTGAATACTCATACTTTAGTAATTGGGATTGTGCTATATGTCTCCTTTTGTTGCCTACTTTTCATATTTATAATGTTTAACAAGATTTATTTAAAGTTACTTCAGGAAAAACTGTGTCATATTCAAGGACAGGCACATTCTTCTTTTCATTTGGTGGACAAGACGTATTTCAACTTTGCTAGAACAAACAAATCCTTAATGAACACTCTCGTGAATATCTCCATGCGTCAGTGTATGAGTTTCTTTTTTTTTTTTTTTTTTTTTTTTTTTTTTTTTTTTTTTTTTTGAGACGGAGTCTCGCTCTGTCGCCCAGGCTGGAGTGCAGTGGCGGGATCTCGGCTCACTGCAAGCTCCGCCTCCCGGGTTCACGCCATTCTCCTGCCTCAGCCTCCCAAGTAGCTGGGACTACAGGCGCCCGCCACTACGCCCGGCTAATTTTTTTGTATTTTTAGTAGAGACGGGGTTTCACCATTTTTTAGCCGGGATGGTCTCGATCTCCTGACCTCGTGATCCGCCCGCCTCGGCCTCCCAAAGTGCTGGGATTACAGGCGTGAGCCACCGCGCCCGGCCATGAGTTTCTTAAGGTTACACATGTAGGATAGATTTGACAACACTGGACTTCATTGTCTAGGAAATGCCACATTCCTTATAAATTGAACACACTCATTAACATCCCACTAGCATAACAAGAGAACTTCCATTTCTCTACTACCTCTCAATAGTTGACAATACATTTTTTTCCCACTCTGAGTTTGAAGTGGTATTTCAGGGTTGATATAATTTTGATTTCTCTGATTTATCAATAAGGTAGACATCTCTTTAATTGATTTTAGCTCTCCTGGTATTTCCTTTATGGTGAATTAATTACCGACATTGATTACAATTTCAATCCTATCAGATCTTTTGTATTTTTATTGGTGATTTCCTTAAGTTCATTTTCCACAATGCAAATATCTACACAGTCCATCATCCAACTTGTTTAATTCTTTTCAGAGAATTAAAGACTAGGGAGAGAATCCCCTGGAATGTGGAGATGAGGCAGACACACTGATCCGTTTCTCAGACTTCCTGGTTTTAACCCCACTTTTATCATCATTTCCAAAGGTGTCTGGTCCTTCCAAATTATGACACTTTGGGAGGTCTATTCCACCCATAGATATTCTATTGCTTGATAGCTTTCCATACTTCAAGCTTAGGATTTAATTTTGCCATGTCTGCTAAGTCATTACCAATATGCATTTGTTTTTGTTTTCTAGCTTCTGAACATTTCATTGTTGGGTTGTCTTCTCTCTCTTTGCACTTCAGAATGATGTCTTTTTAAAAATCCTTCGTCATAGTGAATATCAGAGGGGAGAGGAGTTAAATGTATGTTTGCAATCTGCCATCTCTAACTAGAACTCCCATTCTGTTATAGCAGTTTTAAATGATGTGTGTCCTCTGCCTGAACGTTTTCTGATTTATTATCTGTTAAGAGGTTTACTTCTTCCATGGTATTATACAGAATGTAGCTCTATAACAAAAGCTTTCATTTAAAAATATAAGGAGCCATGTTCTAATCTTTGCCCCACCAAGTTCTAACTTTTCACTGTGTAGCAGAGACTTTTCTAAGGATGGCAATGAATGCAAATAAGGTGATAAAGAAAATTCTTTTATGTAACTCTATAATAATAAATTATGCCCAAATAACAAAAATACAAACAAAATAGGATACTGCACACACCCTGAGAAATTCGGTAAGTTATTCACTTCCCTCCATATCACGGGGATATGTACAATGAAAATAGGTTTAGTTATATAATTGCAAGACCCTTTATTGTATCAGGTACATGGTAGACCAAAAAATATTTTTTGTTTATTGAACATATTAGTATAAAAACATATGCAGAAATTAAAACATGTAAAAATTATATGCAATTATTTAAAGAAGAGCCAGCTCGATCTACTTTGTCCCAATTGAGTCTGAACTTTTATAATATTAGTGAGTCTGACAAAACCTCTCACTTTTCTTTACAGGAAGTTCCAAAACTCAAAAAAAAAAAATCTCTCCCCAAAACAATTTTAACGTTCAAAAACAGAAGTGTCCTGATTCTCAGTTTCCCTGATGTTCCCTCTTTACATTCTCTCATCCCAAGGACTTAGATTCAGATAAGTGTTACCCTAAATAATTTAAATATTAGGAGCCGACACTCCTTCAAGACATTTCAAAGAGATAAGTCTGGCAGACTAACACACATCCAGTTCCAAAAGCCCAACTGTTTTCCCCTTCTTGCTAATCTATCAACATTTGATCAAACAAGAACGATACTTCAGCAGGGAAAATGTCAGCTAATTCATGTCCCATTTTGCTCTACAGATTCCCAACAACTCACTAGAATCCCATTATGACCATATCCTTGAGACTGTCTGACATAAAAGCAAATTACTACCACTGTAGGAAGGAACCTGAACATAAGTACTGCCAGATTTATAGTTCTGCTGCAAACCCTGTCATTTTGATTTAGTTGAAATTTCTGTCACTAAAACAGATTGATATTTTGAGAAATCTTAACCCAACGAACACAAGGAATACCAATTAAAATGTCAAATTCTTATTTCTAATCTCAAAACGTATAGTTTCCACATGTTATCCGATGAATGTTTTAGACAAATCAGTTCACTTATATTTCCACCTCCAAAGTGTAATTATTTTCTTTGATATTCTGAGAATTTAGGCCACTAAAATTGACCTAAGGTCCCAGAGGAGTTCTTTATAATTATTTAGTGCACAATATTTAGACAAACTTGTGCAACTGACCCCTCTGTGAAAACAAATTTAAAAACGGGTTTAGTATTTTTAAAAAAAGAAAGAAAACTCCAATATTTGAGTTCAAAATAAGGCTAAAGGGGCAGGGGCATTACTGAGATATTTGGATATGGAGGATGTGATCTCTTGTATTTGAGGATGTGTAAGTATTTTTCTCTACTGAGGCTCCCATTGCCAATCTCTACCTCCAAAATGAAAAACGGCTAATTTGATAAAAATCCTCTGAGCTGGTAAGCCAGACAAGAAAGTTGAGATCTTTCTCAGGTGGCAGATGCATTATAAAGGTGACCTTTTAGAGGAAGTCACTGAATTTATTACTTAGATTTGGGAAGTAGCCATGATGAGAAGATTTTACTTAGGATTATTAGTCCTATGTAAATGAGAAAGTGTCATGGAATACCAGGCCTAGGAATTCTGTTCTAATCTTTGCCCCACCAAGTTCTAACATTTCACTATGTAGCAGAGACTCTTCTAAGAATGATAACAGAAACAAATAACAAGATTAAGAAAATTCTCTTACATAACTATATAATGATAATATATGTATAAATAATGAGTTAGGATAGATGGACTCTCTTGGGACCCTAGAAATCACACTATGGCAGGTGCTGTCTACTTCTCTTCATCATAGAGCCAGTTCTGATGCCCAACACCACAGGCTAAAGCAACTCAGTATAACACGGGGGCTCTACCACGAGGCCCCATTCTTACTGATCCATCCCTGAAGGTGATGAACAGTGGTGGGCCCACCAGGTATAAAGATGGTTTTCTAAACAAAACCTGATTACTGGAGAGCAAGTTGAAGGCCAGATAACTTCAGGTTCATTGGTTACTATTCATCATTATTATTATTCACATGGAAAATGGTGGCATGATTCTACACAACTGAGCAGAAGACCAGAATAATGTTCTCAAAGGACCAGCCTGAAGCCTGGGGCGGGAGGTCTAAAGTAAGAGAATAATGAGTTTCCAGGAAGCCAGACTTTACCCATTTTTCATCACAGAGGGGAAGAGCTTCTACAAGAGCATGCCAGTACCCTTAAGTACCAGCTTTTTTTCTCTTACATTGAAACCAAAAGATTAGACAAAATAATTGTCTGAGTACATTATTAATGAATAAATTCACTTATTTCATTGCCATAACAAACATGTATTAAACTATCACAAGTCTTCAAGCACTGAGCTGGATACTAGGCATACAAATAAGACTAAAATATTGTCCTGTCCTGAAATATCACCATTTTGTTAGGGATATTGATACATTATATAAAGCAATACTTTTCCTTATAATGTATAAAAATTAAAACATAATATTAATAGAAATTTTGAGTTTATTGATATAATAAATATATATAAATATAAAAATTAGGGGAAATCCCCAAATGAATAATAGGAAATCAAAGATTACAAGATGTTTAATGCATCTGGTGGTGCTAGCTGGATTACATATTAATCCTACATGGAACACATTAAGGCAATGCTACCTGCAAATCTGGTGCATTGTTGAGCCTGTTTGTTGTTTCTTTCTTAATTTTTAATGGAATGAAAACTTACATATCCACTTTAGTCCATCTAAATATATTGTGTATAGTAATAATAGCAATGCGTTTCAATACATTGTATTATACTCCACCGGTTCCATTCCATTATTTTCTATTCCATCGTCTTCTATTTCATTTTGTTAAATTCTGCTCATGGCACACTAAGTCAATGTAATGACCCAATAACCTGTCACAACCTCCACTGCACTAGAACTTATTACCTGCATCTTCTATTTGATAACACATCATTCTCCTGTCGCAGGGTCTTTTATACAATTTTAAGAATCTCTGCAAATTGTGATTCATTTCACAGGAAAGGCACAAGAAGATTGGAGAGGATCAGATTTTGAGAGTTGCTTGGATCCCTCATTAAGAGTTCCTTCTAAAATTGTCCTAGCACTAAAATTCTCTAAGTGTCATGAACAGAGGTTATATTGGAGAGACTGGCAGGGGAGTAAAAATCTAAAAGCATCATCTAGGTTTTATCAACTATCAAACACAAACACACTATTGCAAATAATATCATGTCATTATGACAATTTATCTAACCATAAATCAGCTCTGAACAGGTGCCCTGAATTCTTATTATATAACAGGTTTATCACTGAACACCTGTGCATGTACACTGTAACACAGCTATGTCCTCAGATGTCCCATTGGAATTTGGCTTCTTCTCCACATAGTAGGCTATCCTAGGCCTCCTTGCAACTCCAAAGCACTACAATACAATGTTGTCTTAATTGTTATAATTTATTCATTTCTTAACATTCTGTGTTCCCACTGATGCTGTCCTAACTACACAGTAACTTCTTCAAGGGAAGAAATATATCTGTAATGCCTCTCCTGCTATACCTGCATTCACAGAGTAGTTGCTCAAAAAATATTTGATGGCTCATTGAGTACCATCTGAATCATGCACTCCTACCATAACCAATTTAGGTGATATAATACAATGTAAGATGATTCAATTTCTCTTTTCCATAACCATATAATTAATGTCTCCTTTTGGATGTTTCAAAGTTATCCCAAACTTACTATTCTCAAAATAAACTCATTATCCTCCTCTCTTGTCTTATTCCTAGTTCTATTCCTAATCTCAGAAAAGGGCTCTATTATCCACCCAACTGTATAAACCAAACAATCTGAAACTTATTCTTGTCACCTCTCTTCCTCTCACCTTTCTTACCTAATTCATCACCAAGTACCCTCACTTAACCTCCAGAATATTTCTCAAAGTTATTCACTTTTCATCAACTCTACCAATACCACTCTGGTCCCAGCTAGTGATAATTCTTACCTTGACTGCTTTATTAAACACTCAGCTTGTTCACTTGGCTACACTTCAGTTCCTCTCTAATCTGTTCCTTATTCCATAACCAATGTTCTTGGGATAAAAGTAATGACTCCTTAACATCTGCCATGTGTGGTTCTTCAACATGGCCACAAACTCTCTGGCTATCCTTCCATCAAGAGCTGGAGTCTATATTCCCTCCCCTTGAATCTAGTTGAGCTTGTGACTGCTTCACCCAATAAAGCACAGTAGACATGACACTACATAGCTTCCAAGACTAGACTACATAAGGTCTACAAACAAGAAGCAACCTTCTTGTTTGTAGAACATTTGCTTCTGGAATGCTAAGCTTCCATGTCAGAAGCTGGACAACCCTAAGACTGACATGCTGGAGAGGCCACAGGTAGACATTTTGTTTGACAGTATCAGCTGAGTTATTTTTCAGCCATATACACTCGGTTGCTAGATATGGAAATGAAACCATTTTGTAAGTTGATCTTCTTGGCCCAGTTGTTTCCTCCTCTATTCATTTGAGTAATTCCAGCTGAAGCTCCAGATCTAGTGTAGCAGAGGAGGGCCATCCTCACTGTGCTATTTCTGAATTACTGATATACAAGTATTGATATCCATAAGCACAAAATAAAATAGTTATTGACTTGTGCCACTAAGTTATAGAATGGTTTGTTATGCTGCAATATATAGCAGAAACAACCTGAAAGTTCCTATAAGGTATAGACCACATCAAACTTTCCTGCTTCATCTAGGACCATGACTCTTCATTCTCTCTGTAGACACAGTGACCACTTCTTTGGTTCTTAAACTTAGAATGCCCCCTTGCATAATAAGGTCATTGAACATGCTGCTATTTCTGCTTTTTTCTTTACCATTCACCTAGTTAAACTTTCACAACACTCAAATCGTGTCAAAATCATATTCTTGTAAAAACTTTCCCTGACCTATATTGCAAGTCATATCTGAAAAGTATAGTCTTCATAAGCTTTGAACCTCCTTCTTTTAACACCTGTCAAAATTATAGTTTTATATTTGTGCATATGATTTCTGAATTAATGTCCATTTCCCCCATTCAACCAAGCTTAACTTCGAGAATGGAAAGATCATGTTTACGTATGTTAAGGGTTGGATATTCGGCTGGGCGCAGTGGCTTACTCCTGTAATCCCAGGCCTTTAGGAAGCCGACGTGGGCAGATCACATGAGGCCAGGAGTTCAAGACCAGCCTGGACAATATAATGAAACCCCATCTCTACCAGAAATACAAAAATTAGCCCGGTGTGGTGGTGTACGCCTGTAATCCCAGCTACTTGGGAGGCTGAGGCGGGAGAATCACAAACCTGGGAGGTAGAGGTTGCAGTGAGCCGAGATTGCACCACTGCATTCCAGCCTGGGCGACAGAGGAGACTGTTTCAAAAAAAAAAAAAAAAGATTGGATATTTATTGTTCAATATAATATGCCATGCAATGATTACAGATCTAGATCCATATTAGGTATTCAGTAAATATTTCATGAATGGGAATATTATTTATGAAAAAAATAGTTTTCCTGTGTAAAACATGTAACTATATTTAATCAGTTGTAACAGATAGTTGGAATTACAAAGTATTTTCCCTCTGGAAAGATTTCTGAGCCATAGTTGGACTATTTCTGATTTGTACAGCCCTAAATAAGAGTTTTTAGACGACGGATAGCCAGAATTATTACTGAGTAGAGTGCGTTCTGAAACATACACATATACACACACTTAAATTCTATTTATTCCAACGGATTTCAGAGAAAATGAAATCAAATATTCATGACACATCAAGTATTAAGTAATTTTCTGAGGAAATTATATATTTACCAGTTCTAGGAGGAAAATTTGGAAAGGAAAAAAGAACGGGATCAAGCATATATAAAACTGCAGGGGAGAAGAGCAGCTCTTACCTTAATTTTTACATGTTTGAGTTATTGCCCCTATTTATCAGATTTACTTTTCCAATCTCTTTAGAAAGCAAACATACTAAGGTTGGAGAATAAAGGAAAATTAATGATTGCTCTTTTAAAATTTTAGTCATTTTCATCTTTTGAAAACAATTAGCTGTTTCAGATATTCAAGGAATCAAAAATAAAAATATTTATTGGCTTCTTACTTGATGGCATCTCAAGCAGTCCTTTTAGCAGAGTCCCCCAAAGGGATTACCTTTATTTTACAGGTGACTAAGCAGTCTCAGAATAGTAAGATAGCCTGCCCATTGCAGGCCAAGCAAACAGTGCAGCTAAAAAATTTTCCAATAGCCAGTTTCTTTCTGCTCTACTATACTGGCTCCAAATCAAGGGTCAAGCAAAGAAGAACAAAGGAAGAGTATTTTCATACAATTAGGAGAAAGAGATATAGGACTTGTGCTCCAGAACTAATGTACCATTCTCTTCTTGTCTCTCTTTAACAAACTAAGTAATTTTGGGAGAAAATGAAGTTTATCATAGTATTCACATATAAAATGAACAAGATTATTGAAAGCTGGCATTTCCATGTCACCAAGTACTTCCTCAGATAAATCTAAACGGATCACCATTCTGTGAAAACAACTATTTTACAGAATGAGTCTCCTTAAATTTGAGTGCTGTTTAATGAAAAATGGCACCACCCAACACATGGACATCAAATTGAAATCATTTACAAGTTAATTGTAACTGAAATGTAGTTACAAAGAGTAAAACAAAAACAACTCCTATAAATAAGTTACAGTTAATTAAAGAAAATTCCCGTTTAAGCTGGCTGGTAAGTAATAATGCAGAATTTCTCAAAGTCCAATTGAAATACATAGAAAATAGACAAAGAAGAAGATGACAGTTTAGATAAAAAATACAAATAACAGTGGACTTGTTATCAGAATCCAAGAAGAATATCATTAACCTGAAGGCCAAAGGAATTAGTTGGATAACTCAGTGCCTGGCTACCTCATCAGAGAGAAAGCAAAATCAGCAATTAGAATGTACCTAGTAAGAATTTTGGTGATTCCTTCTATGTGTAAATTCTGATTCAAATACCCCAGGTATCCCACTATTCCACACTGTGTTGCTGTTCATTGTTGAGGCAAAAATCATGTCTTTTAAATCATCCATATATCTTTCTATGAACAAGTGTACAGAAAACAAGGAAGACTGAGAGTGGTAGAGTCCTCACAACACAAGTTCTTCAGGCAATAGAGAAAAAAGAAAACCCTGGCAGCACTGCAGGAGTGAAACTAAGTTTTTGTGGGTTATGTGCTTTTGTTATTGTACTTTAACAGCTAAGAGTTCCAGACGACAAGGGAGTGAGGAACAGAGATTTCATCTTGGGTCAGTAAGACTATATTGAACAAAGGTGAAACAGACTCTGCTATTTCCTGGAAACTGGAAACTGGTGGAGAGATGGGCATACATCTAGCTGTTTTCTGGCTGTAATTCTGAGAAGAGGGTTAGAAAAACACCCAAATGCACAGAAAGAGAAGCCAAGGGCAAGCCACACAATTTCTTTTGGCCACTATAGGGTCTGGATAGCTGTTTTTCTCTCCCTGCTGGAGGCTGAATAAACAGGAAAAGTCAGCATGCAGGAAGATTACATTACAAAAGAAAGGCAAAACAATCCTGAAGATTTACAGAAGGAGTAGTTGTAAATGCGATTACAGATAATTTTAGAGAACCGTTTAATATTGTCGATAGGATGTAAGAACATACAGCCTCAATGATATAGGAACAAAAAAGTAAAAAAGAAAAAAAGGATTAAAACAAAAACAGAAAAAAAAGAAAACTGGTAAAGATTTTTACATATTTGTTGACCATTTAGATTCCTCTTACTGTAAATTATCACACCAAAATACCTTTCAACTTTTTCTATACAGAGATTTTAATTTTTTTATTATTAATATTCATTTATTTCTTCCTTGTCTTTATTTTAATTTAACATTAATATAAAGTATGAACAGCATTAAATGGCAATATATTATAAGCCTATTAATAAACAAAACCACTGCTAATATTTTGAATCTATCCTTCAGAGGCAGCATAGAGATAAGGTTTAGAAGCCAGTACTGGTGAGGCAGATTTTAATTGTTCAATCTTTGGCAAGTTACTGAACTGTGAGACATTTGTTTTGTTACTTGAATAAAAAGTACAGCAATAGAATCCAATTCAAAAAGTATTACATGGGATAAGTATTAAATGAGACAATGCATTTAAACATTCTCTGGAAGACAGTAAATTTGAATAACAGTGACTATTACATCAATCCAATGTTTCCTACATAAATATGTATACTTTTTATCAAGTTACTCCTTTGTTTTGTTTTGTTTTGCTTTGTTCTGTTTTGTTTTGTTTTGTTTTTGTGAGTCTGAGTCTCTCGCTGTCGCCCGGGCTGGAGTACAACGGTGCAATCTCAGCTCACCGCATCCTCTGCCTCCCTGTTCAAGCGATTCTCCTGTCTCAGCCTCCCGAGTAGCTGGGATTACAGGCGCCAGCCACCACACCTGGCTAATTTTTGTATTTTTAGTGGAGACGGGGTTTCACTATGTTGGCCAGGCTGGTCTCGTGCCTCTGACCTCATGATCCGCCCGACTTGGCCACCCAAAGTGCTGGGAGTAAAAGTGTGAGCCACCACGCCTGGCCTATCAAGTTACTCTTACTTAAATATTCTTCTGTTTAAAAATTAGCACTTTGTTGTTATTTTTATAAAATTAAATATTTTTCAGAAATATCACTTATGATAGTTGTTTCATATCTATCTATTTTTATTTATTTATCTTTTTTCTTTTTTTTTTTGAGAGGTGGTCTCGCTCTGTCGCCCAGGGTGGAGTGCAGTGGAGCCATCTTGTCTCACTGCAAGCTCCACCTCCCAGGTTCACGCCATTCTCCTGCCTCAGCCTCCTGAGTAGCTGGGACTACAGGTGCCCGCCACTACGACCGGCTAATTTTTTGTATTTTGAGTAGAGACGGGGTTTCACCGTGTTAGCCAGGATGGTCCCTATCTCCTGACCTCGTGATCCGCCCGCCTCGGCCTACCAAAGTGTTGGGATTACAGGCGTGAGCCACCGCACCCGGCTGGTTGTTTCCTATCTAATTGAGTAGACGTTCATGATCACTTATCCAATTCATTCAAGCAGTATTTATTGAGCGATTACTATGATTCAGGCAGAGAATATAGCAAAGAACTGGGAACTAACTAAACAAAATAACCTGTCCTCATAGAGCTTACATAAAAAAGTCCTCATAAAAACCTAAAAATATAGTCTAATTACAAGTCAAGTACTGATAAGTGCTATGGAGAACAATAAACTAGGGTAACATTAAAATATGTAGTGCCCGGAAATGTGGAATTGACATTTTATAGAAAAGAACTCACTGAGAAGATGATGCCTAAGGCAGAATCTAAAGGAAGTGATGGAATGAGCCATGTGGATATCTTAGACGAAACAATTTCAGGCAAATTTAGATTCCTGAGCTGGAAATATTCTCAGTAATTTGTCCAAAAGCACTGGAAAGGTACAAGTAACTGGATGAGTGATAGAAAATGAGTTACAGAGGTAGAAGTAAAGCTCTTGATGTTGTATTTCACTTAGAGTAAGGTAAAAGCCATTGGAGGGAATTAAGTACAAGGGTAACATGATTTGACATGTTTCAGAAGAACACTACAACTGCTAGGTTGAAAATAGATTTGGGGAAGATAAAAGTATAAAAAGAGCCAAGTTAGGAGACTGCTGCAGTAATCCAGGTAAGAGATGATGATAATTTAGACAAAGGGAGTAGGTAATCAAAAATAGATTTTGTATTTATTTGGAAGAAAGACACAACAGAATGTACTGAAGTCTTGCATATGGGATGTGAAAAGAGTCAAGAATGAAGAAAAATGAGGCAAGACCAGGTTTTGGGGCTGTATGAATTATAGTACAGTCTACAGTCCTAGAATAAAGACCCCACAGATACAGTGATTCAACTAAGTCAGAGGCTTATTTTTATCTCATGAAACTTCCCAGGAAAATGCCATCCAGGGATGGCAAGGTGGTTTTGCTCCAGGAGTCATTTGGCGACCTAAATTTCTACCAATCCTATTGCTACAGTTTTCCAGAGAGTTGTCCTGTTGCTCATGAGGAGAACTGGCTCACTTCCATATCTCAATCCCAGTCCACAGCAGGGAGAAAAACAAATCTCAGAACAAATAGCTTCATCTTTAAGGAGATAATCTGGAGGCTATACAAACCACTTCCCTTGACATCCTAGTGATCCTAGTTTTGTCTTATATCAACAGTTAGCTGAATGAAACGATAATGATATAAACACCTCTAACTCTATGGCCATGTGTTTGGTGAAAACTATGGAGTTTCTGTTAAGAAAAAAAAAAGCAAGGTAGATGGCTAGACATGGTGGCTTATGTCTGTAATCTCAACACTTCAAGAGGCTTATATGGGGGGCTCTCTTGAGGCCAGGAGTTTGAGACCAGCCTAGACAACATAGCAAGACCCCTCTCTACAAAATTAGAAAAAATAGCCCAGCAGGGTGGTGCACACCTGTAGTTCTAGCTACTCAAGAGGCTGAGTAGGGAGGATGGCTTCAGCCCAGAAGTCCAAAGCTACAGTGAAATGTGATTGCATCTCTGCATTCCAGCCTGGGTAAGAAAAAGACCTTGTCTCTGAAAAATAAAATAAAAGGAACACAGAGAGAATAAATACCAGTAGACAAATGGCGGTGTCTGACCTGGAAGTGAAATCCGAATTTTATTTTGGACGCATTACATTTGAGATGGCTATTTGCTGTCTGATAGGGACTTGTATGGGCAACTGAAAGAGGGCTACGCTGAAGATGTAAAATTGGGAGTTATAAGTGTAGAGATGATATTTAAAGTCAGAACACTGAAATCACTTAAAAATGAGTGTTGAGAAGAGAGATCTGAAGTCTGAGTTCCAATATTAACATGTCCGAGAAAGATTTTAAAAATGGAGAAAATAAGTAATCAATGAGAAAGGAAGGGAATAAAGAGAGAGAGATCCTCAACAGAAAGGCCTTCACTTTTGGTCCATTTGTGTACAAATCCTTCATTGCTTAATTGTGGTAGCTTTATGGTAAGTCTTTCTAATTGGTAGAGCAAGTACTCTTACCACGCTTGCATTGTTCAAAACTGCCTTAGCTAATCTTGGTTTTTGCATGTTTACAGACAAAAAAATAATTTCTTCACAGAATTTGAGACATAGCTGATCATCAGTTATAAGTAGTGGAATTAAGTACATTCTTTCTACCACGCCGCAAGTGTCACTGCACCCTGAGCCATTTAATCTTTTTTACAGTGTCTCTAAACAAGATCATTTGTTTCTGTAGCACTGCACTACTCCTGCAAGAGGGCACTGGTTTCTTCTTCAAGTGGAAAACATTGCTTTAAATGCCAGCCAGGATAATTATTTCTTTAGTGAATCAAAGATACCAATGATCAGGTCAACCAAAGGTGTCATATTTCTTCATAACTACTTTAATAACCTTACATCTGCTAAATAAAAAGGAAGGTCAGCCAAAGTATTTAAATATAGTACTGTTGCCCGTAGTAAGAAACTGGAGCTGAACAGAGATTATTAATAATAAGCTACTAAGACATAATTAATTGCTTAACTTAACAGCCCCTATTAATTATCAGACCATAAGCATAGCTGGAATTACAACTTGAATTTGAAATTTAATGGACAACTTTGTACATCTTATTTCAAAATTTCTGAATTACTAGCTTGAACCTTTCTTGATTGGAATACTGGCAAAATCAAAAGTCAGATAAATCAGTTTCTAAGATGTAGTATGGGAACAATTTCAAGGGAATAAGGAGACTTTTTTAAACTTTTTATGTTGAGATCATTATTTTTCTCATGCAGTTGTAAGGAACACTACAGAAACATCCTGTGAACGCCTTTCTCAGTTTCCCTCAATGGTAACGTCTTGCAAATCTCTAGTAAAAAGTCAAACCAGGATATTTACATTAATACAGTCAAGGTTTTATTATTTCTAGGACCCTGGTAGTATCTTTTTACAGGCACACCCACTTATCTCCCCCACCCAGGTCAGCTCCCCTGGTAGCTACGAATATCTTCTCCATTTCTAAACTTTCCTCATTACGAGAATGTTATATACATGAAACTATACAGTATATAACTATGTATATTATATATAGAATCATATAAATCCAATCGCATAGAATCCAAAGCCTTTTGGATCGGCTTTTTTTCAATCAGCATAATTACCTCTACATTTATTCAAGCTATTGAATGTACTGATAGTTAATTACTTTTTATTGCTAACAAGCTATTTTCCAGAATGGCTGTACCATTTTATAATTTCACTAGCACTGTATTGGTGGCTCAATTTCTCTACATCCACACCACATTCGAGGTTAGCACTAATTGTTTTTTATTTTAGCCATTTTGATAGGTGTGTAATGACATATCATTGTGGTTTTAATTTGCATTTTTCTAATAGTTAATGATGCTAAACATCTTTTCATTTGCTTATTTGCCATCTGTTTGTCCTTTTTAGTTAAATGTCTGTTCTTATCTTTTGTCCATTTTCTAATTGAATTGTTTTTGTTTTTCTGTTGAGTTTTGAAATTCTTTTTACATATTTTAGATATAAGTTTTTTGTTGAATATGTGGTTTGCAAATACTTTTATCCAATCTGTAGCTTGTCACTTCATCCTCTTCATAGGGTCTTTCACAGAGCAAACATTTTTAATTTTAATGCAATCTGTAATGTCTTTTTAACTGAGGAACCTGACAAGATTCTAGTTTTTGAAGATTTCCTGCCGTGTTGTGTTTATCAGGTTATAGGAGGTTCAAGAGTATTCTTACGTTGGTGTCATTTTCCATAAACCAAGTCTCCAAGCTGAAAGGCACGGAGTGGTTCCTGCAGTTAATCCTTCAGAAAAGGAGTCTGCCCCTGTTGATTATAAACTTGAGTAAATTAGATTAACCCATTATAGGGTTTTGGCCATATCAACCTAAAAAGTAGCCAAATCATAGATAAGAGCTACGAATCTAGATGTATATGATATCTGGTGATCAGCTGTTCCATTTTTGTACTATCATGATCTAGGTAATGCATTTGGAATCCGGGGAGCACACCAGAAGGTCATTTACATATTACAAAAGGGTGGTGGCAATCTCAGGAAATTAAATATCTCTAAGGCGATGGAAGAAATGCAAGAGAGCACTTCTCTAAAGCCTTGGCCAATTACTGTCCATATATTTTGTTATCTTCCCACTATGTATGTAAATTGATAGTGTGAATCTAGGTACAAGATGGTACAGTATGCTAAAGAATACTGACCACGACTGGATACTTAATTTGTGGCCCCAGTACAAATGAAAATGTGGGGCTCCTGGTTCACAAATTATTAAGAAATTCAAGATGGTGGCAGCAGCTGGGAACAAAGCACAGGGCCCTTCTAAGTGTGTAGACTTGGGCAACTGCACAGATCGCTTGCAAATGAAGTTGGCCCTAATGCTAAGAATAGATTCTATTATAAAATAAACATCTGTCTCAGGGATTGATAATAGAGTGATATTAGGGTTGGCAGCCTAATTAGGGTTGGAAGTAAAGAAGTCCACTTCTATCAATAGCTCTTGTTTTGTATAGAGTGATGTCCTCACCCATTTGCCTATTTGACAGGCAGAAGGAAGCATTGCAAGAGATAGCATGGGGGATGACAAGTCTTCTATGTGGGTGTAAAAATAGGATGGGCCACCATTTATTTCAGTGAGTATGGAGCTAACTCTCATAAAGACACAACCAGTTCAATTGAGACTTTTAAGGTTTAGTATATGCGTCCCACATCTGAGTTGTCTTTGTCCCAGAGATTATGTGGGGCAGACTCAAGGTCTACTATAATAATAGGGGAAGTATTAGAAAGTGGGTAATCAATCTGTGCCATCAAATGGCTGGGGATTCTTCTTCTGGGATTTCCAGCAAGAAACCATCTTGTTCACAATTAATCAAGGCACTTAATATACGTAGTAAATATCTTCCCACAAGATTAATGGGGTCAAAAAGGCATTCTAACTAATGAGTCATCTAAGGAAACAGAAAACGGATGTGTCAAAGGCAGAGTTTAAAGAGTGATTGAAATTGCATTCACTGAGTTAGTAAAATTACTACAAAGAAAAGGCGACCAAATGGTGGCAGGATTATTATTCAAATTATGATTCTTTTGTGCACTAGGAAAGGAGTCTTCTGTACAGATATTTTCCCTCTGGAAGACAGTGGTAAATGTGGGCATAGAGAAAACACTACTTATTTGCACGATCCTCATTTAGGGAAAGGACCTCATCCTACTTCTTGTTTCTGCAGCATTGAGCCAATACCAGGCAATTAATTTTCCAATGCCTTTTGCCTTACAATGTTGTCAAGTGCCTTTATCTATTTTTCACTTAGCTATGGGATCACTTTTATTTCATGAGTTTTCTAATTATTTAATTAGAAGGACCATTAGTTATGCCTGAGTTTTTCCTTTCTTTGATCAATTCTAGGCTCCGACGTTCTGCTAACTCCTAGAATTCACCTAAAGAAGCAAGTGGCCACAGGGTGCTGTGGCTCATGCCTGTAATCCCAGCACTTTGGGAGGCCGAGGTGGGAGTTCAAGACCAGCCCGGCCAACATGGTGAAACCCTGTCTCTACAAAAATACAAAAATTAGCTGGTCAGGATGGTGGTGTCTGTAATCCCAACTTCTCGAGAGGCTGAGATGGGAGAATTGCTTGAACCCGGGAGGCTGAGGTTACAGTGAGGTGAGATCGCGCCTTTGCACTCCAGCCTGGGTGACTGAGTGAGACTCCATCTCCAAAAAAAGAAAAAAAAAAAAAGCAAATGGCCAGTCAGAGTTCTAAGCAAATGGCCAGCCGGAGTTCTGTTTTTTCTTTATTATGCTACTTATTAAAATTTATTGAATGTCTGTACAGAAATTAGGGAGGACAGTAGGAATGTCTTTACCCTCTAGTAAGTCTGAATAGTCCTTACAAGTTTGGGACAGACTAGATGGTCCCTAAAATCAAGAACAGATTCTGGTTTTCTTTGTTTATAATGTTAGATTTTAGGCCAATTAATATTCCAGTTAGAACCTTGGGGATCCCTGCAAAGAGGTCCTGTATTATTTCAGTTCTGCTTTTCATATCTTTTTTTCAGTTGATGCTAGATCAAGTTGGACTAAATCTTCTTGGATGTGTCTATTTGGCTTTGTCTACCCAAATTTTAGCTTCATGAGTTGACTTCATTTGCTTCCACCTTGTGTCATGAAGGCCAGTGCAGTCACAGCAGCATCAGCAACAGCCATCAAGGAAATGTCCATCCTCAAGGTACAAAGGGAGCAAGTTCCACTGGGCATATGGCAGTTGCATCTCAGCAGATAAACAGGAGATAGGACATCTGGAGCAGCCCTTGTAAATAACGCAAAGCGGGATTCTTTTAAATGTTGATTTGCAAATCTTAAGTTACAATAGATAATTAAAATAAAAAAGTTAAAAGTTAAATTTTATATTGAACTTGATGATTGTGAGTTCAGCTATCATGGCATAAAATCTGTGTTTCACAAACATCACTTTCTAGATACATTTTAAAAAGTAAGGTGATAATAGTCATAGTCATGATGATTATAATTTGTAGAATAAAGTAAATATTTCAGAGCTTTTCTGATAAACACTACAAAATGTGTTTGCCAAATATAAGTTCATTAAATCAATAACGACAATATTGTTAATCAATATTAACAAATATATAACATAAAGCCATCATGCAAATAATAGCTTGTTTGCTTGAAAAAAACTGGACAAGTATTTTATCAAAAAAGAAATAAAGCTTTATTAATAAATTGAAGAAAACTAACTAGGTGTTCAGCTATAGAAAGACATGTTATGTTATAAATATCAATTATCTCGGCATTGTTCTACAGATTCAGCGCAATTTTAGTTTTTTAGAGGCACTTTTTCATGGAATTTACAAATCATGTAAGTAAACATAGAAATTCAAAGGATCAAGAAAAATTATGATACCCCTGAAGAAGAAGAATAGATGGTACTTACTCTGTCAGATATGACAACATATTACACTGCTATAATATGCTATAATAATCAAGACAGTGGCAGATATAAGTAGACCAATGTAACTGAATGTTAAGCCAAAGCACCACTTGATAAGTGAGATCTGTTATTTGCAGATCACTTCGTGCTCCTAGGACAAATGATTATTCATAAAAATCAGTTTCATTTCCATATTTGCTTTAACTATGTAAAGCAAAACTAAAAACTTTTATCTGGACATACAGGAGCTTTCATATGAGAATTTCAGGACTAGCATAATGATACAATGTAATTCTTCTATCCAATATAATAATGATAGATATTCTGACTCAAATATGGAATATCCTGTATTTGGCTTTTAATGTTTATCCCAAAATTTTACAAATGGTATAGAAGAGCAACATAGGCTTTTCCAGGTAAGTTAGAGTAAGCACATTCCAATCCTATCTCTTATATGAAATGCAACTATATTAAACCTGGAGAGAATTCAGGCAACAGCTATTTGAGGATTCTAAAAGGTGAATAGGATCAGACAGAGGGAAAAAGACCAGAATTCAAATTACCACCAAATCTGTGTTGAGTTTACCATTGTTTTTTGCTCTGGCATCCCTCAGCCTTGACATATACCAGCCTTAGATTAATGATCAGCCAATATTCATGTATACAAACATTTTAGAAAGGTCTGTGGGTCAGGGCTAGAATTATTTTTCTTTGTGTGTGGGTGTTTTGTTTTTTGTCTGTTTGGTTTGGTGTGTTTTTGTTTGTTTGTTTGTTTTTTGAGATACAGTCTCACTCTGTTGCTCAGGCTGGAGTGCAGTGGTGCAATCTCAGCTCACTGCAGCCTCGACCTCCCAGGCTTAAAGCAATCCTACCACTCAGCCTCCTGAGTGGCTGGGACTGCAGATGTACTCCACCACACCCAGCTAATTTTTGTGTTTTTTGTAGAGACAGAGTTTTGCCATGTTCCCCAAGATGGTCTGGAACTCCTGGGCTCAATGGAGCCTCCTGCCTCAGCTTCCTGAGTAGTTGGGACTATAGGGACATGCCACTACACCTGGCTAATTTTTTCATTTTTCGTAGAGATGAGGTTCACCATGTTGCCCAGGCTGATCTTGAACTCCTGAACTCAACGATTCTCCTGCCTCAGCCTCCCTAAGTGCTGGGATTACAGGCATGATCTACCACTCTCAGCCTAAAATTCTTAGTTACATATTTCTCCATCAGGAAACATCTTTCATCTGTATAGTAAAAATAGGACTTGGTGGAATTCTCAAAATCAAAACATACTTGAGATCAAGGTATTAGGAATTTATAAAATCTTTGATTCCCCTGTTGTGAAGATCAGAAGCTTATTAAATTTGATGTTTTTTATACGAGTATTTAAAAATACTTATATAAGAACTTTGTGTATTTTCTAGTTACTATTCAAGTTATATAACATGACTTTCAATAAAAATTATTTTTATTACCATGTGGTCCTAAGTAATTTCTTTTTCCTCGCAGGTTATCTTCTTTGATAAATTGAGAAGACTGCTTTAAATATTTCTCCCAAAAATAATGTCCCCTTCACAGTTTTTGCTGCTCTTGTCCTTTAATTATGCTGTACACAACACCGTGGTATGTGTGTGCATGAAACTGAACATTTGATATTTAAGAATTGTTTTTCAACCTAGAGTTTGAACATCATTTATAAGTGTTCCATATGTGTTTGGGAAAAATGCATATTCTCAAATTGTTTGGTAAAGATTTCTAAATATCTATTAAATTACTCCTAATTGTGCTGTGCAGATCTTCCGTGTGTGTGTGTGTGTGTTCTTCTGCCCAATCTCTCAATTATTGAGAAAGGAGTGTGGCTGATTGGTAGTTTTATAAATTTTTACATTATATGTTTTGAGGTTACTTTTTAAACCCCCTCATATGAAACTGTAAATTTCTTGGTGAATTAAATATTTTTCTTTTTTCTTTCTTTTTTTTTTTTTTTTTTTGAGACAGAGTCTCGCTCTGTTGCCCAGGCTGGAGTGCAGTGGTGCGATCTTGGCTCACTGCAAGCTCTGCCTCCCGGGTTCATGCCATTCTCCTGCCTCAGCCTCCCAAATAGCTGGGACTACGGGTGCCCGCCACCACGCCCGGCTAATTTTTTGTATTTTTAGTAGAGACGGGGTTTCACTGTGTTAGCCAGGATGGTCTCGATCTCCTGACCTCGTGAGCCTCCCACCTCGGCCTCCCAAAGTGCTGGGATTACAGGCGTGAACCACCGCGCCCGGCCAAATAGTTTTCATTTTACAGTAACCCTCTTTCTTCTACGCATCATTTTATTCTAAAATCTAAATTGTCCGATATTAAAATAGCTACTCTAACTTCTGTTTGGCTTATATGAAATTTGTAACTTTTCCATTATTTTACTTCTGTCTGTGTCTGTTTTCCTTATAGAGAGTATAGAGTTAGATTTTTAAAAACCTAACCTTACAGCCTTTACCTTTATATGTATTATCATTGCTGATGTGTTTGTTTTATCGATTGAGCTTTTGACTTTTCTATTAATGTCTCTCCTACTTTTTAAATACTTCATTTTTATTTCTATATAAATAAACTTCCGTTGGATTAATTGGGTCCCTATTTTCTTACTCTAAGTTTTACTTCTACAGGTTTGAAAGCTACATATATCAATATTTAGTCTTTTAGTGGCTATTTTGGCATACTTAAATTTATAAAGTTTCAATTAAATGAATATTTTATGTCTTTCTCTCAGAAAATAAAAGATTATCATATTTTAACTCTACTCAACCGTTCTCAGGATATATTCTACAGACACCAATAGACATTTTCTTATGTTTATCAGTTTCTTTATATACTCTTGCATCTCAAAGCTTCCTGTTAGTTAGGAATTGCATTTGGCTCCTAGAATTAGGTTGGTACAAAAGTAATTGCAGTTTTTGCCATTCCTTTTAAATTATTGCCATTACTTACTAAATTATGCCATTATATTTTAAATTTTAAAAGTAAATTTGCAATTACTTTTCCAGTGCCATAAAAATGTATATAATCATGACACAGAAGATTGGCGATAAGCAGTTCAGAGACGTGCTATGACTCCACAAACTCATTAGGACTTGTAAAAGAAAAATCAGCAAGACAAAATGAACAGATGAAAAGCGATTTTATTCTGATACTATTGCCAGCCACAGGAGAGAAAGCACAGACCAAGTCTGGATTCTTACTCCACTGAAACAAAGAGCAGGGGAGTTTTTGAGGAGCCAGGGTGGGGGTTGTCATAGGCCATATATGTTTGTTGATTAGCTTTTCTCAGAGGAAAAGTAGACTTTCTTCTATCTTCATGACAAGGCTTGCAGCCAGGAAGAAGCCTGTCTAGAACTTGGTCAATTTGAGGGAAACATTAAGGACATCTTTTTCAAGATCCAGAATTTTCTAAGTTTTTGCCAACCTATCTTTCGTGTGTTGTTTCCATTTTCAAAGTCACAAGAGAGCTGTAGTACTCAACCCATGGTGTTTGTGTTCCAGATTGGAAAGAAAAGGGCAAAAAAGAAAATGGCAGCCCTTATGACTGATCAGCCATCTTAAAAAGAATTACCAAAAGCCGTACCCAGCAACTTCTCTTGACATGCCCTAGTCCACTTTAACCTTCAAAAGAGACTGAAAAATGTGTGCTTTTAGCTGTGAATGAAATCAGACCAGAGTAACATAAGTAAGAATTCTGTACTAAGGAGGAAAATGAAATCGAAATTGGTGGTCAAGATAGTCTCCATGACAGCCCTATTTAACTATTCACATCTCTGCATACACTTCTTCCACTCATGAAATAGGCTTATTTCCATTTCAAAAGGTAAGAAGCAGTTTCTGCATCTGTATCCAGCTCAAAGTTCACGTAATGTACAGCCCTTTCAGTCATGTCTACAGGCAGCTTCTGTGGTCCAACTAACTATAAATTGAGGATATTTTGGGGATCCTCCACCCTGGGACACTTAATACAAGAGGGAAAAAGTATAAGAGGAAAATAAGTAGCTGTAGTAAAAACTTCCACGTGGTACAGAGAAAAATGGGAACCATACAACCATCAGTGTGCCAGAGCAATTAACCCAACCTGATTGGAAGGAATAGTGAGAACTCCTTTTCTTGGCAATGGAGTACATTCTATGATTAACCCATCTGACAATCTCTGGTTCTGTTTTCCATTTCCCTCCATGGCCTCTGGCCCTTCCATCTGAGAGGTACATCTGTCCGTTTTCTCTCACGCTCTCAACAAGGTGGGTATTGGCAAAGTTGCCCTTCCTGGGGGCTGCAAAGCTTTACAGTTTAATTCCTATTAGTGGAAGTCTGGAGGCCTAGGATTGTTTGGGTAATTAGGCCGTGAGAAGATATTATATGCCTGGCTTGGAGAATCTTCAGAAATATTTTCTCAAAACTTGGTGAGTTCTCAGTGTAATTACTTCTGGCCGGGCCCATCTTCAAGTAAATACAGCCCACAGTCTTGACTAAACATGGTTTTTAAGTCTGAGCATTCATGTTTAACTCAGTGGCCTTATACTTTGCCCATTTCCTAAACTCCAAAATTAATGGTGACTACTTCAAGATCATTGAAAATAAAAGGCTGCATAAGGAAGCAATACCATTAATCTGACCATTGACTCTACGCGGTGTGTGATTATTCTACCAGAAATTTTCCCACTTGATCCATTAGACTCTGAAGTATTTATATGTTAAACTTATTCCTGTTATATTGCCAATGTCCTTGAGAAGTGTTATGGAGCCCCAGGGTCTTCATCTATGAAATGCAAATAATCCCCCAAATACTGCTGCATTTGCATACTTTGAAGCAACACACAAACAAAACAAATTATTAGAAGATGCTGGAAAGTCAAGAGAGCAGTGATGAAAGAAAGAAAAAAAAAACACAGAAAATAATAACTTTCTTTTAGAAATTTCTCTTGTATTTGTACTTCTCTAGGTAAGTGAAAAAGCACAACACTGAATTTAGGTGTTTTTTCCAAAAATTTATACTAATATAATGATGATGACAATGACAATAATGATGTCAATGGTGAATAAGTCTTATAGCTGGGCACCATGCTAAGATCTTCACATGAAATATATCAATTCATTTTTAGGACAATCTGCTGCGTCATGTTTTGGAAGCCTGCTACCAGAGTCTCTGATGTGGTCTAGGAATAAAATATTTAAATTATTTTATGTTTGAACAGTTCCTGTGCATTTACATGGAAATGAGATCTATAGTAAAGAAACAAAAGGCATGCATATATAGTTGACACGTACTGAAATGTGTATGACCTCTTTTTATTTTTGTTATTTTAATTTTGGGTGTTTATGCAGCACTTTAAGACCTCATGATCCTCCAAGGACTTTTTATTAAAATCCATCTACTGTTGATCCTTTTATAATGGACAACTCTGCCTGTTCCAGCTGTCACTGTAGCAACAAGATGTGTATTAACCATGACTTTCAAGCCAGAAAGTTTCACATTTGTTTTGACAGCCTACAGTGAATTCTCTACCAAAAGCAATTTCTTGTGAGACTATTACAAGCAAGTCCTTGCAAAGTGGAAAGTCTGGGGAACTTTGGATGTGAGGACGTGCCTTCTCTGTATGGAAAGGTATTGCATTGTTGACCAAGGCTGTTGCCTACCAAATGAACTATTTTATAAATCCAGTTGGTTTTCAAGATAATGAGCTTAGCTTTCAAAATACCTTTCTCAGGTTGAGACAGTTAAAATGTAGAAAAGATGAACAGAATTCTGTCACTTGTAAAATGTAACTTGTGTCAATGATTTTCTTGTCACAGAATTTTTTGCAATAGGAAATAAAATAGAGGCTGGTAGAAAAGAGGTATACATTACCCTGTTTATGTGGAGAAAGATACTGTGATGTTGCCAAAGGTAGAAAGCACACAAAAGAAAAAATGTCAATAATTGGCTACATAAAAAGTAAAAGAGTGAACTCCTTTGTGAGTATGTGTATGTGTGTGTGAGAAAGAGAAAATGCTAGCAATAAACAGATAAAACTACATCTAACATTTGACATAAATAAAATGTTTTATGTTTTTTAATAGCAGGTAATTTTTTCAGCATTTATAGTGTGCTAAACATTGGACTAAATACTTTACACAAGCTATTTTATTGAGTCTTCCTTCACAACAGTCCAATGATATAGTGTTATGGTTGCATTTGTGTCCCCGCAAAATGTATATGTTGAAGTGCTAACCCTCAGTATATCAAAATCTGACCTTATTTGAAAATAAAGTCAATAAATATGTAATTAAACAGGAGTTAATGTTAGTTAAGTTGAGGTCACACCTGAGTAGAGTGGGCCCCTAATCCAATATGACTGTGTCCTTGTAAAAAAGAAATTTGGAATCAGGGCTAGATAAACAGGGAGGACATCCTGTGAAGCTTAGAGCTATCCTGCCAGGAGCCAAGGAATGCCGAAGATTGGTGGAAAACCAGCAGAAGCTAGGATAGAGGAATGGAGCAGATTCTCCCTCATAGCCCATACAAGGAACCAACCTGATTGACATCTTGATTTTGGACTTCTAGCCCCTGGAACCGTGAGACAATACATTTCTATTGTTTAAGCCACCCAGCTTGTAGTACTTTGTTATGGCAGCACTAGCAAAGCAATACAGTAGAAATCATCATTACTTCCACTTACAAAGATGAGGAAACACACGATCAAGACGTTTAAATAATTGTTTTATTCTCATGCAATTATTATTAAGTGGACATTTGAACTAGGCCTTTCTAATGACAAACCAGGTGTTTTCTGCAATTTTAGAATACGGAAGAGAATATTCCAGGCAGAAGGAACAGCCAGTGAAAAACATATGGAGCCAAAAAATGCACATCATTGGATGGAAATGGAGGATAATTTCATTATAGGTAAAGATTAAAGTCCTGGATTAGGGAGGTAAATGGAGAGGGGAAAGAGCAATAGATCTACTTGACATAACTCTTCTAAATAGTATTGAAAATTGGATTATGCACTTTTTTTTTGCATGGCTGGCAATGATTTCTTCCTCCTCTTCTTCTTCTTCTGTTTGTTTGTTGTGTTTTTGTTTTATAAAGGGTTTTGCCGTGTTGCTCAGGCTGGTCTTGAGATCCTGAGCTCAGGTGATCCTCCCACCTTGGCCTCCCAAATGTTAGGATTATAGGCATGATCTACCATGCCCAGCCCTAATTTTCTTTATATTACTTCACGTTCTCAGGAAAATTTCCCAAGTCATTTTCTTTGTGACACATTAACAAACGGATCTGAGTGATGTTATGGACCTTGTTCACAATGTTCCACGGCCAGTGACCTCTCGTTTACGCAGTAGGGAATCTCACTATTCCATAGTGCAAATATCAAATGATGAGTGAGTATAACTATCTATTCCCAATCCCTCATCTCACCTCAATTTTGTCTGCTCTAATTATTATACCACTGACTTCTAGGCATGGACATTACTCTGGCATTCAGCCTTCAGTATCTGTTTTTGTTAGCCTCATTTACTAAATTTAAAAAGATGTATTTTTAATTTTTATAGTCAGTATAAAAGACATAACATTCTATTGTTTTGTGTAGAATGTTTCCAGCTTGTCTCAAATATAAATTCGTATAATTTTATATTCTTTGAAGTCAACTACCCAAGATTTTTTTCTTTCTGAACACTACCCTAAATACAGCACAATATTTCATTTCTGATATAAGCATCTCTTTGTATGTTTACCCATTTTTTCATAAACTAAAATAAATTGTAACATTTGTTTTGTGTGTATATCATATATCTAAAAGAGTGGAGTGACAACAAGAAAAACCAGGAAGGCCTCCTTCTACATAAATAAAGGCAAATATCATGTTATAGCTAAATTATTTATGGAAGAAAATATTAAAATGTCACTAAAATGTCAAGAAAAGATCTGGGAGATAATCATTGATTTTCGGAATCTACTTAATTGCCAAAACATTTAAAATGTATAAGTGACCATTACAACACAATTTAGAATAGTAGAATCTATGCTTCAATATACTTCAAATTATTCAGAAGGTTATTTATTTAATGTAGATATCAAGTTACTGAAAGCAATGTTTATTCACTCAATTCAGCAAATAAAGATTAGGTCTACTAGGCGGAGGGGTATAGCAAGAAAAATAAGATACTTTCTACAGAGATTTTACAATCCACTCGGGGATAAATCAACAAAAAAGCTTATTAAAGATTGACATTGTGATAAGCACTATGACCAAAATAAAAAGAGTGATAAAATAGTGAGTAAATGGAAGATATCTCTTTAATTGCATGGTCAGGAACTTAAGGAATGAAACTGGCTCAGCCATCCAAAGAGTTGGAAAAAAAAAGAATTTGTAATAGTTTTCTATCTCTGCCTAACGAATTAGCATAAACTTAGTGGCTTAAACAACAACATCCATTAATTAACCTCAGTTCAGTTGGTCAGACAAGAGGCAGCCTCCACAGTGTTTTCTGCTTAAGTACCACAAATTCTTAATTAAGGTGCCGGCTGACTGGGCTTTTATTTACAGATACTTGAAGAATCTGCTTCCAAGCTCATATTCAGATTGTTGGCAGAATCCAATTCCTTAACGACAATATGTTTAAGGTCCCAGGTTTCTTGCGGGAGCAGACCTTGCCTATTCTCAACTTCAGGGATACCCCACTATCTTCAACCCATCAATAGTGCACTGAAACTTACTCATTTGTCAAACATCTTTGACTACTCCTTCCGCCTTTCTTATCTACTGCTATTATAGAAAGTTCTCTGTTTTTACACACTCATCTGATTAGATCACAAGTCCCAAGATAAGCTCTCTTTTTTTAAAGTCAACCATACCATATAGCATAAAACAATCACGGGAGTGATATTTCATCACTTTCTTAAGTTCTGTGAATTTGGAGGCTTGAAAGCTTTGCAGGAATTTTTAGAATTATGCCTACTACAGAATTCTAAACACTAATGGGCACACATAAAAACCTAGTTTGATTTGCAGTTATCTTTGCAGATAGACGGTTTTAAATGCAAAGCCCATGAATGGGTTAAGAGTTACCATTTATAAGATCGTAATTGTTCTCACAGCGCTGAGGATATCTGTAAACAGAGTCATGCTGTGTTGCAAAATTTTGGTCTGATTAGGCACCTTGCCTTGGACTATAAACAAGGGTCAGATATTTCATTTGGTTTCATTGTATTCCAACTTGATCAGCATAGCAGGACTCTAGTCCATTGTCACAACTACTAAGCTTCTCTCCAAGAAAAGCAAAAGGGAATTTGGTTCTGTAGATATTACAGCAGAGGAAGGAATCTTCTCTTCAGGTACAATAAAATAAAATAAAATTGACTGGTTTATTTATGAAACCACATATAATTACAGCATATGTATTAATGAAGAAACTTTTGCTAATTATAGAAGAGAAAATATAGAGCTCCTGGGTGAACAAGAAGTTGGATCTTCTTTGTATATAATATGAAAAGCCAAGCATTATTTTTTCAGTATGTTGTCCATTTTTCCACTTTCTTATCTGTAGAATAAAGTGATATCTACCTATTAAGACTCTAAAACCTAACCCATAAGACATGGGCTAATATACGTGCGTATGCATTGCATCATGCCTACCATATAGTTTTTACTCCAAATGCTAAGTCCTGTTTTTTCCTCCCTGTGTGAAACCAAGGCCTTCTTAACTATAGCAAAATAAAAATGAACTGCTGTCCCTTGTCCCTTTTTATCAAGCATTGTATAAATCTGCATGATTTTAATGTCAAAATGTATTTAAAAATATAGCTTGACATTTACAGGTTGTGTTATATTTTTCTGTGCAGTGCTCTCCAATTAAAGCATTCTAGGTAGGAGTCTGTAATTGACTGCCTGGTTCTTTAAATACTTTCAACACCAAGAAAAGAAGTACTGTGGGGAAAACTCATCATGAAACCAGTTCTCTCAATGCTGGGTGGCAGCTAGAGTGGCAGTTCATGTACCGTAGGGTAGAAAATGAGAAAAAGCTGGCTTGTACATTGGTTTTCTGGAACCAATGCTCAGATACTGAGCATGAAATGATTAAAATGTGGCCACAACAAACAAGAAATGCTTAATTGTATTCTACCTGAGGTGTCATCATTGGGTGTAGTTTCTACCCTGAATTCAAGCTGGAAGTGACTCTTCTCACAAGCATGGAGATAAGTGACTTTTCTACCACTGCAGTTAAGCAGAGAGCCTTAATAGCTGGACAGGAAGACCAAAACCTCAGAGCGGCAGTTCCGACTTCAGTCTCTTCCTCAGCATGTCGCAAAAAGGAAAACCATTCCAGAATGTGGCTTTTAACAATCCTATGTATTATGAAACAGATACTATATAAATTAAAAGCTAATGTTAATATAAAAATTAAAATATTTTATGCATATTACATTTCTTTCTGTGTAATGATATATTTTATCAAATATTTTTATTTACTCATTGTAAATCTCTCCCCATTTTTCACTTAAATGAAGACAGCCTATCTCATAATCTGTATAACTTATAAATTATCTGGCAAGAGAATTGAGACAGGAAAAATAAAATGTTGGGATTTATGGATCTACTATTGTGATATTATAAAGCAAAATTGCAAGTATTCCCAGATCTCCCTAACAAGGATCACTCTAACTACCCCTGGATTCAGAAGAAATCAATAGTGAAGCAAAATTTGTTCCTTGGTCCATAACATATCCTTGTTCATAAGAAAATTCTATCTTAGGTCCATTATAAAAATGATTTAATGATTTAGTCCAAAATAATGCATATTTTTGGAAGCCACAATAGAAGGAAAGTCAAAAGTGATGAGGAAAATAAAACAATTAACAAAGTGAAGATACAATACACAGGATGGGTGAAAATATTTGCAAACCGAACATCTGATAAGGAGTTAATACACAAAATATATAAGGAATTCAAACAACTAAACAGCAAGAAAACAAAAAACCCAGTTAAAAATGAGCAAAGAAGCTGAACAGACATTTTTCAAATGAAGACATACAAATGGCACACAGATCTATTAAAAATGGGTCAAAACCTCTAATCATTAGAGAAATGCAAACTAAAACCACAGTGAGATGTCACCTTACACCTGTTAGAATGGCTACTATAAAAAAGATGAACAATAACATGTATTGAGGGAGGACGTGGAGAAAATAGAACCATTGTATACTGCTGGTGGGAATGTAAATTTCCCCCAATTTACACTGTATTCCCATATTTATTACAGCATTATTAACAATAGCAAAGATATGGAATCAACCTAAGGGTCCATAAATGGATGAATGAATAAAGAAAATGTAGTATATGTACAAAATGGAATATTATTCAGCCTCAAAAAGGAGAGAAATTATATCATTTGTGGTGACACGGCTGAGCCTGGAGGACATTACGCTAAATGAGATAAGCCAGGCACAGAAAGAGAAATAGTGCACAACCTCACTTAGATGTGGAATCTAATAAATTTGAACTCATAGAAGTAGTGAGTAGAATGGTGGTTACAAGGGCCTTGTTGTGGGAGGAGAGACTGAGGAGTTGTTGGTCAAAGGGTATAAAATTTCAGTTAGAAAAGAGGAATATGTTTTTGAGAACAATTGCACAGCAAAATGACCATAGTCAATAATTCCAAAGTAGCTAAGAGTACAAATTTCACAGGTTGCACTACAAAAAATGATTTTAAAAAAGTGAGGGTATGGATACGTTCATTAGCTTTATTTAATTATTTTGTATTGTCTACACGTGTATATAAAACATCATATTGTACCTCATAAACTTATACAATTGTAATTTGTCTATTAAAATAATATAGAATGATGAGGAAATTATTAAAATACAAACTAGAACTAATTCCAGAGGTGATTAATTCTCTGACATTAGTCACAATATCCCTGATACCCAGAAATAAATCAGTGCAAGAAAGCATGAAACAAAAATAGCCAGAGAAACACGAGTCTCAGCAGAAATGAAAAAATTGAGACCCCGATCTCACCACAGTAAAGACCATTCTCCAGTTATATATGGCTTTGTTGGCTTTGGGTCTTGACTGCAGAACAATTGATATTTCCAAAGGTTAAAATGTAGCCAATGTCTCTGCAGGGGCCTATCACTTGCTCCTTGATACATCACCCTCCACACACACCTTCCCAGTCTTATATTGTACTCTTTTCCCTGTCACACAATCTCCTTCACTCTTGCCTGTTGAGTTGTAACCCTAGTGGCTTTGCCGGCTTCCTTTTTCTCCACAGCATTGTTTACAATGTACAATAGTATATATTTCAATTGCGGTTTGTTGACTTTTTTTTTTTTTTTTTTTTTTTTTTGAGATGGAATCTCACTCTTGTCGCCCAGGCTGGAGTGCAGTGGCAAGATCTCGGCTTACTGCAACTTCTGCCTCCCGGGTTCAAGCAATTCTCCTGCCTCAGCCTCCTGAGTAGCTGGGATTACAGGCGCCCGCCACCATGCCTGGCTAATTTTTGTACTTTTAGTAGAGACAGGGTTTCGCCTTGTTGGCCAGGCTGGTCTCGAACTCCTGACCTCAGGTGATCTACCCACCTCGGCCTCCCAAAGTGCTGGGATTACAGGCATGAGCCACCGCGCCCCGCCGTTTTGTTGACTCTTTATCTCATCCAACTAGAACATTAACTCCGTGGGAGCTGGGGATTTTATCCTAGTCTGCAGCACTAAGCACAGCGAAAACAGGGGGCCCTTCGTAATCATTTATCACATGAATGAATTAATATTAAAAAGACAGCAACGTAATCATTCTAAATTAATTATTCTTTCTCCATCTTCTTCCATAAAGATACACAGCAAACAACAACCCCAGAAATTGTTCTAGATAGAAAGATAAGCCATATCAACTTTCAACAAACCATTGAATCAAGATTGTGGTTTCTCAGCAAGCAAACTGCACAGAAGTCACTCATTCCATGATACTTAACCAGCATTATTTCTCTCTGAGTGTCTTTCCAGGTCAATCCTTATCTCACATACCTATTTTAACTGATATTAAATAAAAATTACATATGTTTTTCTGAAAAAAGTTCTACAATTCTGTTCTATTACCTTTGTATTATCTTTCATAATAACATTGTCCTTGTCTTTATTTTCAATTAAGAAATATAAAAATTATCATACATAATTTTTAAATGTATAAATTTCTGCTTGTAAATAACCCTTCATGGGAACATCATGGAGTTTGGATGTGCCTGTGTATATAACCAGGAGATAAAAAGAATGAAATTTATTTTTCTTTTCAGAGCTATTAAGCCTATTGTTCTTTTGTTCTGGTTCTCTGTTGCATCTTGCAATCTATCAGCCTACTTGGCTATGAACCATTTATATGTCCCACAGAATGCATGCTTTGGAGTTGATTATCGTGAGAAGGAAGCAGTATACAGGGTTTTATGTGTAGATTCAAAAGTGTCCAGTGTTTTATTATTTAGTTCTTATAGGTTACAAAAACTAGGAAATCCCAGGTTAAACCTGGAAGGGAAGGTAGAGAATAGGACAACATTGAAAATCATTAATTACAGCTTCACAATTACTCTAGCTCTGAAATCCTGAAATGTAATGCATACAACAATAATTTAGTATCGTTTGATACTACTTATCTTAGTTTTAATATCCAGATTTATTTAGTGTTTGTTTTTCCTACGAGAAAGACTCACATGGAGCGCCTAAAGTTGGGCAGTTTCCCACCATACCTACACAGAGACGCTTATTCCCCCTTGTGGTAGTTGGTTACATTACACGCAAACTCAACATTATTAATTCAGCGACCAGAGTAGCTATTGATTTCATCAATGGAATGAACTATTGCAGTATAATCCAAAATTACTGCTTAGGTTCTCTTTTTTCAGAAATCCTTATGGGCTGAGCAGACAGCATTTCATTATATACCATCCATTTCAAGAAAGTCCTTAGTAACTTTTGGATGTGAAAGTATACTTTCAAGGATTGGAGTAAATGTGACTATCATGCACTTGTGAAGAGGGAAGAGAGAGAAAGAGAGACCATCATGAAGGAGCTAAATTACCAAGGCAGCATTCTGCAAAAAGTTATTCCTAGTTGGGGCCGGTGCGGTGGCTCATGCCTGTAATCCCAGCACTTCGGGAGACCGAGGCGGGTGGATCACGAGGTCAGGAGACAGAGACCATCTTGGCTAACACGGTGAAACCCCATCTCTACTAAGAATACAAAAAAATTAGCCGGGAGTGGTGGCACGCGCCTGTAGTCCCAGCCACTCGGGAGGTTGAGGCAGAAGAATCGCTTGAACTCGGGAGGCGGAGGTTGCAGTGAGTCAAGATCATGCCATTGCACTGAAGCTTGGGCAAAAAGAGCGAAATTACGTCTCAAAAAAAAAAAAAAAAAGTTATTCCTAGCTGGTTTACTTGCAAAGAGAACCATAATCAGGGTTCCATAGTTAGTTGAGGGTCCATTTGGTCTTTTAACTAGAACATTATAGGTGTTGTTGTTTACCTCATGATACTATCAACAATGAAAAAGAGAGAGAAGAATTAATTCAGAAGGATTGAGCCCACACTTTGCTGTGATTTACATATGCAATAAATATCTATTGAGGGCCTGCTATTTGCTTAGGTGAAGACATGAGTTTCTAGTAGTCACATAGAATAAGACATGACTCTCTGGCCTAGAAGTGTGAACTGCCAAACAGCAGTGGGTGTTAAATCTGGAGTTTGGAGGAGTCTTTCTTTCTGAAAAGAAATGGCTTAACATGTGAACTTTTTCTGCATGTAAATGGAAATATTAGTGAAAAGAGTACTTGGAGCACCTTTTGTTAAAACCAGCAACCTCGAAAGCAGAGAGATAGTCATCTTCCTCGTTTTTCAAAGTAGCCCTTCAGTATTTGCACAAATTTACATCCTGCTTTCTTCTAAGCTAGTGTTGTGCAACTGAGGGTCCCTTACCGGGTTGTAGGGTGAATGAACAATGCACCACATATGCATACAGCGAATCTTCTGGTTATAATAGTTTATAGGTTATAATTCAGCATTAGATGTTTTCATACAATAAGTAATGAAAAATCTAGACCAGACTTTGGACCACCCTTAAGTAAAAAAGAAGATTATTGACATTGTCCCTTCCATGGTTGAATTGTTGGAAAACAGTTCACTTTTACTACTGCACCAAATTAGATAAAATTAATCAAAATTGCTTGCTTGCACCACAGTTATACCCAAGTTGCTTAACTAATAACAAATAAATTCACATATAATACAGCAATAAAATAAGCACTAATTAAAGTTTTAGAGAGACCTAGGAAAATAGGTTTAAAATTGTAATATGGCTAGCAGCCCCCAGAACCGTCATGATTTTGTGATGGTATCTCACAAAAGCACCATCAAGAATACATAATAAGAAGAAAACACAAAACATCACCAACAATACCAAGATATGGCATGGCAGAATTTTGGAGTAACTGTAGAAAATATATGACAGGTGGAATTGACATGTAAAAAAACCTATGCAATCTAGCTCTGGCTAAACTCTGTGAAACATGAATCTCTTTAAAATGGCAGGGCTTGGGCAGGCGCGGTGGCTCATGCCTGTAATCCCAGCACTTTGGGAGGCCAAGGCGGGTGGATCACAAGGTCAGGAGTTCAAGAACAGCCTGACCAAGATGGTGAAACCCTGTCTCTACTAAAAATACAAAAAAAAAAAAAAAAAAAATTAGCCAGGCATGGTGGCAGACACCTGTAATCCCAGCTACTCGGGAGGCTGAGGCAGGAGAATCGCTTGAACCCAGGGGCAGAGGTTGCAGTGAGCCGAGATCGCGCCCCTGAACCCCAACCTGGGTGACAGAAAAAGACTCCCTCTCAAAAAAAAAAAAAAAAAAAGAAAAAGAAAAAAATGTCAGGCCTTTTATTCAGGCCTGAATTCACTGTGGGCCCTTATATTCTTCATTATTGCTATGCATGTCTCCACATCGTAAATACCTCCTTATTTGAACTAACTTGATGGAATTTCTGTATTTTATAACCCAGATACTAACTAAAGCACATTTTTATTCTCTTTTTCTTTTCCTGTCTTTAATAGCTCTCACTTAATGTTATAAAAATTCTGGTTTTCTAACTTTAAGCATGTTATCTGTGCACAGTTACACACACATTCACATCAGCAAAGCTGCCGGCATAGTTCTAAAGGCCTGTCCTACTGGCTCATCCAGGAGTTAAATATTCAGAGACAAGACATTGTATAAATCCTACAGGTAGAAGTTGCATGGGAGAACTGAATGCACTAGAATGCCTTATCTCCATCTTTTTCACTTGTCAGACAGCTCTTCATTCTTCAAATCACCTTGCATATTGTATTTTCTGGGAAGATTGCTTTGACAGCCTCCTTCTTCCTACCCCAACAAATGTGTCACACACTGAATCACCTGCCGTGAGTTTGCGCCATGAGAACAGCAATGGCAGCAACAAGAGCAATAGCGAACAATTTTGAGTGCTTAACATGTGCCAAGCAATGTACTAAGTGCTTACACACATTGCCTCACTCAGGCTTCACCAAAACCTCAAGAAATCACAGTATTTTAGAGGTGAAAAAAACTATTATTTTACAGATAAGAAAACTTGAGTTTCAAGCACTGTGGTTAGTACTTTATATTTATTCCTTCATTTTATCATCACAGCGATAGTTTGGAGCTATTGTGAGCCCCACTCTAAAGATGAGAAAATAAATGCTCATAGCAGTTAATTGTCTAATCCCTTACTTTTATCTCCACTATATCTATTATGCCATTTATTTAAACAGAAATGATCTGCTTATGTGTCCACTTCCCCTGTGAATCAGTAAGTTCAAGGGAAGGACTCTGCCCTACTCATCTTTGAATATCAAATTATGTGCTCAGTAAATATCCACTTGCCAATGCAGACTCCTCCCTGATGTGAGTCCTACGATTCTTAAATTTTAAATACTTTTTAGTAAACGAGTAAACACACATGTACTTTTTCTGAAAAAGGCTCTAGAGTTTTTATTTTACCACCACCACATTGCTGTCTCCCCTGGAAATGACCCCCAAGGGATCATTCTTCTAGTGGAGCCAGCCAAAGCCATGGTTGGCTATTGTTGATGACCCTGTCAGGCTTAAGGACAGAAATTCTGCTCTTCTGGAGCCTAAAGTATCAGTCCTTGTTGCTCTTGAGCCTACTAAAAGACTCTAGAACTATGGCCACAAATGCTAGTTGTCCCCAACAATCCATGCACAGTTCCCCACTACTGCAGTGAAAGCTGTAGCAAATAGTAAAAGGTTTGTGTTACTGACCATTTCAAACCTACCTCTACAGGACTAGGGAACACTTACCCTCAGTGCTGGACCTCCTCAGGTCTTTGCAAGCTTTACCCTTAGCCTCCTCTTCCAAGGACTCAGAATGAAAAGAAAATAAATGCAAAGGTAAGCCTCATCGGTGTCCTCAGGTAAGTTCCTTCAGAACGTGAGCAGTAGGGGCACCCTTTCCCTCCAGGACAAAAAGATGCAACATTGCCCAATGATCTCCAAAAGGGAACTACAAAAATATCCACAGTCTTAAATTCTTTCATTTTATCCCTGGTCACCTTGATAATAATATAACATTAGTGAAAATGAAGGTAAAATGGCTATGTATTACCTAAAAGCATATCATGAAAGTTAACATGAAGAACATGTCAACAGACTCCTAATGACATCGTCGTAATGAAGAAAAGCCCTTTTCTTGCAAAGCACCAATGTGGCTGATAAACCGCAGAGGCTCTGCTGTGTGGCGGAGTGATTAAATTTTGCCACCGATGCCAGACAGCATTACTCCTACTGCTTTCATGGCAGAAAACACGTCATCAAACTGTCGGAACGTCACTGAATTTTCCCCAAGTGCTTTTCCTCTCATCTCGATTGAACATCTAAATCTTTTCTCTACACGATAAACAAAAATGAATGGATGAAATATGGCTTTAAATCTCTCTCCACAACAGTGAGCTTTATAATCTTATGAATGAAGCTAGGCCTCTTGTGCTCTCAGGATCTATAGGGACTGATTTATAAATTAACGAGTAATGCATTGATTTTTGCTTATTACTTCTTTGACAAATCTCTTTAGTAAGTTATCTGCATACTCATCCTGGAAAGGCACCCTTCCATATCTGAAGTCTGGCTCTTTTCATAGTGCAGCAGTCAACATCATTGTGAAATGGATTATGATAGACTTTTCTGTCCTTGGAATAAAGAATCCTAAAATCTCTTCATACATTTGTCTCATTATTTCTAGGCTATCAGTAGATGATTTCATTGGCATCAGAAAATAAAGTTTTAAATCCATTGTATTCATCTATTAAAATATATTTTATAATAGATTTTGGATCTGAAGAATTGAGATGTGTTTAACTAACCACATCATTTCATTTCTGAAGCAAACTGTGTAGTGACTTATTAAACAGATTTAAAACTAAAGATACTTTTACTTGGTAATTATGCAAATGGAAAATCCAGAGGAATAGATGTTCAGATTTAGGTTGGATATGTTCCTTGAAGAAGTATATTTACACTTTATGGCACTACTAGAAAATTCTAGAAAATTCTTCTGGAAATGAACCTTTTCTTCTTTCTTCTCTGGGGGAGTTAAGGGTTTTCTTCTTTGTTTTTCTTTTCTTTTTTATTATTATTATTTGGCTTTGTGTTAAGATGCTTTGATCTGATGTTGGAAATGAACGCTAGATACTTCTGTTGACTTCCACCAAATAAGATTGGGGAAATAAAGCAGTTCTTGGGAAAGTCCTTTATAATAATGGTAGGATGTTACTTTTTAAGCTATCAATAGTATAAAGACTTATTTTCTCTTAGTAAGTAACTTACCTAGTTGGAAAGAGGTCAATTAAAAGATTTCTTACATTTTTTCCTGTAAGGCCTAAATTGTCATTGTTAACCAAGGAAACAGGGTCAGGCTTGAAAAATCAAGGAATTCATTATACCTGCTGAACTGAAGTCAAAATTACTAGTTGTTCAACATTAACTTTTCCTAAACTCAAATCTATTTTTATAAACTAAATAATGTTCATATTAGAATTTAACTGATTTTCATTTTTATAACTGGTAGACTAGACTTTCCTTAAACTTTTAGAAATAAAATGAAGGCTTAACCGGATTTGTGAGGATAAAATACATTTTCTTTAACTGTCCTAGAGCAAAGTAGATTAGTCCCCATGTGTTTTTTGTAACAATGCAAATTGTAATTTATCAAAGAAAAATACATACATTGCTTGGTCTTGCAGAAAAGTTCCCTTGAAAGAACCTTTCCAATAAATAAAACTTCCCAAATTAAATAATAATGTTTTGATTTTTTTTCCGAGGGAATCTTGTTTTGTTTTGTTTCTAGTGCTTTTTTTATTTTTCCTTTTTCCCCAGTTCTTTATCATTTGCTATAGATGGCTTATTTTGCATTGATGCAGACTAGGCTGCAAGTTTTGTTTCATTCAGTAAACTAAAAATTATTAATTAAAAAAATAAGATTTGAAAGAAGCTCCCTAGTGGATACAGGCTGCTCACTGTTGTTGTTTGCTGTGTTGCTTTTTAATTCAAAGATGCCAGCAGGGTCAGCCTTACCACCAGTCCCAGTCTGGTTCATGGGGCTGCAAACCATTTTAGGCAGATGAATAAGGGAGGCATCATGCTGAAGTCAGCACACAACACAGATACTCAGCAACACCTACAGGAAAAAGTGGCAGCTTGAACATTTATTTATATTTGTTTCTTCTTCTCCTTTCCTTATCTCCATTTCTCATCTTCCAGATACAACCGAAATTATCTACGAAGTGAAATGGTGAAGGAAAAATATAGGAATGAATTTTTTTTTAAAAGAAACCAATCACGAAATTTAAAACAGGATGTAAACATTCTTGTTAAAAATTAGAGTCAGCTCAGGGTGACGTAAAATTGTAATGAAAGAAACCAAGAACCTTGGAATTTTTGCCTTACCTCTATAGATGTGCATTTACAAACTATTACCTTCCATCAAAATAAGAAATGCTGGGATGTGATTTGGAGGGTTTGCCGGGGTGGGGAAGGAGGGAAGAGGAACAGGGAGAGAGTTACTTAGTCATGATTTATTAATAATTACATAATTTATTAGAGGTAAGAACTGGAATTTAGAGCAAAAATTCTACTCAATAATATGTATGCACTTGTTCCTTTCTTCTTGTGCACTTGTATCCATGAAGAAACTTACCAGGGAAAAGATAATCATGGCCTAGGATACGAACAAGGATATTGCCACCATTGCTTAGAGCTGACATGCCTAGGGGCAACATGAGCCTTTGCTTTTCTAGGCACAGGAAAAGACAAATGAACTTATTATATCCATTCATTCAGCCCACAATGTCTTGTTGGGACTCACTGTGAATTAGGGACTGTTTTAGGCATTGAAGACACCTGGAAACCAAAAGGAGACATGATCTCTGCCCAAGTGTGCTACTCGACTCCTACCTTCTACTCTATGGACAGCTCCAATCACTACAAAATTAACCACTTTTTAAAATTTAACCCCATATTTAAATTAACACAATTAACCACATATTTAAAATTTAAGAATCACAGGACTCACATCAGGGAGGAGTCTGCATTGGCAAGTGGATAATTTGTAGTGGTCAATTATCATTATTCCTCACCCTTAGACAGGGTGCCAAGGTTGGAATAAAAAATAAGAGCAGAAATGCAATGCACTTCCTCAGCACCCATTAGAGCCCCACATTTCCAATGCAGTAAGGAGAAAACAAGAAAAAGAGTGATGACAGAAAATAACATGCTGCAAGGAACCAAAAAGACCATTAATGACAACAAATGCAAACAGGCTACATTCTTTTCTAAATTTGCGAATTCATCTAAAATGTGCAATTAAACTACATGGCATCTACAGAATGTATTATGAAGTAAGAGATAAAGATGGGAAGAGAAGTATTAAATAAAAGCTAAGGTAAAAATATTAATTTCAAATAGAGTTGAGTTCAAACAATTTTGCCTTACCTCAAAGAACGTGCATTTACATAACATTATTGCATAATTACTAGAGGACTATGAGAGGCATTTGCTCACATACTAGTTGGTAATGATGCTAGTGAGAGGAGAGTTACTGGGATAAGCATGTTGGAGTTGGAGAATCAGGAATTCACTTTTGAACATTACTTTTGAGATGTCTGCTATGATCTAAATGTTTGTGTCCCCCCAGAATTCATATTTTGCTACTTAGTCCCCATTAAGGGCTGGGGGCTCTTAGGAAATGATTAGATCATGAGGGCAAAGCCCTCATGAGCGGGACTAATTCTCTTATAAAAGAGGCCTAAGAGAGCTTAATCATTCCTTCCACCATATGAAAAGGCAGCAAGAAGGCACTATCTACAAAGCAAAGAATAGGTCCTCACCAGATATCAATTCTGCTAATGCTTTGATTTTGAACTTCCCAGCCTTTAGAACTGTGGGCAATGAATTCTTGTAATTTATAAATTACCAGTCTTAGGTATTTGTTGTATTTGTTATAACAGCCAGAACAGACTAATATAATGCCTAATGAGTTGACAACTGAAATATATGACTTAAATATAAGGAAGAGCTGTGGAGTGAAGATGAAAATGTCTATATCATCAGCATATATTTCATATTTACAGACATGAAAACTATCACCAAGGAGAGAAATGATACAAGAAGTATTCCAGAATGGAGACTGAGATGTCTGTTCCAACATTTAGAATTTAAGTAAAGGTAGAAACAGCAAAATAAATTGAGAAAGATGTCCAGGGAGGTTAAAGGAAAGCTGAGAGGGAAGAGTATTTTAAGGGGGAGAGATGGTCAACTCTGTAGAATGGATTGTGGGAAATCAAATGGATTCATGTTAGAAAAGTACTCACTTGCCATGTGGAAGCTGATGATAATTCTGACAAGAGATATTGCATATGAAAGTAATTTTTGAAGCTACAATTATTCAATATCTACTTAATAAGTTGCTTGGATTGTTCCAGTAATTAATCTAAGTAAAAACGTGTCCAGGCCTGCAATCACTCAAACATTCCACTCCAAGATATTCTATGCTGGACAGGAGTCAAACTCATTTTGGAATAATGCAGTCAGTTTCAGAAGTTTTAAACGTGCAAAAGTCCACAGCCTACAAAAGCTAATTTAAATCCAGATGCCTTATGTAAATAATTTATTTTAAACAATTTCATTTTATACATTTGCTGAACTTTCATTTAAATTTTGATTTTTAAAAGTGTGAAATCATAGAAATCGCCTTAACCCAATAATATGTTATTAGCTCTGCTATATTGTAAGAAAAAAAGTATGATGTTATCCTATATTTTTAGAATTATGTCAATTCCAAGGACCTGTCCATTATTAAAGCTCATGCAGCCCAAATTAACTAAGGCTCACATATAACAGCTGTCCATTCTTTTCTTAGCATATAATCAAGTATTTGCAGGCAGGTATTAAATTCTACCCCTTAAGGACTCAGAGAGCTCCATAAATGTGTGCAAATTCCCTATATGTATATTTTAAATGCAAATTTCTGTGACAATTTTATGAACAGCTGTAGAGTTCAAAAAAAGTGCATTTCCTTATTCATACTATCTATATGCAAACTCACGAAAAATATCAGATGTGATAAGCTGTAGCTTGTTTTAGTAGAATATAACCATTTATATTTATGGCACACAGCACCCCTCTTTCACAAGCACTTCCTAAACTCAAAGAGAAAAGTCTGTTAGCCTGCCATTACAAAAGAACCATCTTCAGGATGAAATAGTGGCTTCCTCTCAAACATGAAGCAATAAGCTGCTTCAAATTGAAAGAACAAAATTATGGCTGATCAACTGCAAGAATTTTGAAAAGACTGAAATAAGCTTAAATTTCACTTGGAAACCAATGGCAGTGTAATTGAATGAGTATCAAACTGGAAATCAGAGCTATGTATATGTTCCAGCTCTGAAAGTAGGAATCTAAGTGGCCATGAGCAAAGCCCTCAATTTTTTAAGGTCTTTCTAAAAAAAAAAACATGAAGGGAGGAACCTAATCAGTCTCTAAGATCCTGTCCAGTTCTGCATTCCACAGTAGCAGGCAAAACTCCTCTGGCAATTAAGCTGGCCTTAGCTACAAGGATGGACACATCTTGATCACAAGGGAAAAAACAAATAAAGGACAGTGATGGAGAGGGAACACTGTCTTTTCCAACTTTCACATCAGTGGAGTATAATAGAAAATTAGAAAGCAAAAAAAAACACTTTATTATAAAGAAAAATTTAGTGATCACACACATCCTAGATCTTCTTTATTTATATAAGCTATATTATATAACAAATACATGTCTATCAAAAAGTACTTATTGAGAGAGTACTGTGCTGGGTGCTGAAGGTCATGGTAGGCTTTTACTGAAATAGCACAGGCTACCAAGCAGAGTCTTATCAGGGCAGCCAGCCAGTGTGAAACCTGAATGATGCTACCAAACAGACCATGCCTCAGACACTTACCTTTGTTCATGATTAGCCTGCTGGACCTCTGGGAAAGAGACCAAAGCTAGACAAGTTTACACCAAAGAAAAAGGCATAAATGAGACTGTTAATGTAATGCTGACGTGCAGATATCCCCAGTCTTTCTTGTTTCATGGTGCCCTTTAGTGCCTCACTAATTGCTTCATGTAAATCTTAGGTCAAAAGAAATACCTAGCAGTTTTAGGTATTAAGCAGTTAGAAATGTTAACCTTAATAAGAGAGACAGGGTCTCTAAAAGAAAAGAATATTTATTCAAGAATAGGTCATTGCAATGAGAACACATGTGCCATAATAAACTATGTGCATATTCAGGGAGATAAAGGAAGACAAAAAAATAGAAGAATTAAATAATTATTTTGAGATAAATATCCTTGGCTATAAGGGTCAATAACAAGAGTAATGCCAGTTTGAAGCTGTAAAGACAGTTGCCGGACAGATGTCCTCACAAAAGTTTTTCTTTTTTTTTTTTTTTTGAGACAGGTTCTCATTTTGTTGCCCAGGCTGGTCTCAAACTCCTGGGCTCAAGTGATCTTCCCACCTCAGCTTCCCAAAGTCTACGGTATGAAAAACCATGCCCGGCTTCCTCGCAGTCGTATGTTTTTTTGTGTAAAATTGCAGTTGTCTTTGTGCAACGTTGTGGTTTTGGTAGAGTTTTTTGTGATAGTTCCTGTTATTAGGTGCTTATGCATGAGAACCCTCTCTTCATGATCTTTTCTTACTCTTTGTCAGGGTTGCTGTTGTTGTTAACACAAGTGACTCCATTTTGATTCTGACAACTTTCACATTTCCCCCTTTTGATAAAAATCTTTCCCTGAAAGCATCACTGACCAATGACCCTGTAGTAAAGTTTTCATTTCTTTAGTACCAGGATGGACCTGTCTCAGGTTGCTCATCTAGTCCCATGATGGAGGGAGTAATTGGAGGATATGAGTCAATTTCAAACACTTTTATCCACATTTGACCCACAATGAAAGTTTGAAGGAAGAAATGCACTGGCCATCAGTCCACTTGTCAGCTGGATAGTTGGATGAAGAAAAAAAAAAGCTTCATTACCTGAGCAAGTTAGGACCAAACAGAATTATTAAAAATTGTCCTCTGATCCATGAGAGCAGTGAACAGAACACCCTGATTAATTTTATTCTTTAAATTTTGGGGATGGGGTGGGTAGGTGGGTAATTTGTTCTTGTGGAACAGAATGCTCATATTTTCTTCTTGTAGTATCATTTCTCCAAGCAAGTTAGTATCTGAGAAGCCAATATTAGTCATCACGTGATTGCTTGTGGAGCAAAGAAAACAAGTTGGTTGAGAAGTGAGGCTAGACCTAAGAGATTCATATAATCTAGGCCATGGAAATTCTCTTTGACTCATTGTAAATTTTACCTCCATGGAAAGTTAGCAAAGACATAGTTCATGTACAATCCTTCCCCTTAAACCCTGGAAGTATCACTAATCAATCAGGGCATGCTTTCTCAGTGAGCCTGGAAGGAGCTTGGCAATCATCTCCAACACCCTCTGCCTATTGAACACTGCTCCTTAACAGATTGTATTTAGAAATGAAATCTGTTTTCCAACTTAGGCCTACAATGATTGTATTGGAGATTCAGCTTCTCTCCCTCAATACAATTTGACTTATAAACTACTATTCGTTCCTTCCCAAAACCTTTTTTTTTATATTTTTGCTCTTTCTACTGTAACTACAATCTCTATTTATATGAAATAATTCACTGATTATCATTAAATCAAGGTGGTATGCTACTGGTTCATAGTGGGTGCTAGAAACTTTTACCCATTAAGTGTTGAGTAAATAACAACTCTGAAAAAGTTATCTTAATTTTACATTCTGGAATGACAACACATTTTTTCCCTATGCACCGACTACATCTTAATGATCAGGAACTCTTTAGACTGTGGTTAACTCCGGCCCCAGGGATTGATCCTCCCCTCCTCAATTCTCAAACTCAATAGCCTCAGAAAAACGAAATCACTCTCAAAACTCACATGAGATTACTGCAATCTGACTACCATTGTTCATAATGAAGAATATAATAACCACATGGAACATTAGGCTATCAGTCCATCTTCTTCCCATTGGAGAGCCTCCTTTAGGAATTTAAGAAAAGACAGCATGACCACTTAGAAAGGATTTGGAACAAGAGTAATTGATGTAACTAACAAGCATAATCTAGCCCAAATCAACCAGATGCTATTCTTGGCTAGCATCTATTTTCTCTTGCCAGGCAATGCTATAATATAAAACTCTTCAAGTTGCCATCTCAGATCTTTTGGTGTCTGCATAAAATCCTAATCTCTTCAAAAGGAAATCTTCTATAGATAGCAACCTCAAAAACGTCTTGACCTCAGAGGCAACTCTCTATCACAAGCATTAAGACAATCCAAATAGGGCAGCCTGAAAACAAAAATATTTTTAAATAAAACTGAGATAATATATGTTCTGTTCCTCAAAAACACAACATCTCCATGAATTCTTTGCAAATGCTACTTCTATTAAACATATGAAGCTAGAACTACAAAGTTTTGTTGTTGCTGCTGTAGCTGTTCACATGACACATATGGTTGTAAAACTCCAAAACACATTTTCATTGTGAATTAGTATATGCATAAAACCAAGTAGAAATTTTTTCGGTTTTGTAAAAATTAAATTATAGGAGTCTTTCTCATTCTAAATGAATGATAGCTAGTTATTATTCTTCATTTTTAAAAGTTATTACCCAAGAAAACGATCTACGTATAAATTGTGTTATACCTAAGAAAAAAGAAAAGTATTTAATCATTTGAAATCCCATCCCCATAGTCACAATATTGTGGTTTATAATACCGGTTGGCAAACATTTTCTGTTTGCCAAAGGGCCAGATAGTAAATATTTTACTGTTTTGCAGGCATGTAATCTCTGTCTCAACAACTTAACTTTGCTACTGTAGCATGAAAGCAACTGAAGATAATACATAAACAAATGAATATGACTGTGTTCCAATATTTGCAAAATCAGGTAGTGGGATGGATTTGGACTAAAAGAAGTAGTTTACCAACCCCTGGTATATGCTTTTACAAAATTATTCTCTATGTCAATACACATAATGTGCAAACACCCACATACCCACATATATGTATGTATATGTAGATATGTATATGTTTAAATATATATTTGATAATCATATGTATGCATGTGTACTCATTTATGTGTGTGTGTGTTTGCACATATGTATTCACAGACAATTTAGATAAATCTATTTTTCATAGGGTCTTATAAGATCAGGTTTGCCTTTGAAAGTATACTAAATTATTTACAAATCAGAGTATCATATTTAAAGCTGCAAAATATTCACCGAATACATCACAATTTTTTAATTCAATGGCTTTTAATATTCAATTTGTTGTTTTATTTTATAAATGATACCATAGTGACTATTCTCATTTAGCCTCTTCTGAGCATCTTATTTCTCCGGAGTGATTCCTCACAAGTGGAATTATCTGGTGAGAAAACGTCATATGAGTGGGCTAATTTCCCTATCCCCTAATCAACATTAAGTGTTAGTCTGTAGATTGTTTTCCAAATTGATATTTAAAAAGTAAGATGGCATTTTTATTTCTCATTGCTTTTATTAAATATTATTAACCTGTATACATATTGTCCTCCTTTTGCTGAGCACGTACATTTGGGGTGGGCAGAGGGCTCATCTTTTTAAAATTGATTTGTAAAATTACCAGCTTTCTCCAATGCAAGAAATAGAAATTCTATTCAATTTGGTTCAAAGAGGTTTTCTGTAGATGGTAGAAAAAGAGAAGTTGTTATTATAATGATACATTCCATGCATTATCCTATTTCTTCACTGGCCACATATCAGAGCTTACAAGACTTCAAGAAGCCTCTCTCTCACAGTGTAAGAATCACTTTTTGTGTATGTCTTTCCATGTTTTTTCTCTGAAGATTAATTTTCTTGGCAAGTTTTTGTTCCTCCACCTACAATGATAATAATAACAACATTATAGTAGGAATACTTATATCATGGTTAAAAGTGTTGCTAGGCGGCCGGGCGCGGTGACTCACACCTGTAATCCCAGCACTTTGGGAGGCCGAGGCGGGCGGATCACGAGGTCAGGAGATCGAGACCATCCTGGCTAACACAGTGAAACCTCGTCTCTACTAAAAATACAAAAAAAATTAGCCCGGCGTGATGGCGGGCGCCAGTAGTCCCAGCTACTCGGGAGGCTGAGGCAGGAGAATGGCGTGAACCCGGGAGGCGGAGCTTGCAGTGAGCCGAGATTGCGTCACTGCACTCCAGCCTGGGCGACAGAGGGAGACTCCGCTAAAAAAAAAAAAAAAAAAAAAAGCGTTGCTAGGCACATTTACATTCTTTTCATAAAGCAATTTATTTAATCCTCACAACTGTCCTTTGAGGTAGGAACTATCAGGATCCCCAAAGATGAGGAAAATGAGGAATTAAGTATTTTATTTAAGGTTATACCAGTCATAAGTGGTAGAGATGAGATTCAAAACTAGGCAGTCTGGCTCCAGAATACTGCACTACAAACCAAATCTTCATCTCTTGTATGGTTAGGGTTGCCAAGATATAAATTTTGGCTTCAATTCTGAATGGTCCTACAGCTTGTGAGTCCTTGAAGTTTTTTGCTTGGCTTAATCTCTAATTCTCAATTCCAAATTTCCACAAAAAGAGAATATGATTTTGGCTCAGCTTGATTCAGAAGCTGACACAAACTCAGTCGTCTGTGGTCAAGGGGATGAAATCATATGTTTCTTAGAGCTATAAATGACAGGCTGTGAGCAGTATTTTCTAATCCTGCAGTATTCCTTACTCTTTTTCACATAATGGCACACAAAGAAATTATAATATGATCTACGAGGGTAAAATATGAAACTGTTTGCAGTTCGCTACTTCAGACCCTGCTCAGTGTCCTAGGAAATCAACATCACAGTCTACTGGCAAACTCATCATGACACAACAGAGCTGCAGAGTACACTGATTAGGAAAGTCTGCTCCAAGGATGTGGGGAGGATTAGGGGAAAAATTATTGCAACTATTAGTGTAAAATATGAATTCTCTATTAAATATGTAGCAAATATGTTTTCCAGGATTGTTATATGTTTTAAATTTACTTTGTATATTTATTCTTCATGTGGAAATTTTTATTTTAATGTTGCAAAACCTATTAGTCTTTCCCCACATAGATTAGAAGCTAAAGATCTTTCATTAGTTATCTGAATATTTTCTAATATGTTTAAGTTTTGATTATATATTTAATCTATTTCAATTTAAAATATATTTTGTAGTGATATATAAAGTAGTAATTTAATTGTATTTACCCCCAAAAATACCAGGCTGACAGTCCTGTCACCATTTCTTTAACCACAAATTTTAAATGTTATCTATTTTATATGGCAAAGTTGACAGAAATATAAATTTAATTATCTGTATTTTCATTTTCAATCCTGATTCGTTGATTCACCTATTTATTATGGCACCAAAAGCATTTATTGTGGTTTTATAATATATTTTGATCTTTTAAAGTCAGTCTCTATCCATTAGTCTTCTTTTCTTCTAATATTTTCTGACAATTCTCATCCCTTTGTAGTTATAAGAAGTCACATAGTAATTTAGGGTAATTTTCTAAAATTACTCTACTTTATAATAAAATATAAGTTCATTTAACAAGGACAAACATCTTTAATATAGTGAGGATTCCCATAGAAAGATAAGATTTGTCTCTCCATTTACTCAATTCTTATTTTATATACTTCAATAAAGTGTGGTGATTTGGATAATATATTACGGTTGGACTCATCTTTTACACTTATTTATTACTATTTTTTTGTTTTGATGGATTATCTGGCTATAGGCACAGATGATACTGCTCTGGTTTTATTATTATCAAGGCTGGGAATAAGTGCTATGCTATCTCCTATAAAAGAATTTTGGCAAGTTCTTTCTGAATATTTGTGAATTATTTTGAATAGAATATGACATTTTTTCCATGAAATTATATGGGCTTGGAACTTTGGGGACTAGAAGATTAGTTACTTGGCAACTTTCTTAATTACTTTCATAATTACTGGCTGCTTCAGGATTTTTATCAAAAAAAATTTCTATAGTGCTTAGAAAATCATCCATGTCATCCAGATTTTGAAAAATATTAGCTTAATTATAAAGTACATGTCTAAATAGTTATTAAATTCATCAGTATTTGTTATTAGAATTCCTTTTTAGTTATAATTTGTAATTTGTTATGTATTTTCACACACACACCCACCCACCCTTCATTATTTATTTATTTTATTTTACTTTTTTTTTTTTTAGTCAGGCTATTTGGTGATGTATGAGCTTCAGTATGTGCTTCTTTTTTCTGCTAAAAATTTGCTATGGGATTTTGGGTTTTGTTTTTGAATAATATTTTTTATTTATAAAACTTGTTTCTCTTTTTTGTCTTATTTTAAATAGGTTTTATTTTGTCTTTGAATATAATGCCTTGATTCAATATTTTAACATTTATTTTTATTGCCTTTTAGTAGGAAAACTTTTATGCTTATTCTTCTACATACTATTTGGTGAACATTATCAACCTTCTGTAAATCACTGAGACGATTTCAGATTAAATTCAATAATTATTTAGATGTGTTTTTATCTAGTTGAAGTTTTTAGGTTTACTTTTACATTTTGATAGAATTCTTCTTAGAATGCATTAGGAACTTCTCTGTGAATTGATCCTTAGTAAATTTTTATAAATATCCCATAGCAGGTGATAAGCAGAATTTATTTTCTGTTGTACAATACAAAGTGCTCCTTCCCATTGATGAGGGACTTAGTGGGTTGAAATGTTTCCTAGCCTTTCCACAGCATACACTATCAAGTTGGGCACATATCAAAACAGCAACAATAGCAAAAAAGACTCAAAAAATGTAAATTAAAATAAAAAACCCAGCAAAGTGCTATATTCCCATACATGTTAGCAGTTTGGTTCTCAGCTTGAAAAACTAGGTAAGAGCAGAGTCATTTTGTACACTCAATTAATTTGTTTCAAAACGAAGTCTGTCAGTTTGTAAAATCCTTTATTTAAGTCAAACTAATTAGGTGACTTTTATCACCTTAAAAAGAGAACCATAATGAGAAACAGCCACCATTACACTTTCTTGACTTGGAAGCCAGCTGAGGCATTTGAATCTCTCTTGTCATTTTAGAAACCCCAATTAAACTGGTCACCGTGAGCTGAAAATGAACAGATGCCATTATGCTTATTTCATATTAAGCCTGATCAACTTAATTGGCCCACGGGCAAATTTTTCTTTAGAATTTCTTTTTTTCCCTAGCAAACAGTATTCATTTTAAATTAACTCAAGTTCTCAGTATCTCTTTCTTGGATGAATAGAACTACTTCTTAACTGATTTCCCTGGTTCCAGCCACACTTTCCCACAGTTCCCCTCAACAAAACAGCTACAATGAGCCTTTTGACCAGAAGATAAACACTTTTTAAAGATACAAGACTGTCTTTCAGTTTTGAAATTATTTATTACATCTGCCTAAAATGTTTTTACCTCCTATGTTCATATGCCTAATTTCTTTATACCTCTGATGCCTTTGCTCAAATCTACCCTTTGCAATGAGACCCACTCTGACCTTTTAATACTACACCCTGCTCCCTGATGCTAGCATTTCCAATATTTTCTGCTTTATGTCATCACTTTTCTACAGCATATATTACCTTCTAATGTATTATATGTATTCATGATTTATTGACTCACCCTCCTTGCTTAAATGTAAGCAGCAGGTCAGGGATGTTTATCACTTTTGTTCAATGAGGAATCCCAAGCACTAGACCAGTTTCCTCCACATAGTATGCACTCAACAAATATTAGCTGAGTAATTAAACAATGGTAAGATTTTCAACTCACCTGGAAAAACACATTCTTAAAATGCAACAATAGGAAAAAGAATCAATCAAAACTCACTATCATAACTTAGAAGTCCAAACACAAACATTTAAGCATGTAAAAAAATAAGTGTTAAACAAACTTTAGTCTTATGAGACATGATGAAACACATAATACATTTATGTGCTGTCTCATGAGGGTGATGGCATGAGTCTCAGGCATGCTCCTCAGCCCTATCTGGGATTGAGCTGAGCACAGAGAAGTCCTAATACAGAAGTGCACTCAATTGTACAGTTTTACACAAGTAGGCATTCATGAGCCTGGATTTAAAACAAACAAATATAAACACAGCAGAGCTACACATTTCCTAATCAAGGGAACATTTTAATCTATTCAAGTTTAGACATGGAGATTGCAGGTAAGCTTTTCTTCTGAGGTCTTCACAAAACCAAATTCACTCTGGTACACTGATACACAGATTATGTAACTCCAATGTGTTAAAATATGGCAAATGATGTATTTGAGAGTGTTATTCTAAAATTACAGACTGTCAAAAATATTAAAAAGAAATGTGACTCAAATAATTACGAGACAGTTTTTTAATTGCCTGAAATAATAACAGACTTATATAATGATCTTTGCTGTCACGACAATAAGATGGGACTTTTAAGAACACCTTCCATATCCATATCCTCAAAAGCTGGTTGTAAATTCAAGCAGTCATGCTTAACACTGTAACTGGTGCATTTGTACTTGTGGCATATTGGCCAAAAGTATAGACACCAACAATGTCCTTCCCTTACCCTTCAGATCTTTCTTTTGCTTTGACAAACATCCAATGGCCAGTATCTACATCTAGCTGCCTGGAGTCTTTTTTTCTAGATCCTAGGAAGGCCCTTTGCCTACAGGGGCAGATCACACCCAATGGTTCAGGAAGCTAAGTGTCCTAGCTCCCTCATTCTTGGAGTAATTCTGACTCATATGGTGTACATTTCCCAGAGTTTCCCTCATGGGATTAAGCTTTCTATTGGCTTAAAATAACATACCATTTATCTTCTGCCAGTACCGTTCAGGCATCACTTGCCCATTCCCCTTCAGATGTTTCCTGAACCTCTCTCTCTCTTAAAAAAAAAAAAAAAAGAAGTATTTTCACTCAAATCCTCCAGTTAACCAGCTAAAGTGCAGCTGGCATAAAACACCACCAGTAGTTGACTATGACATTAAATATTTTATGATTATTTTTCTGTGCAAATTTGACACATTATAATGACATTGTACATATTTTATTCATGTCAATGTGTTCGATATCTTCATTTTGCCCCTCTAGATAGAGTCCCACCCTTTTACACCTTGTTCTATCCTGCTCCTGGGACATATTTGCGTGGAGTGCATTGATCGATAGGCTCCCTTGACCTCTGGCTTCTAAGCTGTCAGTCATGCGAGGAACCTGCAAAATATGACGAGTGAAAGGAGAATGGAGTCAGGGTAATTATTCCATTGGTGTCTTTCCTCTCTTCCACGTCACTATAGATTGGCTGTATTTCTCTTGCACATGCCACCTTCTTGTCAGGCTGTTCTATCCATGTACCTTATATAATATTCCCAGTTCTGGTGACCACTCCCTCCCATCCTTCAGACCTAGGAAGTGTAATGGCCCCTACTGTTACTAAGCCAGGATACAACACTATCTACTGTTTGTAGAGATGGAGAAACCAAAATTATAATAAATAATCCCTTAATTAAATGCTCCATTGTTTACTCAGTTTGAATATGCCTTCACTTCATGACAGGACTCTGACTTTTACAATAAATAATAAATGCACATGATAAAAAAAAATCAACAAACTCAAACTAAACAGATGGTACAAAATTCTTATGTTCTTTCCAATTATCATTCCTTAGAGGTAAACATCTTCAACTATTTCTCTCCAAATAATATATTGTTTTCCATATGTGTTTTTGGTTAACCAATATCTAATAGTAACTATGGACTCCTTACTTTGAAATACAAAAGTTTAGCTCATCTACATTTCTAATACCTCTCTTCCCCATGCTCCAACAGTCTTGGCAAGTGATATTAGAATGTTCAGATCACCTTCTATCTTTAGGATAGGTAATAAAATGCAACTTCTTTTTCTTAATCCATCAACTTCTACAAAATGTGTCTTCAGTTCCTGCCACAGAAAATTAAAAAAAAAAAATCAGTGGCCCCACATTCCCTTGCCTTTCTTTATTTTCCTCTCCACTTCCCAATTGTTTGTTAGCTCTAGCATGGATTGAATACTACCAGGTTAAATAATTGACTTTTTTTTTTTTTTCCAGAATTCAGACATCCAATTACTCAAACAACTTTTGGGTTTTCCTGAAATTTCAATGCCTTGTTTACATTTTTCCACTTTAAAAAAAAGATACTATGCCTGCACCATAGCACTAAGTTCATTCAGCTTTCAAATACATAATTTGTGAAAGTGAACACAATTTCACTTTGTGTTTTGTTGTGAATTGCTATCTAAGCCTACTGCACACCTTGTATTCTAAGCTTTCTTTTCATTTCTCTCCTCTCATAATTATACATTATTTTTTTCTTTTTGATTATATGTTTAGATTATATTTTAATATTCCTAGGACATATTCTTAATTATTTTTCTTGGTCAATAAGTGCATTAAAGGTAAATTTTGTGATATCTTGCATGCAGAAAATTCTTAATTTTGTCCTTGTGGTTAATTGTTACTCAGTTTAAATACAGAATGCTAGTTAAAATAATTTACTTTAAAAACCTTGAAGACAATACATTCAGTGTACTGTTTTGATTGAAGTTTTGCTAGAGTGAATATATTGCATTTTCTTTTTGTTCTGGCAGACTTTTTATTTCATTAAAGCTTTAGTGTTCTTTTGATTTCTCTTTGATAATCACATACTTTTAATTTCTAAGAATTTTTCTTATTCTCCTATTGCCCCTTTTCATTTATCATTCTACGTTTCTTTAAAAATGCAATATGTGTGTTCACTTCAGCTGCACATATACTAAAATTGGAATGATACAGAGAAGATCAGCATGACCCCTGCACAAGATGGCATGTAAATTCTTGATGCATTCCATTTTCTTAAAAAAAAAGCGATATCTTCTTGTGTAGCTGTGAAGAGACTAAGTAGATTATTTTTTTAAAAAAACATAACTTTTGTGCTCGCTTTGGCAGCATATATACTAAAATTGGAAGAATATAGAGAAGATTAGCATGGCCCCTGCACAAGGATGACATGCAAATTTGTGAAGCATTCCATATTTAAAATAATAATAATAAAACATATCTTTTAATGTGTGATTTATTCATTTTTTCAAGGTCTGTATTCTACTTCCTTGTCTTGGGCCTTTTCTGTTTTGCTGTTTCTGTTCCTTGCATACCTATTGCTCATTAGATATAAGTTCATAATTGTGAAGGAAGGATTAGATTGATTAAATTCTAGCAGGATTCCTCTTTTCCTATTAAAGTGCTTTCCCAACAGTCTTGTCATGAAAATGAGACTATTGACCTAAATTTAAATGTCTACTTGGGCATGTTATACGGATGGTCCCATGTACACTGGTTGGGCATGCCACATGGAAGGTCCTATGTACACTCGTTGGGTATGTCATATAGTAGGATTCTCTGTATGCTGCCCAGGTATATCACATGGAAGAACCTATATTCTCTGATTGGCAACGTCATATGGAAGTTTCTATGTATGCTGATCACGTATATCATATTGAAGTTTCCAAGTACAATGGTTGGGTATATCATATGTAGATTTTGTTTATCAATATGGGGAAGAAGTAGGTAAGCTGTGTTCTATAAAGCCAAAATTGAGGAGGGGTTTATTCTGTTGGATTGAGGCCAAAACCAGAAGTCCTAATCCTTCACAGACATATCATTAAATTTCTTCAAAACAACAGCGGGACTTTCAGCTTCTGGTCTTATATATAAGAAACCTGAAAGTTATCATTTCATCCTAATAACAAATAAAAAGCTGAACAAACTAAAACTTGAATACATTGTCTTAGATCCATCAGAGACATGAGGTCATAAGACAAATCCCTGTCCCCCAAATTAGAGAGACCAAGAGGAAAATAGAGACAATCAAAACTTACTAAAGCAGAAACCCTAGTGGAGACTTAAAAATGATGCCCCAAAACATCCTCTTTGGACTTCAAATAAAGTAGGAATAGCAAATAAAGGAAGGGCTTTCTCTGAAGTTACCCTCCCTGCCTAAAGACTGAATCTTTCAGGAAATATCCAATTGTTGTGATACCCTTCCTTAGATACTTCATTAATCAGAGGAAATCAATGTATATTCCAGGAAGGAAGACTGATGTGGACACCACACTCAGAACCCAGATGAACTTTGTCTCAGGCTACTGTTTGTTCTTTAGGCCCATTCATTTCCCCTAAAAACAATTGATTCTTCTTCTAAAAATTGCCTATATCCCCCACTTTCCTCTGTCTTATGAAGATGATATATAAGCTTCAACCATCTGGTCCTTTGTTGAGTCTGATATTTTATGGGACTGCTGTTCACTGGCACATAGTAAATTTCTATGCCTTTTCTCCTATTAATCTGTCTATTGACAGTTTATTTCAGCCAACTAAATTATCAAAATTTCAGGGGAAAATTTGAGCTTCCCTATACTCATGAGCTGAAAATCTGTGGAAACCAGTGCCAGGCAGCAAGTCCTGAACTGTAGTTGACACACAGTTGGAGGCTCAGTATAGACAAGTCTGAGATATAAAAACTCCAGGGGTGCTCAGTCATTTTGGAGTCCAGTCATTTGGGAGCTCCAGTGATTTTTTGAGTTTTTACCTCCTGGAGTTCTACCAGGTTCCTACAGAATAGAGAACCCAGAAATAAAGCCAAATATGTATAGTTAACTGATCTTTGACAAAGCATACAAAAACATAAATTGGGGAATGGGCATTCTATTTAATAAATGGTGCTGGGAAAACTGGCAAGCCTCACATAGGAGAATGAAATCGGATCCCTATCTCTCACCTTATAAAAAAATCAACTCAAGATGGATCAAAGACTTTAATATACGACCCAAAACCAGGAAAATTCTACAAGACAAAGTTGAAAAAACTCCTCTAGACATTGGCCTATGTAAATATTTCATGACTTAGACCCCAAAAGCAAATGCAATGAAAACAAAACTAAATAAATGGGACCTAACTCAACTATAAAGCTTCTGCCCAGCAAAAAGAATAATCAGCAGAGTAAACAGACATCCCACAGAATGGGAGAAACTATTTGCAAACTACACATCCAACAAAGGTCTAATATCCAAAATCTACAAGGAACTCAGACAAATCAGCAAGAAAAAAATAAATAATCCCATGAAAAAGTAGGCAAAGAATATGAACAGACATCTCTCAAAAGAAGCTATACAAATAGTCAACAATCATATGAAAAAATGATCAACATCATTAATCATCAGGAAAATGCAAATTAAAAGTACAGTGAGATGGCACTTTACTCCTTCAAGTATGGCCATTACTAAAAAGTCAAAAAACAATAGATGTTGGTGTGGATGAGGGGGAAAAGCTCATACGTGGCTAGCGGGAATATAAATTAGTACAACCTCTATGGAAAACAGTATGAAGATTCTTTGAAGATCTAAATGTAGATTCACCATTTGATCCAGCAATCCCACTACTGGGTATCTACTCTCCCAAAAGGAAATCATTATATTAAAAAGAAATTTGCACATGTATGCTTATAGCAGCACAATTCACATTTGCAAAGATGTGGAACCAATCTAAGTGCCCATTGTCTAATGAATGGATAAACAAAACGTTATATATATACACCATGAAATACCACTCAGCATAAAAGGAACCAAATAATGTATTTTGCAGTATGTGGATGCAGCTGGAGGCCATTGTTCTATGTAAAGTAACGCAGGAGTAGAAAACCAAAAATTCTATTTTCTCACTTATAAGTGGGAGCTAAGCTATAAGTATGCAAAGGCATACACAGTGATATAATGAACTTTAGAGACTTGGAAGGGGGAGGGTGAAAGGAAGAGTACAGATAAAAAAATACATATTGGCCGGGCGCGGTGGCTCACGCCTGTAATCCCAGCACTTTGGGAGGCCGAGGCGGGTGGATCATGAGGTCAGGAGATCGAGACCATCCTGGCTAACAAGGTGAAACCCCGTCTCTACTAAAAATACAAAAAATTAGCCGGGCGCGGTGGTGGGCGCCTGTAGTCCCACCTACTCGGGAGGCTGAGGCAGGAGAATGGCGTGAACCCGGGAGGCGGAGCTTGCAGTGAGCCGAGATTGCGCCACTGCAGTCCGCAGTCCGGCCTGGGCGACAGAGCGAGACTCTGCCTCAAAAAAAAAAAAAAAAAAAAAAAAAAAAATACATATTATATACAATGAACACTATGGCTGATGGGTGCACTGAAATCTCAGAATTTCCCACTATGTAATTCATCCATATAACAAGAAACCCCTTTTACCTCAAAGCTATTGAAATAAAAATTAAAGATATGTATGTGTATATATACATACATATTTACACACACACACAATAAAAAGATAAAGAGTCAGAAGATAAAAGAACACCCAACTATATATTGTCTAAAATAAATCCATTTTAAATATAAAACACACATAGATTAAATGTTAATGGATGAAGAAAATTATACCAAGCTAAAAACATGAATTGAAAGAAAATAGGAGTAGCAATATTAATTTTAGTTACAGCAGACTTCAGAGCATGGACATTTATCAGGGATAAAAAAGAGCACTACGTAATTATAAAGGGGTTAATTCTCCAAGAATATATAATAATTCTTAACATGTATGTGCCTAACAACAGAGTATTAAAATATGTGAAAGAAAACTAATAGATCTGTGAAGATAAATATATAAATACACTATTATAGCTGGAGACTTCAATACACTCCTATTAGAAAAGAACAGATCCAACAGACACAAAATTAATAAAGACAGTGAAATTCAACAACACCATTCATCAACTGGACATGATGGACATCTACAGACAACTTTATGCAACAATAGGAGAATACACATTATTCATAGATTCACATGGGATATTCACCAACATAGACCACATTCTGGGTCATAAAAAACACCGGAAAATTTAAAAGAATAGAAATCATACAACGTCTACTCTCAGACCGCAGTGGAATTAAACTAGAAATCAATAACAGAAAGATAGCTGGAAAATCCCTAATTCTTTGGAGATTAAACAACACTTCTAAATAACACATGGGTTCTCATTCTTATTAGATTAAGGGTTCACTTGTTACCCAGTTCTGATAATAAGACTTAAAGTTGAGATTCAGAGATAGCTCAGAATAAAGGGCTCTAACATTGCTTCTTTCTTATTTACATTAAATTGGTTAAAACGCTGCATGTGATTACAACTTTTTAGTTCTCTCTATGTATGTAGCACAACTCTTAGCATATAATGAGATTTTGTTATTGCAATCCCTACAACTTCACAATATTACATTGATGTCTTTCTTTTCTGAAATATTAATAAAGGTATCAAATTTTATTTTTCCTATTGAATATGTTTATATATAATTAGACCACAGAGGAAAAAATACTGGCATATGTTCTCATTATTTTTTAATAAATATATATTTAAATATTTTTATCATTTCAATACACTCAAAATGTTGGCATTTCAAATAGATGTCAGTTTTCAAGTAACATACACTTATAATTATACTATTTTAAATAATGGTGATTTTTTTTTTCTAATTGGCTAATGTTTTAATTCAACAAACCTGTAGAAAACATTGTCCTTCTTCAAAGAGCTTCATTCCTAACTAGAAAATATTTTGCCCTAAGGAATGAGAAAACAGCACAGAAAAAATGTCATAATCTTTCTCAGTAGCTGATATTCAGACAAAAAAATGTCCTACATGTTTATATCATTTAGTTTACATCCAAGATTTTGACACTACAATGAAAATTACAATATTGAGAAAGTCAAAAGCATCTACATTTGAATAAAATCAAAGAGAAGGGAGGAAAGAAAAAAAATAAGCAAACACACTCAGATCCTTAGCTTAGGTTTTTAAACAGCTTCATAGCATCAGTCCCTTCCACTCTAAACAGCAGCAGCAGTGGCAGCAATACAGACATTCAACCATGAAATGAGCATGATTTCCAGGTGGCCTTCTTCAATAAGAATAGCATTAAATGACTATTTAAATTTGCCAGGAAGTGAAACATTTCTCAAATAAGAAGCCTATACAATTGAAATTCTGTGCAGCACAGCTAAGGGAAGATTTGAAGCTGATACCTACCTACTACTACCACCATCAAGCGTTCCAACATTTTTTAAATGAGCAAACTAATGATAATGAAACTAATTTTACCACATCACCCTGGGAGAGGAAGATTTTCGATAAACTTTTGCTATTAACAGCTAGGATATTCTGAAAGTATTTACCATTAAGAGATAAGCACAATGAGAAAGGTAGCTTTTAATATACAGCAGAGAATGTGCAAATAAAACCACTGATATAACAGAATCCCAGTATAATAGCGTTTGCAACAGTCAACTTCATAGTTAAGGTTACAACTCAATTTCATATCCCTGCTTTACTTGCTCATAAAAACTTGGTGGAAAGTTCTTCAACATTAAAACTTTTCATACTTGGTCTCCAAGTAAATATGAATGATAAACATGAAGGTTTTTCAATTTTAATAAAAGATTTTTTCTTTCCCTTTCTCCAAGGACAGTTCCTTCACACAAGTACTCCGACAAATAGCATGAACAAGGGGGAATTTAAAATGCATGAATTTCCTAATTAAACTTCAAATGTTTATTATGGACCCTTTTCTCTTAAACAACACCTGAAGTTCAGGGAATTTAAAAACCTTCTGACAAAGCACTAGTCCTCTGGGAGGAAAAATACTGTCTAGGCTTCGAAAACCCATTCAATAACCTGAAACTTATTTAGATCTTAACTAGAGAAAATCTGAATGTGGTTATAGAAATTTTGGTGGCCTCAGATTATAGTAACACTCTATTAAAATTACATACAATTACATTTTTGCTAATAGATCTGCCCTGGAATTTTCCCCATTATATTGTGAATATGTTTTTAATTTACTGTATATTATAATTTTATTATAATTTATTTTAAAAATTCTATTGATATATAATAGTTGTACAAAACACATGTGATATTTTAATACCTGTATATAATGTGTAATGATCAAAGCAGGGTAATAGGACTATCCATCACCGCCAACATTTATCTTTCCTTTGTATTGGGAACATTGCAATTCTTCTCTTCTAGCTATTTTGAAATATACAATAAATTATTGTTAACTATGAATTCCCTCCTATACTATGGAATACTAGAACTTATTCCTTTCTATCAAACTGTGTTTTTATACCCTTTATCCAACTTTTCTTCCTCTCTCCTTCCCTTCCCATCTCATATTATCATTTGTAATTGGTACATAATAATTGTATATATTTATGGGGCGCAGGGTGATATTTTGATGCATAAATACAATGTGATGTTTTAACACATTAAAAAACCTTCTTAGCTGGGGAGAGACTGCCTCTCCCCGGATTAAGCCAATTCTAAGAGATAGTAAAGGACCCAGCAGGAGTATGCCTTTGATAAACAAAATAACCACCAGAGCCATACCTTCTCTACCTGGCCCACCACCCCAAGAGGTAACAGTCCTCTGCCTTAATCATCCCAGGGCCAAGTAGCAGGCAAGTAGGGGCCACCCCTATAGCCCAAAGCCTGCCAGTTATTCAAACAAGCCAATCCTAAATTATTCAACCTGCCCCACCTTGCCTTTCCTGCTGACCCCAACAAATGCAATGGCTGAAACCATCCTCTCACTCCTGTCTTCTGCCCTTTCACCACCCTGGTGTCTTTCCTGTGTGGCCCTGTGTGGCACGTTGTGCCTCCTTGTCTTCTAGGACCTGTGAGTATAATAACCTTCATTTTTTCCTGAACCTCTCCATTGTCTCCTCTTGTGGCCACACCTCACTGACCATCACATAAAAGAATACAAAACACCCTTCTTCCCAGATGTCACCTAATACTTTATTGGCAAGGATGCATCACTAAGTCTGACCAATAAATCAGACATGTAATATCTGACAATAAGATTTGTTTCCATTCCTTTTCATCTCACAACCTCCTTCAAAATCTTTCTGATATCTCAGGCAAATATCTAGCTCTGTTCCCATCAATAATATCTCTTTTAGAAACTGTGGACACCCCTCAAGACCTTCCCCTTCCTTGAAGGACTGCTTAACCTATCCAGTGGCACTAACCAAGAACCACAGCACACCTACCCAGAGGTGGTAGGAAATGTATGGAAATAGTACCTTGGGGAATAAGGTAGGGAAAGCATTGCTTGGCTTTTGTCGGTAGGAGCTAAAGATGCTTATTAATTATCTGGCAACATTCTGCAATGATACAAAATGAATTCTATGGTTCAAAATGTCAGCAGCACCTTGTTGAGAAATAATAGTGTACGTGATCTCTCACTTCAAGAAATTGGTCATCTAGGAAATCATTCATATTAGGCCTGCCCAGTCCTAGATGTCCTAGCAAACTAGAGCTATAGAAACATATTATGTAATTCACATCAGAAAATGGATACGATTGTTCCAATTCTTGAATAGATCTTGAGAAAATAACCTCTCCCTCCACATGAGTATGGAACCCAGAAATGGTCATTTGAGATTTAAATATTCTGTTTCTAAAGGACTTCGGACATTCATAGATAAAATGAAGTCAGAAATACAAATCCCCACACTCCAGGTCTTTATTATCTAGACTGACAGAGCATAAAAGTGGTGGTGGTGGGGGGTGATGTGGGGAAGGTGGTATAGGCACTGCAGCAATCTAGAAAAAGATGACTCAATACTATTCAAACACCAAAACCACAGGAAAGGTAAAGAGAATGTCCTTTAAGACTACAGACTTTCATATCCGACATTCCCAGGTCCGAGTCCTCTGTTTTGTTGCTTAATATGAATGACATTAGGTAATTGCTTCTAGAGGTTGGGACTTCTAATAGATAAAGTACAAGTAAAAATGTGGAAAGAAAGAACTAAAGACCAGTTTAGAATCTATCATCCTGAGTAAAGCAGCAGCATTAGGAAACAATAATAGGTAATATTTATTGAATGTTTATTCTTCATGAGGTGCTAATACATGTATTCACTTCATCCTTACAACTCTAAGAGGTTTTATGACCCATTTTGGCCACAAAGATTATGAAGGTTAGACAGGTGACATCACTTGAACAAGGTCACAGTAGCTTGTACATGGAAGAGTTAGGGCTTGAACCTAGGGCTTCTTTACTTGAAATCAAAAACTCTTAGCCACTACTCTAACCTTCCTTCTCCGACAGCATCATGAAAGGTGCAGTATTATGGTGGTAAAGACACAAAAGCAACCCCAGGACATCAAGACAGCCTCCTTGGACTTCCACTTTGCTAGGGAGAATAAGTAGCATTTGAAAGGAATGATGCTGCCAAGATTTGCTAAAAGCTATGCCAGGCAGAAAGCCAGTGGAAAGGTGGCAATCTCATCACTGGCACAGCACAGAGAAGGAGCTTGAACAAAGTCTCTGTGACAGGCATGGAAATGTGCCACTCAGCTCTTCCAAGTGGAAGCATAACTGACAGGCGGCCCCAGCAGCTGCCTTTCTGACTTCACTATTGTATTCACACCCATGAGCTCTTCCCAGCCAATGCCTAAGAGCTTCAGGAACACCAGTGCAGAGGAGACATGGGACTCCTCTGGCAAGCCACCTTGGCTTGTGGAATTCCAGTTGGCCTGGCTGACACTTACTTAGAACCGTGCTGCAGTCTGAGACTTTTCCTGCCCAAGCCTCCTTCCTTCTGTCTCTCCTTCAATGGGATCAGACCTGCATTAAGAATGTGGCTTGAAGGTTATCTCCACCTTCTTCAGCACCTTCCCATTTCTTCTTCACAGATGTTTTCTCTAATACATTTATTTCATGTGTAACCCCATATTGGGGTCTGCTTCTTCTTGGAGGATACAAACTAACAGTCACAGATTATTCATGACCCCTAGTTAGATGGCTTCTTCAATCTCAAAAAGCAACAGAAAAGATGTGATTTCCTTTGCCGTGATGATCAATGGCTATGTCTCCCCAAAAACTTACTAACCTCAGGCATCTGGGGTTACTAAAGCAAATGGAAAATTATGAAAAGGAAAGAAAATGGAGATAAGTAAGTTAAGAATCGCAGCATAAATCAAAGGACAATTAAATAATTAAATTAATATTTTTATCAGCACAAAGCATAACTGATTCCACAAAAGAGGCTTGATGATACGGAAGATCCATTGAAGAGCTCTCTCTAAGAAAGAGAGTCAAAATCCATGAAAGAGCATATCGCAAACTGAAGGACAGAGACCCAAGAGCCAACATGTTTAGTGATATGTGATCCAGAAGAAAAAGCCGGAACTAATAAATAACAAAGATAAAATAGAGCAAAATATTCCTGAGCTGAGGAAAGAACTAGTTGTACAGAAGAAAATGTTTCCCAAGCTACAGGATAAATTGATAAAAGAGCAGCCCAATTGCTCTAATTTTTCAGTCTAGTCTTTATCTTTCAAGCAACAGAATATTTTTACATTTCTGGAGACTTTGCTTGATCCTCCTTACATCCTTAAAGTGGGGTTCAGACAGTTTTTGTCAAATATTATGAGTTATAGGAAAACCAGCATCACAGCTCTGTGGATTCATTCTTTACCCACGTTAAGAGGGGCAAACTGATGTTAGTTACCAAAGTGCTCTCTCCTGCCCATCAACTATCTCAAATGCTGTTCTTTCAACCTGCTGACAGTCTGTTTTACCCATTAGACCTGTTGTGAACTTAACAGAAACACTGCAGTCAGACAACATATGAGCATGAGTTATTATGAGGGTTCTCCCTAGGATTTATATTTGTTCTCTACTGATTACCTCTGACCGACAACCCCCACAGTTAGGACTGAAATATGCTTGGAACATTTGCATCAGTTCAGGTTTCGGTCATAAGAGCAGGCGAGGAGATAAAGGGGAGGGAGGCACTAGAGGGACTAGTAAGGCACTACTGTCTTGAGAGAGCTCTCTATTTGCTCCTTTTTTTTCCTTTTTTCTTATTTATGCAACCTAAAGCTACCTACATCACTTCTCTACCAGGCACAATTGATATTTTGTTGTTGTTGTTGTTTTGTTTATGATACAGAACCTTGCTCTGTTGCCCAGGCTGGAGTGCAGTGGCATGGTCTCGGCTCACTGCAACCTCCGCCTCCCAGGCTCGAGCAATTCTCCTGCCTCAGCCTCCCGACTAGCTGGGATTACAGGCACCCGCCACTGCACCCAGCTAATTTTTGTATTTTTATTAGAGACAGGGTTTCACCATGTTAGCCAGGCTGGTCTCAAACTCCTGACCTCAGGTGATCTGCCCGCCTTGGCCTCCCAAAGTGCTGGGATTACAGGCGTGAGCCACTGCACAATTGATATTTTAAAGAGCTCGCTATATAAAGATTTCACTTCATGTAGCATGCCTTACCTTTGAGGGATACAATGGAGTGATTGCTTTGCTCAGCCACTGTTTGTGTGCAATTTAATGAGGTTTTCCTTTCTTCCTTTAAACATATAGAGATGGGCTCTTGCTATACTGCCCAGGCTTGTCTTGAACTCCTGGCCTCAAGTGCTCCTCCTACCTCACCCTCAATATATGAGTGTATCAAGCAAGTGTCTTAGTTGCAAACTAATAGAAGCTAGCTGATTAAGCATAAATGAAGTCGAGAAGTTTAAGTTGACATAACTATGGGAAGGGCTAGAGAACCAAGTTTAAGAATAGTCTTCTGTTTGTCAACTCTCGCCTCCCTAAAAGACCACTAGAAAAACCTGTGGATCATGGAAAGCTAAACCAATTAAATCTACATAAGCAAAGGATAACACAACCTTGAAAAATACTTATTTCAGAAGGGGGAAATCAGGGCAGATAGTTGTAGGGTATTTCAAACCCAGGCTGAATGATTTTCATGCCATTGTTTCAGGAGTGGAATTTCTTGGAATTGGGTATGGCTTATGATATAATAGCTTTGGATTGGTAGTCACAGTGAGGTGAGAAGTTTCTTGAAGAAGGAAAATATGATATATCCATACAATGGAAAATTATTCATTCTTAAAAAGGTAAGAAATCCTGCTCTGTTGAGGTTATAGGTGCACCAAAATCTCAGAAATCACCACTAAAGAACTCATTCATGTAACCAAACACCACCTGTTCCCCAAAAACCTATTGAAATAAAAAAAAGAAATTAAGAAATCATATCAGGGCTAGGTAATTAAGATTAAAAATTGTGCAACTACAAAATATGCATTGTGATATAGAATAAATAAGCCAAAAAATTTTTTAAAAAAGAAATCCTGGCTGGGCATGGTGGCTCACGTCTGTAATCCCAGCACTTTGGGAGACTGTGGAGGGTAGATCACCTGAGGTCAGGAGTCCGAGACCAGCCTGGCCAAAATGGTGAAACCCTGTCTCTACTAAAAATACAAAAAAAAAAAAAAAAAAAAAATCAAGCAAGCATGGTGGCGGGTACCTGTAATCCCAGCTACTTGGGAGGCTGAGACAGGAGAACCACTTGAACCCGGGAGGCGGAGGTTGCAGCGAACCGAGATCGCACCATTGCACTCCAGCCTGGGCAACAAGAGTGAAACTCTGCCTCAAAAAAGAAAAAAATAAATAAAAAAGAAATCCTGCCGTTTGCAACAAGATGGATGGAAACGGTAGACATTATACTAAGTGAAATAAGCCAGTCACAGAAGGACAAATACTATATTATATTACTTACATGTAGAATTAAAACAGTCAAACATATAGAAGCAGAGAGAAGAATGGTGGTTACTAGGGGTTAGGGGAGAGGGAGAAATGGGGGAGATGATGATTAAAGGGTATAAAGCTTCTGTTTTGTAAGATAAATATCATGAAGATAGATCCTATTGTCTGTGTGTATGTGCGTTTTTAACAGACAATAATAATAACAATAGTTGTTATAATTATTATTATGATAGAGGAGGCACAAGGAAACTTTGGGAAGTGGTGGGTATGTTTAAGGCCTTGATGGTAGTGATGGTTTCACAGGTGTATACTTATCTCCAAACTCATTGATTTGTGAACATTCATTAAGTAAAATTTTTCATGTCTCAATCAAATCTCAATAAAGGGAGGCCGAGGTGGACAGATCACGAGGTCAGGAGATCAAGACCATCCTGGTTAACACGGTGAAACTCTGTCTCTACTAAAATTACAAAAAAAATTAGCTGGGTGCAGTGGCATGCACCTGTAGTCCCAGCTACTCGGGAGGCTGAGGCAGGAGAATCTGCTTGAACCCAGGAGGCAGAAGTTGCAGTGAGCCGAGATCGTGCCACTGCACTCCAGGCTGAGTGACAGAGCGAGACACCCTCTCAAAAAAAAAAAAAAAAAAAAAAAAAAAAAGAAAGAGAGAAGGATATTGAAAAGAGAGTACATTGATAAGAATTGTGGCTGAAAAATAATGTGTCTAGCAGAAAAATTATGCATCCAGGATGTAGGGGAAAATGGTCTTGGGGGGATAAATTGTTTCCACCACATGAAGTGACTCAAAACTGTATTCCTGGATGGTGTGAGCCCTTAGTGATTCTGATATTTGAGTAATTTTTCATTACTTTTGACCAATGAACACAACTAAGCTAGAAGGTTTCCTCAGAAGTGCCCCTGGGGTCAAGACACACTATTTCCTGCCTTCACTGTGTGTCATCAATGTGTTTTGTCCATTGACAATCAGGCGCATTCAAACATGCCAGTCAGTTTTCTAAACTCTTTTTCACCCTGTGAATTATGTAGAATAAGAAACTCAAAGAATTCAGGTGGTAACCTCCATCTCCCAATTAATTTTTTTAATAATGAAAACCTTCCTGTCTCAGGGACCAGATAGCTAAGTCAGCAGAGCTGAGTAGCTGGAATTAGAAATCAAAATTTTATAACTGACTTACTTAATGTGATAGTGAAGGAAACAAGTCCACTTTCATTTTGTGTAACAATGGACTGCCTCTTTTGTACTCTTGATTTCTATATAAAAATATTAAATAAACACATATTAAAATATTAAATAAACAAAATAATCACACACTTAGCCTCTAGTCTCACCTGATAAATCCTCCCACAAAGTGGAGTGAATGGGTCTGTAATCTGTTTCTTTTCTCCTTCCCCCCTCTCCTCAAGTCAGTGAGCAAAGGCAACCCAGCTAAATGTTTTTCTAGAGGCCATCTTAACTCCTAGGCCAGTAGGTATGGAGTTAAAAGGCCTGTTATGTTTGGATGTTTGGCTTTCACTATAAGATGTGTCCTCCAAGCTGTATTTATCAGTCATAGGAATGACATGTTCCACTTGATCTGCAAATAGCATCTCCACTCTTCCACTTACCCATTTGGTGGGTTCTACCATAGACTGTACCCACTTAGTCAAAGCCACCCTCATCTCTTGTCTTGATTATCATGAAGTCCTCCCCTGGCCATGTACCCCACAACCTCTACTTGCCTCCAGGAATCTCTTCTTCACATTCAGCCAGAGAGAACCTTTAAAAACAAGTTAGGTCATAAATTCCTCTGTTCAAAAGTTCCTAGTGGCTTCAGAGCGCTGTATCATCAAGGCCTGATCCCCACCTACATCTCTTTCATATCTTACCTACTTTCTTTGCTCTGTGTATCAGCCATGCTAGCTTCTTTGCTCTTTCTGGAACATCCTAAACACTCCATTAAGTCTCCTTCATTTGCTGTTCCTTTTGCCTGGAGTTTCTTTCCTACACATAGCCACATGGCTATCTGTCCTGTTTCCTTTAAGTCATTCCTTGCATATCACCTTAACAGTGAGTCTTACTCAGACAGAGCTGTATTAGCTAACACCTTCCTCATCTCATCTAAGCATTTTTCAACTTTTGAAACAGTCAATTTCCATGTGTTAAAATTCTGGTTTCTCCCATTAAAATTAAAACTTGCTAAGAACAAGAGTGGATTTGTTCACTCTTATATTCCTAGGACAGGAAAAATGCCTGGCATATTGTAAATGCTCAATGAACATCGTTTGAAGAAATGAAAACCAAACTATGTCAGACTGGAAAACTGTCGAGGGTGACTGACAGGAACATTGAGGAATTTCTGCAAGATAGAGCCTGCATGGTGACCAGCACACAAGAATTGCCTGCAGATCACATGTCATTGTAAATAAAGGGAAAGCCCGGATTCCCCAGGACTGTTCCTCTGAATAACCCACTACAGAATGTCAGGTGCTTGCAATTTAACTGGCTTTCTGTCAAGGAAGCACTTGCCACATTCTCTCTCAATTGGCACAGGACTCAGGCAGGGAAGAGGGTAGCTGTTTACTGACTCCTTTGAATCTCAACACCCCTATAAGACAGACTCAAACCTTACAAAGGGTTGTCTTCTATCTGGCACTGTAACTGAGTCTTCTGTATGTCTTTCTACCCATATGTTAGGGTCATTTTGATTAGCTACAGTAAATAAATAATGAGATACAGATAAACTAAAACCAATGAATCTAATGAAGATCAGTTCATTGCCCCACTTTTTTCACTGCCTGAAGAATGTCTTGGGCAGAAGTAATAATAGGGTGATATCATGGCAATAAGTAAAGCATGCAAATAGGTCTATCATGGCAGTGTTTTAGGTAAATAGATTTTGTATGTAGAACAAAGGGTAGCTTGTGTGCCACATGACACTTTGAGATGTAGTGTTAAATCTGTGATTCAGTGTTTGAAAACTGAAATTTGACAATTGGGCCATAATCCATTCGGTTGGGTCATGAATACACTCCACGGTTACTTTATTATGTATGAAACCACTGAGCAAGCGCTGGGATAGCTGAGGAAAGAGGCTAAGTGACATTTGGGGAACAAATAATCTCATCCACATAACTGAGCACTTTCTATGCAGTGGGAATATTTCCATGTATTCACACATATCCTCACACTCTGGGCCTATTCTGAAAGATTGAACCACACCACTCTTCCCTAAATGTCCTTGTAACCAATTATGTCATCCTGCTTTATTCAAAACCTTGACCATCCAAGGAAATTATTTACCATTGTTGATTAATCAGCATATCTTTGAACTTCAAGCTACCTCTTTATTCCAGGCAGGGTGGAAAACTAGATTTGCTACTTGGCCGGAATGACTTCTGTTTCCTATTGTCTTTCTGCTACTAATGTGCCTCTCGCACTCATATTCTGAATGAGGCTATACTGTTGCAGTATTCTATTTCTGTGCATAACTGGGATGTGAGGGGTTGTCTATAATGTGGGCTCATTTTCTGCTTCTTGATAACTGATCCTGGGTATTGAGCAAAAGTAAGTCCATCTGGCCTCATTATAATTCCTAGGGTGCCATTTTTTCCCCCAAATAATTCTTTATCTTTCATATAAGAAATATAGAAAGGCTTTGAATTCAGCAACTCACAGCTACCCATGGATTTGAATTTTGAGTCTGTGTTTCAGCTATCTCAGCCCTGTGGCTAGAATTGATACAAGGTTCTTATCACTTAGACACAGAAATTCCATGATTTTCTATCTTTGCCTTGAATGTAAGACTTTGTGCTTGTCATCATTTTTAATTTAAGTTGTCCAGAACAGTTAGAAGAAACCATCTCACACTAGAATCCTTTAATTTCTCATGTCGTTCATGTCAGAATGTGTAGTGTTTAAGAGCATACACCCTGGAGCTAGACTGCCAGGGTTTGAATCTTATCTCTGTCATCAACTAGGTGTAGGCAAGCTGTTAATTATCTGTGCCTCAGTTGCCTCGTTTTAAAGAAGAGAATCGTAATGAAGATCAATTAAATAAATTTCTATGAAGTGCTTAAAGTTGGGTAAGACTCTGTAAACACTACATAAATGTTTAATCTTATCATTTTTTCTATGGATTGGCCACTAGCCATGTCATCATTAGTAACGTTGTTCAATCATTGTCTAGCTATAATTTATTTGGTTGTTTTGTCTTGTGCATCACACACTAACAAAGTTTCATCTCTTGATACTCATTGCATTTTCAGAGCCATCATCCTGAAGCAAGAGAGATAATCTCTTGAATAAACAATTCAAGAATTAATTTTATGAATAGTCAATAGTTTTCTTACAAGAAAAGATACTGACTTGAGTGGATTAATCACAAAAGATGCCTTTTTAAATTCGTTTACTTTGTAAGATAGTGGGTAGCTCACAGAACTGTTGAAATGACTGCCAAACTAATCTTGCCAAAATATAATGCTATCCTCAGTGTTTCTGGCACACTCAGTAGTTTTCCTGTCTAGTACTGATTTTTTTTTCATTTATTCAAAATGTATTAATTGAGCATTTACAAAGTGCCAGGCACTTCTGTTTCAGGACTACAACAGTGATCAAATCTGTCTCTGTTCTTAAGGAGCTTAGAGTTTAATAGGAAGAGGCAGATCATAAACACTTAGGAATAGACTAAAACTTGAAGGATGGTTCGATGAAATGAAGAAGGAAGATGCTGTCATATATTTTGGTCAGAGAAGGCCTCTCTCTGTGTGACTTGAAAGAAGCCAGGAAAATAGTCACGAGTTTATCTGTGAGAAAGGAACTCCCGGCAGAAGGAAGAGCAAATGGAAAGAGCCTTAGGGAAGATCATGTTTAGTCTATTCCAAAAACAGCAATAAGGTCAGTGTGGCTGGGAGAGAGAGGGCAAGAAAGAGCATGGTAGGTTGTGGCATCAGAGATGTAGAGGGGGGTCAGAACTTTAGATTGTGTTCTGAAGTCCCTGGGAGATTTTTAAAAGAAATATAAGATCTAACTTGTTTTTAAAGAATCACTCTGGCTTCTTGTGAAGAATGGACTCAAAGAGATGGTTAGTGGCAGTGGCAAGAGGTTATTACGATAGTCAAGCCAACTAGATTAGTACAGTCTGAGGTAGAGCCCATTGAATGAGTCAGTGGAAGAATGGAGATCCTACTTGCTAAAATGAGAATGAGTAGAGGAAAAGAAAGTTCATGGAAAAGGTAAGTTTGCAAAATGCAAGTGTTTTGGAGGGGGTCATATTAAATTGGATATGTCATTTATATAACTGTTGAAATATCAAGTAGAAAGGTAATAGGCGTTTGGAAATAAGGGGAGAAGCTCCTTTTTTATTATGTATGTATGTGTGTTTGTGTGTGTACACATATACATATATATAACATATTTCTGTCATTTCAATAGGAATTTGAGATAAAGCATAGTTAAATTATTTTAAAATGATTCCATCTTGAAATTGAAACTGAAATTTTATTAGGTACCAAGAAACAAAGTTAAGCAGAAATCATGGAAGGTCATTTTCATGTAGAAATTTTGTAAAGATTTGCTTTCTCGTATTTGATCTCTGGAAATAGCCTGGCTATTTTTTTCTAATTTTCTTGATGAAAGCCATGATTTTGTGTCTGTATATATATACACATACACACACACACAGATATGCAGACCTTTTTTTTCCTCCAGATTCATCTTATTTCAGTAGTTACTTTCAAATAAATAGGACTTGTGTTTGTGTTTGCATCTCACTATGCATATACCTCCTCCTAGGAGAACAATTTTAATTTTACAAAGAATGTGTCTTAGCAGAGGGTTAGAGGACATCTCCCTGCCAAAGTTAGTGGTATAATTAAAATGTGTATGAGGCAGATAGATGGCAATTGACTCCCTGCGGTTCCCTCTAATATAGATTCCCTAAATCACAGGCCTTGGTTATGACTTCAGCAGTATGTTGCCTTCTCCCTAACTACTTTCTTTACAATTGCCTGCACCATGCAGGGGATGTATTTTGCCTTACCAGCTGCAGAAAAGTGAGACACAGCACAAAGCCTGAGTATAATTTTGCCCATTTTCTTTAATTGAGGATATACAATAACATGAAAGCTTCAAATTCACGGAAGAGAAAAATGGTTTCCCATTTCCTATGAAGTAAGCTTTAGAGAGTAAAATGACAGTTTCTTCCAAACAAGCTAAGTGTACTCATTTAGCAAAGACAAGTTGCTTTGGATATCACAGTTTAAGAGAACATTGCCCATACTGAGGTGTGTCTTTTAGAGCTGTACATACTTAGTAGAAGACAGAATTGAGTATTGGTAATTGAACATGAGAATCGTGAAGACAGAATCACACAGGCAGAACATGAAGCTTAGGTCTGCAGAGAAAAAGAAAACTTTGAGTAAGTAATCAAGAAAAAAAAAGTATCACTATTTACTACAGTTGTATAAATGCATAATTGAAGGCTGACAATATCTACTCCCAAATATAATATAAACCCAGAGTAACCTTACTCGTCATAGCCAAAATACTGAAAACAACTTAACTATACATCCTCAAAAGAAGAGAGAAATCATGGTTTCTTCACACAATAAAATTATAAGTAGCTGTTAAGAGTCATGAATTAGCGCTGTCTACAACAATATAAATGAATCTTGCAAACATAATAGTAAAATTGAGAGAAGTTATGGGTTATGTAGGAAGAAAACAAACCCAAATTGTTTTTTCTATTCCTTCGCTCAACAACAATCAATAGAGAAAATGTCTGTGACCAAATGTGTGGAGATTTCTTCCCACCAATAAGTAGGCAATCAGTTCTGCAGTGGACACTAGCTAGGTAGGTGTCCTCCAATTTAATCCAGACACTATCTACCTGGAGACAGCATCAGAACCCACAGGTTGAGGGCTCAGTCCCACAAGACTGCCCCCTACATCTTATGCCAATAGTAGGCCTAGGTTGTTTTACCTGTGCTTCTGACCAACTGGTTATAGATTGAGGTTCCAACAACCCTCTCCCTGTGTTTGACTAATTTACTAGAGCATCTTACAGAACCCAGGGAATCACTTATTTACATTTACCAGTTTATTATAAAGGACAATACAAAGGATAGAGATGAAGAGAGGCATACGGCAAAGCATGGCAAAAGGGGCGAAGAGCTTCCATGTGTGCCAGAAACTTCCAGCTATTCAGAAGCTGTCTGAACCCAGTCTTTTTGTGTTTTTATGGAAACTTCCTTCTGTAGGCATGATGGATTAAGCCATTGGCCATTGGTGATCAACTTAACCTTCAGCTCCTCTCCCCTCCCCAGAGGATGGGGATGGGAATGAAAGTTCCAACCCTCTAACCCTCTAATTCTGCCTTTCTAGTGACCAGACACCATCATGAAGCTACCTAGGAAGTAGTAGCCATCAGTTAGCATCAGTTAACTCATTAGGATACAAAAAGACATCACTTTAGAGATTCCAAGGATTGGGACGAAGACCAAATAAATACATTTCACAATATCACAAGGTAAACCTTCGGGGTTGATGCCAGTGTCTATTTCTTGACCTGGTTGATGGGTATAAGGGTGTTTGCTTCAACATAATTCAGAAAGCTGTATGTTTTTGTTTTATTTACTATTATTTATGTGTGTTACACTTCAGTAAGGAAAAGTTTTAAAAGTTGAATGCAGAAATCTACCTGAAAGGATGAGTTAGTAAAGTTCTAGCTATCAGAAATTTTACAGGAGCCCTATTTAACTTTGATTGCTACTAAACACAAGCTACAGCGAAAGAAAAAAATAATATTCTCCTTAAGCTACATTAATACAAAATCACAGAGGGGGCAAAAACTAGTTTGTGACTGTTGTTAATTTTGCCTACTAGGGGAATGGAAATTCCTCTCTAGGAAAGATATCTTCTTTTTTTTTTTTTGAGACGGAGTCTCGCTCTGTCGCCCAGGCTGGAGTGCAGTGGCGGGACCTCGGCTCACTGCAAGCTCCGCCTCCCGGGTTCACGCCATTCTCCTGCCTCAGCCTCCCAAGTAGCTGGGACTACAGGCGCCCGCCACTACGCCCGGCTACTTTTTTGTATTTTTAGTAGAGACGGGGTTTCACCGTTTTAGCCGGGATGGTCTCGATCTCCTGACCTCGTGATCCGCCCGCCTCGGCCTCCCAAAGTGCTGGGATTACAGGCGTGAGCCACCGCGCCCGGCCAGGAAAGATATCTTCTAATTGAGAAAAAAAAATTGCTATTTTGAATGTAGAAAGAAGCCAGCAGTGGGAAGAGTGTGGAAGGAGACATCAAGAGTGAGCTGAATTGCTCTGCCTAGAAAAATACCAAGAAGGAAATTGGGAGAGATTAAAAACTGGCAGGTGGGATAGGAAGGTGGGCTTGAGAGATGCATCTGGGTACCTATCTTTTCTGTAAAGTTTAATGTGCACACCTTGAGCTGTGTTTCCATTTAGTTCTGCATAAAAATCACAGAAAAGGCAACAGCCGCAAGAGGTATGAATGCTCAATACTGAAAAAAGTTTAAAAAGCACAAACAGGAAATGCAAGGAGTGCAAGAAGTAACTAAAAGTAATGTTAGCCTTTTCAAAACAACAACGGATAAACCCTAGTAACACGAAGACAGACACGAGTAGTCCTTCATATGTGAGATGGGGTTCAGGCCATTTAATTTAAATTTTATAAGACAGGGTTGTTCCAGAAAGCTGAAATATTTAGGTACATCTGGGTGACATAAATGTTTGCATAGTATCTCTGTTAACGTAGCACTTTTCACATTTCATCCTCACCAAAATCCTTTTCGGTATTATTATTAACTCTATGTTACATATAAAGGTGCTGAGAATCAGGGCAGTTCATGCTACTGGTATGTGATGGAGCCAGAGAGATCAAAATAATTCTATTTTCTTTCCACTGAATCCCAGCAGGTCAAGAAAACCAATAGTTTTCTAAAACAAATTCCATGTGAACTAAGTTACCTATCATCTGTGAATATTTTATCCTGTAATTGGATCCAGGTATGATACAAATTTTGTTTCATCCTTTTTAAAAAAAGTGTTTTGGAGAACATATTATATTTGATGTTTGGAAAGCCCAGAAAATAATAAAGGAAAAATTCATTCATTATTCTCATTATTCAGAGATAGTTTATAAAGTACAGAAAGAGAAAGACTAGACTATCTATCACTCTAGGTCCCAGATTCCATAGCAGAGCTCTAAGAGAGCAAGAAACAAAAATATTAATATTACTACTGGAACTATAAATTAGTGAGAAAATTAGTCCTTTAAATGCTCAGTTGTTTAAGCAATTAAATCCCTTTGGGGGTGGTAACAAATTTAGTGAACTGTCACCTTAGAAATGAGTGATTCAAGCCATTTTTAGGAACATAGAAACTGCTGCAGGCTTTGGAACATCACAGACTTTGGTTGGAAAACTGGTTAGAATATCTAGTCTGTCATGTACTTTGTAACATTTTTTAAAATTTTAACTTTTATTTTAAGTTCAAGTGTACATGTGCAGGTTTGTTATGTAGATAACTTGTTGTATAGATTATTTTGTCACCCAGGAATTAAGGGTGGGGTTTGTTGTACAGATTATTTTGTCACTCAGGTATTAAGCCTACACCCGTTAGTTATTTTTCCTGATCCTCTCCCTCCTCCCAACCTCCACCCTCCAATAGGCCTCAGTGTGTGTTGTTCCCCTCTATGTGTTCATGTGTTCTCATTGTTCAGCTCACACTTATAATTGAAAAATGTAGTATTTTGTTTTCTGCTCCTGCATTAGTTTGCTAAGGATAATGGTCTCCAGCTCTATTCATGTCCTGAAAAGGGATATGATCTTGTTCTTTTTATGGCTGCATGGTATTCCATGGTATATATGTACCACATTTGCTTCATCCAGTCTATCATTGATGGGCATTTAGGTTGATTAAATGTCTTTGCTATAGTGACTAGTGTTGCAATGAACACGCACAAACTATATACATGCAAACTATAGCTTGCAGGACAAATCTGGCCTACCACCTGCTTTTGTAAATAAAGTTTGATTAGAACACAACCAAGTCCATTTGCTTACATCTCGTCTGTGGCTGCTTTCACACTACAACAGCAGAGTTCAGTAGCTGTGATAGAGACCATATGGCCCACAAGGCTGAAAATAATTATCAGCCGGCTTCTTACAGAACAAGTTCTTTTTTTTTTTTTTTTTTTTTAGAGGAAGTTGCCCTCTTGTTGCCAGGTGCAATCTCAGCTCACTACAGCCTCTGCCTCCCAGGTTCAGGTGATTCTCCTGCCTCAGCCTCCTGAGTAGCTGGGATTACAGGTGCCCTCCACCACACCTGGCTAATTTTTGTATTTTTAGTAGAGACGGGGTTTCATCATTTTGGCCAGGCTGGTCTTGAACTCCTGACCTCAGGTGATCCACCTGACTCGGCCTCCCAAAGTGCTGGGATTACAGGCATGAGTCATCACGCCCGGCCAGAAAAAAGTTCATTTATAGGGTATAAGGAAAGGACCTTGGCAGCTGGACTCTATAAATATTAGCTTTTGATATTAGAATATTGTATATAGAAGGGGCATTGCCAAATCAAGGATCAATTTCCGTTGCCTTGGCTTTTTAAAAGGGTTATTAAAGTTAGAAATAATCATAATCATTCCATCTTGCTATACGTCTTGCAAATTTTAGCCACTAGCATAAGAGAAGTCAGACGTTAGTTTGAAAAATCACGCAAAGTTATTATTATTACTGCAAAAACCCAAATGTACTGAGCATATAGAGTAATAACATAGGATTTCCTTTCTGTAAAAATCATGACCTTTGTGATTATGCAATATGATCCTTATTGGCAAAAGATGCATCATGAAAATAAAGACTACCATTTTTTGTTACATAAAGACATTGTAAAATATAAAAGTTTGCAGGTATTATTTTTTCATTACTGTTTAATTGCAACAGTGACAGTAACACTAAGCATTCATTAAATGCTTACTGTTTGCCTGATTCAGAGTTATATAGGCAGTCTATGATTTAATAGGTTCTAAGAGTTGGAATATGATCTGATATTTATTTTCTTCAGGTATCTTTATATTTTCTAAAAGTTTACAATCGTCTTCTGTGTTTTATAATTAAGAATAAATCGAAGCACTTTTTTACAAGTGGAAAGAAAAGCAAATCTAGCTACTGAAACTCACCAAACTTATACCTGCCTCAGCTTTCGTCATTAAAATTTGGGGGAGAATGCTAAAGGCAGCCAAAGACAAAAATAAACGAGAAAGGAGACCAATAGTGGAGTTACAGGTTAAAAAAAAAAAGGCAAGAAATAGGAATAAAAACAGCGGCCTAAGGAAACTGAAAATAATAAGCTAAATAATAATGATAATGACAATGATAATAAGCAGACCCAATGTGAGAAAAAGAAAAGATTTGAAGTCATACACTATTTCGAGGGCAATAACCAAGCAAAAAAGGAAAGGAAATACAATTCATACAAATCACAGAGTTTGAAGAAAGCCATGAAAACATATTTGGCTTCATCAGTAAGTGCAGCAAGAAGCTAAATGAAGGTAGAATAAAAGACTGTCAGAAATCAGTTTAGTAAGAACATGATTGATACAAGCAATCTGAAGTTGGAAGGGAAATATATTATTTTCCATGTTTGTATTCTAAAGAGAACTGCCGTATGGCTAGATGAATGGAATACAAGACGTGTAATATATAATTGAGAATAACTTTTATATTCCACACATCTGAGAGAGGAATGAAAGGAAGGTGGACAAATTCCATAAGCTATCATCAAATACCTTACCATTCAAAAGAAATCTCAAGTGGTTTCTTCGAAGTTGATGAGAAGAAAAAACAGGTTTCCACTGGCCACGAACTAAAGAAAAAATCCCCACCAATTATACACTGACGAACCAAAAATATGAAGGCAGATCTAATGTGGGGGACTGTCCTAGTGTCAGGGCTGAAAATCCTACTAAACCCTTCAGACTAGGGCAAACCCTTAGTAGTCAGGTCCTATTGCCAATACTCATACCCAGTCTTAGGAAAGAGACCCACTAAGCAAATCACCTGCTCATTAACAGGGACTATCATACCCACAATGCTCACTACCTTAATGCCCAAACATACAGATAACCCTGTCTTCTCCTAGTCAAAGGTGGCACAGATAAGGACACAGTAGTCATGAGCTTTTGCCCACAGTAAACTGGATGATTACTGAAAGAAAGGGAGGCTGACAAGGAGAGCCTGTGATTAAGGTAGAAAAGGTTTTCAACCAGGGCCCTTTCAAGCAGCACTGAGAACATTTCAGCTTCTTCCTTCCAGCCTTGGAGAGGAAAGTACACACACACACACACACACACACACACACACACACACACACACACACACCCTATCTTTTTTTTTCTTTTGACTAAAGACAGATGATGACATGGTTGACCAGTATTCACACACACTCAAAGAAGTTAAATGCTTTTTAGCTGACAGTCATCTCAAATCCTTCTAGAAAACAACACAAAATACTTTATGTGATTTGCTGGTCACTTCACTGTTTAGCCCTTGTAAAATCATGAACCAAAGTTGTGTCATACTTTCATCTTTCTTTACCTAAAAAGTAAAGTTCTCAAGTTGATCCACTCCTACCTATGATCAGGCAGAACCAGTAATAACTGAACAAGTATTTATTACCTTAACAGGAGTATGCTGTATACTACTTTCATTATTTCATTAATACATGCAAACATACACACACAAGAAAATAAATGTATTATAATTAATTGCACTTTACAGGGAAAGAGACTGTGACTTAGGTTAAATAACTTGATCTCCTTTCATAGCTAATAGAATTAGAAACAGAATTTGTGTCAGGTCAGCCTGGTTCCTGAAACATGTCTCCTTAATTACTCTGCCCTACTGTCAAAAAAAAAAAAAAAAAAGGAAAATATGTTTGCTTGAAAAACAGGAATTCTCAGATTCCTGACTGAGTTTCAAGAAGAAAAAAGTGAAGGAAGAATTTCTCCGTAAGATGCCTTAGACTTCATTATACAGTATTATGTTAATGGTACTTAGTAATTTATTTTCTAAAGGCTAAAGTGAGAGGAATTTGAATGCTTTTACTTTGTGAGAGGTGAAACTCATTACCTATCACAGAATATAAAAACTGTTATTGTTCCAAAAAAATTTAGAGGCATTCAGGAAAGTAATGAATTCTAATTCAACAGGTTATGCCAGGTAAAACTAAGAGGGTCCATTCTTACATGCATAATGATTGACTATATAATCTATGTTGTATAAAGGTTTGTTTAATTTTTCAATGAAGCACTTTTGACTCACAGTCTTCAGCACTTTATGTATGACAGTAGGGAGTTTTTTTTTTTTTTTAAAGAATATTTTTGTTTGCTTCAGAAAAACTCAAAACCTTGTTAGGAATAAAATATACTTGAGAAAAAATCTGAAGAGCAATTTTAAATCAACAATATGTGCAAATTAAGACAATCAGAATGCATAATATAGTCATTATACTAGTTGAAAAAAATCTCTTTTTAAAAATAACCACAGCATCGTAGGCAGTACAATATGAAATACTACAAATACAATATTCTACTGGTACCAAATTAATGACCTGCCACAAAATGAATGGGGAAAAAACTAACCAGTTCATGTTTTTGTTCAAGCACAATGAATCCTAGAACTGAACAAATATTAATTAGCAATTTAAGTCATAAAAAGCAAATCAGTTTTATTTGTCATGTTTGTAAAGCTTAATCTCTGACTTCACCATGTCCTGTAATGCATTCATCTTATCTAACCTCCAACTCTTTTGATAACCACATTATATTTTTGCAACACTCACATTAACATAGTTGCATCAATGGCTAAATTATTTCCCCTAGAAAGCATGACTCTCTAATGCTCACACTAATGCTCGTTCTAACATTTTCCTTACTCGAACTTTTGAGAGGTGTAATGAGAATCTCAGTAGATTCAATTGTGTGCTGGATGTGCAATTATTGGGATCTTTAGCATATATGCAATAAGTAAATAAGCACTGAAGGATCTTGCTGTGAAGGAATAAAAGTAAAATAAATGATGGAACCACAATTGAGGAAACAGATTATTTCTCACCAGGTGTTGTGGGAATATGGAAACACACTGTAATTTTTTTTTTTTTTTTACTGCTTACTCTTCGAAACAATTGGAAAATGCCCCAGGAATGACATTAAGACAAATAATTTATGCCACACAAATCATTAAACTATAAGAAACTTCATTAAGTAGCTTCCCATTGGTAGCCTGAAATAAAACAGCTGGCATGACTGTTGGATATTGAAGAAAATATAAAATTTCTTTTGCAATTAAAAAACCCCCCTTCTCCCAGATTTATAATGAGTTACTTTATTTAAAGTGACCTGAGGAAAAAAAACAGCCAAATTGATGCTGACAATTGGGGTCTGAGAAAAATCCAATGAGATGTTCGCTCTAAAAAGTCCCTGGATGTTTTATGGTAACAATGATAGTTTACATTTACTGAATGCTTACTATGTGCCAAATACTATTCTTAATGTTTTACTTCTATTAACTCATTTAATGTTCATAGCAACCCTGTAAGTATTATTAGGACTGGCTACATCATTCAAGAGGCCCAGTGCAAAATGGGAATGCACAGTCCTCTGTTCAAAAAGGATGAATCTTTTTTTCAGCATTTCTCCTAAGCTATTATGTTGTTTTTATTTGCAATTTAATGCTTTGCTCCTTTGTACCTGGAAAGCCAACTCTGAGTCTTGTCTTCATTTTAAAGATGAGGTAACTGGGGACAAGGAATCTAAAACATTCATCTGGACAAAGTCCACGGAGGGCACATGATGCAATCCGAGCCAATGACACATCAGGAGGCATCGCTGGGAATCCTGGGGCGAAGACAGACTTTTCTCATTTGACTTTAACATGGGAGGATATGATATGAGTTCTGGAGCTGCTGCCACCATTACCCTTTTGTATGAGGCTGATCCTAAAATCAGTAAAGCAGAAGACAGAACCAAACTGAATCTCTGATATGGTTTTAAATTATTGGTCAAGATATATTTCATTTGGTTTTCTCAATTACATTAGCCCCAACATCCCATCTGTGATTGATTCCAGCTTGAGTTGGGTTTTAGGTTTATTACAGACAGAAAAATGCCCCCCCATTCCACCCCACCCCACAAAGATGTCCAGGTGCTAACCGCCAGAACCTGAGACTATGTTACCTTGCACGGCAAAAGGGATTTTGCAGATGTGATTAAACAGGATCTTGAGATCAGAAGGTTATTCTAGATTATCCAAACGGACCCAAAATAATGACAATAGTCCTTATAAGAGGGAGGTACAAGGGTCAGGATCAGAGAAGAAGATGTAATGACAGAAATAGAGGTCAGAGTGATTTGGGTATTACGACGCAAAGAACAGGGAGAGCCTCTAGAAGCTGGAAAAGGCAAGGAAATGTATTTTCCCCTATATGCTCTAGAAGGAACCCTCTTGATTTAATTCAGATCTTTGACCAGAACTATAAGATATAAACTTGTGTTCTTTCATGTAACTTAATGTGTGGTAGTTTGTTACAGCAGCAATAGGAAACTAATATACCATTTATTTCAGAAAGAGTCCTAACCAACACATATTTATACCAGGATACTAGGTAGAAGATCATCATTTATTTAAATATAAAAGAAAAGAAGAGCTTTCTGTTGGCAACACAGACATAAATTTGTTTTCCGTATCCTATGTCCTTCTATCAAAATAAGCTGGTAAGAAAGTGGTTATCTTAATAGCCATTTCACTATTAGTATTTTATTATAATTTTGCCCAACACTCAAGGTTTTTTTGTTTGTTTGTTTGTTTGTTTGTTCTCAAGAATTTATGGCCTGTACTACTCTCAGAACAAGCTGTGATATCTGTGATTAAGTCACTATGGGAGCTTCTAAAGTTTCAGAAACAGACTCATTAGAACAGGCATTCTCAACCTTTGTTCAGCTCGCTACACCCCGGAGGGATAGTACACACACATCAGAAACAGTAAATTTCAAGTATGTGAGCCTGCTCCCATTGTGAATCTCATCATTAGCAATAACTGCCTTATTGTAGTCTTCGCATCAACAGGAGAGCAGAGAGCTGTAGCGTTCCATCTTTGCTAACTTGGCTGCAGAAGAAAAGTGCAGCATATTTATGTGTTGGAAACTTATCTTAAGTGTTAGCCATATTCCCTGCTGGGAATATCTGGAGGATTATTCCTGGAATCTCTGCTAAGAATATATTTGTATGAAGGATGCATAAGATTGCTAATAAAAACGTCATCTTCAGGGAAGAGCTCCCTATGAGTTGTGAGAGGAGAGAAGCAATTCTGATTATAGCATGGAGTGTGTCACTCAGATTTGTGCTCTAGCCCATCCCCATGGGCTAGAATCTGGTTCTGGAGATGAAGAAGCTACAACTCCAAAAAGATTGAAATGGCAAGAAGTATCTTTAGAGGAAATAAACATGAGAAAGTACTAAGATAAACTGGGGCACTGGGACTGGCAATGAGGATTCGGTCTTCAGCAGAGAGCCTTGTGTTACTGTTTTCCTACACTGATGGCTAAGTACCTTAGCTCCAGCAAGGATGGGATCCAGCTTCCAGGGGGACAAATAACAGACACCTCCAGAGGGTTGGTGGCCCTACTGGAATGCCCAGGGCACACAGCTCCGACAATGGCAGGATCCAAGACAGAGCAGGCAAAGAAGACAAGGCCATTCTTGAAGAGGACTAGGGGAAATGGATGATTTCAGCATTATCTGATGGAAAAAAGAGCCAGGAAAATACAGCTTCCTACAGTTTGTGTGTCTCAATGTTTACTTCCAAGGACAATTTAGGTTAAATAAAACACAATGGTTGATGTGTTTATTTTTATTTTATTCTAATTTACCTTTTCCGTATTCACACAAGTAGCCCAAGTCTCCTGCCTCTTCAATAACCCCCTTCCCCCATCACACACACACACACACACACACACACACACACACACACACACACTCTTATTTGAGTCCTTGGTTTGGCTTTTGGCCATTCATACTAGTTTATGATTTCAAGGAGAACTGGCATAAATTGTGAGGGGCAAGGAAGAGAACTTCTCTATCTGCTCCAAGGGTGGAAATGGATAAAGATTGTTAACAGTGAGGCAGGAGAATTTGTCCACATTTGTTCAGAGACACTTTACACATTTCAAGGCAGAGGGAGAAAGTGGCAATGAGTAGTTGTGTGTTGTTAAAGGTTGGTTGACGGTAGGGAGCAAAAAACGATGGGGAAAGACATATAATATATTTTTCCATGTGTAAAATAAATTTATTATTTTAGTAATAATGAGGTAACACCCTTGCTTGGTCACAGTCTAGTAGTACAACATGAGGCCCCTAAGACCATGTCTGTAGGAAACAAAGAGGTATCTTATCAGGCAGTGAAAAAGAAGAGAAAGCCAAGAGTAAATGTTGCCTGAGGACCCAAAATGGTGTCCTTTCCTCTCTGATTTATTAGTAAACTTTTATTTTCCTACATCTTGAGTGCTTAAAAATAGTTTTCCAAATGAAAAAAAGAGTGAGAGAGAGAAAGAGATAAAAGAAAAAGGAAGGAAAAGGAAAGTAGGAAGGAGAAAGGGAAAGAAGGAAGGAGGGAGGAGGATTAAGATGGCCTCAACATTCCCCTCAACTTGACTAAACTTTAGATAGGCCTCTTCCTGTCTATAGGTCCCAGATCTCCTTTTCTTACAGGATTTACTTCAGAAAACTTGCAGTTGTGAATAATTTCTCTGCACCTTTGAGATGTAAATCTTTTAGAACCCAGGAATGACTTTCACAAGAACCTGGGAGCCATCCCTTTGATATATAACTATTAAGAAAGATACGGCCCTTATCCTTTAGTCTCTGTTGTAAGGTAAGAGCCTAACTTTGATAAGAGACAACTAGCAAACACAGATAGTCTAATCACACTAACCAACCTCCTCACTAACTGTCCTGTAGCACTTTTCCATTAGATTGCCCAGCATTTAAACATCCTTCTGCTTTTTCTCTGAGCAGAGTTGAGTTGAATTTTTCTCTTCTATTTATTAGCCTTGACCCCTATTGCAATAGTTTTAAAGTCTTCTTTGCCTTGACTGTTCCGGTGCAGATTTTCTTTTATTAAAGGAAGAATCCTAATTCATAATTTAAAGGTCTGGGTTACATATTCCATAACTTTGGCTTTGTCCTTAGCTCTCTGCATTCAGTCTGCTCTCATCTAATTGAAATGTTGTCTGGGTTTAGTCCTACCTGTTTCTCTTAAAGGCTAAGTGAGCTGCATCTTTAGAGTGAGTGTAAGAAATAGAATTAGAAATAGGCAACATTTCAACCAAGCGGAGCCCTCAGGCTCTCCTTTGTTTTACCTTTTCTCTGGGTATCTGCCTTGTCATCAGCCCCCTTTCATTCATTTCTTTAGCAAGTATTTATTCATCATATGTTTTATGCCATTCACTATAATAAACATCAGATATCCTCCACCAAAACCTAAATAGGTTGACATTAAGGTACATGCTTTTGGGGATCAGGATATTACATAATCTCTTAAGGGTATATGTGTTTCTATAAAAATAACACATTCTTAACCAACAGAAATGACAACCTAACTGAGTTATTAAATCAGTCAAGGGATAGTGAATATTTGAGAGGCAGTTTGCATAAAATACCTGTCTAAAAAACACTGTGTACGCAGTCATGTGTTTGACCCTTTCATCAAAGGGAGACACTATTACCCATTATTAAAGATGTCTACATTAGTGACAAAAGGTCTGGAGGCATTTTCCTATAATGCCCTACTGTCTTGAATTTATTCCTCTTATTTTCTATGGCAAGGAAATGAGAGTGGTTATCAGCTTGGCATTTTGTTGATTAAATCAACTTTCCACAGCACTGTAAGTCAAAAATATTTCCCCCCAAAGAATACCTTTAATAGCCTATCATTCATGTGTAAGGAAAGAAATAAAGAAAAGAAAAAATAAAGCTACATTTTGTAAGAGGAAGATAAAATTCCATTGTGTTCAAGTATTTCAAGCATAAAACCTTCTGAAATCCACTGTCATCTAATCGCCCTGCTCTATGGGAGTAAACTGTTCCCTGTTTGAAAAACAATTAACTCTTTCAGACCTCAAAGGAGAGAACAGTGTTGTTTATCACTCAGCTTGTAGATGAGGCTTGAGGTGTTTAGGACTTTAATACATCCAATTATCCCTCTTTGGAGTTATTTTCTATCTTTAGGAGGGCATTTTGATGTTTTATGATAGCATTTTATCCAAGGAAGAGAAGAAAATATATTGTAAATATTTGGGTGTTTCACACTGATAGTATCTCTGTGGTTTCAGCAAATGGCTTTGAGATGCTTTGCCACATAATGGCTGTACTCAATACAAATACTAAACCCACAGTACCAAGGGCAATGGAGCAGGAACTTACTCCTTCTATAATGAACCCTAACTATTATTGAAACTCTTTTAAAGACTAAATAAAATAATATTTTAAGCTTTGTAAATGTCTCATTTCTAAGAGTTATTGTAGCAATAATAAATAAGGTGAGAAAGCAGTTTAGTGTAATAATTAAGAGTATGGGATTTAGAGTCCTAGGTACCTGAGATCACATTCAAGCTTCTTCATTTCATCCTTCTGTGACTTTGAATAGGTTACTCTCTAAAGCAGTTTTACTATTCATAAAAGAGGGCTATTAAAACCTTCCTCATTCCTCAGAGTATTATTGAGGGAACAGGGGGAATGCCCAACACGATGTCTGGCACATTGTAGGCATTACATGATTGGCAGCTCTTATTACTGTGCTGATATAGTAAAGTGGTTGTGAAGTTGTCATTCTTTCATAAGATAAACACAGAATTGAAAAATAAGGCAAACTATCATCTTATTAATAACATACTAGACTTCTTAGGAAAGCTATTTTGAGATTTGCTTCTATTAAATGATGTAGAATGGGCTCAAGAGTTCAAGTTCCTTCTGATACCAGCCTCATCCTTGAAGAAATTACAGAATCAGACAGTCTAATCTGATAATACTGAAAACACTTGACTGATCTTGAAAGAATATACTTACGTCAAGATGATGTGAAGCCTCAGGATTTAAAATCCTTGGCAAAAAAAACCCAGTCAGAATAAACATAGGACTTAAAAGAGACAAAAAATGTTTTACATCTACAGTATTCAATTTATAAAATAATTTCTCTACTATGGCAAGATGAGTATAATGAGATGCTGGAGGACAGATTGAGAATATAATGCATGACTCAACAGAATAGCATAGCTGGATTTTGTGGGCACCAGACAAGGTCACTGTGAAAGCCAGAAATGCTAATGTCTCAAAAGTTTATTCTATCATATCTCCAGCACAAAAGAAGTCTCAAGCCACTCTTTTATCAAAATGTGTGTTACTCAAACTCACCTCAGAAGAAGTCTTAAGAAAGAATCTAGGATGGCAGTTAAGAGCACAGGCTTCTACACCAAACTTGCTCAGGTCCAGTCTTCACTCTGCCTCTTATCAGCCATATGACTTTGGACAGGTTTCCTATCCTCTCTGATTTTGTTTCCTCTATTGTAAAACAAGGAATATAAAAAAAGAAACATCAAAGTCAAGTGGCTTTTTTGAATTGAATGAGTTAATGTAAGGAGAGTTCTTAGAATAGTACCTGGCACATAGTTAATGCTCATTTAAGATAGTTATTTTTACCATTTGTTTTTTCTTTTTTATCTTGGCCCCTGGTCTTCACATCTACACAGCTGCCATGGTTACAAAGCAATCACAATTACCTGGTCATACGCCCTCCATTTCCTTTTTTACCTATAGCAATGAATAACTCAGACCTTCCTCCAAAACCTTCAGTGATTTTCAGATAAGAAATTTTTGACATCATCTGTGGCCACATTCCTAGTTGGCTATATCTTGTCTATGTCCAAACTAGTCTTTAAATTCCCAGTGTTGGAATCAACCAATGAACAAAACCAATTTTATACCATGAGCTTAAACCATCCATCCCTATCTCTCATCTTGAATTATCTAGTCTTCTCTATGAGCCCATTTGATCAAACTGTCATCAGTTTCTGCCCAATATAATCTAGACATATTCACTCATTTGATAAGCATTTACTGATCCAGGAAACCTACTAGGTGCTAAGGAACCAGAGCAGTGTGAGCCTTCTGGTGCTGGCTAAGGAAGTAGGCAGCTGTCATGAAATGCATATACATATGGATATTTCCGTTGTATAACCTATCCTCAGAACTCTCCAGAGTTACATCTCTGTGAAAGTAAAACTGCCTGGTTCACAACTCCTGGTTCTCAGGAGGCCATGCTTTCTTTGCACAGCATGACTTTGGATCCTTGGTCACAGGTGATTGCCCAAAGACTGGATCTGGCCCAAGAATAGTTAATCCATAATCTACTTGTTTTTTTTGAAATTATGATCTATTCCATGTAATAAAAAAGATAATTTGGGCCAATAAGTCTTCCCTGTAAATATAAGCCACTAATACTTGAGCCTATTAGTAATAGGAGGTAAAGTGAAGGATGCTGTGAAGGAGAGTTTGGGGCCATGGCAAGCTGTGTTAATTTACACATTAATCACCATCAGTGTTTGATTGCTGGAAGGACTCAAAGGGTTTATTACAGGCAAAGGATATAGTTCAACAGCCGGGGAAGAATATGCATTGACAGAGGTCCAAGGAGCTAAGGCACAGGCCCCTTTGTTCTCCCTTGTCTGATTTGTGTTGCACAGGACTCGCTCCAAACCATCACTGGGGTGTGTGCGAAGCACCTCGGTGCCAGAAAGCCCAAATTCAGCTCATGATGAAGCTCTCAAAGAATAAGCTGTCTGACCAGCCATAATCACTGAAGTCTCCCTGACCTAAGTCATAAATCCAATTATTATGATTAAACAATGCTGACAGGCTGGCATATCCCACTCATGGATGCATAGTCACAGAACATCATACGCTTTTAGTTAAAATATTTCATACTGTTGGCCAAGGGTCTGTAGCTCCAGAAGTAAGCAAGAGATCAATCAGACCAGCTGAGGTTAACTCTTTCACAAGTTTAAACTACTTGAGTAGAAACTATGCGTAAGCATAGAAAGCTGCTAATGGAAAGAGATCCACAGAGGAGATAGAAGCTAAAAGTGAACTAGAATGAGCAGAAGGTGGGGAATGGGGGAGATGCAAGGTTTTAGGGCTTTTTCCATCTTTAATGACTTTTCAGATCCCATTCCATTTTCTCTTTATTCAAGCAAGCTAAGTAAATACTTGTTCTTTATAAAACAAAGAAGAAAAAACAATACTCCAGGTTGACCTTTCTAAATATGGCAATTACATTTCTCTGATCTGAATTCCTGAGAGAAATATTAAAGTTTAAGGGAGGCCTAATGAGCCATATCCCTTTGACTACAGATTCTGAAGAAATTCAGAAATTCATGAAAGCAAGAAGATAGACCTTAAAATATCAGTTTTTTACAAGGAAATGGATGAAGTAGAATAAGGGTAGGATGCACACTTTCTCCAAGCAACAGTTCCAAAAGGAAAATCCAGAAATATTTGAGTTAAGCATGTCCTTTGTCAGTCTCAGCAAACAAGTAAATCAATCCTCCTTCCTGGGAAATTATGAGTTACAAATAAAGAACAAACTCAAAGGGTCATTGTAACTGAAGCCCTCTCACATGAGAACAGAAGATTGAGTTGAAAGGAATATAATTGACATGATAGAAAATAATCGTGACTCATTAAAATATCACAGAAACTTTACTTTTGATTGAGGTTCTCTTTGTTCCACTCTTCCCTGTGAGCTGGCCCCTGGAGTTTCCTCAAATTCATTCACATATAATAACCTCCCTTAATAGAAGGGCAAAGGGCACCCCACACCACCTAGAGTAATTCACCTTACATGGCAAAACACTAAGTGAAATTTTGAATAATGAGGGTGGCACCAATCCTTCAGGCATCCAAGGCTCCTTGAGTTTGAGATAGAGACACGGATTTGCTCATGAAAATCAGCCTACCACTTTCCACTTTTGTAGCATATAAAAATCTAGCTGCAAACTCAACTTATTGAATGTTCAAGAATTAATCAGCTTCCCTTCACATTAGTCTGCAATTTATCTCTGTGCCTCCAAGATTCTTTCTGACACCACAATTAGGGAAGCTGAAATACTGAAATAAAAGCATCTACTATAGTCTCTTCTCTCCAGTTAGAAACACAAATTATTAGGAGAAATGTAGGAGACTGCCTGCAGAGATGTGTCTTCCAGTGCCTTGTAACGGACTTTTTTCATTAAATATCATGAGGAGTACTAATTGGCTCTTCTGGTATGCTCAGCCCTGCACCACACCAGAATTATTCTGGTGATAGCCATGTTAAGAAGCAAAAAGTAAAGTTGTGAGCTCAAGAGTGAATACAAATGTTAAATAATATCCATAACAGAAAATTTATGTAATGAAAAAAACTAATCATTTAAGAATTCTGATCAAATTGTAAATTCCCAGCTTATCAAGTATCTGGAATCAAGACAGGAGGTATAGAAATAAGGGAGTGACTTTGGGAGGCCGAGGTGGGTGGCTTACAAGGTCAGGAGTTCAAGACCAGCCTGGCCAAAATGGTGAAACCCCATCTGTACTAAAAATACAAAAAATTAGCCAGGTGCGGTGGCAGGCACTTGTAATCCCAGCTACTCAGGAGGCTGAGGCAGGAGAATCACTTGAACTTGGAGGGCGGAGATTGCAGTGAGGTGAGATCATGCCACTGCACTCCAGCCTGGGTGACAGAGTGAGACTCTGTCTCAAAAAAATAAAAACATAAAAAAATAAAAAAAATAAGGGAGTGGCTAGGGGCGGTGGCTCACACCTGTAATCCCAGCACTTTGGGAGGCTGAGGCAGGCGAATCACGAGGTCAGGAATCCCAGACCAGCCTGACCAACATGGTGAAATCCCGTCTCTACTAAAAATACAAAAGAAAAAAAAAATTAGCTGGGCCTGGTGGCATGCACTTGTAATCCCAGCTACTCGGGAGGTTGAAGTTTCAGTGAGCCGGGAGGTGGAAGTTTCAGTGAGCCGAGATCACGCCACTGCACTCCAGTGTGGGCGACAGAGCAAGACTCTGTCTCAAAATAAAATAAATAAATAAATAAATAAATAAATAAATAAGGGAGACCTAAGGCCCTCAATATAGGTAGATGGAATTCAAAAGATACTATTGCATTCTTACATTTCATATTTTTAGAAAGATTGCATAAATATTTTTTATATATAACCACAGTGTTAATTTAAAATGAGATATACAACTTTCTAAGACTTATACAAGTAAACAAAATATACGCTTGACCCTTGAACACATTGGTTTGAACTGCATGGGTTCATTTAATGCGAGTTTTCTTAAGATAACTGGGATAAAGGCCTTTATGATGATCCACTTCCACTTAATGAACTGTAAATATATTTTCTCTCTTTATGATTTTCTTAATAATATTTTCTTTTCTCTAGCTTATCTTATTGTAAGAATATAGTATATAATACATATAACATATAAAATATGTGTTAATCAACTGTTTATGACATTGATAAGGCTTCCAGTCAATAGTAGCCTATTAGTAGTTACATGCTGAGGAAGTCAAAAGTTATCTGTGAATTTTTTACTAAGCAACAGGTCAGCATCCTAACTTCCACATTGTTCAAAGGTCAAATTAAGTTAAATAACAAATCTGATCTTATTGACTCCATCTCTCCACAGTAGTGGCTGGAGTTTGGGTGACCTCCAGGAATGGAAGACCCCTCTCAATTCTCATGCAGAAGCCAGCCTGGGCTGGGTTTAGTGGCTCATGCCTGTAATCCTAGCACTTTGGGGGGCTGAAGCTGGAACATCACTTGAGCTCATGAGTTGGAGAACAGCCTGGGCAACACAGCAAGGCCCCATAAAAGAAAAAGAATTAAGAAGCCAGCCTGGTGAGGAAGCCCTCTCATGAAAGGGCACAGTAAGGCACTTCCAGTTCTAAAGTTCTCATATCCCATTGATATGTACTTTCAACCCACCTTCCTTACCTATGGTGATCATTTCTTCATTTTCAGTCCTGGTTTAGAAATACTTAATTGTGCTAGACTCTCTGCCATTTACTATAGTTCAATTCTTCTGAAAGCTGTAATCAAGGGTGGTCAGTGGTTCATTAGCCTTGTGGGAATCCCCCTACTCCCCACCCTTTAACCCAGCTGTAAAGTATCTCATTAGCCCAAAGCTCATCTGATACCTATACTCATCTATTTTACCCTGTGATAGGCCAATCCACTAATTTTACATTTTCTTATCTTTTCCCTAAGAAACTGAAAATTTTAACACATCACACTAAAAGAATATCCTGTTTTGTTGTGTCATTAATTCTACTAAATTACGATATCCCTGATGTTTTCTTTCCATACATTTTTGTTCCCATTCTTTTTGATATGCCAAGCTTGTTGATGTAACACATGACATAATAATTGCTACGGCAAGAGAAATCACCTACCAACATTTCCAGTACTTTCTCAAGTCTTATCTAACCCAAATCCCAACATTATCCCAACAAGTCACTCCATATATTTTGATCCAAGTTATGGCTACCTGACCACGTCTGTCTGTACTGTTCATTTATCTTGCAAGCAGGTCTAGGTGTGCAGAGGTAGAATCATGTTCAAACAAAACTAGATACAAGCAGCTTACAAAACTAAATAAACAATGTACAGTACTGAGTTTTGAGATAAAAATGGGTAGAATATACATAGATAAGCATAGAAAACAGACTACAATATACATTTAAACATTATCTGTGTTGCTATTGTGGGGGCAAGATTATCAATCTTTAAAAAATTATTGCTCTTTGAATTTTAGCAGTTCAATATTTTATATGTATTATTTTACGATATAAATAATTCATATGTAGATATAATCTATAAATAGATACAATACTTAAATAAATACAATATGTAAATAAATACATATTTCTCAATAAGTTCTAAAATAGGTTAATAGAAAATCATGATATAAAATTTATTTTATTCATTATCCCAGAAATAGAGTGATTACATTCTATAATATGAAAAAGACATATAGACCTTTATCACTTACAACAAAGTCACTTCTATAATTTCTTTTTGAACATTCATTTTTTCTATCCATCAACCCAGAAGAATAAGTGCACTCAGATTTGTGTTTCTTCTTTGCCAAAATGTGAGGTATATGAAATCCTACCTTTATTAATATTATGAAACATGCCAAAATATACACTTTCAAATTAGTATTATGTTTCAGTCTTCTCAGCCAAGAAACAGGTAGTACCCTAACTGAACAATTTTAACAAAAAGGCCTTTTGAGATGTGGTGATGCTATTAACAGATGCGCCACAACAAAATCCTGAGTTATTGGCTATCTTCAAGTCTAAAGCAAGGCATTCCATATTGTGATTTATAATTTTAAGTGGACTCAGCAATCATCCCTCCCAGGAGAGTTGAAATCAAATCCATCACAGACAATTAAGGTAAACAATCAATGCTACCAAGAAAAATACAATTCCCAAAAGTAGATCGAAACTGCTCACGGACAAATGCTCAAATGAAACATTTTTACTCCTTCTCACTATGTGGAGAGACCAATCTAAATTACCATTGTCATAAAATATTTTATCATCAAAATGCAAAGGATAAGCAATCTGAAATAAGCAATGCAAGAGAAGTCTAGTGTTGCATTTTAATAAAAGCATTAAAAGTAACATCTGGGGTGTGCATATCAGCTTTTTTGATGTCAAAGATAAATTACTATTCCACAAGGACAATAGCTCTAACTTCCACCATTAATGGAGAAAGAAAATAAAGAAAAACAACATTGATTAAGGGCATTATTTATAAATGTGGAGGTAATGTTCAAGTTGAGATTTCACGGCATTTCTTATGGGCTCAGAGCAAATTGTACAAGGTTAAGAGAAATGTTAATATCCAAATAGAAATACTTTCCAGACTCAGTCCCCTGCTGCTACCATCCCAGTCTTCTTACTGAACTCTAAGCCCACTACTGCTCCCATGCTTGGTCCCTATTCCTCTCACTCACCTTGCTCCTCCTATTCAAACCTTAGTCATCTTCCAAAACACAGGTTAAGACTTACCTCTTTCCTAAAACTGTTCTCTTCCACAGCAATATTTGCCTTTTATAACCCCTTCTGTACCCACTCTCTATTGTTTATAACCCCTTATATACTTTCTGTGCAGATGGAGAGATCTTTTACTGGTTTCTATGTATTGACTATGTAACCACAATTAAATGGTAAGCTGCTTGAAGGCAAGCCCTCTGTTTATTCACTGAGCCCCTGAATGTTTCCTTCAACATCGTTGTTATAATATTGATGAGAAAAAATTGATTCCGGGCCAGGGCCACGGTCTGTGTGCAGTTAGCACATTCTCCCCTTGTCTGAGTGGGTTTTCTTCGGGTACTCTAATTTCCTCCTACATCCCAGAGATGTTCCCATTAGGTGAATTGGTTTGTCTATATAGTCCCATTCTCAGTGAGTGTGAGTGTATGAGTGCACCCTATGATGGAATGGTGTCCTGGCCAGGGCTGGTTCTGTTCTTGTGCCCTGATCTGCTGGGATAGGCCCTGGCCACCTCCACCCTGAAATGGAATAAGTGGGTTTAAAAATGAATACAAATGATTGACAAGTAAACATTTGTCAAGTATACTATAATTCTACAAATGCACTACAATAAACAATGTAGTCCAAGAGTGCTTAGCAAGCCACCATATTTGTTATTGGTTGTTTTCTAGCTTCTTGGTGGAAGGAAGTGATCTTTAAAATTTTTGTTTTGTAAACACCGATTCCTTGATTTAATTTATCACCACCATGACTGCTCTCATTCACCAATTCACCAAAATTGGGTAAATCCTTACCTTACTTGTTTTGATTCTTCTTTTCTTAAATATATGTATAGCTCAATTTTTAACATTAGAAATGTGTTGGGTCTTTATTTAGAAGTTTGGTGATGTTTTTGTGACCAGAAATATGCCACTGGAGTATGTTTTTTTTACACCAGTTAGCCCATGGTAAAATTGGTTTTGTTTTACATTGTTTCACTTAAAGTTGTTAATTCTGAGACTAAAATCAGTGTGCAGGAAGTTTGAACTCAGAATCAGAACATGCAGGGAAGGCAGAGAGAGAAATCAGGTTATGGTAAAGGCATAACAAGAATTCAGCTGACCCTATAAGGAGCTCTGAAATTCAGCTGGAGCATAAAAGCTGTTCCCCATTGCAGTTGGGAGCCGGGCCTTTATATTCCCTTACCCACATCACAGGTCACAGGATGCTGGCTACCCCAGAAAGGGACGTGATCTTGGGGGAGATAGCCAACTCTGGCCAAGGCTAACCAGGTGAGACTGAGAGCTGAGGACAGTCTCCCAGAAATTAAGCAAACAGGCTGTTACTTCCTGGGTGGGGAGTCCATGCAGCACATCACATCACTTGTCTAACCTTCCTTTTATATGATACATTGTTGTGAATGTCACCTAGTTTGTTTGTTTGCTTACATTTAAACTTTCATTTCTGCATTCCATTCTCCTTTTCGCTTTGAGGTGACTTCTGAGAGGAAAAGTAATAGGGCCTTCTGGAGAGTGAACTACTATAGTTCTACTACATTGGTGCAATTGCATGCAATTGTTGAGGACCATTTGAGGATCCCACAGAAAGGGTCTAGCTCTGCATTTTCTTGAAAAGATTCCACCCAAAAGAACTTTTTTTTTTTTTTTTTTTTTTTTTTTTTTTTGGGAGATGGAGTATTTGCTCTGTTTCCCAGGCTGGAATGCAATGGCGCCATCTCAGCTCACTGCAACCTCTGTCTCCCAGGTTCAAGTGATTCTCCTGCCTCAGCCTCCTGAGTAGCTGGGATTACAGGCATCCACCACCATGCCCAGCCAATTTTTGTATTTTTAGTAGAGATGAGGTTTCTACTAAACGAGGTTTGGCCAGGCTGGTCTTGAACGCCTGACCTCAGGTGATCCACCTGCCTCGGCCTCCGAAAGTGCTGAGATTACAGGGGTGAACCACCACACTAAGCCCCAAAAGAACTTTTCCTCAGAAACCATAAGAGAATTGAAGATGTACTTTCAAATACCAAAGCTGATGGATGGCAGTGGGGCAGATTGGTAATTGATCAGCCAAAAAGACCTGATACTTATGCCAGAGAACTGTAGGCTGAAGTCCCCAATTATCTTACTGTGAAATTTCATCTAGCTTTAATAATCATGTAAACATTCGAAGTTATTACCACCAACCCCTACACAGGCCAAATTTATCCAAAAAACACCTCTCCCATATGAACTATCAAATCTGTGTCCATAATGACACAACATGCATACTGAAGGCACTTAAAACAATAACTTCAGGTCCACTCATAGGTGCCATGGGCTCCATTAGTTGCACTGAAATACTAATTTTCTAAAAGATACCACAGAGACTTTTAGAAGTCTATTGACCTTCAAAAAATGAGTCTTCCCACTGTATCCTCTTGCAGATCAGATGTAATGTAATGTATTTCAGCTCGTTTCAAGAATAACGGCAGGTCTACTCTTAAGAAGTAGTGTAAGTAAAGAGACATTTAAAAAATTAAAGCAACATTAAAAGTGGAGGCTAAATATTGGAGAGCATATCTTGGAAAAATAAAATTTGTTGCATCTTAGCAAAATCATTGAATCAGTCAATACCCCTGCTCAAGTAAATAAAGGATTTATGGCAGATCTAATAATACAGACAATAAGCTCAGACAATAAGCAAATGGACCAGGAAGTGCAGGAAGTTGAAGCTTCAGGACACCTCATTGCCACTCGACCCTAGGTCACTTTAAAGACCCTATATTTACTTTCAAAGTTCTGTATTATTTTTCATAAAGAGGACCCCCAAAGTTGTATAAACCTGTTGCACAAAACCTGAATACTCCTCCTGCTAAAAGCCTATAGAAATACAAAAAGCTAGTATTATGTGAAAAAGTAAGAGGTATTTGTGTCTCATGGTGATTTCCATCCCCCACATACAATAGTCACTCTTTGGATATCCTGAAATAAAATGTCACAAAATATGCATCTATGATATGAAACACCTAACTCAACGCTGAGAATTGTCATCATAGCAACCAATTTAGATACTCAGCTTAAAAAGCGAATACATGTGAAGGTAAGTAGTATTTTTTAAACAATTTTTTTTGTTTAAACAGGTATTGAGTTGAACACATACTATGGGCTATGCACAGTATTAGGCCTTCGGGAAATAAATTTCAAATGAACAGCAGAGTTCAAACGAGCAGAAGCACTTTGTTTGAAATATGAATAGGCAATGTGCAAAAATTACAGCTTTAACCAATAAGCCTATAGTCTTTATGAATTTGGAGGAAATAAAAATAAAAAGACTTCTAAAGAAACATCTATGTGTCATAGGATTTTTTATTTATGTCATCATAGAAGTTTCATGCTCTGTAATGCATTTTCTATCTCTTCCATCTATTTGGCCTCACACACACATAGGCCATACTTTTTATTGAGGGTTAATGACTTTGGGGTCACGATTCTGCAAGATGGACGTGCCAACAGCATTGGAGAGCAAGTAGAGCAGTAACAAGTAAATCATTCATTCATTCATTCATTCATTCAACAAGTGTATGTTAAGTACAGCGTCTGCCATGTGCCATGCACTGTGCTATGTGCCAGACACGCACTAGTGGGCAGAGAATGAATAACAATTTTAATACATCTGATTACAGATTATAAAATGAGATAAACAGGATGTCTTGAGGATATATGGGAAAACTATGGAATCCAGAGATAACTGAGAGGAAGTTCAGAAAAGACTTCCCAGAGTAAATGATATCTCACTTGAATCCCCAAAATAGCAAAAGTGTTCCACGGGTTGAAAAACAGTCAAAATATTTAGAACATAGAATGGATTGAGAGAAGATAGAATGGGGTAGGAGAAAGCCAGATCACCAAAACTCTGCCTTTTCATTTTAAGGGATTTGCAGTTTACCTAAGGACAATAAAAAGAAAGATACTATGATATTTGGAAGCAGCCCTGAATCAACATTCTGTCTCCAATAAAAATTAAATGATGTGAACTAAAGCGTAATATTTAACTTGTCAGAGCCTCAGTTTTTTCATCAGTAATGGATGAATAATAACTTATTAAATGATGTTGTGTGAAGCAAATATGATAATAGATGAGAAAGTAGTATGGAAAAAAATGTATAGACATGTTCTACAACTATAAGATGCCATTATTGCATGAATGATTGTGAATTGCGTTTAGGAAATGACATCAAAATTGAAGACAAAGTGCAATGATAACCAAAGGCCACTCAACCAAGAGGAACTATGCTTTCTTCAATGCAGTTGATGTATGGCAGAGGATGAAGTGTGACAGCACAGCCAGTGCAGTCAGCACATTCCACTGCATCACAGCACGCGGCGTGGCAATGCAACCAGGTCTTTTTCCAACTCCACAAAGATCCAAGGGTATTCAGAAGGACTTTGCTGAATTCACACATTTTGCAGTGCAGTCATGCATGTTGGGAAGGTTCTATGTGTAATCCTATGAAGGTTACTTTTCTAAATTAAAAGGATAACACTGAGGGACATATTAGGATTCAATCATCATAAACATACTAGCAGATTGAGAGCTTCTCTCTGTCTCTCTAATCAAATGTAACACTATAGTGATCCTGTAAGTTTGAAGTGAATATTAACTCCATTTGAGAAACTGAAGTTAAGACAAGTAGCTTGTTTAATATTATACCACCAATAAGTGTTTGAAATGATATTTGAACCCATTATTGTCTGACTCCTCTATCATGTACAAACTTACGTAGTAAGATACAGCACCATGAGAAATATAGAGACTTGTACTTCTGGGTTAAAATAGTGTCTCCAATGCAATGCAATCATCCCCAAATAAACACTCTCCTGTCAATTAGAACAAGGGGAAAGGCAAAAAGTACTATCAAAAAATACTGCTAAAAATTAAGATATATACATAGAATAGCACTAGACTCTAGGAGGATTTCCTTTCAATGTAAGATTATTTGGATTTTGATTTAGAAAGACTCATGAAATTGAATGTAAATCAACCGAAGTTCAACCAGGCCTTACTGCCATAAGCCTCCTTTGAAGTCATAAAAATGCATCCCTATGTACCCCAAAGCTGTATTTCATTTTGAAAGATAATTAGATTGATAAGATATTTGTGTAAACATAAAGCATTTGGATTTTAGCCAGACATTGGACAAGGCCTGTTTATTAGACTTGTGGATAAGTTGAAGAAACATGAATGAGTAACTTTAAAGTATACATAATTCAACCATACACTCAGTGGGAAATGCTTAATGGATTGATAGCCACTTGTACAACTAGTAGCTGCTTTGTATTAATATCCCAAAAGGGAAAATGTTTACCAAATTATAAAATGGCAGCAAATGAGAAATAAGATCTCACTGGTTTGACTGCAGAATCAGCGCCTGCAAGTACTGAATAATATGAAATGTTAATAGGGACAAATAAAACTCCTCTGGGAACCAAAAACTAAGTGCAACAGTATTGGAGTGAAAATTACTGACGGTCAATTATCCATATCAAGAGTTCACTTTAGAGAACACAGTGGAAAGGAAGGCAATAGGTCTCTGCAGACCGTGGCGTGGAGATATCAAAGTAGGCAATGACAAGTCAGTTACTGAAATAAAATCACAGTGCCTATAACCTCGAAGCAAGATTCTCACTGTCACATGCAATAGTGTGCCCTGTTCAGTACTCCACCTCTAAAGACACCACTGGCGAATTAGAAGAGAACAGGTTGATCAAGAGCTGAAAACCAAGTACATAATTAAAATGCCAAGAAATTCAAGTCAAAAGGCAAGATCTTTAAGTCTAAAATCACCAGAAGACTCTCTTGCTTCTTTTGATAGTAAATCTGTCGTTTCATTATGGGTAAATGGTGGTCTGGCAATGTTTGTGTGGTGGCAGCAATTGAGAGGACGTGGAGAGAATGCGTTGTAATAATGAGTGAACACCTCTATAAAATCCCTGAAATTCCTCCTCTGAATGAGGCTTGGGACATCACATTGCTTGCTCTCATGAGGTTCACAGGCTCTGAGGGCTCAATAAAACCTTCTAAGTTGTACAAATATCTTTGCCTTTTTTATATTACCCTGAGCCCCTAAGGAATTGTGCAATAAGAGAAAACTCCTTATCTTGGTAACAAAAGACATTCGTAAACATTTGATGAATAAGTTAATAAAAGATAATTAATTCTGCGAGGGTAGAGAGGCAGAGCATTCTTACCAGACTACCCTAAAATTAAATGGAGATGTTAAGATTCTAGCTGAATACTTGTTGAGTATTTTAAAAAGGAAATTAACGTTAATAGATTAAGTAGGGTAAGGTAACTATCTTGAGATTCTTGATTATAAATACTTCTAATGACTTTGAAAGGAGTTCTGAGGAACAAAATACACACACACACTCTCTCTCTCTCTCATACACAAACAAATACACACACACACAGTGTGAGCCAATTAGTATAACTAGAGGGAGTCCTCAGGACAGCCCAGTGCCAGCAGCATAGAACCTTCTCCCTAAACAAAATCTCATCCCAGGTCTCCAAACTTCCCCTCACGATTTCCTTGCTCTTTCCTTACTACCAAATTTGAACCTAGTTTTGTCCCATTTTAAGACATTAAATGGGTGCAAGACATTTCCCTTTGAAAATGTGTTAAAGGACTAGATGCTTTAGGGAACATCTTCCGTTTAAAGACATACGTGTGAGGTCCACGCTGGAGCACTGAATTGGGGGAAGGCAGTGTACTCCTCCATAGCACTGCCCTACTTCCTTGCAGAGTTCTGCCATTCCTCCATTTAAAATATACCCTTCGGCAAGAAAATGCAATATGATTATGGACAAATCACTTTGATTTGCAGTCTTTGACTTTTCCTCAGTCAAGTACACAAAAGCTAATGCCCTGCTTTCCTTGTGAAGAAAGAAAGGGGAGGGGAACTTTGCCTGTCAAAGCATTTCATACAGTAGCTGATTAGAGTAGTATGTGTTTTGTAAAGAAATGGGGTCCTTTTCTTCATCCTCTCAGCAAAGCTTTATGCCCACACTACCTCTTGGAGCCTGGCTATGGATAATTTAGTAGCTTCAAATTGTATACTGCATCAAAAACTCCCATTAATCTTATATTCTTATGGCTACCACTATTTTATTTTTCTTTGTGTCATGAATCTCTCAACTTATACTTGGCAGCAGAAAGGAAACCAAAACTGACATTTGTTACTGAACGCATTGGCTAAACCTTTCCCCAGGGTTACCAAATCAGAAGAAGGACTACACTCAAAAAAATTCAAAGCCACTTCCATATAAAATCTTCCCAACCTTAAGGTCTTTCTCTCAACCTGGTTCTAGAGGGATTTATGCTTGCAAGTTTTACCTCCCTGAGTAAAAATAACTGCAAAGCAAGCAGTATCTAAATAGCACATACAGAATTGAAAGAGAAACAAACAGAAATTAGGAGAACTAAGAAATAAGACACTCGGGAAAAAAAGCTAATGCTCATATGTTATTCAAAGGGAAAACATAGTTGGTGTGCCTCGGAAAAACCTCTTTAGGAATATAAAAGAAATGCCGTGAACAGGATGCCACATCAACAGGAGATACATACTGTTAATAAACGTTCCTGATGGTTATTAAAGTAAATATCATCTTTTGTTCAATTTTAAGAGGAAAATGTATTTCATTTTAAATAAGTTTTTTAAAATTCAATTTAGTGATACACAGAACTTACATTTAAATAATATAAAATGCTGTTGTAATAGGATATTTGGCTTATTATCAATAATGTCCCAAACATCATTTATTACTTAAAGGTAGATTTACTAAGCAATTAGCCAAGAGAACATTCTAATTAAAAATTAAATCCATGTTCAAATAAGCATAATCAAATATTCACTATAATTCTCTAAAACACATTAATAGCTACAAGAGTATGTGGTTTTATCATATATTTTTTTTAAAAAAAACTCATCATCTCTACAGCGAAACTACTCTGAAAATATACTCAGAAATCACCTTTCTTGGGAGGCTGAGTAATACTTTGAATCAACGTGGTTGCATGGCGTGCCTTTAATTTCTTCTTAATGGAAGGTAGAAATTAAACAGCCATAAATAGGGGAGTACAAACCTGGAATGTGTAGAAGACTCTGGAGCCAGACTACCTGGTTCAAGACCTTATTCGCTGCCTGACCTTAGATAAGTTACTTACCATTTTCACAACTCAGTTTTCTTATGGGTAAAACGGGACTCATAACAGCAACACTTCACAAGGTTATTGTAAAACTTAAGCTAATATATGTGAAGCCCTTAAAAAGATACCTGGCACATCACATTCTTTGCAGCAATGTGGATGCAGCTGGAGGCCACTGTCCTAAGCTAATTAATGCAGAAACAGAAAACCAAACACCACATGTTCTCATTTATAAGAGGGAGCTAAACATTGAGTACACATGGACATAAACATGGGAACAATAAACACTGGTGACTACTGGAAGGGGGAAAGAGGAAGGGAGGCAAGGATTGAAGAACCACCTATTGGGTACTATTCTCGCTACTTGGGCGATGGGACCATTTGTACAACAAACCTCAGCATCATGTAATATACCCACGTAACAAACCTGCACAAGTCCCCTTGAATCAAAAATAAAAGTTGAAATTATTTTTTAAAAAGATACCTGGCACATAGTCAGTGCTCAACAGATCTAAGCTGTTATTGAGATAGGAAGATGGCCTACAGCAGAAAACTGAGTAGGGTTAGCATGAAGCTCCTGAGAATGCGGTTTAATCCTGTGTGACTAGCCATGCTTATTTAACCTCTCTGGGCCCCCACCTTCTCATCTTCAAATAAAGGTAACTCCAGTTTATACCCCACAGATTGTTAAGAGGATTGAATGGAGGTAATGGGGCTGAGTTCATTGTTAGGATTCAGCTGGGGAAGCTCACACTAAACAACGTGACATACTTCAAATGCAGAGGGACAGACACACTTCAGATGTGGCACAGGGCCTTGGTACTATCTGCTCTACATGTGAGAAAGACTTTTTGCCCCTATGCTTATTGGAAATATTCAAGGCAATTTTATTCATCTTTATTTTTTCTTTTACATGAAGTTAAAAGCAAAAGATAGTGCTCCCAAAGACCTGCCAGTAATATCAGCTGTTTTGTCTAATACTGCAGCTTTCAGCAAATCATGCTCAGACACCAAAGTAAAGGGGGCATGGTCTGGTCATCTCATTTTCTTAGCTGGATGAATTTACAGCTATTAGAATATAGTCAAATGTAAATGAATTACCTGTGCTTCATGGAAAAGAAGTGGAAGAGGTTTTGCATCTCTGCTTACTTATCCCTTCACAATGCACTCACTAAAATGGTGACACCACTTGGAACTGCAATCACCTTCTACCAACTATCGAAGATGGCAATGAGTGAAACGGCATTTTATTCAAGTTCTAAAGGCCAGTGTGTCTCAATCCAGGCTGACCCAGAAAAATGCTAGGAGAAGGAGTTCCGACGTGGGCACACCGTGAGGCTTTGGTTTGTCTGATCTGACTGCTAATGTACATGATTTTGAGTCATCTCTGTTACCTGGGCACTTTCTCTGCAGAGGAAACACAGCAAAGCCTTTCCTCACAGACTTAAATATCAGTCAGAAAAACGGTTTCAATGGGTACCAACTTGGACAAGATTCCAAACAGAGGTGATGCGGTCTGATGGTGGGATTGGGTGGAGACCCTCAATTTCTGCAACCTTCTTCAGGGCTTCCTGGACTTTGTCTCCCTTTGATTTTAGGTGGATAACACAGGTGAAGAAAATGGGATCATTTTGTCTAGAAGATTTAGGTATCAGCTAGTCATGGCAGAGAACAAGGTGGCATGGATATGAATGAAGAGTCAGAGATTTGGCAAATTCTACCACTCTCATTTGCAAATGTAAAGGCAGTGCCTCACTCTGCTGTTTAGGCCTGAATCAGTGACCTTTCTCTTTGCTAAAGATTATCATTCTTTAAGGAGGCTGTTCCTACTCATGCCTGCACTCCGATCTAAGTTAGATATCCTATTTATATACTCCCTGTGGTAGGCAGAATTACATAACGGCTCCCAAATTTCCCCCTAAAGTACATGCTGTGTATAATCCCTGGGACCTTTGAATATGATAAGGTAGTCTGTTCTGTGATGGGGTTATATGACACAATCCACTTTAAGAAAAGCAGATTATCTTGAGTAAACCTGAGGTACTCACATGAGCCCTTAACAAGGACTAGACTCTTCCTGAAGAAAGAGATTTGAAGGATGTGGGGCATTTAAAATGAGAGATCATCCACTGCTGGCTTTGGAGGTGGAGAGGCCCCATATGGCATGGAATATGGGCTGAGAGCCACCCCGTCATTGACAGCCAGCAAAGAAATGAGGACCTTATTCCTCCAGCTGCAAGACACTGGGTGCTGCTATAACCAACCACATGAGCTTGGAAAAGTACCCCAAACTCCAGATGAGAATGCAGCTTCGCAATGACTTGATTTAGCCATGTTATGAGACCCTGAGCAAAGAACCTAGTCATGCCACACCCGGATTTGTGACCTACAAAACTGTGAGCTATTAAGTGGATGTTGCTTTAAGCTGATGCATTTGTGGTAACTAGTTATACAGCAATACAAAATTAATACATGTCCATAGGACCTTGTACTTACCTTCCAAAATACTCATCCATGGCATTCATCCTTAGGGTGTGTGTGTGTGTATGTGCGTGTGTGTTCTGCACTTGACAGTAAGCTGTATGAAGGCAGGGAATATATCTTTCACTCACTCTTCTGTCCTCAGCACCTAGCCTAGTGCCTACAATAAAATGCTCAATACCTGTAATCCCCGCAGTTTGGGTGGCTGAGGCGGGCAGATCACCTGAGGGTAGGAGTTCGAGACTAGCCTGACCAACATGGAGAAACCCCATCTCTACTAAAAATACAAAATTAGCAGGGCATGGTGGCACATGCCTGTAATCCCTGCTACTCGGGAGGCTGAGGCAGGAGAATTGCTTGAACCCAGGAGCTGAAGGATGCAGTGAGCTGAGATCGTGCCATTGCACTCTAGCCTGGGCAACAAGAGCAAAACTCTGTCTCAAACAAAACAAAACAAAACCTCAATGAACATTTGTTTGTGAATAGTGCATATATTAATGAATCCTTTTAAATCACATTATTTTTCATTAGATAAATCGATGTATTTCTATCATGAAGTCAGAGTGATACAGTTTTCATTTACATTAAATTGTATTGCTTTCATTTACATCCTAGTTTCTTGATCTAAAGTGTTTCTTTCATTAATGTTTTTTGTTTGGTTTTTGAGATGGAGTCTTGCTCTGTCACCAGGCTGGAGTGCAGTGGCATGATCTCAGCTCACCGCAACCTCCACCTCCCAGGTTCAAGTGATTCCTCTGCCTCAGCCTCCCAAGTAGCTGGGATTACAGGCACGCGCCACCACGCCCAGCTAATTTTTTGTATTTTAGTAGAGACAGGGTTTCACCATGTTGGTCAAGATGGTGTCGACCTCCTGACCTCATCATCCAGCTGCCTTGGCCTCCCAAAGGGCTGGGATTACAGGTGTGAGCCACCATGCCTGGCCCATTAATATTAAATAGACTGAGGCTGCTCAGAGTCAGAAGGCATACCCATCATCTATGGGACATGCTCTATGGGGTACATTCTGCCCACTCTTTGTTTTCTCTCCAGGCCCAAGCCCTACACTCAAGCTGTGAGCAGCATACTGAGTGTCAGAATGCAAAATAAGTGTACACAGGCGGTCCAGGCCATTTGAATCAAAATGATGTATGATACTTTTCTTGGAGAAGGCTTCTTTTTTCATTACCTCCTACGTCTCACTCTTTTCTCCTAATGTTTCTTTCTCATCTGCCCTGTAATTGTCAACTCACCCTGCCAAGTTATATCTTGCTGAATACCTTAACTTCTGCCATTACCCAAGCCTGTCCCAGACTATCTTTACATTTAGGATTCTCGTCTGTCTATAGTGACTTTTGACATCTTCACTGCATAAAAATGTCATCGTATTTACCAAGACCTATATTAAATGCCAACTATACTTTAAAACTCTCCTTGGTCTTCCTTCTCCATTCTTTCCTATGTAGTACCCTAATTTCTGTGATGCCCATTCTATGAGAGGACTGCTCCCACACATATGAAGTCCTGTCTGAAACATGAGCCTTCAGGTTCAGGAATACGCCTAGAGTGCCAGTACCATTTAAGTGTTGATATATTCACCTACCGTTATACCTTTGTTTAAAGTTGAAAACAATTTACGGCAAGGCCATCAAAGAGTATGTGAAGAGTTAAATAAGAAACCTTGAAAGCAACAAGCCCTATTCTCTGGTTTAAGGGGGAATTTGTGGTTGGTGACACTGAAACTTCCATTAACCCACTTTCAATGGAGGCAAATGAATGGACATCAGAGTCTTGTCTGGTTTCATTCATGACACTTGAGCTGCTCCTCAGAACTTTCAAAAAAAGTTTATCAGCCCAGAAATACATTTTTAAAAGTAAAAGCAAAAACATGTGAAAAATTCCTCTCATAACAGTAAAACAACATTGTGATATTTCTTTGTTATATACCTGGTGGGGATGAGGCAGTGAAATACAGAGATCAGAGAGAAAAATGACCTGATATGAACTGACATTAATATATTTGGGGATACAGTGTCAAACCAATGTTTAATTTTGTTTTCCTAAGTAGGCCAAAGCAAGTTTACTAAATAACCAAAAATATCTAAATTTTACTAAGCACTTGCTATGTGTCAAATGCTCTGAAGGCTGTATTTAATTTAATCTCTTTATGGCACTTCTGAGGTAGGCAAACATTGTCATTCCCATTTTACAGTTGAGTTCAGTACTAGTCCAATGCCACATGGCTAGTCAATGTCAGAGCTGGCACGCAAATCCAAGTTTGATCCCAAAGGCTGTTATCTTACCCACTATGTTACAGGGTCATGAGAAGTGGAAAAGGCATGATTCCAAACTGATACAATGGGGCTTCCACACTGATCCCACACTGATACAATGGGGCTGCTCTGGGTGTCCACAACACCCACTAAAAGATAAAAGGCTTCAGAACTGGGCTGCAGCACCATGTTATGGAGTCATATGCTTGCTAATGTATGTTCTTTACCCACAAAAGAGAACTGGGCTAGACTCTCTGTGCTAAAAGTTATCAGAAAATAAATATTCTACCTTCCTTCCTTTGCCCTAATACACGGTTTCTCATCTTTGGCCTTATTTGCATTTTATTGTGGAAAACTGTCCTGTCCTATACACTGTACATTGTTTAGCAGCATCTGTTGGCTCCACCCACTAAATGACAGTAGCACCTTCCAACCAGTTGTGACCACCAAAATGTCTCCTAGAAGGCCAAACATTTCTAGTGGAATGAGAGGGAATAGCAGGGGGAAAAACACCCTCAGTTTAGAACCATTGTCCTAGTAGGATAAGTACTGAAATAGAAATTTTAAAACTCTGTGCTCAAGTCCTGCTGCAAGTCATAATTTTTCCTTGGTCTCCTTATCTGAAGAATACTGGTATATGTATTATCTAGAGCCTAGGGCTGTGGTAAGAGAAAAAAAATACAAAAATTAAGATGAGATAATGCCTATTAAAGTGGCAGCAGCAGCAGTAGGAATAGTAATATTTTAGCTCCCTTTATGAGTGATACAGACTTCAGAAAGAGTTGTAAAATGGAAAAAGCACTGAACTGGATATTGAAAAAGCTGGGTCCTATTCCTGGTTTTGACTCCAGCTACCTGTGTTTCCTGGGGAAAACACAGTATTATTATTACCACTATTATTATTATTATTATTATTAATTTACCTTACAACTTTCATTCCTCACATAGTAGTGCCCTATTTGTTTTGGAGAATTCTCTCTCCCTCACTGGCTGTAGTCACAGTGGGAAGGTAAACCCAGGTGCCTAGAAGCCCAACGGGCAGGTTCCTCCTCTCACCACCTCTGCACAACCATGAGGACAGCATGTGATCCACGCTCAGCCTACTTGCTCTTGCCCAGAGCTTTGACTCCTGATCAGGGGGACATGGATAAAAGTATCAGATGAATCCCATTGCATTCTCCCTAAAGACCATTCTTATGATTTTACCTCCTAGCCTTCCAAAATTGCCTTTTTCCATGCCTGGTTCTCCTCTCAGTTCTGTGAACTTCTAATATTCTTCTGTCTCTGTGTGTACCAATTGTCCCCAGTTATTATTTGTTCTCTTCTTCTGAAGTAATAGGGCCCCAATTTTAGTTTGCCTTGTTGCCAAGCAGAATAAAATCTGTATTTCTCATATATATTTAGGCATCTAGGTTGGGCTGTGCAATTAAGTTTGAGTCGTTTGGATGTAAGCACAAGTGATATGCATAAATTCTAAAACGTGTCCTCACGACGAAGGCATGCCTTCTTTTTTCCTCTCTTTTCCTATTTCTTGGAAGGTAGACATAATGGCTGGAGCTCCAACAAGCATCTTGGACCATGAGGTAATCTTGGGAATGGAAATTTTGCATGACAGAGCAAAAGATAGAGGATCTTGGTTCCCCGAGAGCATTATGCCAGACCTGGATTGATTATTTCTAAAATTCTTGAGTTTGATAGGAAAAATAACTTTCTGTCTTGATTATTATGACAGCTATTTCTGTCTCTTGCACTGAACATAAGGAATTCACCCTTTGCTTCAGTTATCTCTGGTTACTGTCTATTGCTTGCGCCTCTTTCAGGTGAAGGTGATAGAAAATCCAATTCAAACTGGCTTAAACAATAAGAAAAAATTACTGGCTTACAGAACTGCGAAGTCCTCAGGTAACCCAGGCTTCAGGCAAAATTCAATCAACATTTCAAACAATGTCACTAGAGATCAAGTTTCTTTTCCATCCTGCCTTCCATAATTTCAACTTCACTTTCAATTTTCATATGTTGATTTCCCAGCAGCTCCAGCAACTTTTTCTGAGCTGATTAGAATGGTTGACACAGTTCAAAAACTCACATTTCTTTTTCACACCTCTTCACAGGAAGAGAAGAGTCTCCTGCAGTCGTCCCTAAACAAAAAAAGAATCTCTCTCTCTCAAAACCAAAACCCAAACAAAACAGTCCTCAGGAAATATACCTTTACATTTTATTGGCAATATCTAGCTTATCATCGTCTTGTCCGTGAGCCAATCACTGATGCTGATTGGCTTCTATCAATTAGGCCCCACTCCAGAGACTGAAAAGTGGGTCATTTCTATACAAGCCACATAGCTTAAAATAGTTAAAATGGTTCCCCAAAGCAAAAGGTAGAGGTACTGGTCCGTCAAACAGAAATAGAAATATTTATTCAGCCCACGTGTAAAAGTTATGATAATTATGTCCAATAATTGTGGTGAAGACGTTTTGAAAATCTTTAATTGCTACGTAAATATGGAATACTATTAGTAATATTATAATGCATTGTTTCTCTCTTTTGTTCTTTTCCAACTGAACTTTCTTGGAGTTTGTGGCACTACATTAAGAGTAATAGGAGCCTATAATTTTATAGACTGCCTCAGTTTTTCAAAGCTAACATTTATGATATTATAATTTATTCTTTCAGCTACAACTGAAAATATTCTCCCCATTTCCTCTGATTGTAGTTTCATAGCTACAGCCACGGTATGATCTTTACCTCCCTCTAATGTCTTGGAGGTAGCTCACTAAGCCAAAGATTTTGAAATAAAAATATTACCAGAGAATAGGAGTGAAAAGTCATAAGAGTCTCTAATATTTTCTCCCTTTGTAGTCAAGGCTATCCTTTCAAGATGCACTTCTAACCACATCACATATGGAATTAAAATCCTTCAGTGGCTGCCTTACACTTGAGGGTTAACCGCTAGCAATGGTTAACCCCATGTAACTCCTAGCATGGCTTATACGGCCCAGCATAAGGCGGCCCTGGCTACGCCTCCACATCAGTCTCCCACCTCTGTCCCTTGTAGGCTTCTCTGAGGTCACATTGAACTACTCTAGGCTCCTGTGCCACAGTCTCTCTGTGGGCCAAAGTTATGGCTTGCTGCTCCCTTTGCCTGTAACATCCTTGCCAATCCTAGAGGCCCTGCCAGCACCACCAAGTGTCCCATCTAATGCATTATTTCTCATTCTTCCAGACTCAGCTTAGATGTCATTTTCTTTTTTTATTTTATTTTAATTATTATTATACTTTAAGTTTTAGGGTACATGTGCACAATGTGCTGGTTAGTTACATATGTATACATGTGCCATGCTGGCGTGCTGCACTTAAGGCAGCTTTCTTTCTGGAGCAGTGAGGCCTAATCTCATCTCCCATTATCTGGCTCACTAGTACAGTAGGCATCTATTTTCATAATCCTGACACTCACTCATTTAATGACTCTGTTTCCTAATATTTCCCCAAAAGTCTCAGGTCTGGGAGAATGTCTTTTTCTCAGCACTGTATCTTCAAAGCTTAGTACAGTGTCTAAAATATAATAGTACTAAATTAATATGTATTGAATCAATTAATTAATGAATCACCGAAGGCCCAGAGCATTTTTTCATTTCTATAATTGAAAAATTTATAGAGTTCTATGTAAGAAATTATATCTCAAATGGCCACCTACTAATGGTTAGAAAAATGAATAGCCATTTGGATAAAGGTTTCAGAGTAGAGAGGACTTTTTGAGTTTTAAGTTATATTTGTGACATCTTCAGTTTGATGTGCCGTGTTTACATCTGTGATTCCCCTCACTTTTTAGAATTTGAAAATATACTATTTTCTTTGATCTCATATTTAAAATGATTTTTCTAATACAAAGGATTTAGGATTTATTCTTCTTTTGATAACATTTATCAGCATTTTCTGAGATAACTGATAACTCCCTGGGCTCAAAAGCTTAGAGCTGAGATTCACTCAGTGAAATTTTAAGATTATCTATAATCCACCAAACCAAACCCAGCCCTAGGAGGTATGGATTGATGCCTTGGCTGTTCTGTCGCAAACCTCTCTGGCAAAGCACAGCAAGGAGACAAGTGTGGGAGGGCAGGAACAAGCAGCTCAGGACAGATCATAAACGACATCTAGGGTGGGAATAGGTCTTGAAGTTGTCATTAATTCCAGTTCAAAATAAGACACTTTTTCTTTGTCAACATTTTGCCTCTAAAATTGGGCATAAGAGGTTTCTAACCCTAGGACAAGGAATTCAACCATGATGGATAGGTGTTCCTGAAAAGCCATAAAGGGACAATTTGAGTCGTAAGGTTGACTCTGAGGCTGAACATTCAGGAGTCTCTTGTGACCCTTTAAATCTACTTTATAAGAGGAACATTTTAAGTTGATTTAGTGAGATGGTTAAAACTTAATTAGTTATCAAATAATTACCTAATGGACCTTTTTTGAGATATAAGGTTGAGCCACAGCTCTAGCTGCAATGCAATTAATTTTAAATTTTATAAGCCATAAAAGGTAATCACAGCCCTACAAATCAGCTAAGGTGCGAAGATAATATTTAGATGCTGCACTGACACCAAGACACCTAAAGCAGGTTAATTGGGTGGCAATTAGTAAGAAGAGTGTTAATTGCCATACTAGTCTTATATTATGCAAATGAAATTACATTTCAATTAACAGTCAAGAAACCAAACAACTCAAAATGTATGGGCAATAATAGCAATCAGCATGTTTCACAGAAGCCAAAGAAATACTCTCCTTAATGGGAAATTTTGATCTTGCCCTCAATTCAATAAGTTGTGATCACTTTCTCATTTCTGTGCATAAATTTAGTAGGGCAATCTGATAGTTTAGAGTTGGTGTCTGACATATGAAAGGTAATTTATAATAGTATATGCTGGGATTACATATGAAAGAAGAAATTCGTGGTTCATTTAGTTCAGTTTTCTCTGAATGTTAGGCCTGAAAAAGCATAAAGGAATTGGCTAAATTCAAGCAGGAAATTAGACACAAATCTGGATCAGGATCCTGATATAAGAGGACACTTTCTACTATATGAATGTCAATAGTAAAATATTACCTGCCTTCAATAGAATAGTATGTTCTAAGAGATGGGATTTGGAGCCATACAGATCTAGATATTTCACTTACTGTGTGACCTTGGGCAAGTTACTTAACTTCTCTAAGCTTAAATTTCCTGACCTATGAAATGATAAATGTGCCCACCACATTGTTCTATCTGGGATGTTTATTGAAATAAGCTATCCAGAGTTTGGCTGGATGGCAAGCAGACAATTAAACACCCCAAAATTAGTAGCTATTGTTATTAGCACTAGTTTCATAAGAAAATACATTTGTATAGTTTGAGGAGTTCAGGAAAGTAAATCTATCCCCTCCCATGAAGTCACATTACTTAAAATTATCGAATTGATAATTCTTTATTTTTTATTGTTGGCTAAATGCAAATGCTACTGGAAGCAGCAACACTTTAACTTATTTTCAGCTAACACCTTAGCAGGAATTAAGGTTCTAACAGTAACTGCAGTCAGAAAGACCAGTGACTTCAGACTTTTGAGATGGAATGCATGAGTGACTCAGAAGTAAAGCAAAAGGAGGTACAGAGATGTCGGAAAGGGAAATAGAAGGACACAAAGTAAATGTCACTGTCTTTATCATTTTGCCAGGGATGTCTCACCACGAAAATCTAGGTCGAAAGCTTGCCTCTAGGGGTATAACCATTGACAAAGGAATTATTGGGTTTGGTAGTTTTGTTTTCAAGCTGTGTAAATATACACAAAGATAAATAGTGATTTTGGTTATTTTGACCACTATAAATTACTTGGCTAAAATCATCCACAGTGAGGCAAAGGGAATTGGGTTGATCATGCTTCTGTTTTAGCCTGAATTATCAGTATAAATACAGTGTCCATTGCTGGCAGGGGTCTGATGTGCTATAAAGAATTCTGCCCATGAGCAAAAGTGACAGGGGAGAAATGAGCAGCTGAGGCTTTGCAGTGTTTTCTCGGAACATAGAGGACACGGACCATTTGAAAATCTTGTAAAAACTATGGCTTACATGATTGTAACAACAGATCAGGCTCAAGGAGGAAAATAGGGAAGCTGGCACAAGAATTCTTTAAGAGAGTGTCACATTTTGAACAATACGTTTATACTGCATTTTCACTTGGCGTTTGCATTGGTTAAAACCAAATCAAACTGGAGGCCTTACATGTGGTTAATAGGGAATCATTAGTTGTTGCTTCTCCCACTTTATTCCACAATTTCAGCTTCTTTCAAATCTTACCTCTCACCCTCAGTTATTTTGTAGTTCTTCAAATGTGCCTCATGCTGGCTTTTGTTCTAGAAGAAAGTGGTTTTAGGTACTCTGAACAATTTTTCTGAGAGAGTTAAAAAGCAGTTGTGGCAAACGGACACTAAGGTGGCCCCTCTGATCCTCACTTGCTTTACTTTCACCTTTGTGTCATCCCCTCACCTTTAGTGTGGGCAGAATCTGTGACTTGCTTCTAACCAACCGAATATGGCAAAAGTTGCTTCTGTGAACGTGGTACCTAAGATTGTATCATATGTTTGCTAGGAGACACTTTCCCTCTTTGGCTTTGATGAAGTTGGGGAGGGCAGTGAAGCAAGGAACTGAGGGCAGTCGCCAGGCAACAGTCAGTGAGGAAGTGAGGGCAGCCTCTAGTTGGCAGCCAGCGAGAAACTGAAGCCCTCAGGACCTGAGTCCTGCTAATGACCACAGGAGGTTAGACGTGGATCATTCCCCAATTCAGCCCCATCTGAAAACTGGCCCTGGTGACACTCTTCAGGCTTGGAGAAAACGCAGTTGAGCTAATTCTCACAACCACAGGAAACTGTGAGCTAATAAGCGTGTGTTGTTTTAAGTCACTGAGTTTGTGATAACATTGTTAGGTAGCAATAGATAACTAATACACTGGTAGTGAGTAAATTTTTGTAAAAATTATGATTTTAAATGTATTGCTGAGCTGCTACAGAAAGAATCCATAGATCAAAAATAAAAATAAAAATAAGAACCTTCAAATTAAAGCTGAATTTCACCCTGTGGATTTATTTAATACCCTGAATATGTTGAGTTTTGCTTTGACTTTTGCATGGGGCACTGACCAAGAAAAAAAAAATTCTAGGGATTTGCCATATAGAGAAATACAACAAGACATCCTTGAAAAAAAAAAAAAAACTAGTTGAATCTGCTATGTAAAAAGAACAACAAATAAATAGCAACTAGTTGAATCTGCTATGTAAAAAAGAATAACAAACAGCAAGAGCAACAAACAGAAAAGTGCAATAAAGAAAATTGCCTTTCTCTAACTTGGCACTTAGAATAAAAGTAAATAATCTTTTCTGAGCCTGTTTCCTGTGAGTTTTGGGTCCAAATTCATGTTAGTTACGTAGTCTGAAAATTCTTTAGTGGACAACTCACAGTAATCAAGATAGTTAGTTTCCCAGGAGACTGGAACATGTAAATCCTATACAGGAAATTGAACTTCAATCTAGGCATTAAAGAATTTTGATAGATAAAATTCCAATGAAATGAGCTATTCGCAGTAAAAAAAAAAAAAAAAAATACAAAAACACACAGTGAAACAAAACACAAGGAGGGAGAACCAGCAGAAACAGCAATAGTGAAAATAGAAAAACACTTCAAATATAAGGGTTGTCAATTACAAAACATTACACATGATGTTTAAAATAAAAATACAATGTCAAAATTTGAAAATACAAGCAAAAAACAAGAAACTGTAAGTAAAAAGCAGATTTGAGATACAAAATAGATTTTCTAGAAATTAAGCACATTAAACTCATTAGATTAAGAGAAATTGGTGAACTAAAAATAGATCTGAAGAAATACTCAGAATAAAATCAATAAAGAGAATACAATATGACAGCTTAGTGATAAAGAAAATAGAATGAGTAGGTCTAATATATTACTATATTAAATAAAAAACTAGTAGCATGCAATTAAAGCAGTACTTTAGAAAATATATGGCCTTAAAGCCTTACATTAAGAAAGAAAAAAAGACTCAAAATTTATAAACCAAGCCTCTAGTATACAAAGAAGTTATAAAAAAATTACTTCAAAATAAATTCAAAGAAAGTAGAAGTAAGGAAACAAAGAGAAATATCAACACTTAATTTTTAAAAAACCCTAAATGTATTAAAAAAAGATTATTAAATCCAATAAGATAAGTTTATTAAAGATTACTAAATAAAAAGATAAGATTGTTAAAGATAAGATTATTAAATCCAATAAGTTTATCAAGAAAATAAACTTGATAAGAATTCTTGTTGAAATGTATCAAGAAAAAGAGAACTCAAAAACGGTAGAATAAGAAATGATACGCAAGAAACAGGTATTGCCAATGCTAAACAATTAAAGGATATTATGAATAACCTAACATGCCAAGTAATCTGTAAAATTAAATGAAGCTAATAAATTACCAGAAAAATAAAACATAAACAAATGTATGTCAGAAGAAATAGAGAACTGTCTTTTCAGAATTATATCATTATTTAAAATATTTCCTGAAAATCATTTCAGGCCCAAATACCTTTAAAAATAAATTTTATCAAATATTTAAAATACATATAACTCCAGCCTCACCTATTTTTTTATTTTTTATTTTTTATTGAGACTGATTCTCACTCCATTGCCCAAGCTGGAGTTCAGTGGCACCATCTTGGCTCACTGTAACCTCCACCTCCTGGGTTCAAGCAGTTCTCCGGCCTCAGCCTCCCGAGTAGCTGGGATTACAGGCACGTGCCACCACACCTGGCTAATTTTTGTATTTTTAGTAGAGATGAGGTTTCACCATGTTGGCCAGGCTGGTCTCAAACTACTGACCTCACGGGATTTGCCCACCTTGGCCTCCCAAAGTGCCGGGATTACAGGCGTGAGCTATCCCACGTGGCCCAATTTTCCCTATATTCTTGAAGGAGATAGAAAAAGAGAAAATACTCCTTCTTTCACTGATGAGGCTAAAATAGGTTTTATAGCAAAACCAAACAAGGGCAAAGCAAAAGAAATTACAGGCTTATCACACTCATGAACAACACTGCAAAAATCCTATGGGGAATACTGAAATCTTGAAGATAATGCATTATTACCAACTTGGGTTAACTGCACAAATCCAGGGATAATTTAATATGTTAATATGTGAAAACTGAAGAAACTGGTTCACTATATTAATAGATTAAAGGAGAATAAATATGTAGTAATCTGAAGTGATGTGACAAAATTAAACTTCTCATAAAATTTAACATCTACTTATAACAAAATTCTTGAAAATTAGATGGAAGAGAATTTTCACAATCAAAGAGGATTCACAAATACAAAGAAACAAACAAAGCTACAGAAAACAATGTAGGTAATGCCCAGTGTACTTCTTCTAATCAATATTATGTTAAATGTCCTAGCAATGCAGTAAAGACAAATAAAAACAAAAAAGGAAAGATATTGACAAGTAAAAATGAAGTAGTTGTTGTTTGAAAGTAATGTAGTAATCTAAACAGAAAATTCAAAATAATTCAGGGATAATTTATGAAAATTTACAAATGAATTTTGTGAAGTTGCTGCATTCATGGTTAATTAATAATTTATTACATTTCTGCATGCTGCCAGCAGTAGTCAATGATATTACTGATATGCGTGTGTGTGAGTATATACACATGTATATATACATACATATATATCTGTACATACAGATGTATATGCACATACATATATATATACATCTATATATATACACCCACACACCCACCCACACATATATGTATTTAAAACATAGACAATAGTCAATTACATTACTGATATGTGTGTATGTGAGAATACATATACACATTTATATACACATATATCTGTATATACAGATATATACACACATACACATATATATACATATGCACTCACACATTCACACACACATATATATATTTAAAACATAGGCATAAGTTTTAAAAAATATGCCAATTTTTCATGGAAAAAACATAAACCTAAATAACATTTTAAAATACCAAAATAAGTTTGTATATAAAGATAGATGTCCATCTACAGAAAACATTAATGATACAATGATATCAATATTCCCCAACATAATATATGGGTTCAATGCAGTTCCAATCCAAACAGCAATAGAAATTCAAAAAGCCAAATTAATGTAGTATTTTTGTAGATAAAGACAAAAGACCAATAGAACAAATTAGAAAGTCCCAAAACAAATTTTACATATTTGGAAACTAGATTTCTATCAGAGCAGGTATTCCAGATTTATGAACATAAAATTAACTATTAAATTATTGAAGTGTTAATGTTTGCAACTCATATGGAAAAAAGTAAAATTGTGCCCCTGTATTGCACTGTATACAAAATGTAATTTAAGATGAATTAGAAACTAAAAAATTTTAGAGGATCTATTATTACCTACAGATAGAGAAAGATTTCTTAAAACACAAAAGGAAAGGTACAAACCATTAAGGAAAAAAAAATATATGTACACATATATACATACACACACACATATACATATATGTATATGTGTTTTTTTGAGACAGAGTCTCACTCTGTCACCCAGGCTGGAGTGCAGTGGCACGATCGTGGCTCTCTGCAGCCTCTGCCTCCTGAGCTTAAGCAATCCTCCCACTTCAGCCTCCTGCGTAGCTGGGACAATAGGTATGTGCCACCAGGCCCAGCTATTTTTTTCATCTATCTATCTATCTATCTATCTATCTATCTATCTATCTATCTATCTATAGATAGATAGATATATGAAAAACATATATGTTATGTATATATCAGAGACACAGTCTCACTATGTTGCCAAGCTGCTGTCCGTCTCCTGAACTCAAGTGATCCACCCACCGTGGCTTCCCAAAATGCAAGGATTACAGGCATGAACCACCACTCCCAGCCTAATAAACGTATTGATAAATGCTAGTAGAGTAAAATTAAGAACCCTGTTCATCAGAAAGCAAATAAAGGAGTAAAAATGCAGAAAGAAGGTTTTTGCAACAGTTATAACTGAATGTATGTGGAACACCTGTGAATATGTAAGAAAAATATAACAGCTCAATAAAGAGAGAAAAGCATCTCACAGAAAGGGAAATGCATGTGGCTCTTAAATATATTTTAAAAAATTAACTTCATTTAAAAAAGAATAATCATTCTAAGCAAAAACACCACAGTGAGAATCACTCTAAACCTACCAGACTGGCGAAAATTAAGAAATCAACAATCTAACTTTAGCAAAAATGTAGAGAAATGAGAGAACTCATACACTACTGATAAGTATATAAAGTACTATGACCATTCTAGAAAACATTTTGACATTACCCACTGAATTTGAACATGTGCATGCTATAAGAGCCAGAAATTCTGTTCATATCTATATTCTTTAGAAAATATATTGTACATCATAGGTAAATACCTTACAGAAAAAATCTTGTGATATGTATATCAGTGACACCCACAAGAATGCCCATAAGAGCAGTGTCTGTAAGAACAAAAAACCTGAAATAATTACTGTGTCCACCATCAGTAGAATAATAAGTAAAATAAATATTTATTCAACAGAAAAAATAGAAAAAAGAATGGGTTGCTAGTGCATGCATCAACTTGGGTTAACCTTCAAAAGATAATCACCATTTTTATGGCTGCATAGTATTCCATGGTGCATATGTGCCACATTTTCTTTATCCAGTCTATCATTGATGGGCATTTGGATTGGTTCCAGGTCTTTGCTATTGTGAAAAGTGCTGCAATAAACATACACGTGCATGTTTCTTTAGAGTAGAATGTTTTATAATCCTTTGGGTATATACCCAGTGATTGGATTGCTGGGTCAAATGGTATTTCTAGTTCTAGATCCTTTAAGAATCGCCATGCTTTCTTCCACAATGGTTGAACTAACAGTGTAAAAGTGTTCCTATTTCTCCACATTCTCTCCAGCATCTGCTGTTTCCTGACATATTAATGATTGCCATTCTGACAATCATGAGATGGTGCTCATTGTGGTCTTGATTTGCATTTCTCTAATGACCAGTGATGATGGGCATTTTTTCATATGTTTGTTGGCTGCATAAATGTCTTCGTTTGAGAAGTGTCTGTTCATATCCTTTGCCCACTTTATGGTGGGGTTGTTTTTTTCTTGTAAATTTGTTTAAGTCCTTTGTAGATTCTGGACATTAACCCTTTGTGAGATGGATAGATTGCAAAAATTTTCTCCCATTCTGTAGGTTGCCCGTTCACCCTGATGATAGTTTCTTGAGTTCATGTCCTTTGCAGGGACATGGATGAAGCTAGAAACCATCATTCTCAGCAAACTAACATAAGAACAGAAAACCAAACACCGCATGTTGCCACTCATAAGTGGGAGTGGAACAATGAGAACACGTGGACACTGTGGGGGTGGGGGGCATCACACACTGGGGCCTGTTGGGGGGTGGGGGGCTTGGGGGAGGGATAGCATTAGGAGAAATACTAAATGTAGATGACGGATTGATGGATGCAGCAAACCACCATGGCACGTGTATACCTATGTAACAAACCTGCATGTTCTGCACATGTACCCCAGAGCTTAAAGTATAATAAAAAAAGATATTCACCCATACATTTGAAATAATGTTGAACAAAAAAGCATATCTCAGAATAATGCATATAGTAAAAGATTTTAAAACAAGTAAAGCTAAAGCAAAACCAAGTAGTATATTCCTCAGGAATACCTACATAGGTATTAAAATCTGTAAAAAAGAGCAGGAAAACGATGCTAATTCACAGTTGTGATTAACGCTGGAAGTTGAAGTGAGAGAGATAACACAAGAAGCCTTACAATACAAATAATGTCCTGTCTCGATCTGGAAAGTCAGAACCAGTTGGTCATTTATAATTATTCTTGAAACCATAAAGACATATTTTCAATACACTTTACAATTTTAAAAAGTTTCTCTAAAGTTGTATTTACTACCACTTGGGACAGGTCATGCTCTTCATCTCCTGATCCTACCTCTTGAGTTATATTTGTTTCTAAGTGCATGGCTCTCTGAGAATGTTAAGGGAGAGTAGACTTGTTAGGATTCCATATACTGCCAATAAGCTGCCACGTCTCTGGACATGGCTGCCATCTCCCAGTGCTGCCAATATGCTGGGAAGGATGAGCACCAAAGCTTCCCTGTGGGCTTGTAATCACCTGACAGGACAGGGTCTTCGTTTGTTGCACAGGTAGGGCTACTTCACTGAGACAGTGGTATTGCAGTAGAGAGAGTTTAATAATTGATGGGCTTGCCAAGTGGAAGGCTGGAAATTTATTACTCAAATCAGCCTCCCTTAAAATTCAGAGGCTAGGGTTTTTCAAGGATAATTCGTTGTGAATGTTAATTGGTTTGGTCAGGGATGAAACCATAGGAGGTCAAAGGTGTCTCCTTGTACTGAGTCACTTCCTGGGTGGGATCACAAGACCAGTTGAATGAGTCTCTTGGTATGGGTTACCAATTCAGGTGGCACCAACCGGCTGGTCCATCAGAATGCAGGGTCTGAAAAATACCTTAAACACCAATCTTAGGTTTTACTATAGTGATGATATGTATTGGAGCAATTGGGAGGTTATGAACCTTGTGACCTCTGGCTAACTGACTCCGGAGCCATAAATCTAAACTTGTGGCAAATTTGTCAGTTTTAAAAAGGCATTTTCAGTCTCTAAGCAAGATGGGGGTTAGTTTCAGGAAGGGATTGTTATCATTTTGGTTTTAAACTATAAACTAAATTACTCCCATAGTTAGTTTGGCCCTTGCCCAGGAATAAACAAAAGCAACTTGGAGGTTAGAAGCAAAATGGAGTCAGTTAAATGAGATTTCTTTCACTGTCATAATTTTTCTATGTCAGATTTCTCTCACTGTCATAATTTTTGCAAAGGTAGTTTCAGGCTCTGGAGCCTTCCTTGCCCTGTAGCAATCATACGTTCCCAAAAAAATTCAGGGAATGTCTTTCTCCTCCTAGTTACTCTCTGTCCCCTTGGATATCCAACAGTGTTGCTTGCCCAAGGTCTCAGTGAGATTTAGTGCAAATCAAGCCTGCATTTTGTGCCAATATCCTTCTCCTTAGAGTTCCACCTAGAGTCCATGAGATGCACTAAGGGAAATATTTGAATCCAAAGAACTGAATTTATTCTGAGTTCTCTTGACATTTTTTTCTGAAATATTGGTCCCTAACTAGACCAAGATGGTCAGCTTCATTCCTTTTTTTCATTGGAACATATTTTCTTCCCAGGGATTTTAGTCTCTTCTGACAAGTAAGCTCCCCTCCCGTCAAAAATCCCCAGAGCTTTCTAAATGTTGGAAGAGGTAGTCTTTCTTTAAAAATAGAGCCTTGACATACTGTACATGCAAAATACCTTGATTCATTACTGTTGATAATAATACATCAAAGATGCTCCAAATTTCAAAGAGTAGGGAATTAGTGAAATTAATTATGGTATATCTACATCATATAATTTTTTCACACTAATTTTTTTCTATGTAGAAGAATTTAAAGATTATGAATCATACAAATTTAAGTATAAATGCAAATTACATAGGATGGATACTGTTTGTGAGGCCTTGTGAGTGTGATATGCACGTTTGTGTGTTTGGTAGGATGTACACAAAATACACAAAGTACACAAAGTGTGCATGTGTATTTGTGTACACAAAGATATTAACAGTAATTATTTCTGGGTATTGAGATTACTGGTAATATTTGCTTTCTATTAAAAAATAAGATATAATTAGTTATTTGATTTTTAATTTCTCTTTACTACTAACATCTCTTAAACATATCAAAAGTTGAATTGCAACTTCAAAAATATGATTTGTATATTTTCTTTAATAAACACACAATGATCAATGTTTTATTAAGTATAGTCCCTATATACCTAAATATTTATTAAATGGATGAAAAGAGTTAAAAGAAAAATTAGTAACAAAAAACTTTAAACCACCAGTAATACCCAAAGGCTTGAAAGAACATCTAATTTTACTGTTGCTCAATATAAAAAGATTTTTTTGTTATTTAACTGAAAGACAACAGGCAAATCTGCTGAAAGCACTGAGATTAGAATGACAGCATCAGTTTTACCCTTTCTCATTAAAAATAACAATTATTCATGGCACAGAAGTATTTTTTGTGTTAAAATTAATAATCAGGTACTCTTGTCATTATCATATATACAGAAAAAGAACAATAAATTGGAATTAAACAAATATCAGCCTTGCCCAACCAAGATAATTTATATTATTAATATTGATTTTAATTTTTTTATTCTTCCTAATTTTTTTGTTCTATTTTAACAAGATCTTAATCAAGTCAAATATAGAAAAAAAAAGATTCTATAGCAAAAAAATACAATTGCAAACCTACACCCAATTACATCTTTCTCATGTCCTGTGAATCCAAGAAGGGCATGAAAAAAACTTGTGGTTGTGCCCGGACTCATTTTTGCCATTGTGCAACAGCAGAAGGTACCAAGTAAAAATAAGAAACAAAAAAACAAAATACAACTTTTAGAGCTCTGCCCACTGATGTGCATTCGGGTAAATATCTACACTGTAAAGTAATGTATTAGATGTTAGATCTAAACAGGTGACAACTGTCCCATGATCTAGGGTAAGCTCTGCCAGAATTTCCTATTAAACTATCAGTCACCAGACACTAGGTGCCAAATAGACAAAGCTGTACATTTCGTTTCCCAATATGTTATTTCTCAAAACTATAACACACAATGTGTCCTCATATACAAGTGCCTAGAAATCATAATAAAAAATGACCACATTTGTCTATATATGAGCCAACATATCAGAGAAACACATGCAATTCGGGGAAAAGAAAATCTTTCATTCGCTACTGATTATAAATGTGAGTTAAAATCTAAATCAATAAAAACAAACAAATAATACTGTTCTCAGTGTTTCCTGACAGCTATGAATCATAAATTAAAATTAATAAAATATACAATATGGATTCTTTTCAAAGTTTTGAATACTGGTTATTAAGAAAGGTCTCTTAAAAGAGGAGCAAGCAATGCTGGAAGTTCAATGTGGGTCATAGTCAATACTTTAGTTGTACGGAAACATCATTCCATAGTTATTAAGTCACTCAACAAAAGCATCTTATTGTCCAGCACTGTGCTATCTATGAGACATACAATGATGAGGAGAGTAGAGAAGATCCCTGCCCTCTAGTCTAGTGGGGAAGGCAGACTATTTTCAAATAAACAGATTAAAATCTGTTATAATAAGTCAGTATATAACAGGAGGATTTCTTTTTCTTTCTCCTCTGACCTTTTCTTACCTTTTACATTCCCATCTCTACTTCTACCTCTACCAAGTCAGCTTGTACTTGTGAGAAGGCATACTTGATAAGACAGAAAAAGGATATAAAGACAAAGTTACGGCACACAGTGGCCAATGTTAAGAAAAAAAAATTCTGTTTTGCAAACAATTTTCTCTGAAAAAAATCTAACAGACCTCACACATCCTCCTAAGACAACAAAACTGAGGAGCTGCTGCTGTCTTATCTCCCTGGGGACAAGAGCACAGAGCAGGGAAGGGGTGTGTAAAAGACGCTGTTGTGATGGAATGATCGCGAAGGAAGGAAGACCTTAGAATGAGATTCAGAGATATCCAGTTAAAGTCAGGTAACACATTGAAAATAAGCAACCTTTTGACATTATCCTTTGGTTTCAATGTGAACATAGCAGAGAAACACATATAACCAGGGAAACAATACTTTCCCTATTTTTTTTTCTGGTTTTGGATCAAATATTGCAGACATAACTAAAGGCATCAAATGTCTCATCATAAAGTAAATACCAATGATTAAAATTAATGGGTTATAGCCAGATAAGTCAGGGAGGTTTCCTACAGGAAGGGATGTTTTATCTGATACCTGAATGAGAGCAAGTTCAGAAACTAAAAAAAAAAAATTACCGGGAGGTAAAGGAGACAGGATGACAGGATGAAACTAGAGTCAGTCAGTGACAAGACAACACAGTGCCTTGATGACTACACTAAGGACTTTATTCTTCATCCTGAGAACAAGAGAAGTCTTTGAAGATTATAATAGGAGATATGACAGGATCATGGAGACTCTATATCCATATGGTCATTCGACTCCAGGTGGAGAGCACTATAGAGCAAGCTCTGGCTGGAGGCACATAGGCAGAGTGAAAGGTTAGATTGTTGCCCAAGGGAGATGATGGCCTCATGCAGCAAACATGTTAGCAGTGGATATAAAGGAAAATAGACTCAAGGGGTATTTGGAAGAGAATTTGACCCAAATGGGTAATGAATTGGAGGTATGAGGAGTAAGAGAAAGGGAAGGCGTGAAGATGATTCCTCACTCCTGCCTTATGATCTGGATGAATGCTGGTGCCACTGAGTAAGATGAAGAAAATGAGGCAAGAGTGCATTTGGCAGGGAGATTTTAATCACAAATTTGAATACAATGAGCTTAGATGCCTTTGAGATAGCATATCAACATAGAAATGTTGAGTCTGCCACAGAATACTAAGCTCAAGAGTGTTGTGTACAAGTCAAATGAGGAAGAAGTCAAACGGAAAATTCTGAGATCTGGGTCATGTCTACTGTCCAAGAAGCACCTGCAAAGCCTGGCATTCAGACACCAAGTAGGAAGCCAATGAGAGAACAATCGAAGTGTCTCAACCTTCATTCTGCTCCCTCTCCTCATCCCTGCTGCCTCCCTATAATCTTCCAGAAGATCCTGCTCAGTCTTTAAGAACTACTTAAGCACTGCTTAAGAAAACTGAAGTTTCAGAATATTGTCTGAAACTTCGAGAGCACTCTTGCACACTCTCTATATATACATATTATGTACATGTAAAGATGAAAAGTAATGGCAAAAACCGCAATTGCTTTTACACAGTGTGTGTGTGTGTGTGTGTGTGCGCGTGCCTTCAGTTAATCACATTTAATTCACTTAATTTTACTTAGAGGCAGGACACATTTGCTAAATCAAAAATTTGAACAAAATGTGTGCAAGAAGCTCGGTTAAGGACTGTGGATGGATAAAAAGATATAATAATAACAAACATTTGGTGAGTTCCTTCTCTGTGACACTTACTGATCACAGTATTTTACATGTATAAATTCATTTAATCCTTTTAACAACCCCGTGAGTTGAGTGAAATTGTCCTCTCCTTTTTACAAATGAGAAGAATGAGGAACGGAGTGACTCTATGACTTACACAGCTATTGAATAGCAGATCTGGGATTTAAAATCAGGCAGACTGGCTCTGAAGCCCATACTTTTAATCACCATCCTATCATGTCAAATAAGACTTGACAAGTCTTATGATCTTACTAAGAAGATGATAAAAACATAAAGGATATAATAACATTGAAAAGCCCCTCGTTACTTAAATCGAGGAAGTTCAGGAGATTATTCATATGTATTTAAGTTTAAATTTTCAAGTGACTGCACATTATCTTAGTCAGGATAGGCTAGAATAAGCTGCAGTCACAATTGACTCGAAAATATCAAGAGTAAATGTTTATTTATTATCAACATTACATTTTCAACATGAGTCAGCAAAGGAGCTCTGATCATTGTTACCACTCAAGTACCCAGGAGGGAAGAGTGGACATCTTGACATGGGATTTAATAATCTTTCAGAAGAGTACTGAAATGTCTAATATCTTTCCCAGAACAGAAAAACAACACTGCAACTTCTGAACGCATTTCACTGGCCAAAGGCAGTATGGCTACATCTAACTTGAAGGGGATGGAGAAGTAGAATAAGTGAGATATTTGTCAATATCTCTATAAATGACCCTGCTGGACTTCTTATTAACTCTTGTGATGGTGGCTCCTCATAGCTAGACCAGCAGTAGCCAAAGGAGAAGATGGTGAGTCTTCTGCCAAAAGTATTTCTTGTTGTTTCCTTTTGTTGAACTCCAGCCACAACTCTTTAATAGAAGATCTCAGAGAATCATTACCTTGTTGGGAGCTACCACGAGTTAGAGATATTCATTCCAAAGGAAAAAAGCATTCTAACTCAAGATGTAATACTGAATATGAATCCAAAGACTAGTAGAAAAGAGACAGGGATAAATTTAAAAACTGATGTATTAAAATGCAAAAAACAACTTTCAATATATCTGAAAGTTATTTCTCATTGCCAGTGACAAGACATGTTTTACTGTAACCATAGTCCTTTGAGGGTGCTGGAGTACCTCTGAAAGTAAAATAAACTCACCCCGTATTAGAGAGAAATGTTGTATTCTACCATACCCCTTTTCAATCAGAGAGATATTTGAAGTAAAGAGCCCTCCTGAGTTTTTCTTATTACCTTAAGACACCCGGAACATGGGACCAGAACTTTATTGAATATCAGGGCCCATGGGTCCTTTTCTCATGTAGTACCAAGGAGTCAGCAAACAACCAATAAAGGAATGTAAATGCCATCAGAAGAAGGGTTGAATAATACTGAGCTAGTGCTGTTTACAATCAATAAATGATAAGTGAAGCAGCCAGGTGCAGTGGCTCATGCCTGTAATCCCAGCACTTTGGGAGGCCGAGGCAGGTGAATCATCTGAAGTCAGGAGTTCAAGACCAGCCTGGCCAACATGGAGAAACTCCGTCTCTACTAAAAATACAAAAATGAGGCAGGAATGGTGGCACATGCCTGTAATCCCAGCTACTCAGGAGGCTGACACAGGAGCATCACTTGAACCCAAGAGGTAGAGGCTGCAGTGAGCCAAGATCACTCCATTGCACTCCAGCCTGGGCAGCAGAGAGAGACTCTGTCTCAAAATAATAATAAAAATCATAATAATAAAAGTGAAGCAATTTGACATCTCATTCCAATGTAAAGTAAAGGGAAAATTAGCACCTCATGCAAAATTTCCTATTGGTGTCATCCTAAATTTTTAGTGAAAATAAAAATAATACATATAAATTCATGACAAGCCTGGAGGAAAATAAATGTATAAACTTAATCCCTCAAACACAAATATGACACAAGAAAAATTAAAACAAATTAAGGAATACTATGTGCAATTACAATTTAACAAAAATAAATTTGAAAAATGTGAAAAGATTACATGCATATATACATAGATAGAAATATATCCACACACTGTCTATGCATGTATATACATAGAAATATATCCACACACTCACACACACACATAGAAAATACACACACACACATACACACACAAAATATTAAAATTACGCAAAAGAGGTAGATATTCTGAATGAAACCAGTTACCGGGAAAAGTATTGAAAAAGTTATCATTTTTAAAAAATAGATAAGAAAATCCACCTCTGGAAAAGACTGAAGGCATGGGTGATTTAATGGGACATTACTTTTAAATAGTCATGCACCAAAGAACTTCCATCATATATAAGTTTACCCAGAGCACAAAAAGCAGTGAAGCTTTTTCAATTAATTTACTCAAGTTAGCCTAATAAACCAGTTACAAAGCACAGTAAAAGAAAGCTGTGTACCAATCTCATATCGCAATGTAGAAGTTCTACATAATACACAAGTAAATCAAATCTAAAAGTATACTAATAGAAAAATATACATTATAAAGAATTGTTTGGAAAAAAAGAATATTTTTGCACAAGGAAATATGTTGATGTAATTCACACTATATAGTATCATTTCAGATTTCCAGATCTAGAGTTGGACAAATGGGGCTTCCAATGCCAGCTCCACAAATTACTGGCTGTGTGACCTTGGGGAAATTACCTAACCATTCTGTGCCTCTCACATCTGACATAAGCTGCAAGTTCAGTAGGTTCCCAAAATCACTTACAATTTGGATAATTTGCTAGCAGGATCACAGAACTCTCTATAGGTTTCTAGTTTTTGGACAAATTTGAAAATATTCTCATCATTATATTTTTAAACACTTTTCTGTTCCTTCTTTGTTCCTTCAGGAACTTCAATTACACATTTATTAGGCTCTTTGACATTGTTCCACAGCTAACTGATGTTCTGTGTTTTTTTTTTTTTTTTTCAATATTTTTCTCAGTGTGTTTCATTTCGGATTGTTTCTACTGCATGTCTTTAAGTTCACTAATACATCTTTCGGAAGTACATAATCTGTTATTAGTTAAAATTTTCATCATAGAAGTTCAGTCTGGGACTTTTAAATGCCTTCTCTGTCTCTATTTAATATGCTAAGTCTTTCCTATACATTTCTAAAAATATTTTCATGCTTTGTCCATTTTTCCAGTTGTGCCAGGCAAGAGCGGAATGCAGCTCTTGTCACTCCACCTTTACCAGGCGCAGAAGTCACGTATATTCAATTTTCATTTCTTCTGCAAAGAATCTTAGATCTCCATTCAAAGTATAATGGAGCTACGCTCTCTGTTTGTTCATGTGCTTGTTAATATAATGAAATTAATTTGAAATATTTACATTTTTAATATTCTAGAAGAGTGAGGATCAATATTAGAATATAAGTTATTGGGTGGGGAGAGGGGAGGGATTTAAAAAAATTATGCTAAAATACATATATGAAAAAAATAAAATATAGACAAAGATATATTTAAAAGAAAAAAAGAACTGAGTTTAACCTGATGAACAATAAAATCTGACATCAGATCTGAAAGACAGATAAATAAGACAGCACAGAAAGCTCTGAAACAGCCTATTCTAATAAATAATTTAATATAAGACAAGGATAATATGTCATGAAGTAGAAATGGATAGATTAATAAATTACAATGAAATTAAAAGTTAAAAATAATAAAACTATAGCTGTATCACATACCATTGATCAAAATAGATTCTAGAATGAGTTATGTAGTTAAAATAAAAAGTACATGTAAATGAACTGGTAAAGAAATTCAGATGAATCTCTGTTATAAAAGCAAGGAATCAATTTCTAACTGTAAACTCAAAATGTGAAAATCACAAAGGAAAATTGTAATAGATTTTAAAACATTAAATAATATTTCTTCTACCTGAGGAAAATATTAGTAAATTTAAAAGACAAACTAGAAATCTGTAATGTATTATAAAAAAGAATAAATTATTATAATAAAAGAGAGCCTTATAAATCAATAATAAAATTACCAAAAAAATTAAAATTACAATGTATATTTTCAATAATTCGTAGGATAACCAAAAGCAATAAACATATAAAATATTTCTTACTAGTAATAAGAAATAAACATTATAAAAACTTGAAGTACATTGTCACTTCAAACATTGTAAAGGTTAAAATACAATTCCCAGAATGATGAAGGTAGTGGAAAAGGGGAATTCCTACACTCATGACAGAGATAATATTTAAGATTTCTGGACAATAACTTGGCAATGTATATATTTGGAATCTTAATAATGTTGTAGCATTTAGCAACTTACCATATTTTTAAAGCACATTTAAGGAAGTATAACACTCATAACATAGTCTTAAAATAGACTACAAAATGCATGTCCTGTATGATATACTAATTTAATTTTTAAAAATACTAAACTGTAAACAGTGGCTATCTCCAGATTTTGGGAGTGTGTCTAATATTTATGAAACAATATTACTTTTATTGTCATAAAATGAATCAACATCTATCACTCTTTAACGTGTTATTTATTGTTACTATAATCAATCAGGCACTCCACTGAGGAGGTAATGGGGAGCTTTTTCCATCAGAGACTGTAGAATAAAGTAAACTACTCCCCCAAATGTTGGCACTTACTCTGGAATGGCATAAACTCTATAATAAACTCTGAGGCCAAAAGAATGTCTCTTTCTCTCTCTCTCTCTAAGTCTGTCACCGTGAAGTTTAATCCTTCTGCTGATAGTCAGGTAATTTCAGTACTAAGGTCTTAAATCTAGAAGGGGGCGAAGGGAAAAAATGCTTTTTCCTGGACATATGTTCCTCATTATGTCAGTCCTTTTATAGCTACGGCTTCAAGGTGACCTTGAAAGGAAACACCCAGCAGAGCCAGAAGTTGGTTACTGTTCACTAGAGAACAGTGTTGCAGTGTTCAGTGTGTAAGGAGAAGTTACTTTACCTCTCAGAGGTTGTGTAGCAACTCCTCTGTGCCTACAAAATGAGTAGAGATATTTTTACATAAACTTTCCAAAGAAGTCCCACCACTGCAGAAAATGGATTAACTTATGAGGTTCCTGAAAGTACATGTGTTAAATAAGCAATAAATAACTGCTAAACGAATACATAGAGAATGAATGAAGTACCGCAAGCTTCTTTGCCTTGTGTCTATGTAAGAGCCTGTCATTCTTCCTTTGCATCTTCATCACCTGGGGAGAATTTTTATAATAGTTTCCCAGGTTCCACATCCCAGAAATAAAGCAGCATCTGGTCTGGATAGGGTCATGACAGAGCTTTCACAGACATATACGCTGTTCACCATACAAAGATCCTCAGTCATAGAGGCAACTTGGGCCTGAAGTCCAGCCTGTACTTTTGGATTAGGCTAAATTCGCCCAGAAGAAGGAATGCTTTCTTCTAATTCATACAAAAGTGTGCCTGCTGACCAAGCCTTGCACCCAGGAGTGCACCTTCTCATGATACGTGTGTGTGTGTGTGTGTGTGTGTGTGTGTGTCTGTGTGGGTGTGTGTTTTCATACAAAGATGCTATATCGACTACCTGCAGCCTTAATCCAGGCCTCAGGATTTTTTAACCATAGTTGCTTGAAAACTATGGTTGAAAACCACAGAGCAACATCAACTATTACCAACACTGAGCTCAAATTCTTCTCTACAGAATCCGGTTTCTACATTTTTCCATGCTTACAATTCCCCCTCTCTGCAGTCTGAGAACCTTACCTCCACTGTGCTTGTCCCCTGACTTCTCACATACATACCCATGCGGACCGTCTGCCCACATTCCTTCTATGAACTATACTTCCATAGTTTCTGTATAGTAACCGTGTTCAGAATGTTGAATTAAATGTAATAAATTAAATTTATTAATAACAATATAATGAGTTAAATCTAATAATGCAAAACTTACAAATTGAAATTCTAAAAGTATGAAATTCAAAACTCTGAACTTGATTACTACAGCTTGTGAGAAACAGGAGCACGAAGCTGTGGAAGGTATATACGTTGAGATTAGGAAGGTGGTGGCCTCCCTGCAGCTGCACAATTGTCACAGTGAGAATGCTGGTGAGCATGGGGACAGTAATGGGTGATGAATCTGCTGCTATATGGATTTTAAAAGATATTTCATTATCCAGAAAAATCAAGCCAGCACAGTGGCGTGTGCCTGTAGCCCCAGCTATTCAGGAGGCTGAGGTGGGAGGATTCCTTTAGCCTAGGACTTGGAGGATAGCCTGGGCAACACAGTGAGATCCTGCCTCAAAAATAAATAATAAGAAAAAGTTACTCAGTTAAGTCCAAACAAAAGTAACCTTATTTTTTGCAATCACCTGCATGTTAGGAAATGTAATAAAAATAGGAGTATGACATAGCCTTTATCATCAAATTCATGTAATCTAGAGGTACTAAAGAGGAATTAAAAACCATGGGGAAAGTCCCCTTTAAGAGCTCCCCTCAGTTTCTCAGCAACATGCCTGAGAAGGCTAAAAAAAATTAATAAATAACATCAAAAGCTGGGAGAAATGTGCATCAAATGTAAGACACATGGAAGAGAAAATCCTCCCAGAAAACAGTCTAGAAGGAGGAATGATGGTATAGAAAATTGTCATCTGCATTATGCCTTAACAGGTAAGGATCTGTAGGAGAGGCAGAAACAGAAGTGTTTTGGTAAGTGTACATACTGGCACTGTAGATCTCCAAGACTCATTTTAATAAGAGTGAAGGAAAAAGAGAAAAGTTGAAAAAATATTCTTCCATCAGGCATGAGCATGATAAATATGATTTTCTTTCTTTTATTTTTTTTTTCAAAACAGTAGAACTTGAAATAAAGGCTGTGCATATCTACTGCGGGGAACAGTTCTCTAAAGGGGTTTACACCTGCAACCATGTTCATGCTTGAGGATGTCTTGTGTTAACCTAGACAGCTCAGCAATTTGGTATTCTGTCCAAGGAACAGGAGGTGATATGAAGGGACTTGTTTGTAAACATGCTCACTGTCTTGGAAATGGTGTTTTGTTTGAAACAAGGTGACAAATCCCTCTCAAGTTGAAAGTAAGCAAAAGTAGAAACTAAATAGATCACTTTTGAATTCAAGATGAGCAAATAGGAAACTTAAAAGTAAATCAAAATATGGTAAAACCTACATGTGAATATATAAAATACAGTGTGAATCAGGGAAAAGAAGCAGTATTGTGTAGTCAAAAGGGAAAATAACACCTCTAAATAAGTTTGGAAACATCAAACAGAAGAAAAATGTCACATACTCATTGTAATGGCTAAAATTAAACATCAACAATACCAAGTATTGATAAGAATGTGGCGTCACCGGGACTCTCACACATTATGAATGGGAGTGTGAAATGGTACAGACACTTTGGCAAAAGATGAGCCAGTTTCTTATACATTTACACGTGTAACTGTCATATGACTCAGCAATGCCACTTCTACAACTTTAATATAGAAAAATAAAAATATATTTCTGCAGAAACACTCATAAGAAATTGTAGGCCAATTTTCCTTTTTTTTTTTTTTTTTTTTTTTTGAGACAGAGTCTCGCTGTGTCACCAGGCTGGAGTGCAGTGGCGCGATCTTGGCTCACTGCAACCTCCGACTCCTTGGTTCAAGAGATTCTCCTGCCTCAGCCTCCCGAGTAGCTGGGATTATAAGCATGCACCACCACACCTAGCTAATGTTTGTATTTTTAGTGGAGATGGGGTTTCACCATGTTGGCCGGGATGGTCTCGATCTCCTGACCTCGTGATCTGCCCGCCTCAGCCTCCGAAAGTGGTGGGATTACAGGCGTGAGCCACAGCACCCGGCCGCCGGTTTCCTTTATAAGGGTGCAAACTGAAACCAACGCAAATATCTTTCAACAGGTATATAAACAAGTTGTGGTATAGTCATACAATCGAAAACTCCTCAGCAGTAAAAATGAGCAAACCTCTAATAAACACAACTACATGGACAAATCTCACAAACCATACAGTGAATGAAATGAGCCACACAAAAATAGTACAAGTTATACGATTCAATTTACATAAATTTCTGGAACAGACAAAACTAATTTGTGACTCTAAAAATCAGAATAAATGTCATCTATGAGATGGGGCAGAAATTGACTAGGAAGTGTTGTGTGGAAAATTTCTAGGGTTGATGATAGAGGGATCTGAGTCGCTTACTATGTGTATTAGTCAAAGTGCACTGAATGGCTTAAGATTTGTGCATTTTATTTTTATGTAAAATTAACCTCAAAAGAAAACAAGAAATACATATTGAATTCTTGTTAATTCTATTTATGCTAAAAATATTTAAGGTGAAATGCTGTATTAGTTACCTATTGCTCTGTAACAAATTACCCCAAAATGTGGTACCTTAAAATAAACATTTTTTCCGGGCTCGGTGGCTCACGCCTGTAATCCCAGCATTTTGGGAGGCCGAGGTGGGCGGATCACCTGAGGTCAGGAGTTCAAGACCAGCCTGGCCAACATGGTGAAACCCTGTCTCTACTAAAATGCAAAAATTAGCCTGGCATGATGGTGGGCACCTGTAATCCCAGCTACTCAGGAGGCTGAGACGGGAGAATCGCTTGAACCTGGAAGATGGTGGTTGCAGTGAGCAGAGATTGCACCACTGCAATCCAGCCTTGGTGGCTGAGTGAGACTCCGTCTCAATAATAATAATAATAATAATAAAAAGCATTTTTCATATTACAGTTTGTATAGGAGAAGAATTTTGTATCAGCTGATTGGTTCTAGCTCAGGTTCTTTTAGGAAGTGGCAGTCAAGGTGGTAGCAGGAGAAGTGGTCACCTGAAAAGTTGACTGGGGTTGGAGGATTCTCTTCCCAACTCACTTACATGGCTGTTGGCAGGAGGCCTTGGTTCCTTATCATGAGGGTTTCTCCAGACGGCTGTTCGTGACGTGATAGCTAGCTTTCCCCAGAGTGAGCAACCCAAGAAATACTGGAAAAAGGAAGCTTTAGTGCCTTTTAAATCTAGACTTAGAAGTCACATGCCATTATTTCTTCCATATTCTACTGATCACATAGACAACTTTGATACAATGTAGGAGGGGGAAACACAAGAGTGAGAATATCAGGAGGTAAGGATCATCTCAGTGCTGTCCACCATGAGGGTAGTGATGCCTGCAACTCACTTTAAATGTTACCCTAAAACAATGGATTAGTAGATGGATAGATGGATGAATATATTGATAGACATAAGATAAAACATATATTACAACATATTAACAACTTTGGGATCTAAGTGATAGGTACATATGTGTTCACCACACAACTCAATAAACTTTTCTATATGTTTGAAATTTTTCAAAATAAAATGTTGGGGAAAATCACTTAATTCTAAGGAGATATGAGAAGACATGGCTTCCTCTAAGTAGGAAAGGTCATCAAAAGAGCTCAGTCTAATTAGAAGGCAGAGCTGCTAAAGGGTGATGGGTGAAATGCAAGATACATGGTTTTGCAGGGGGCAGCACTGGAAGAAATGTTTGCACTAGGTGTCCAATGTCTGAAAGGGCCTCAGCATAGCCACACCATCTGCCCCCAACATATTATGGGGGAGAGCAAGCTATTTCTTATGGATGTCGGTCACTCAGACTGTGGCAGAACAGAAGCTTCTTTGGAGTTTGTATTCAAGAGAAGGCAGCAGTGACCTTTGTTACTGTGAACCGATATATGAAGACCAGATGGGAACAAGTGGCATCTCAGTGGATGCTCATGCAGATTAAGGTTTGGGATTGTGCCTATATTAGATACAGAACTATACCCACTCCTGAATCCAAGCACAATCCCAAGGCCAAAAGAATTGGGTTCATATTGAGAAAGGGGGTGAAAAAGAATGGTTGGAAACATAGAAAATCATAATTAATGGCTAGTGATTTTCTCTGTGCATTGGTGTCTTAAATAATTTTGAGCATTTTTAAACTTTCAAAAGGGCTAGGAATTATTTTTCTATAATTAGCATTAATAATAACAATTAATTTTAAGAACATGATAAACAGTAATTGTACAGAGAAGAAAATATCCTCACTCATACATGACTGTCGGTGTTATTATAAACATGGTTCTTTTCTCAAACTAGTATGACTTTTCCTCAAAGGATATATTTCAAAGTATTTTCTTAGGAATACAAGTGTTGTTACCTAAAGCACAACAAACAATGAAGTGCAACTCTAGGGTCTGTGTTTGACTCAGTCCTTTTTTACTTTTTGGAGAAAAAAGAAAAAAAAAAGTAATGTAAACCATTCGATATAATTAAATCACATACTAATAAGGACAAACAGAAACTAAAATACACATGCACCTACACACAGGCTCAGTGACTGAAATGGGAAGAAAGTCATGCCCAGAAGAGCTGGAAAATGGAGAGCAACAGGCACAAGCTAAAGGCAGTCATCAGGCTTTTGTTCTGGCTGCCTGTGCCCTGCCCCTATAGCCTCTCCACAGTCTAGACAGTTATCTTGGCAACAGACAGAAGAAAGAACCATATGCAGACACGCAATTTAGAGCAATATGTACGGGACAATGTGGGAACTTGAACTGCCCCTCCCCTCTAACGTTTAGCAAATTTGGTGAAATCTGAATGAATATGGGGTGCTGGTGGTCGGAGGGAGAGGAGGATGACTCAGACTATCTCTCAGAAGCCAAATTTAACTCCAAGAGATCTGTCTCTCACCTGTTAAGGGATTCAGGAGGGTTTGGTAACCTTGATCTGATGCACTTTGGGAAAGCATAAACATCAAATAAAAAACAGCAACCATCGAGTTTGTGCTAAAGCCATCATTTACTTTTTAAATTTTGTTCATAGATTATCTTCTCTTCCTAACTTTCACTGTTTTCTTTTTCAAGGGACCTGCGTTATCTCCTTAAGAGCAAGTAATGGAGCCTCAGAGGTTACCCATTTCCTATTATCACCCTTGAGGAAGTGCAGAGCAAGCTGGGGAGGAGAAGGACAGCCTGGTACTGATGAGAGAGCAGTGTGCCCATGCAGCTGAGAGGCAATTCAATCCCTAACTTGATTCATCAACCTGCTCACAATCCGCAGCCCTGTGAGGATGGTGATCTGCGGATGTGACAGGATTTTCTAGAACCCAGAGGGCATGTCCCTGGAATAACTGACACAAAAATCATCCTTACTAATTATTCTATAATAACATAAAAAAGAGCACTATTGTAGAATGTCAAATTATTTTGTTTGTTAGAAGGTAAACTCTTTTTGTAACATGAATAAACCCCTAATATACTTTAGTTGCATATTCTATCTTCCAGATACTAGGATTTCTTAAAGCAGGGTCTACCTGGACTTAATGATACTGGTTGCTACAGGCAATTCCCACCTCCTCACTCCAAGATAAGAACAAGATCTCCCAAGGAGCATCCCAGCTATGAACTCCAGTGTCTAAGGACACATTACGACAGCTGTCTGTTAAGAAGACAAGCAATAAAATGTTCTATAAAGGCACCCAGTTAAATTTCCAATTAAAATGATATAGTGCCTTCATTTTTTAAGTTTTCCCAAGGTTTGCTGATGACTAAAATTATGTAATGACTCTTTCAAGATTTTAAATCTGCTAATTAATCTCTGCACCTTTACAATAACCCAGAGCAATAAAAGGCACAATGAAAAGGAGCAGAATAATGTACAAGCGGATTAACCCTTGGGAAGCTGATCTCTTTCAGCCTTGCTGGCTGGTGATTTAAAGTGGGTCAGGATATCACATGGTCACACAGGTAATTGGCAACCTCAGAAGCAGTCTCATTGGATGGCAGCTGTGTCAGAACTGGTTCTGCTTCTACTGCAATCCCTATTACAATGCCTGGTGCATGCAAGCCTCTGCAGTTCAAAGTACAAGATGAGTGGGGATGTGGGGAAGGCAGAGACACTGCAGAGTCCTGAAGGGCAGAACTTCCAAAAACAGTTTAGTGAGTGATCCTGGAAAAGGTCAAGGGCTGAAACTCTCTAAGGGGGACCCAGGAGGCCACAGTCTGTGTGCTGAACTCATGCAATGCCAAGTGGAAAGTCATTGTTGTTACCAAACCAAACTTGGATCTGCACACCTGAAACAGCAAACACTGACATTGAGATTGAAGCTAGAGAAAGTACGGCATTTATTGTAGGGCGTCAAGCAAGAAGAGTTGGGCAGCTCATGCTTAAGACCTGAACTCTCCATTGGCTCACAGGTAAGGGTTTTTAAAGGCAAGGATGCAAAAGTTACAGGTAGAGTCATCAATCAATACATAGAGGCTATGTATTGGATTGACCTGAAAAGGTGAGACATCTCAAAGTGGGGTACCTACAGGTCATAGGTAGATTCAATGATTTTTCTGATTTGTGATTGGTTAAGGGGATGAAGCCTTGTCTAAAAATTTGGGATCAGCAGAAAGGACTGTTAGCTCTGGCTCCTGGATGTGACCTCCTCCAAGACCCTCAGGAAGAAATTTAAAACAAAGAAGAGCAGTCAAAGTTCAGTCCTCAGATCCCCCTTCTCTGAGGTCTATGTGCCAGCGAATCCATTTAGTGGGGGTCTGGGTTTCTGAAAAACAACTTAGGGACATACGTTAAGATGTTATCTTTAGTTTTTACAGGGAACCAAACATTCTCATGACTCTAACTTCCTTGGCTATTGTTTTAAGTTACTATTACCTACTTGTTTATCAAGTTGTTCATTTCCTTCTCAGGGGTAGCTAGGTGCCTAAAATTTCCCTTGAAGGAACTTAGAATTTTCACTTATTTCCATGCTTTGGGGTGGTACCCAGCAGGCCCCTAAAATGGGTACTTGCTGTAACTGTTAAGTGGCCCAATAGGTCTGAGGGGAAGACAGAGAGATACCTTGGAAGGAAAGAATAATCTGTATTTGTGACTTGAAGCTAACTTGTACCCGAAGAGAATGTTTCTTATCCCCAACTGGGCCTCAGATGTATTTACTCAACTGTGTTACCATTGCTTACAATAGGTAAATAACTGTGCCCATTACTTACCTATTGTCTCTCAGCTCCATGCCCACTTTCTATTATGTTGTTCAGGATGCTGGGGCTGGAGCCTGCCATCTGTATTTCCCAGACTCTCTTGCCAAACAGACTCTCTGTTTAGGGTCTGCCAATGGAAGTTACTAAAGGAAGAATGAAATTGGGAAATAGAGAGGAAGAAACTCCTTTGCATTTGCTAATTCCTGGCAGCATCATTGAAACAGCAGCAGCAAGCAACTTGCAGATGATTCCTGATGAGAAGCACAGCCAGGATTAAGACTAGGTTCTGTTTGGTCTCAAAGATTATGTACTTTCTCTAATCATACACTACCTCTCTGGTAGGAAAATTAGGAAAAAGCAACATTAGAAAACTTTAAGAAGGACTGATCTGGAGAGTAGTTAGCAGCGGTCCATACAGAAAGAGAGATCTGAGAAGAGGCTGCTGGAGTTGGCAATGAGTAGGATCCATTATTCAGAGTAATGGAGACCATGAGAGGTGGAATCGTATGATTGCCCCATGATCTTTGGTCCCTGGCGTTACAGCCTTGAGTGCAGATGAGAACCTGTAGTTTGCTTTTAGTCAACAGACTATGGCAAAGGTGAAGAGATTTTGCAAATGTAATTAAGGCCCTCAATTAGTTAGCCTTAAGCTAATCAAGGGGTAGATTGCCCTGGGTGGGCCTGATCTGCTTAGGTGAAGCCTTTATAAAGAAGTGAAGCATTGGAGATATACTCCTGCTGGCCAGAAGCAAGAAAGCAAACTGCTATTGTAGGTGAATTATCTATGAAAAGCAGTAAGGTAGCCTCCAGGAACTAAGGGTATCATTACTACAACTGTAAGAAACTGAATTCTGCTATCAACCATATGAGTTTTAAATAGGTTTAAAAAAATCTCAGATGAGAGGACAGCTCCAATCAACACCTTGATTTCAGCCTGATGGAACTAAGCAAAGGATCCAGTTAACTCCTGATCTGTGGAAACTGTGAGGTAATACATTTGTATTGTTTTAAGTCCCTAAGCTTGTGGTAATTTGTAATGCAGCAATAGAAAACAAATACAGGAACAGAAGTCAAATTTCAGGCAATTATAAGCACACACACACACACACACACACACACACACACACACACACACACAGTGCTCTTCTAGCTACTGGCTGAACAGACTCCTGATACCAAACAAATCCATCATTTGGAATCATGCTGTCATTCCCCACCTGTCTAAAACAGCTTACTGCTAACACCCCACCCTCATACTGCATCCCACTAGACAGCAATCTCATCCCAGATCAAAAGTGGGTTCATATTCCCTTCTGGAAGCTTGTATTAAATTTCTGGTTATAATCTCTGTGCTCCAGCCCATGTTCTTTTCATTAGATCTTTAGTGGAAAAAAAATCCAAAGAAGCATCTGAATATTTTTATTATTATTTGACTATACACAACAGAGAGACAAAAAGAGTTCTTTAACTCGACTAGGGCATAAGGACCTTTACTAAACAAAACAAAATAAAACCTGTGAAAAAAGAGGCAACAATAGCAACATGTAAACAAAACGGCACCATTATAATTGTTAGGTCTTAGCAATTGAAATGGAACTTAATGGTGGTGATGAAGTTTTCCTACGTGACTGGTTACTTTGTTTCCTTACTAGGCAGTACTTTTCATGTAGGCAGTAAAGTCAAAAGCATCCATGACAAATTCTCAAGGGGATACACAGATACCCCTTATAACAAGCAAGCAGATACAGCAACTGGTAACATCATTATATACAGCTGAGTTGAAACTCCTTAAGAAGGCAATCTAAATAACCTTGTCACATCCATTCTCCACACTTTTCCTTTGGCAAGTGCTCCATGTCCCCGTGAAGCCTCATTTCCCCATCTATTGCCAAAGGCTACCATTTCATATCACACATCAAAGCGTGAGAAATGTCAAGGTAATGAAAACTGACACCGTGGCAAAGAGAAGGTGAGTCACAGCCATTGTGGGGAAAGCTGGGTCAAGGTCCTTCTGAACAGGGTACTGGATCATCCCAGCTCTCCTGTAGCTGTGCTCACGGAAGAGCAAGAGCTGGGCTCCACAAACACAAACACACCTCTTGAATAGCAGCCACAAAACACAATTTGTGATTCAAAGTGAATCCAATGGCAAGACAAGCAAAGAAGCTTCAAAAAACCTCCTTTGTCCTCTCAAGTTTTATTATGAATTCAAAATATCCCTGGCTTAACTTAATAAATCGGCTATTTAGCTGTTACCCATGCATCTGGACAAACTTATTTAAATATTTCTCAAAGAAATTTATATGTTAAATCATGAATTTGGCTTTCTAGCCACCTCTTGCAGAAACAGAGCCATATAATTAAAGACTTGGGGAGTCTGAAGGCTTTGCTTCTTGTGCAGATCAAACATGGATGTACATTGGTCTTTGGTCAAGTCACAGAATTTCTTCCTTTAGTTTTCAATTTCAAAAAGTGAACTCTATTTCAGACCTTGAACTTTTTCTAGCCCTACCATCAGGGATTCTCTTTTGCAAGGAGTAATGTTAGCGCATGGTCCAAAATGGACACCAAGACTAGCGAGGTAGTTTAGGTTATCAGAGATGGTCACTTGGAATTTACTGATTTAAATAGTGAACTCATGGGCTCTGTTAAAAAGTGTCTTAATGCTGCACAAAGTCATTGACGAGATGCTTATGTAGCTCGAAGGCAACATAATTCTAAAAGAAGAATACTTTTTGGAGTAAGAAGGTTATTGCTCTTATCTAGAGTAAGGCTTCCATGTGATTGAATATATAGATGTCATATCTGGTATAAAACAGTGTTGCAGCAAAACAGGAATGGAGATAGAAAGCTAACATTCAAAGGAGTAATATACTGATAAAAGAAGAGTCCATGACAGCCCTTTCATTAGTGTTTTCTGCCAATATTGTTATTTGGTTCCTTATGAGGATTATAAATAGTATCAAATTTCTGGCTTTGATACATTCCATTCCTTTGTCTCGTTTGGTTGCAATCCACAACTTCACATCCTTGGCACTGGATATAGAACAAGCTACTGGAAAGTTCTTCATCCCCAGACATCTGGACTAACTCGCCATTCCTCAGTTCTGTACCCTGTGCATAATCAATGACTTCAGAAGTGCCAGGCACAGCCGAGATCGCCACATTCCTCCCAACTCTGAGTTCATTCCTCTCATCAAGCATCGGGAATGGCTGAACAAGGAATCAGGTTCTCTATCATAACTCACAGTAATTACTACTCTGATTTATCTGGGTTCTCAAATATTTCATTTGCACTTGCTTTTGTAGTTCTTTCTTCAGGGCTATGACACTACTCCACTGCTGAATGCCCCTCACCCCTCCATCCACAGCAATCTACCTGCTGCTAAAGCTACTATATCTTTTACTACATCAGTCCACTCTTTCCTATTTTTCCTCTTGGCTCACTAAACTTTCTGTGTTTCACCTACATGAATATATGTGATTTCTATTACGTTTTATTCAGCATTGGATAGAAACAAAGATGAACACCCTAATATTTTTTCTTTTTCTTTTTTTTTTTTTTTTTGAGATGGAGTCTTGCTCTGTCACTCAGGCTGGAGTGCAGTGGCATGATCTCAGCTCACTGCAATCTCCACCTCCTGGGTTCAAGCAATTTTCCTGCCTCAACCTCCCGAGTAGTTGGGATTACAGGCACCTGCCACCATGCCTGGCTAATTTTTGTATTTGTAGTAGAGATGGGGTTTCACCATGTTGGCCAGGCTGGTTTTGAACTCCTGACCTCAGGTGACCCACCCGCCTCAGCCTCCCAAAGTGCTGGGATTATAGACAAGGCACCACACCTGGCCAATATTTGTTTTTTAAATTAGGTCCAAGCAGGCAATCTCAGGTATTTACCTACATAGTGGAAAGACAAGCTGAGGGTAAAATGAAGAAACCAAAAATGATATCAGGGACAAGTGTTTTCACGTGGTACCTAAAATGACTGCTACTCAAGCAACCTTGTAAAGAGTGGAGGTCACACAGATTGATGGGAATGAGAGTGGAGCGTAGGAACCAAAGAAAACCAATCAGAGGTTGCGTGTTATAAGCTGCCAATGACTGCCTGGGCTAAAATTCTCTACTAGAGAGTGTTTTACCCCAACACAAGATGTTTATAATGTGCAGCTAGAGTGGATAACTACTCAGTTACCCAGACTGTTGAAAATCCTCCTTTAGGGGAATTCAGTGTATGTGTAGAAAGAGACTGACGAGGCCAGCTAGAGACAGCACAGGAAACAGCTCTTGGCAGCTGATTTTCCTTTTTTGTTCTCCTTATTATTTCACAGATTTTGTTAAAATGGAATTTCAATGACAAATGAAATAGAGCTTTGGATATTTTATCATTACAAATATTTGACAATCTTTTATTTTTCTAACTTGTGGAAGCAGGTCCAAAAATCTCTGTTTCAATTCTCATAAACTCTCATGTTTGAACTTGTCAAACAAACCAGCAAAAATATGCCCATTAGCTGAGAGGGATATGACCAGAAGCATAGTAAAAATTACAGTGATCCCAAACTGAATATACTCCATGATGATAAACCATGTGAGGATTGCACTTAATTGAGTAAATCATGGTGCGTGACTATAATGCTTAATTGGGTGCACTTGATTTAGGTTTTTCTTTGTAATAGCTGAAGATAATCTTCTAACTTATGACAGTATTTGAGAAAATCTGAGCCTACATAACAGAACAAACAATGGGCCAACAATTAGCCTAAGGATAAATGTTAAGGAGGGGATAAAGCTGTTTTGTACCCCTTATTTATGTTGCAAGTATCTGGAGTCAGTCCTTCATTGATTAATACATGCACCTCATTGTTCTCCCAGACCCTTGCTATTCTTTATCAAAGAATAACCTACAAATCCATTTTATTTATTTACATGTAGGACCTATATAATCTCAATTTTTTTTTTAAGACAGAGTTTCACTCTTGTTGTCCAGGCTGGAGTGCAATAGCACGATCTCAGCTCACTGCAAGCTCTCTCTCCCGGATTCAAGTGATTCTCCTGCCTCAGCCTCCCGAGTAGCTGGGATTACAGGCACCCACCACCACGCCCAGCTAATTTTTTGTATTTTTAGTAGAGATAGGGTTTCACCATGTTGGCCAGGCTGGTCTTGAACTCCTGACTTCAGGTGATGCACCCACCTCAGCCTCCCAAAGTGCTGGGATTACAGGTGGGTGTGAGCCACCGCACCCAGCCCAATGTCAATGTTCTAATCTAGGAACTCACAAACTACAGTTGGCAACCCAAATCTGGCCATAGTCTGTTTTTGTAAAAAAAAAATTTATTAAGACACAGCTACACTTTTTCATTTGTGTAGTGTTTGTTGCTACTTTCATACTACAATGGCAGAGTTGAGTAGTTGTGACAGAGACCATGTGGACAAGAAAGCCTAAAATATGTATTACCTGTTCCTTTGCAGAAAAACTTTGCCAACCACTGTTCTAATCCATTCTGGATATGCAAATGTAACTATTAACACACATCACTCATCAAAGTCGTTGTTCCTCTAAGCACACTGGGATGTCACAGAATGTCAAGAGAAAGGAAATAAGGGTCCTCCCTGGACAGTCAAAGGTTAATGGGAAAATGAGGAGTTTTTTTTTTTTTTTTCTGATACAAAATATTCAGTTCTGAGATAAGTTTCATCTGTATTTCAAGTTGCCCATCCAGACACTGGAATATTGATAAAAAAATTACATAGGTTGCAGAGTGATATGAATGTATTTAATGACAATGAACTGTATACTTAAAAATGGTTAAATAGTAAATTTTATGTTCTGTATTTTATCACAATTTACAAAAAATATATAGAAAACTGGAGCTACACAGTCTTTACCTTCTTTGTAATTATCCCAGGGACCTGATACCATAGCAACAGACAGTTCTGGGACCAGTAATGAAGTGACTATAGAAATGAACATATTAATTTGATAATCTGTAGTTACAACTAAAGTGTATATCTAATTCACCAACAAAAAATTTCCCTGTCTTCCAGGATTTTAACAGCTACAAAATGAAACAAATTAGATAAAATAAACAAATACCTTAGTAGACACAAATAATCAAAACTGACAAAAAGTAGAAAACCTGAATAACATATATCTATTAAAGACATTTGATTTTTATATAAAAAACCTTCTCATGAAACAATGCTTGACTAATATGGCTTCTTTGGTGAATTGTATATACATTAAAAAAATACCATAATACCAATAGTATACAAACTCTATTGAAAAATACATGAAGGAATACTTTACAATTCATTTAGTAAAGTCAGTATTATCTTAATACCCAAAGGCACAATTAAAAAGAAACTATAGTTTCCTATCTCTCATAAATATAGATATATACAAAAAAATTCTTAAGAAAATGCTAACAACTTGAATTTAGTGATATGTTAAAAACATAATACATCATGACTTAGTGGGACTTATACCAGGTATCTAAAACTAGTTTGATATTTGAAAGTTATCAACGTAATTCACCATACTAAAAGAATAAATAGAAAGACCACCTAATTATTTTAACAGATGTAGAAAAGAATCTAACAAAATTCATTGTGAATTCATAACAAAAACTCTAGAAAAGTAGGAGTAGAAAAGAATGTCACCTGGTAAATATGATCTAAAAAAAACTATAGCTAACAGAATACATAATAGTGAAAGACTGAAAAAAATGAAGAAGGAAACAAGGACATCCACCCTCATTATTCTACTCAGGATAATATTTTAAAAATTACACTAAAAATTACAAAGCATTGTTGAAAAAAAATTAAGGTTGTAAATAAACATATAAATACACCATGTTCATGAACTGACAGACTTATTATTGTTAAGATTTCAATTCTCCCCAAATTGATTCACATATTCAACAAAATCCCAGTCAAAAATCTCAGAAGGTTTGTGTAAACAATGATGAGCTAAAATGTATATAAAAATGAAAATGACCTAAAATAGGTAAAGCAATTTTGGAAAAGAGAACAAAATTGGAGGACTCACACTAGCTAATTTCAAAACTTACCATAATGCTACAGAAGTCAAGACTACCTGAATATAGGTATATGTATAGAAATTGAACTGGACACATATAGTCAAGAAAGGCATCCCAAAATTTCAATTGATAAATGATAATCTTCTAATCAACTGTTGCTCTATAAACTTAGAGAAAAAGTAAACTCTGATTCTTACCTTATACCATACACAAAATCTACCTCAAAATAGATTATAGTGCTATTTCTAAGAGCTCAAAAAATAAAAAGTAAAAAAAAAAAATACATAGAAGAAAGTATCCATCAACTTAGTATAGGGAAATACTTGTTAGACCTCACACAAAAGACAAACAAACAAACAGGAATCATTTAAAAAATATTGAAAATTCCAAGTTCATAAGAGCTAAAAAAGTTTTTTCCTTAGACAAAACCATTAAGAAGTAGGTAAGACAGAAATTGGGCAAAACATTTGCTTTACATCTCTGACAAGGAACCTACAGCTTCTTTGACAATACAAAAGAATAGACAGGAAGTTAGTTCAACTTTACAATGAGAAGATACATAACCCAGAATTAAGAAATAGACAAAACATATTAACAGACATTCCATCAAAAAAAAGATAAGCAAATGACTATTAAGAACATGAAAAAATGCTCAACTTCCTTAATTACAATGGAAATGCAAATTAAATTCATAATGAAAGACCTCTACAAACTTACTTAAATGAATTAATTTTTAAAATTATAAATATCAAGTGTGGCAATGATGTAGTGCAATTGGTAATCTCATACATTGCACCATCTCATACATAGTGGACATGTAATTTAGTACAAATATTTTCAAAAATAGTTTAGCTATGCCTTATAAAGTTAAACATACATGTAAAATATGACTCAGCAATCCCATTTCAAAGTGCTTACCTTAGAGAAATAAAAACATAGATCAACACAAATACTTGAACACTTTATTCATAATAATAAAAAACTGGAAATTACCTAAGTTTATCAGCAGGTGAATGGATAAGACATGGTGGTAAATTCATACACTGCAATACTATTCAGTAATAAAAAAGGAACAAACTGTTAATACACACAAATGCATGAATAAGAGCCAAAATATTATGCCAGGTGGAAGAAGACAGATACAATTGAACACATATGCTCTGATTCCACTTATGTGAAGTTCTAGAATATGCAAAATTAAGCTACAGCGACTGAAAAATAGATTACCGGCTGCCTAAGGCTGAAGATAAGGGTCAGATAGACGAATAAGAGGCATGTGGGAAATAATCAGGTAATAGAAATGTTCTATATCTTTCCTGGAACAGTGGTTACATGGATGGCTAGTGGTTACACAGATGTATATATCTGTCAATCTCATTAAACTATTCACATAGAATAGGTCTGTTTTTATAACTTTAGACAAGTTGCCCATTAGTCACAAGTATGCTTGAGCCACTATGTTTGCAAACAGACATTTTTTTTTTTTTTTTTTTTTTTTTTGAGACGGAGTCTCGCTCTGTCGCCCAGGCTGGAGTGCAGTGGCGCAATCTCGGCTCACTGCAAGCTCCGCCTCCCGGGTTCACGCCATTCTCCTGCCTCAGCCTCCCAAGTAGCTGGGACTACAGGCGCCCGCCACTACGCCCGGCTACTTTTTTGTATTTTTAGTAGAGACGGGGTTTCACCGTTTTAGCCGGGATGGTCTCGATCTCCTGACCTCGTGATCCGCCCGCCTCGGCCTCCCAAAGTGCTGGGATTACAGGCGTGAGCCACCGCGCCCGGCCGACATGTTTTAATTATGGTAAAATATACACAACAGTTACTATTTTAACAATTTTGAAATAAACAGTTCTGTGGCATCAAGTACATTCACATTGCTGTGAGATTATCACAGCGATCCACCTCCAGAACTTCTACATCTTTTCCAACTAACACTCTGTACCTGTTAAATACTGACTCCCCTTTCTCCCCTTTCCCCATCCCCTGGCAACCACCATTCTCCTTTCTTCCTCCAAGAATTTGATTACTTAACGTACCTCATAGAAGTGGAATCATACAACGTTGTCCTTTTATGACTGGCTTATTTCACTTAGGATAATTTCTTCAAGGCTCATCCATATTGTAGCATGTGCCAGTTTTCTTTTTTTAAGGCTCAGTAATATTCATTACACACACACACACACACACACACACACACCCCACATTTTGTTTATCCATTCATCTGTGCATGGACATATGGGTGGCTTCTACTTTTTGTGTATTGTAAATAATGCTGCTGTGTACATGGGTGTACAAACACCTGTTTGAGTATATCATATTTCATTTTCTTATAAATCCGGAAATGAAATTGCCAAATCATATGGTAATTCTATTTTGAATATATTGGGGAATTGCCATACTGTTTTCCGTAGTGGCTATACCACCAGAAATACACAAATGTTCTAATTTCTCCACATCTTTACCAAATTCAAATACATTTATATATGTATAGATATTATATACATGTAAATATATTATGCATACTTATATATCTATGTATAGTTCCTATTCTTATGGGCTTGAGGTAGTATCTACTTGTGATTTTGATTTGCATTTCAGGTGTTTAGCATCTTTTCATTATTGGCTATTTTGTGTATATTTTTTAGAAAAATATACATTCAGATCATTTGCCCGTATTTTAAGTTGGTTTGTCTGAGCTTTTTGTTGTTGAGTTGTTGAGTTGTAGGAGTCCTTTATATATTCTGGATATCAATTCCTTGTCAGATATATGATTGACAAATATTTTCTCCCATTCCGTGGATTGTCTTTGGGTTGCCTTTTCACTCAGTTTGAGTGTCCTTTGATGCACAGAATATTTCAATTTTATCCAACTTACCTATTTTTTTTATTTTGTTGCCTGTGCTTTTGATATCACATCCAAGATGTCATTGCCAAATAAAATGTTATAAAGTTTTTACCTTATGTCTTCTTTTAAGAATTTAATAGTTTTGGGTTTTGTATATGGGCCTTCCTTCCATTGTGAGTTAATTTGTGCATATGGTGTAAGGTAAAAATCCAACTTTTTTATGTGTGAATATCTAGATTTTCTGATGCCATTTGTTGCAGAAAAAGACTACACTTTCTTCATCATATTTTTGGCAGTCTTGTTGAAAATCACTTGACTATATATGCAAGGGTATATTTCTGGATCTGTATTCTATTTCACTGGCTTATGTGTCTGCTTTTATATCAGTACCACGGTGTTCTGATTACCATAGCCTTATAGTAAGTTTGAAAGCAGGAAGTATAAGATATCCAACTTCATTTTTTTTTCCAAGATTGTTTTGGCTATTCAGGGTTCCTTGAAATTCTATATGAATTTTAGGATGGATTTTTCTATTTCTGAAAGAAAAGTCATCAAGATTTCTATAGAGATTATATGAATCTGTAGGTCTTCATGTGGTATTCACAATTTACCAATATTAGTCTTTCAGTCCATGAACATGGAATGTAGTCCTAATTATTTGTGTTTTCTTTAACTGCTTTCAGCAGTGTTTTGTAGTTTTTAATGTACAGGTCTTTTTCCTCTTTGGTTAGGTTTATTCCTAAGTATTTTACCCTTGTTGATGCTATTATAAATTGAATTGTTTACTTAATTTTTTCTAATTATTTTCTTAGTTTCAAATTGTTCATTGTCACAATATAGAAACACAAGATTTTGTGTCTTGAATTTGCATCGTGCAAATTTGCTGAATTTGTTTATTTATTGATTTATTTATTATTTCTAACAGTTTTTCTGTAATATCTTGGGGTTTTTTAAATATAAAATGTGTTATCTGCAAACAAAAATAATTTTATTTCTTCCTTTCCAATGTAAATACTTTTTATTTTTTTTCCTTGCCTAATTGCTCTGGCTAGGACTTCCAGTACTATGTTGAAAAGAAGTGTCAAAAGCAAATCATCCTTATCTTGCTTCTTAGAGGAAAAGCTTTATAGAATGAGTTAGAAAGCATTTCTTCCTCTTCAAATTTTTGCAACAGTTTGAGAAATATTGGTAGTAATTCTTAAATATTTGGTAGAATTCACCAGTAAAGTAATTTAATATTGGACTTTTCTCTCTTGAAAGGTTTTGGTTATTAATTCAGTCTTTTTAGTAGTTTTAGGTCTATGTCTATTTAGCTTTTCTATTTTTTCATGATTCAGTCTCAGTAGGTTGTATGTTTCTAGGAATTTGTCCATTTCATCTAAATTATTCAATTTGGGTGTACAATTATTCATAGTACACTCTTAAGATTATTTTTATATTTCTGTAAAATCATCCCCTCTTTCATTCCTGATTGTAATTCAAATCTTCTTTCCTCTTAGACAATCTAGCTAAAGTTTATCAAATGTGTTGATCTTTTCAAAGAACCAGCTCTTGGTTTTGTTGATGTTCCCTATTGTTTCTCTATTTTCCATTTTTATTTATTCTCTCTAATCTTTGTTATCTTGAAAATATGTTTGTATAATATAAAATTATATCTCAATATAATTCATTTTTAAAGTTAAGAAATTACCACGTTGTCATTCAATAACTGTACCTAGCTCAGGTTTTGTAAAATACTGTGTGTGAGTGCGTGAGCGAATGAATGAAAGAACAAGTGAGTGAGCAACTGGCCTGCCATTAAAAAATAGGACCGTTTCTCCCTCTCTTCTCAATGGCAAGCCGTTTTCAAGTGGCCTTGCCTCATTGGTTAATATAACTGTTATTGTTTTATATTAAGCAACTATTAAATGGCATGTACTACTCTAGATGCTTCACAAACTTAACATTCCCTCATCCAATCCTCTTTAACGCTGATGTTATTATCCTCACTTTGCACATAGGCAGAAAAATGAGATCTGATGTGATATGTAAGCTCAAGTGACTAATGTATGCCAGTATCAAGAATCAAATTCACTCCTGTCTGATTCTAAAGCTATATATTTTTCCATTCTACCTTTTCTGATTTTGGTATTTCAAGGAATAAAATACCTAGTATATGACTTAGTCTCAGGATTTAGAGAGATAGATACAGGTTACTTTTTGTGATGCAGATTTATGACAAGATTCCCAGAAATGTAGTATAACACATAAGTGTGACCTTATGAGCAGAAAAATCACCTTAGTTTCACTAGTCCACCCTGTTTGGGAACTAGGAAACTTTCAGTGTTACTCAACACAGTAAATTAACCACCGATGGCCCACTTCCTCTTTCTTTACCTAGAAAAAATACTTCCTCAAAAAGAGACTTCTACTGTGCGTGATGATGGTTGCCATTCAACATGCAATTCCTTTGTTGGGAGGAGTTAGCTCTAAGCTACTCCATTGGTGACTGAATTTTAACACGCCAGTCCACATATGACTGCCTATATAATCTAAGTCACTCTGGTTTTGCTATCCCAGGATCCACCTTCTACACAGTGCACACTGCATGAATTATAGAAACTAGACTATGGGAAAGTTGACAGTTGCTTCATTTCTCCAGAAAAGCCACATGCCTGCAGCTGTCAAGGGTAGCCCGACCAATGTACCAGGTCACTAGTTCAACACTTGTGGAGAGTTGAGGGCACTGATCCCCATTCTAAAAGATTCTCAACATAGAGAACTAGAAAATATCAGTCTTAAGAGAGTATTATCAATGTTCCCTGAAGGGATTCATTCTATTTTTGTAAACCCCAACTGGTTTCTTAAATATTTAATCCATCATGCAATCAGAATAGTTGTAATCACCTATCATCAAACTGGAAGAAAATATTATTTTTTACACAAAGAGATCATTGTTTCTTAAAAGCAGTAAATGATACATGCCTGATAAGCAAAAATAATACATTTGTTCAGAGGATTAAGCACTTTGAGATGGATTGTTCAGAGAAAGTTTTGTGGGAAGATTCCAATGTAAAATGGGACTGGGGAAAGCACAACATGAAAGGCAGAGTAGTATTTACAAAGACAAAGGAGGAGCCAACCTTTGATGCTGGTCCTCTAATCCTTACACATTCCTCCCTGCTCAGGGCTTAAAGACTTCTAAAAACTGACTCTTGCTTCTCTCTGCAAGTGTGAGACACAAATTTCTACCACCATTTACTAGCCAAGTGATTCAGGCAACTCATGCAACCCCTCTGCACTTCAGGTGATGAATATATGAAAAGATAATCACATCTGCTAGCAGCTGGGGATTGAAGGACTGTGCGTACAAAAGAAAAAAGCACAGTGCCTGGAATACAGAAACCAGTCAACAAAAGCATTTCCTTTCCCTTGACCTGTTCAGAACTTTTTTTTTCTTTTTTCTTTTTTTTTTTTTTTTGAGATGGAGTCTCTCTTTCTCACCCAGGCTGGAGTGTAGTGGCGTGATCTCAGCTCACTGCAACCTCCGCCTCTGGTGTTCAAGTGATTCTCCTGCCTCAGCGTCCTGAGTAGCTGGGATTACAGGCACCCGCCACCAAGCCAGGCTAATTTTGTATTTTTAGTAGAGATAGGGTTTCACCGTTTTGGCCAGGCTGGTCTCGAACTCCTGACTGCAGGTGATCTGCCTGCCTCAGCCTCCCAAAGTGCTGGGATTACAGGCGTGAGCCACCGTGCCCGGCCGAACTTTTCTTTGCCTAATACCAATGCATTGTAAACGTATGGGAAAAAAGATTAATTGGGTTGCAAGGAGACTTGAGTGCTAGTCTTGCCTTTACCACATAATGAGCTGGGTGGTCTGGGGTGGATAATTTTGGTTTGCCATTGTTGCTTTCTCTTTGAAATGAAGAGGATAGCCAGGAACTCCAAGATTCCTTCCAGCTTATTCATTCATGTCTTTGCATTGCTGAGCATCACCCCAGGGATGTTTTATCATCTCAGGCAGTGAGGAATTGGGATCCCTTGTGTTCCCCTAGCACCCTTTCTATTAACCCGAGAGTGTGCTGGAGGATACTGCTTTTCTGGAGAGCACACACTTCATATTGGGCGACTGTGACACAGGCATCTGAGTGGTCTCTGGCAGGACTTTGCAATATCCGCCCTGGGAAATGGCAAGGGCACCCGAGGACCTGTGAGCTGGCAGGGCCGTGTCACCCCAAAAGACAAGGACTCTGAGAGGAGGTACTTCACCAACACTCTACAGCTGTGTGAAGAAAAAAAGAAAATGGTTGATGAATTTCCACTTTCCACAGAGTAAAGAAATATTTTTATGTTATTTGTTTCCAGCCTGAGCGGGGGGCTTTTCATGCATGACCAAGGAACTCTCCTCCCACAGGTGGGGATACACTGCCACCTGCTGGTCCTCTGCTTCTTTACACAAAGGAACACCTTCCCAAACCAAAGCAATGGTGACTTTCTCGGACAGCATACTTAGATATATCAGAAAATATTGATAGTTACTAACCTATTAATTGTGAATGTCTGATTAAATGTTGAGGGTCTTGTAGAGTTAAATTTCAAGATAATTCCTCTGTGTATACTCAAGCTCACGCAACTAAAAGAGATCTTGACTAAAATTGGCAGCCAAGATTCTTAAGGCTTCCTTCAGCAATTCAATAATTCACTTACGTGTACAAGGAATCTTTCAACATGTGGAAGTATTTTCAATACATTATATCATGTGGGGTTGTTAAAAAAGCTTTATACTTGGAACTTACTACTTAGTATTTGTATATATGCCACATGAAAATAATAAAACTGCATTCTTGTTCAACACTTTTGGCATTGGTATTCTCAGTGATTCAGATTTTCCCTCATTAATCCGCATCATTAGTCTGTGTGATTAATCTTTTACTATTGGAATGGTGCAGAGGTTAAAAGTTAATATGGATATAAATGGAACAAGCTCAGTAATTTTATCAACAAAGTGATTTGAGGCTAAGAGTTCAGGAACATTTTATTTGAAGTGGCTTTTGTGTTTCACTCTCACAGATGGTGTTCTTTGATTCTGGAACCTCAAATTGTTTTAACACATCCCACCATCCCAATGTTCAGTGTATGTGATTGATATGTGTGTCTACCCTGGCAAATAATACTTAAGAGTGAAATGCCAATCTTCCCTTTTCAACCTGAAGTTTGGTCCACAATAAAAATGGCATATAGATTATTATGTAAGCAAATCATTTAGTTCCACATTGTCTTAAACGTTTCCATTTTGAAGCTAGATTTTGGCTTTGGCTTTGCATAAAAAAGGGTCCACTGAAATGTTATGTTTGGCTCTAGGGGGTGCGGATTATTCCATCCCTACAGCAAGAAGAAAAAAAATCATGACATTTCTAGCCAACAAGGCTTTTAAAAATATTGATATCCAGTCTCCGATCACCCTACTTCATAAGCCTAATGGGAGATGAAACGGAACTTACCCGTCTTCAACTTCCCCTCCCCTTTGTGTGCTCTTCCCCTCTCTTTCAAGTACAGTATTCTCCAAAGTTATTGAACCTTAAAGTCAGACTGATAGATGCTTCTGACATGGTGAGAGGGGACCAGCTCTTTCAACCATGTCACATGACAGGAAATCCCACTTCCTCCAGAGAGAAACCTCCATGTGTCCCAACAAGACAAGAACACTCTCAGTGGATGGTCAGGCTACCCATGGGACTCATTTGGTACATATTGCACGTACTCATATTAATCTTCTGATGTGCACCAGCTCCTTATTTTCAAGACTAGGCTGCATGCTCTGGTTTGGGAGGCAGTGCAGTGGGACGAAAGTACTCCCAGCTTTGGAGACATGAACATGGGGTTCCATGCCCCTTCTGTTACTTATTGTCTTTACGGTCCTGGAGAAATAACTTAGCCCCTTTAAGCCTCCATTTCCTCATTCATAAAATTAGGATCACATTACCCACCTCACACAGTTATTGAATGCACAGCAATAACTTTGGTTATATGCCAAGCACTGTCTAAACACCTTATATGAATTAGCTTACCTGATGACCACAACAACCTCTTTAGGATCATCTTCCCCATTTCACGGATAAGGAACCGAGACAAAGGACAGATTAAGTCATTTCCCCCAAGGTCTCAATGCTCAGATATGATAAAGCCTCATATCAAAGCAGGTCTGGCTCCAGAGTTAGAGCTCATCTTGTGACATGGACTCTCAGCCCAGATAACGCCTGGCAATTAGTATATGAGAAATAAATCACAAGCATTTTGTTAGCCAAGCACACAGACCAAGTTTGTGACTTTGCCATCACTCTTGGACATTGTGTTCTATACACAGAGGGCTTTAGGCATTATGTGTTGCTTGCTCATTTTAATACATTTTCCAATAACACGTGTATGCATATGCCTTTAACCCAAGAGTTTCCTTGGGTTGCTGTCACAAAGTACCACTAATGCTGAATGGTTTAAAACAATTGAAATGTATTGTCTCACAGTTTGGGAGGCTGGGAAGTCTGAAATCGAGGTGTTGTCAGGGTCATGTTCACTCTGAAGCTTGGTGGTTTGTGGGCAATCTTTGGCATTCCTTGGTTTGTAAATGCTTCACTCCAATCCTCTGTCATCTGTGTCTGTCTTCACATGGATGTATTCTTATAAGGACACTAGTCATATTGGGTCAGGGGTCCACCCTACTTCATTATGAGCTCATCTTAACTAATTACATCTGCAATGACCTTATCTCCAAAAAGGTCATGTTCTGAGGTATTAGGAGTTGTGACTTTAACATATCTTTGTGGGGAGACACAGTTGAACCCATAAAAAGAGCCATCTCCCCTAGCCATATCTGGATGATCTTAAGCAACTGAAACCAGAAGATAATGAATCAGATAAACCTGAGTTTAAGCTAAATGTGTGTTTTAGGGAAAGATAATGCAGTGACTAAGGTTCAGTTTACTTATCTGTTAAATGAGGATATTTACAGCACCTGCCACAGAGAGTTGATATGATCTTTAAATAAAAAAAAAAAAAAGATACATGAAACACTGAGCACCATGCTTGGCACATGGTAACCCCACAGTCCTACTAGTTGCAGGGGATACATTATGCCTAGTGTCATTGTTTGGAAGCACCTCTACTGAAATTGCTATATCCCCAGCTTTTCTTCCAGCCTCCTTCTGCTCTCCTTTGAAAGACAGTGAACACCCGCCTACCCATAACAGAGTCAGAATAATCACTCTGATTTAAAAGTTAGAAGTTTCACTAGGTTAGCATTTTCCTTGGAGATTTAGCATCCCAGGCTAAGTCAACTTTGCCTCTCATCATTGTCAAATCTGGCTTCTGAACACCCCACCGTGTGAAACAGGAATTGGCTGCAGCATGAAGGTATTGCTGGAGCAATTGCAAGGCAAAGGAAGTGAAAGAAAAAAAAAAACAAAACAAACCAGTGGCTTCAGCTACGTCTGCTGCAGAAGCCAGCCGATGAAAATTAACCCAGCTCTTTAATCACAATCTTCTATCCCAGAATTTTCAGCTGAGAGAAATGATAATCATTTGGTTCATTGATTCTGGGATTAATCACTGAAGTTAATCTTGGCATGTATTGATTCCATTTCTGCTGGCTGTAACTAAAGTGTTCAAATTACTTATTCCAACTCTGACAAGAATAGGTTCCCAAAACAAAGGAAGTCAAAGATGAGCTATTACACCTGACAGCTCTGCACAGCACCCAGTGACAGCACTGACTACCCATCCTTCGGCAAGATGGGCCCCTAATAGGGAAGAATCAAGCACCTGTTCTTGCTATTATACACTGGTGTTTTATAAAGTTGATCCATCAGTGTCTAGAAGAAATGGAGGTGGTTTTATCTTGAAGAATCTGAACTCAAAATCTGGCTGCACAGACAAGCAAATTATGTAGGCAACACAGTAGAACAGGCCGATTTCACCAACTTGACTTTTATCAGAAAACACCAGTATTTGTTACCTTGCAATCCTCCAGAGTTTCCTGGTGCTGACCATTTGCCAGCATAAGCTTCATTGCAAAGCACAATTTGCAAAATAACATGGTGCATTCACCCCTTCCTTAACCTGTGAACTTCAGGCATGATAGTTACAATGAAATATCTTTTATTGAGTATACTTTTGTATGGCATGCTAAAAGAGACAGAGGGGACTTCTATCTTGGTGTTACAGTTGACTAGGTATTCTAAGTGGCCCTGTCACTATAGTACACCTAAATCTTAGGAAGGATACTGACTGCATTTGTAGCTCGGCTGGTTTTAAGAATGTAGGGAAAGCTTCAAAACCTATAAATAGTAAACAGGAACTAGAGGGATAAAAACAATGGGTGTGTGAGTGAGGGATTTAACAATAATACAGGACAGAACTAAAATACTGGACAAAAAGAGTATGTAAATAAGGAAGGAGAACCATTCTAAGTGCCTTATATTAATACAAATGGGGGATTCAGTTCTTGTTTAACTTACGTTTTCTCAACCTCGCACCAATGAAATTTGGAGCTAGCCCATTCTTTGTTGTGAGGGACTGCCCTGCACACTGTAGGATGTTTAACAGGATCTCTGTCCTCTATCCACTACATGGAAGTTGCAGAAAAATGTTTCCAGACATTACCCAACATACCTTGGGGACAAAATCACCACCCCCACTTAAGACGACTAATTTAATTTGACACTTTTTAAGCTAAACATATATGTTAAAATTTCAAAGATAATCAATCAAAGAAATATCCTATATACATTCCATACAAATTGAGAGAAAATTCTATAAAGCAAGAAACGAAAAAACAAAAAAAAAATCTTAACCCAAACAAGGCAAAATGCATACAAAAATGGAACAACTATATATCAGAAAGATGGCAGAAAGCAAGTTCAAATATATCCAGCATAACATCGAGTTCCACTTCCAAAAAGGTGACATGCAGAGCTCTATGGACTCACTTTCCAGCAAAGCAGTCATAACTGGGGAAATTTACATAATGAGAAGCATTTTAAGTCTCTGAAAATTGTACTATGGGCATACAGCAAATAAAAACCACTTTTAAAAAAATCTACTAAATCAGAGTAAAAATAAAAATAAGATATGTGGCACTTGAGTCATGATCTGCTTCCTCCCTCACCCCCACGCTGATAAGTGGCATACTTGACTCTTCATTCTTTGTACACCACTCATCATCACGCTCAGCACGATGGAATCACAGGGAATTGGAAAGTGTGTCAAATAACACCTTGAGGATGCAATCGGCCAAATCAAGAATCGTAGAAATTTTCAGAACAAACGGCATTATTTCTCCAACATATAAATGGCAAGAAAAAAAGAGGAAGAAAACGCCCTGATTTCCCTTCCTCGCCAATATTGTTGCAAGAAATGTGATTCCATTCTCAACTGCCAGGAAAGAATACTGAACTTTGTCTAAGCCTGTCCACCCAATCCTTTTCCCTCACTCCTACGAGTGGTCCACAGGTGATCATGTGATCCAAGGCTTCCAAACAAATAGAACAAATAAATTTCAAACCTTTTTCTGGGAAATGTAAGTCAATGATACACTCTATTCACTCAGACATTTCAGTACACACATGTAAGAGTTCAAACTGCTGAAAATGTTTTAACCATAATAAAAGTAAATCTGAGAGATAAGCTAATAAGCATAGAAAAATGGACAGGGCAACAGCTTCACAAAAGAAAGAAGCTGAGATCTTGAACAAACTGTTCCAAAACCCTATAAGATAACTCTTTATAGCTCAGTTAGCTACTATTTTCCTTTTATTTCAAAGCCAATTTGACTGGAGCTGTTCTATAACTTGCAGAAATACCACCACAGCATTTTAACATAGGTAAAGCCACAGCATTTAGCCACAGCATTTAACGTAGGTAAAAGTCTCTGGAAACAAAGGCACTGGGCTTAAAATTGTTAGGCAATGCCACCTCTTCAAGGAATAGATCAAAAATGAAGGGTCTCTGTCAGAATCTGTTTCATAGAAAAAAAAGAAAAGAATGAAAAGTCAAGTACACCACTTATCAGACACCAGTGTTCCTGATTAAGTCACCCATTATTTTTAAGGAAGAAGAAAATAACAAGCATTCAAAGGCATGAAAACAACTAAGTAAAGAGTTAAACCAGTTGCCAGGTGCATTTCATTTATTTTTAACCAATGTATGTGTTTGATAACTTTTAGGTCTTTGGTACTCCTTATGACTGTTAAGTTATTGTTTCCACTTTTCTGATAGGTTTTTATTCCTGTTTTCAGATTAATTCAACTGTTCAAGTCAATGAATAGATATTGCTTTCCTACTGTGAGGAAGTCAGCACTGCTCAAAAGTGCTGATGGCTCAAAAACAAACATGACTGGTCTCTTCCCTAAGGAACTCATGGGTTAGAAGAGCACACAGACACCATATCAAAACTATCCTCAAACTGTATTCTAACTTCCACGAAAGAGTTACATACAGAGGAGAAGAGTTGGAGATCCTGACTGATACATCACTCAAGACTCATAGTTTATGCAATTATTTTTCCATAAATTGAGCCATCAGCCTATCCCAACAAAAAGCAGTAGGAAAAAATATGACACAGATTACATACCACTTTCCATTTGGACAAGAGAAGCCTGCCTGCGCTTCTCATGTTAGACATCTTATTTGCCAAAACATTTATTTTAAAAGAGGGGAGAAAAAGAAAAGACAGCAACATAAAAATTTGCCTGCATGTCCAAGTTTCCTCTTATCAATAACCTCTGAAAATTTGGACGAAATTTTTATGCTTGCCTCAAACCCTGCCATATTTTCAGTTTCTAAGTCTTGGTTTTGGTTTCTGGTCTCCTCAGATCAGAAGATATCTCATTCTTATACTTTCATGAGATCTAGTAATAATACTAAATTCCATGCCGTCTTCTGACAAAGAGCCGGACTTGGATATGTATTTCAACTCCTCTATATTTGTCTTTTCAAGACACTTCTCAATGATCACTTAATAATCTGTTTTGCAGAGTGTAGTCCATTTTCACACTGCTGATGAAAATATACCTGAGACTGGGAAGAAAAAGAGGTTTAATTGGACTTACAGTTCCACGTGGCTGGGCAGGCCTCAGAATCATGGCATGAGGCGAAAGACACTTCTTACATGGTGGCAGCAACAGAAAAATGAGGAAAGAGCAAAACCAGAAACCCCTGATAAGCCCATGAGATCTCGTGAGACTTATTCATTATCACGAGAATAACATGGGAAAGACCAGTCCCCATGATTCAATTACCTCCCCCTGTGTCCCTCCCACAACACGTGGGAATTCTGGGAAATACAATTCAAGTTGAGACTTAGTTGGGGACACAGCCAAACTATATCACAGAGCTTGAGCAATTGATTCATTGTTAAGATTTGCTAATAATTCAATTTTATGTGTGTTTTATAATTTCCTATTCTACCTAAGTGTCCTCTCCCTAATATATTCTAAAATATTCTTTTTCAAACTTTTCATTTTATATCACAGCCCTATACAAACACACACACACATATGCACACATACATGCACACACACAAAATGAAAATATCATAGAACAGTTGCTGTTACTACTCTAATATTTGCTGTCTTATTCAATGTTTTAAAATTCTGGTTGCAAACAACCAAACTGATTTCTCCACCTGTAATGTTTGGACAACACAGCTCTAAAGAGTTTAATGAACTGTATAACTGTGGAAATCTCTTCCAAGATTCTAGTTTCCAATTTCAATTTGGTTATTTCTATTCTTTAATGTTTTCTGTTATTAACTGAGAGGTATATGAGACATCCTCAAATATTATCTAAGACCTCTCTCAAATAAAAGAATGATGTCATAGTACTGGGTCTTCCTTATGGTAAAACATTTATATATAACTATGCATATAACAAAATTTAGTTCATTCTATTAATTTTCTAGAAATGATTTTGATAATTGTAAGTTATTTGTTATTTCCAGTTTGTCACAATATTAATTCACTGCCCTTTGCTTTTTAATAATTAACATTGCTAGTTTTCTGCTTGCTTTTCCTCAATGCCCACACATCATTACTGACATGGATTTGGAATCCAGTGAGTGATCTTCATTTTCGTAATTATCACCTACAATCACAAAACATTGCTATCATAAATTTAATTTACAAATATTATAGAAATTCTCTCATCCACAAAGTTGTTGACCTTTTCTTTCTAATTTCATCGAACTACATGTATATACAGTCAATAAATCTGAGAAAGTGCACACAATGAAATATTCATTAGAAACCCAAGTAGTTTGCCAGACTTTGGTTTGTAACCATATGGTCCATGATCTCTAAATTCTTTAGCATTGTAACCTTCATGCAAATTCTAATATTCTATCCAAAGAAATCTGCCAATCCATATCTAAATTAAATTTAAAAATGAATCAAAAGCTTTCAGCCTTATTCCTGGCTCCTAGGCCTGCAAAGTAAGCAGCAGTCAAGCTGGCTTGCAGTGGATTGACTAAGTACTGGTTCAAAGGCCTCTAGTAATCACTAGGAGTCTAACAGATCCTGACCCCCTGGTGCCTACAGGAGGCCAGATAGCATGGAGCCTTTAGGAGCAGGTTCGGGTGGCTCCATGTCAATACTTCGGTAGTCCCTACAGGGGTTGCTCTTTTGTTCTCAATAGCATCTTCCCAAAGATTTACCTTTTCCTTCCAGCCCCATCTGCCTTCTTTCAAAAATTCTCAGCAGATGATCTAGTCTTAGATTTTACCATCTCTGCTGCCAATAACAGCTAACATGTATTGAGGGTTTCTTACAGCCCCATGGACTGAATATTTGTGTCCCTCTGAAATTTGTATGCCAAAACCTAATCTGTAATGTGATGGTATTTGGAGACGTGGACTTTGGGATGTAATTATGTCATAAGGATGGAGCCCTCATGACGGGATTCATGCCTTAATAAGAACAGACAAAACAGCCTGCTCCTATCTCTCTATACCATCTGAAAATACAATGAGAAGACAGCAATCTGCAGGCCAGGAAGAGTGCTCTCACCAGGCACTGGATCTGCCGGTGCCCTGATCTTAGACTTCTCAGTCTCCAGATCTGTGAAAAATAAATATTGCTTAAGCCACAAAACCTATGGTAATTAGTCACAGTAGTGCAAATGGAAGAGGCCTATGGCTAGGCTCAATTTTAATTAACTTACATGTATGAATTCACTTAGCATTCCTGACAGCCCCAGGAAGTAAGAACTGTCAGTATCTCACTTTTAAAGATGAAGATACTGAGTCACCTTAAGGTTAAGCTAACTACTCACGATCTCACCGTCGTTTTGTGGAAAAACAGAGCTATTAATCAGAAAATGTGACTCCGAAGGTGGAGTTCTTGACAATTACATTAAAGTACAGGCTCTTGGGGAAAGGCTTCCTCAGTCTCTCTCTTCTTCACATCTACAGATATGTACACTGTACCACTGACCATATCCCACCTATGTGCCTAGCTAAGGTTACCTTTCAACTTGTGTTCTAGAATTGTCCCCCCTCCTAGAGGCAACCGTCCCCTTTGTCTAAACCTTTCCAATTATGTCTTCCTAGTCCTTCAATGTAAAAACTAAAGCTAAAGTAAACGAAACCTACATTCAACCCTATTTAGTCCTGAACTTAGAGACACATCTTTCTTCCGTTTACAGCTGAGCTTCTTGAAAAAGTGATCTATTCCTCAATCCTAAATGATTACATTTATTTGTCTCAAATTTACTCAGTAATTTACTGAAAGCAATTTTGAAAGGCCCTGAAAGATCTCTCCCTGTGGAATTCAGTGTTTGTTGTCCTGTTCTAACTTTTCCATATGGTCAGCAGAATCTGGCAGAGTTGAGTGCTTTGTTCTAGAGGCAGTTCCTTTCATTTCTACAATCCTCTCCTGTTATTCCCTTCCTATCTCCCAGTGAGCTCATTATTGAGAGATTCTCATTGGGCTTTTTATTCTACCGGTTCCTTAACTGTATCAGTGGCCTCAACATCCTTACCTCAACCTCTTCTCTTTTTCATTTGGATACTACCCCACAGTCTCAATGATCACTCTTAGGCTTCTAACTGCAAGACATGCATTTAGCCCTGATTATTCATCTGAGCTCCAGCCTAAACTGCCTCAAATACCTCTGAAACAAATTCAAATGGATATTTTGCAGGCCACTCAATCTCAAAGCTAAAACGAATCCGCCACCCCCACCATAGCTTTTTCTCCTAATTTTTCTATCTTGACAATGGGACCGCCATCCATCACTATCTACCTTAAGCCTGTAACCTCAGACTCTTCTACTTCTTTCTCTCCCTCATTTTCCCTCTTTTCTAGACAGACTTCATCTAACCTTGTCTCTTCAATCAATCTCCTTTTCACCAGGTAACCAGTAAGCCAAAGTAAAGGAAGATGCTAGGAAAGACACTAGGTTTCCAACTCCTACTCTTAATACCTTTCCCCAACTCTACAACCTAGCATGGAGGTTCTTACCATGCGCCAAGCATTGCACTGACCACTTTATATATTTTATCTCATTCAATAATCCCAACTATCATTAGCCTCATCTTAAAAAACAGAAAACTCGGATAAAAGAAGTTAAATAAGTTGTCCAAAATAATACAGAATTAGAATTCTTACTGGGAGTTTATCTGACACCAAAACCATTCTCACAGTGACTGTCTCTCACAATGCTTGTTACAGCTTTCAGCCACTCTATCTGAAACAACATCCAAATGGCCCCTCTTCTGCCAGCCCCTTCTCTACCTCATCCTCAAATCCATTTTCATAGTGCCCTAAGATTTCACAAAAGAAATAAGTAATAAAGCCTAGCTAATTATGTCTTCCTAAAACATCAATTGGTGTCCCCTGCCTTATAGAACAAAATCGAAACTCTCTAGCCTGCAGTACAAAACCCCATGCATCTTTTGAACATCATCTCCCCGTCTTTTGCTCCTGTCCTCTCTCTCACATTCCAAGTTCTAGCTCTAATTAAATACATCCCATTATTGTACCTGTATCAACTACGTATTTTTTTATTTACTTTTCTGTGCTGCTCCCTTTCCCCTAACCTTTGCCCTGGCTCTAGTTGTTGTATTTACCCTTTAAACCCAATTAAAAGTGTCACTGCCTCTTTAAGACCAAGTTATACCTGCAAAGGTCAAATTATCACTCCCAGATAAACTAAAATGTCCCTTTACACAGCTCCCATGACACCTAGCTTTATTTGTACATACCTTTACTCATTCATGTGTCACAACTACTGCAATTGTTTTATATATCTGTTTTCCTCATCTCCCTCAATAGTTTTCTGATCTCAGCCCCTAATTCATGAGGAATAGAGAGTCTCCATGTTTTAAAAGTTAAAGGACAAATAAATGAAGTGATCCTAGCTGAAGGAATTAAAATAGAAGCACCAAGACGTTAAGCCGACACTAAAAGCATTCAAGAAAGATTGAACTGATTCAAAATTTACAGAAACAGAGAGAGAGAATAGAGACATGGCATTTGGCCAGTACAACACTATCTTACCTCTGCAGAGTGGATCTTTGCTTCTGGATTCTAAGTAGATAGGGAAAGAACTAACATTCAGAAAATTAGGGGTGTGGTCCACAGAGCATCACTGATAATGTGTATCTCCCTAAAAAAAATCATTCATGGTAGGGATAGGCAATGATACTATCACCCACAGTCATTTTCATGGGCACCTGAGATGGCTACAGCTGGGGAACGGTCCAGGGCTCCCACTACCTTGCAGAGGAAGATAAACAACTACTGGATCAACACGAAAAGAGGATGTAGATCCAACTGGATCCCTTTCCTCCTCTCAGGGCTGAGTTCTCTCCGGTATCCCTTCTCATTTCAGCGCTGTGTTTTCAGTTGCAAGGGATGGTCCAGGGTCCAGAAACAAACTTCATTTTCTTTCTTTTCTTTTCTTTTCTTTTTTTTTTAGACAGAGTCTTGCTCTGTCGCCCAGGCTGGAGTGCAGTGACGAAACCTCGGCTCACTGCAACTTCTGCCTCCCGGGTTCAAGCGATTCTCCTGCCTCACCCTCCTGAGTAGCTGGGATTACAGGCGTGCACCACCACACTCGGCTAATTTTTGTATTTTTAGTAGAGATGGAGTTTCACCATGTTGGCCAGGTTGGTCTCGAACTCCTGACCTCAAATGATTCACCCACCTCGGCCTACCAAAGTACTGGGATTACAGATGTGAGCTACTGCGCCTGGCCTGAACTTCTTTTTCAAAGCGTGCTAGAGAAAGGACGCAAGTGCAGCCCTGGACTGGACTCCCCTTTGTATATTACATGTGATTTGGCCGAAGTTATTTGAGTGAAAGCGGTTGGATAACCCTAGAAATTTAGTTAAAATGGCATTTGGGTAAGAAATGAAAGTCCTCACTCACTTGTTTTACATATATGCAATTTGGGTGTTGATGGTGGTTTGGAGGTGGGATAGTTTTTGCAACTCATTCTACACATTTGGCTATTTTTCAAAATGAATAATTTTTTTTTTCTTTTTGCTTGTCTTTCTTAAATTTCTAAATCATTTCAGCCAGTGTTCTGTTCTGCACAGTACATGATAGTTACAAGTGGGAACAGCTCATCCGAGCATGTTCCTGCAGTCCTGGAAACTGCGGGCGTCGGGGGCGGGGGGCCGGTTTTTGTGTGGGGCGGGCCTCCAACCTTGGGTTCAGGCGGGATGGTTGCCTCTGGATCCTGCTGCAGACCAGCTTCCCTCTGCTAGTTCCTATCTCACGTCTGCTTCCTTAGGTTTTTTTTTCTTGAGAGAGTCTTGCTCTGTCGCCCAGGCTGGAGTGCAGTGGCGCGATCTCGGCTCGCTGAAACCTCCGCCTCCCGGGTTCAAGCGATTCTCCTGCCTCAGCCTCCTGAATAGCTGGGATTACAGGCGCGAGCCCCCATGCCCAGCTTTTTGTATTTTTAGTAGAGACGGAGTTTCAACATGTTGGCCAGGCTGGTTTCGAACTCCTGACCTCAGGTGAAACAACGCATCTCAGCCTCCCAAAGTGCTGGGATTACAGGCGTCAGCCACCACGCCCGGCCAGTCTTCATATCTTTTGTCCTGTATCGTTGTTCTTTTTTCTGTTTGTCCCCCAGTCTCTTTCTAAAAAGGTTATTTGCCTCTTAACATTTAAGCATTGGAACTATTTCTGCGCTTTACCAAACGGCCACCAGAGGGGATCCTGAAACTCGGCGGTCCATTCTGTGGCTCTAAGCGCCCTAGAAGGACTCTGCTGCACTTGACCAATTCTCTTCTGAATTCCCCAAGTTTCCATCTCTCCGAGCCCCAAGAGGCTACCCTGTGCTTCTCTAAGCCCCACCCCATATTCTGCTCCCCAGGTCTCTAAAGACCCTTTGTTTCCATTCCGGCCCCATAGAACCCGCACCTCCTCAGGGCCAAAGGCACTGGTTTCCCCACTCTTCTTAGCCGCCGAGGCTAGCTAGAGTCCCGGTGTCAGCCACTACCTGCCGCAACTCACTAAGAAATGACCTTGACGACTGTCAAGACCATATCCGGGACTCCGAGGCGCTGAGTCCCCGCCCCGCAGCCCTCCACACCTTGTCACTTAAGCAAAATGCCTGCCCCTCCCTTCTCAGGGAAGGCGGCCAAGGATCCACCTGCCTCCCCTCAGACGCGCTGCTGTTTACCCTGCCCTCCGGCTCACAGCACTCCGCCGCCAGCTGTCACTCAAGACACCTGAGACGCGGAGATCAGGGCCGCTCTCTGTCCTTCCACAGAGGCACTGGCTCCCCTCTGAGCCTCCCGCGCCCTTCTCCGCGCCTCGGGGCCCCGGAACACCCCCATGTCATATGCCCGACACCGGCTCCAAATCTCCTTGTGATGTCGCAGCAGTCCTAGGCCTCCTCGTGTCCCGCCCGCTCTGCGTCCAGGTCCCTGGACAGGTCCGGTTGCTGGTCCCGTGCCCATGCTGCTAGGGGAGCATGGGGTGCGCTCCGCCTCCAGCCAACGTCTCCGCATCGGTGCCCTTGCCATCGCCGGGGGATAGAGCAGCCTTGCTTTACCGCTTTACCGGGTTCCAAGATCTACCTTCCCTCTCGTCCCTAACTCACACTGTGACCTATCTCAGGTGCACTCAGATGCTGTCCCCCAGCCCCATTCTCCCCTCTTCTCCGTAGTTTCAAGAACCTGGCTTCTCCCTGCTGCTTGCTCTCCCTGCTGTCTTCCAACTTTCCATTCTAAACCCCTCAGGGATGCTCTAACCTGCCCTTCCCGGGAGCCCCAATCCTGCTGTAGGCGTCCGAGGGTCCTCAGTCTTTTGCTCTAGAGGAAAGTGTTGCAGAGCCCCCCTCTCTACTACAACGGGGTGAGCTGTTCTTGACCGCTGCCCGGCTTGCCCGCTTCTGGGGCTCCCCAGGGTTCCCCCTTGTCGGCTGTTCTCAGGTGCTGGCACCCGCGCCCTGAGCCCGGCCCCCACTGTAGCGCCCTCATTTGGACCCTCCCTGGTTCCCCTGGTTGCGCCAGCACGGGTCCCGGCCATCATCGTCTGTCCCCAAACTTCGCTTTCTGACCCCATCCTGGAGGCGCCATTCTGAACTACTGTTACGACGTCGCCACCCCTAGGAAATCAATCCACTGACACCCCGAGAGATCAGTGCGCTCACCTGTAAAATGCTGTGCTAGTGCCTCCTTCCTCACAGGGCTGCTGGGAAGATGAAATGTAGTAATTTGCATGAAAGGTTTACAACGATGCCTGACACATGAGAGGTGTGTAGCATGCATTAGTCATTAGGATTATATCTTACCGTCCTAAAAACCTGAGTGACACACTTCTCTCATCCTCCTCTTCCGGCCTCAGGGGATGCCCTTCTCTGTCCACTTCCAGTTTTCCCCAAAGATACTAGCTCTTTTGGTCAATGCTTACCTTGGCTTATAACATCCTAAATGCCCACCTGCAAGAACTCTTAATCCTCAGAACCAACTCCAGGGAAAATTGTGTGCTTCACTGAAAAACTAGAGCACGCCCTTCTGGTTCTCATTCAGAATCTAAGAGGGGTCTGTCTGCTCCTTCATAATCTTGGAGCCATTTTATAAATCTGTAAATAGCCCTGCTTTTTTTTCCCCCTCTTTAGACCTCTTGTAACATCTTCCTGTCTCCCTTACTTAATGAGCTAGGTAAAATGTGAGACAAATTCATTTTGTGTCTGTAGTCATGATTTTACTTGCTTAAAAAATATTCATTGACTAAACCTATGAGTCCATTACTATTGTTTTCCCCTTCTTGTGGAAGAGAAAATGAAAGCTACGATTTGATTTGAAAGGAAGCTCTACTTGGCTTATCCTAAGGGGGTTCATGTCCTCTTAGCCTAGCTATGGCTAAAGAACCTCCAGTGAGGCTCCATGGAGCTGCTTTCCCAGCCACCAGGGGAAGGGAAGAGGTTGCAGGAGTCTTTTGTGCCTCACCTAACCCCACAGAGCCTTCTCCATATCCCACAGGCTACTGTGCACCCTGGCTTCCAAGAATAAACTGTCTTTCCTTCCAGCAGCTTCCATCCCAAGCCACCTACCTCCAGCCCTTAGAGGACTGGGGATCTGGCCTCCAGAAGAGGGCCTCCTAGACCACTGCTGTGAGCAGCCACCAACTGTTCCAGTGTTCTTTTCTGTAGAAGCGCCCTATCTGCAGTTCTGGGTTTCCCTCCTCCTTCTCAGCTGCTTTGACACCCACTCCACTTTCTGCTGTCATCTCAGAGCCAGCACCTTTCTCCTGGACATCATGTCTTGGTGCTTCTCATTAAGCTCCATCTTCATTCTCTCCCCACTTCCACTGCCATCTCCCAATTTGAAACCACATCTATTGGACTCCTCCTGTGTTCTTTTCCACTTGATGAAGTCTAAAACCTGGGGACTGATTAGTGGAAGCCCTAAGATATTAAACAATAATGATAATGGTAATAGTAATAGAAAAATAAAGCTTAATGCTATCAGGGAGAGTGTAAAGGTAACATCAGAAGGCATTAATTGTTAGATAAAATCAAACAATCGCAACTTTAAATATTTTACCGACATCCAATAATTTTGTGCCTGTTTCACATTTTTGAACGGTGGTTGGTATTTCTCACTCGATTAAAAAAATTTGAATATCTATTTTTGGAAACTATAAGGAATTTATTCATAAGAATTATTACATTTTAAAGTATGTTTTAAGAAAACTATTCTTGCCAGGTGCAGTGGCTCACGTCTGTAATCCCAGCATTTTGGGAGGCAGAGGCAGGTGGATCACAAGGTCAGGACCATCCTGGCTAACACGGTGAAACCCCATCTCTACTAAAAATGCAAAAAATTAGCCGGGCATGGTGGCGGGCACCTGTAATCCCAGCTACTCAGGAGGCTGAGGCAAGAGAATAGCTTGAACCTGGGAGGCAGAGGTTGCAGTGAGCTGAGATCACACCACTGCAGTCCAGCCTGGGCAACAGAGCGAGACTCCGACTCAAAAAAAAAAAAAAAAAAAAAAGCTATTCATATGTCCGTAACCTTCTCCAGTCTCCACCCTTTGGTCTCTAACTACACAGGGAGTTGGAATAAAGACAAATACAACCTTCCTTTAGATTCTTTCATAAGGAAAAAAAAGTCAATCAAATAAAGTTGAGAGAAGGCGGCATATTTGATGTATTTGGTTTTAGCAAATAGACCAGATGAGTAGGCTTTGCTGCCACACAAAGGCACTTAGTGAACATTTGACTCTGAGCTAAGTAAAAAATAACTATGTCAGGTAATGCTAGATTTAACCATTCCACAATATACAGTCTGTACACTTCAAAACATCATGTTGTCCACAATAGATACATATAATTGTATCTGTCAATTAAAAAATAAATTTGAAAAATGTTAAAGAGTTTTTTTTAAAGGAGGGCTGCTCCAAGGGTTGTTGAGGTCCAAGGGTTGTTGATTTGCTTATTTTGAATTCTTACATCAATAAGCTGCATTGATTTGGGGGCCTGAAGGGCGAGTTGCATTATTTTGCTATAAAATGCAGAAGAATCACAGCATCTTAAATTTGGGAGGTGCTCTAAATAGTAGTGAGTCCATCTGCACATCCTCCACCAGAGCCTCCCTCAGAAACTCCTCTGAGTGGTCATCCAAACACTCAAGGCACAGGGTCAGGGAGGTCCTCTCTGGACATCTACCACAGCCTTGGATATGAAGAGTATGAGTGGTTAATAATCCGTGTTAGAGGTTTTGCTTTACCCTGAGCCAAATACGGACTATAATTCTCACAAACCGTCTCTGGTAAATCAATAAAACCACTAGTAAATGTAGAAGGAAGATTTATCATTGGATTAAAAAATATGTATGTGTAAAAGGAAGTTAAAGTCCCAAGGAGACAAGTCAATAAAACCATCTCCTTCATTCCTGGCCAGGTCCTCCCCTTGGATAACAATGATGTTATTACCTTCATCCATGTGTCCCGGGCATCACCAGAATATCACAGCCTCTGTCTAAAGTGGAGCAAACAAATGTCACTGTAATTAATCTGAACTGCAAGCCTTCAGCCTGCTGCTCCTTTCTCCTTTCTTGGGTAATTAAAGGAACAGAAGATAAGGTGCATGAGTATAGACTGGCATTGTGCTAAATCTGAGTTGCAGAAATCCTTTGGGAGCAGCGTGCAATGTCTTATTTTCTCTTCACTGCATCACTGAATCTTCTTTTTTTTTTTTTTCTTGAGACAGGGTCTCACTCTGTTGCCCAGGCTACAGTGTTGTGGCATGATCTTAACTCACTGCAACCTCTGCCTCCCAGGCTCAGGTGATCCTCCTACCTCAGCCTCCCTAGTAGCTGGGATCATGAGCATGGGCACCACACCTGGCTATTTTTGTATTTTTTGTAGAGATGGGGTTTTGCATGGTCTCAAACTTTTCTGCTAGTCTTGAACTCCTGGACCCAAGTGATCCACCCGCCTCAGCCTCCCAAAGTGCTGGGATTACACCGTGAGGCACCATGCCAGCCCTCACTGCATCTTCTAATCCTTCCTAAGGTTTTGACTCCACCTACAGCTTCTTTCCTTGGATATGGTAGTTCACACATCCTAGTTGAAAACAAATCATGGAAATTTGCCAAGAGTAGATTTCAGGTGCTTTCAACAGACACCAAAAGGTAACTCTGTGGGAAGACGGCTATGTTAATTTGTTTGACTGTGATAAGCACTTCGTTAGGTCTATGTATACCAAAACATTATGTTGTACACCTTAAATACTACAATTTAAACATTTTAAAACAATAAAATAAAGAGAAAGCTTGCCCTATTCTTCAGGCTTGAGGTGCTTGAGAATAACACCTGGCAGATACAGCCACCTTGGAATAAGAGGAGAGACACTGGCTACACTACAGGGAAGGGGATAGACATCAGGAGCAGGTACGCAGCATGATAAAACACACAGCTGCGCACACACACATCCTCCTCACTCACTTGCAGAAGCCCCAAATGCTTTCAGAGTTGGGGCCAACTTCCTTTCTTGGAAAACATGACACTTGGCATTCAAATGCATGTGGGAGATGAGATGTGTCCAGCAGGCAAGAGTGAGGCAGGAGCATAAAGACACAGCACTCTCCAGGTGACCTGAGGTCTACCTCATCTCTGTTTTCTTCTGTCCTGGCCCCTTCACTGCTCTGAGAATCAATATCCTCATCCTAAAAGGGAGATCTAGACTAGACCAGTGGGTAGAATACTTTTTCCATAAAGGGCCAGATACTAATATTTTAGACCACACGCCATATCGTCCCTGTTGCAACTACTCAACTCTGTGGCAGCAAAAAAGCAGCTACAGACAATACGTAATAAAAGGAGGGAGGCTGTGTTTGCAGCTCGTAGGTTGCCATGCTCTGAGCTCCACATTCTCTTGGTTCAGAAGTTCAGCCATTATAGCCCAGGGTTCAAATTGAGGCCCAACAGACCTTGTTGGTCTTCAGTTCTGTGAGCTCAGTCCTCTTGATCTATTTTCTGCTCTGATAACCTGTCTGGACCCAGATTTCGTGCCAAGAATGGGAGCTTGCCATCATCCTGCTAGGCTCCCCAGACTAATTGGAAGCCAAGTCACTGTAACTTACTGATGCCATCACTGTATTCCCGATGCCATCAGCAAGTAGAATTGATAGCAACACCCTGTTCACACTAGACGTGCCTCCACCCTGAATCCAAGTCCATCTTGCTCCTACCCCCATCAGGGCAGCTGGGACCATTTGCTGCTGTCTTGGTTCCTCTGTGTGGAAGGAAAGTCTGACCTATACTGCACAGCCTCAGCTTCAATTGCCCAAACCTGACCATCTCTCAGTACTGCCGTTGTTCTGTCTCCCAATCTCTGACCTGCCACCACCACAGGGCTTGATTCTAGATCTTGGATCCTTCTCTTTCCCCTGTCCTGTGTAAGTCATGAGACCTTGTTCAGCAAAGTTTTCTGTCAATTATCAGATGGACAGAGATTCAGGTACATGAAGGAAAACAGGGATCTCAGATTTAGAAGTGGAAAGAAGTCTTCAGCCCACTTCATAGAAGTATTGCACAAGGTCAGAATCAGACTGAGTCCAGATGATACTCCTCTAATAAACTTGACCTTGTGAATCATTACTTGGAAAACATCAGTAAAGCAGGGTGGCACAGAAATCTAAGCTAGCATTAAAATCAGAAAAGGGCTGGGTTATGGTGGCTTACACCTGTAATCCCTAATTTTTACTTCTGAGAAATGCAGGATTCTATCTGAACTGGGCTATTTTTTTTTTCTGAAGTCTCTTATATTCTCTTTTTTATTTGAATTGACTTAATCTCCAACCAAATTATAAAAAAGGTGAACATGTATAACCCCAAATCTCAATCCCAGATCTGTCTTAAGTCTACATGTTATCCCAGCACTTTGGGAGGCTGAGGTGGGTGGATCACCTGAGGTCAGGAGTTCGAGACCAGCCTGGCCAACATGGTGAAACCACGTCTCTACTAAAAATACAAAAATTAGCCGGGCTTGGTGGCATGTGCCTGTAATCCCAGCTACTTGGAAGGCTGAGGCAGGAGAATCTCTTGAACTCGGGAGGCGGAGGCTTCAGTGAGCCGATATCAGGCCATTGCACTCCAGCCTGGGTGACAGAGTGAGACTCCTTCTCAAAAAATAAAAATAAAATAAAAAATCAGAAAGTAAAGTCCTAGGCCTGCACAAGCTTTATGACAGGCTTATAGCACCCTCTTGTGTTTACTTCTGAGAAATGCAGGATTCTATCTGGACTGGGCTTTTTTTTTTTTTCCAGAAATCTCTTATATTCTCATTTTTACTTGAACTGACTTAATCTCCAACCAAATTACAAAGAAGGCAAACATGTATAATCCCAAATCTCAATCCCAGATCTGTCTTAAGTCTACATGTTATCTCATTCCATTTTCAAAATATCCCTCTGAAGGAGGTCAGGTAGGTTCTGACTCTCTTGGGAGCAGGTGGAAGCAGAGACTGAAAGTCTTGCCCAAGATCACAAAAAGGATCCACAGCAGAACAGCCTGTGCCATCACCCAGGGCTCCTGGCTGCAACAGGCCTAATATTCTTAAATGGTTATTTCACAGGACTTCTCAGGTTGAGCAGGTTTCCATCTCTGCGAGGGTCAGGTCATCACCAAAGCACACAGGGGTCAGTTGTGTCACAGAGTGTGGGGAAATAGGGCAAGAAGTAGGAAGCCAGTGTCAGAAACAAGGATGGGCTACAACTGGGTGCCAGGCAGGCAGACTATTGAATCCTTGCTCTCCTGCCTTTCTTACCAGTGCTGTGTAGCTAAGTAGCAGTGTCCTCCAGGGGACAGAAGCAGGGCGGTGCCAACACCTGTGCTCTATGCAGTTGAAGGGCCAGGAGTGTGGATCAGGGATCCCACACCAGGAAGGCGAGTAGCCTGCAACCATGTGAACTTCATGCCAAGGTCCTCTTTCGAACTCACTGTGTCCCAGACAGCCTGCTTCTCCACCACAACCACACATGTGTGTCCACACTTCTGCATTTTTTCTTCCACTGTTTATGCTGCCTGGAAGCTTTCCCTGCTGCAGCCTTCAAAATGTCCCTTGTCTTCAAGGCCATGATGAAATGTCATCTCTTCCCTCTGGTTTTCCCTGATCTTCTCATCTCCTCTCACTACCCACTTCCCACCACATATACACCTCTCACTGTGGACTTTTGTTTTGCACTGATTTACCAGGTGCGCATTGTTTTCTACTTATTCATCTTTCCCATAGTCTGAGCATTTTTCAGTCATAGACCACTCCTTCATTTTATTTGTTTTTTTATAGAAAGGCACAGGAAAGCATAGTAGAAACATACGTGAGCTTTGAACCAGACAAACCTGATCCACATCTTGACCCAACAACCTCACCTAAGTCATGTTAACTTTTTATGGTAGATTCTTGCATCTGTAAAATGTGATAAAATTACCTGTTGTTCTGAAAAAAATAAATGCAATAACATGCATAAAGCTCTTACACACAGAAAGCAGTAGCTTTAATAACATCCAGTTGAATCTCTTTGTTATACCAATAAAGAAATAAATCTAAGAGGGAGGAAGTGACTTGCCCAAGGTCTTAAACAACTTTTAGAACCCAAACCCACACTTCTTAATTCAAAGCCAGTACTTTTTAAACCAACCAAAGTCCTTTTCAACCCATTTGCTATTCCGCTACCATCAGCCAATAAAATTGCTACCAACACACTCTGCATATTGATACATACTATACTATATTTCTGCCTACTGTCACTTTCTTTTTCCAAATAAGGCCATGTTCTCCAAAAACGGAGGTTAGCTCTTCCTCTTCCCTATCTTTTCCAAGGCATGACCTAACACAGGAAGGGGCACATGGTAAGAACTCAAAACACACTTGCAAACTCTGAGTGATCCTTAACTTCCTCAGTTTCCCTCAGCCTCTGTATCCAAGTCATCATCCCATCCTGCCAATCCTAAATTTGACATGTGCCCCACATTTCCTCCCCTCTTCTCTTCATTCCTATTGGCACTCTTGGAGTTCATTCTGACTGACTTCCCACCTGCACCTGTGTGGTTCCCTGAGGGTGACAATGTGACGAGACAGACACACAGGCATGGTTCCCAAGAGCAGAGTAGGACTGAAAGGTACTTTCCTAAGTGGCCAGGTGTTGGAAGCCAGTTTCTAAGGCCAGGTAAGAGGGATAATAACATGGTGAAAAATAAAAGCATAGGCAATAGAGCTAGAAGCCAAGTTGACATAGAACAGAGGAGGAAGTAAGAGGAGGGGTAGGGATGGGGTGAGGCCAAGCAATTGCTACAACTGAGTCTAGGGACACAGATGCACATTTATATTTATTTATTGGATGCCATCCACATGGCAAATGAGTAGGCTAAACGGAAGGTAGCACAGAATTGTCTCTGTCCTCAACAATGCCCGCTGACTCCAGGCAAAATCCTGTCTGCACACTTGGACTTCCAGAAAACAAAGCCCCTACCTTCCTCTGGTTATTAGAGCAGAAATTACCCCAGACCCCACATCCTTCCAATGACTTCAAATCATTTCTGAGACAAGGCTCTGAGGGTGCCCCTTGCTGGTGGTATAGCTAGATCCTCTTTTTCCAACCAGTCTCCTTAGTTTTTCTGACTTATAAGCCAGGAATTTTTCCAGAAGGGCAGCCCCTACACCACCTATCTGGGCACCAAGCACAGTCCTACACAGGCAGCTAGGGCGTTCCCTAACCTAAATCATGATTCCATCCGTGGTCCAGGCTCAGAGCACAGGCCTCTTCATGCCTAAGACAAAAATTCCTGCTTGCCAGGTGTATTAGGCCATTCTTGCATTGCTGTAAAAAATACTTAAGTCTGGTTAAGTTATAAAGAAAAGAGGTTTAAGTGGCTTACAGTTCTACAGGCTTTACAGGAAGCATGGTGCTGACATTTGCTTAGCTTCTGTGGAGGCCTCAGGAAGCTTACAATCGTGGCATAAGGCAAAGGGGAAGCAGGCACATCACATGGCCAGAGGAGGAGCAAGAGAGAGCCAGTAGGGGGAAGGAGGTGCCACATACTTTTAAATGACTAGGTCTTACAAAAATTCAGACTGTCGGCCGGGCACGGTGGCTCACACCTGTAATCCCAGCACTTTCGGAGGCCGAGGCAGGTAGATCACGAGGTCAGGAGATGGAGACCATCCTGGCTAACACAGTGAAACCCCGTCTCTACTAAAAATTCAAAAAATTAGCTGGGCATGGTGGTGAGCGCCTGTAGTCCCAGCTACTAGGGAGGCTGAGGCAGGAGAATGGCGTGAACCCAGGAGGCGGAGATTGCAGTGAGCCGAGATGGTCCCACTGCACTCCAGCCTGGGCGACAGAGTAAGACTTCATCTCAAAAAAAAAAAAAAAAATAGAATTCACTCACTGTCATGAAGACAGCACCAAGTCATGAGGGATCCACCCGCATGATCTAAACACTTCCCACTAGGCCCCACGCCCCACCTCCAGCACTGGGGATTACAATTCAACATGTGGTTTGGATGGGGACAAATATCCAAATTATATCACAAGGACTTTAAGCTACTGTAGTCACCAAAGGGATAGCAGGGAAGGAGTGATCTGGAGAAGCGTTCCTCAGCTGGTAGTTCCTCCCTGCTGCAGACACTGTGCATGACCCAGGAGTGGACATGTCAGGGCCCTCTCATGGTGACCAGCAGCCCAGAGGGTGATCCCTTCTCTGCCTTCCCTGCTATAAGTGCCTAGATTTCTGCTGGTCTGTCTCTCAGGGCCTGGCCTCCTCTAGCCCCTGAGATGAGTGACTCTGTGACTTAATTACAAGATAAGACCCTGCTGTAGTTCATCCATACTTTCCTTCAGCTCTTTATGCTTTTTTTTTTTTTGGACATTCTAATTATTTTTACTGGATACTTATTAAATAATCACAAAAAAGCAATCAGAGCTATTAAAAAGACTAAAGTTTCTTTTCAAAGACTACCTATTCCTGAAAATATTGCCTGATTGTCTCAGAACATACAGTCAAATTATTTTGTAGAGATTGCTCTCAGAGCAGTTCACATATCATGGGGGTTCAGTACTTAAATGATAGTCTTCTGAGGTGGTAGCCCCTGGCATCCACTGGCGAGGGAACAGGAGGTCAACAGAGAGCAAAGGACTGGAGCCGGAGGCCAGTCATCACTCTAGCATCTTGTCCAATTTGAGAGGTCATAACCAGAATGGCAGAAATATTGATCATCCAGACCCTGTGCTTGAAGCTCGACCTTTGAAGAACGCCAGAGAGATGAAGACATTTTTTTTGCAATAATAACAACAAGCATTTACTGAAGGTGTGTTATATAGCAGGCACTCTACTAAAAATATGATCTTATTGAGGAATGTCCATCTCTTACCTAATAAAAGACAGAGCTAGTGTGCAAGCATCAATCTGACAGATTGCAAAGCTTGTGCTTTTAAACAACATGCTGTATTGTCTCTTGTAAAACAGCATTTATATAAGAAAGGGCCAAGCCAGCATTAAACCCAAATACACACACACACACACACACACACACACACACACACACAGACACCACAGACTCACCTACTCACTGGATAAATACATGACAGATAGATCATCCTAACCTATGCTTTAGGCTTCACTGAATCCTTGCCAACTATTAACCCTTCCAGTTGGGCTTCAATTTTGGAAATTCATATTAAAATATTAGTTATAAAGGTGGGCCCTTCTAGAAGCATTTGCTATTCAACATCTGATAAAACCTACTGGTAGGGCCATAGGCCTAATGGTTGACTGTCAGGGAGGGCTGGAAGATGCACCCATTTTTGGACAGCACACTTAGCTACAGAAGCATGCAAAAACATCAGGATCCTAAAATAAAGAGCAACATTGCAAATCTTTTTCCTAGTTTATATGATTCATCTACACTGTGCTTTGAACTCCTCTATCATCAAAGTTTTCCAATACACAAGGAACTCTCTCTAGAACTGAATTTCACAGAAAAAAGGCTATCAATGGAAAGCTCTCTGTTTTACGTTTTGAAAATGCCGTTTGTCACTGTACTGAAACAATATTTTTTGCTCTAAAATATTTTAAAAATTGTCCATTTGATTACAAAAAAGTAATTCTCTCTTTACAAATAACAACCAAGCCATGAATCAGATCAGTGTTGCATTTTCCCCTTCCATTCTTGCTTTGTCTTCATTAAAGGAAACACACTGTCAAATGTATAATTTTCCCTCTTTGCTCCTTACGCTTAATTGATTTCCAGCATAAAAAAAAGAGTATTAGCCAGAAAAAAGGGAAACCAAGTGATGCCCTCGAATCTCATGAGCTCCTCTTAATAACTGTTTAATCTAAAACTGTGTTCACAAATGCTAATTATAAACATCCTTAATTGTGCATGTCACCCACCACGGTTGAGTGCAATTCAATTTCTTGGACTTTGACATGATGTTCTACTACTACATCACCAGCCAAGGAACTGTCGGGAGCTGAGCCTTTTTACTTTCCACTCAGGGAAGCAAAATAGGTCAGCAGTCCCAGCATGGTAAATCTGTATTCAACGAGGAATGTGTCTTGGGATGTAAGAGCCCTTACCAGAGCATAGGATATGACCTCTTGCAGCAACAGCTCCATATGGATTAATAAATCAATTGAATTAACTCATTTAATTACCCTGTGCCGGCAACTGCTTGTGGTTCTGGAGCTTTGGAGATGAGTTAACAATAGACAGAGAGACATTTTCCAGTTTACTGCTATGCAAGCTACTCCAAGAGTTGTGATACTGGCTCTTGCAAGAGTGGTAAACAGCAGAGAATTTTACAGGTGGAAAAGGGCAGGGAGAGATGGAGAAATGCATTCTAGACAGAGAAAACAACATGACCAGAATATCAGAGGCATTACCTTGTTCTGGGGTTTTGGGAAGGGCCTGTGGGGCTGTTGAGAGGATTGTGCCAGGGAAAATGGCTGCAAGGTCAGAGTGAGATCAGATTAGAGAAGACCAGCTGTGTTTTCATAAGGGATCTGGATTTCGTCCCTTGGACAGGGAGTCACTGAAGTGCTCTGAAGCGAAGTGATCTTACCTGCAATTTAATATGATCACACTCTCACTCACAGACAGTTCAGACTGGCCTTTGGCGCAATTGTGTAGGCAATGCTTGACATTGAAGGCTAAAGTCTACTTTTCTCTGCTTTTTGTGCCACTTCTCCCCAGACCTAACACTCTTGCCTCCTTGTAGAAAGCCAGCTTGAGCCCCTTTCAGAATAAGCATTCTCTCAGCAGATCCTGGCTCATCACCCCCAATACAGTAGCAGAAAACTGCCCCGGGGCTTCTCACCTTTTCTCTTGACAGAATGCTTTCATTTCTTCATTCTGGAAGGAGGCAGCCCAATAAGTGAGCAATGTGGGGAGGCAGTTGCCTGTGCATATGAGATCAGAGAGCCTCAGTCCACCCTCCAAATGCAGGGGAGAGTGTTTCCTTGCATATTCAGAGGCAAAGCTAGAATAGGTGATATGTCTAGAGCTGGGAGTGACTGTTGCCACCATGTGGGGGAAGGGGGCAAGATTTGGAAGAGAGAAATGCCACAGAGTGAGTAAAAACACCATTCAGCTCTGCAAAATGCTGTTGACTCTTTACGGCTCAGAAGTAGAAAATCGGGTGGCTTTCATTGTCTGTGAACGTTCTCACCCATCTCTTGGCCTCTCATTCCCAGGAGAAAAGAAAAAGGAAATCTTAAACTTGTCAATCAGAGATATTTTATTTATTTCTAATGTAAAAATTACCTACCAGGTAAATAGGCTATCAAGTTGTAATGAGCATTTGCTTTTAGAGAACATTCATTTCCATTACTGAAGACGAGTTGTAAGACTTACTCATCTTTGATAATAGAAATATTTTCAGTTATGTTAAGTATAGATAACAGGTTAGTTTGTAGGGCATGTGTGTGCTGAACACAGGAAGGGATGGAAGGATCCAACGGTACCTAATAATCATGAGGTGCCTGAGAGCTAAAAGTTTGTTGCATACTAAGTATTCAGGAGGTGTTAACTATAAAGAAGCACTAAACATACATGAAGACTTCATGAATATGAGACCTTAATTTGGCTGCCTATTGGAGACACTCATTCTGACTCTAAGTGTCCTTTACCCAAGAAACACAAATAAAATAGAAATTAGTCGGCTGTCATCTGGCAAGGTGCAACTGTTGACAAGGTGTACATGTCTCTGAGTCTTTTCCATAGAGCCAGTGTGTGTTGTTGGCCCAGGGTGTCTTCCATCTGTCGGCCTCTTGCTTGCACTTCAACTCTGGTGCTCCTAAGTCCATCATCAGTGGGGAAGACCAATCCTTAGAGACAGGCAGGATATGTGAACATCATGGATCCCAGGATTCAGATATTGTGGTCCTTGTTTCTCACCTGCAGCCTCTCCAAAGTCACTTTGAAGTGTTAATCTACCCAGTCATTCTCTCCTTGCTTCCTTTTGTGTGCTTCGATCTATTAAATGAAGAGTGTGGTTGGATCTGTGAGTCTTTCTGTTCAATGGCCTCCGGAATAGGCGGACAGTGTATTGCCTGGTCTTGGAGTCTATGGCAACATCAGGCTAATTTCCCACTCAGTACAAGTCAAGGTTTAAACTAACCAAGCTATCTCTACTGTCTCAGGAGGTCACTTTTTATCTACCATCTCATTATATGCTCTGGGTATAGGCAAAGATTGAGGAGCTTCTTGGCTGTTGAGGAAGGGTTTCTTGTCCATACACTGCTTTTGGGTCTGCTCTGCCCACCTTGTCTGGACATGGAGTGTTCTGGTGGCTAAAGAGGCATGGCTGCCCCTGTTCAGTTTCTCTGGGGTTAGCTTGGCTCCTACCAATGGCAAACATGTTCCAAGTTAACTATTTGCCTCCAGTCACTAGGTTGCTACATACCACAGCATGCTCAGCTCAGCCCCAGGCCTCCTCCAGTCCACCCAGGCCTCTTGCATATCCTCATCCTGCCATAAACACACAGGAGCCCCTAAGTGGATCCCTGTTTGCCCCCACAGGCCGAAGGCATCCGGAGAACTGTGGGAGGTACATCCGCCTGGACGCCTCCCTTTTAAATGAATATGCAACTTCCGCACCATGCAGAGTGTGGCAGGAAAGAAGCACCACATTGGAAAATCTCATCTTCCTGGGTTTCTCCTCAGAGATTTTATAATATTATCCCTAAAAACAGCACAGTGTAAGGCCTAAGGGAGCGGGGTGCTGAGATCCTTCTCAGGGATCAGACATCATAATACCTTAGTCCCTGCCTGAAGATTTAGTTCCGTTTTCAGTTTTGGAGACTCTGTTCTGATGTTATATCCTGTATCGAACTATGCTATTTTTATAGTAAAAATCATCACTAAAACCTCAAGGCATTGCTCTTAAAATTTTAAATTTAGAAAATCCTTTTCCCTTTTAACTAATCTTGGACTTGAGGATGACTGACTTGTCATGGACTTTAAGCCTCAACATAGAGCAGAGATGTCCCTAGTTCTAGACCAGGAGATGCTACTGATTGACCCAAGTAGATACCTATGCAAAACAAGGGATGATCAGGAATGTAAATATATTGATGTTTAAATCTCACTAATATTAGTCCTATTTACAAGGTACCCTTATGTTGGCATTTCAGATACTACATCATTCAGTTCAATTCATTTAACAAATATTCCTTGAGGAGGACCTACTACAGTCCAGGAAATGAGCTAAATATAAAACAGTGAAAAAAAATGATCAGGGTTACTACCCTAAAGGGGCTTTCATTCTAGTAGGAGAGATTGACAAAAACCAGGTTAGCGTATAAATAAACAAGTATCAAGTATTAGGAGAAATAAGCAAATTTTTTTCTACAGATAACCTCAGAGGCTCATTCCTAATAACCTGGCAAGGATTTATCTAAGAGTAGTGTCTCCCTCTTTAGTGGCAGAGGCTGCTCCCAAACTGTTGAAAATTCCCATGGGGCAAGGAACTTCTGGGCAGCTATAGTTTCCCATCACCTGACAAAGAACCCACACCTCAGTTCAGAATGCCTGGTGCCTCATAAATAGCCCAAAGAGTGCATCTCACACTATAAAGTCACTCTTGTGCCAATTTCACAAAGGAGAAAAAAATAGCATGAGAGATTTCCTTTAAAGGGGGAAATAAGCAGGGGGTATCCACAAGGGCTGAGAGAACAAAGACCCATGAACTTGGGGACCCTTCTGCCTTTGAATGCCAGCCTGCACTAAGCATTTTCACTAGTATCATTTCCAGTCTTTTACACGATAGCTTTGAGATAAATAGTGTAATGTGATAGACAGTAACTGAGGACAGAGACTATGTGCCAAGAGGAGAAAACTCCAAGCAGACTTCATTGAGTGAGCCACATTTAAGCACAGACCAGAATGATAAGAAGGAGCAAGTCATGCAGAGAGCAAGGGAAAAAGCACGCCAGCCCAAAGGATTAGCAAGAGGCAAAGCCCGGAGGTGAGAACAATCTTGACTTCTTCAGGATCCAGAGCAAGTAGACAATCAGAAGCAAGGGGGTGTGAGGTGAGGTTACAGCCTCAGGTAGAAGCAAACTAAATCAGGCAAGTAGTTTGTTGATGTGTTTGCTCTTCCCAAGTGCAACCAGAGACCATAGAACAAAAAGGTAGGCAGAGTGGGCTAATGTCATTTATTTCTTTCCAATGTAATCTCAGCTTCTGTGTAAAGAACACAGGGAGTGTGAATGGAAGCCAAAAACCTGATAGGCTGTTACTGTCAGGTTCCAGGTGATGTTGACCTGGACCAGGATGATGGTGTTGGAGATAGAGAGGAGAAGATTGATGCTAGATCCATTTGGGAGGTGGATTGACCATGTTGGAAATAAGAGGCATCAAAGAGCCCTCCCAGGGTTTGTCCTGGCATCTAATAGGTAGATGGTAATGCCACTTATGAAAATGAGGAAGACTGGCGATGGAAGGGATTAAATGTATTGGTGGGTCATGAGGAAAAAATATGCTTTGGACACACTATCTTTAAATGACTTTTGGAAATTCCTATGCTGGGGAAAAATTGTGTGAGAAAGACCTTCTTGGCTCATACTCCTACAAATACCCTGCACGTAAGCAACATACCACTCCATCTGACCATTCATGGTCCCTTTTATCACAACACTCTCCACTTCCTCTGAGGGCAAGTCAGTCAGCAGTTTGCACAGATGCATTTCCTCCCATGATCTGTCCTGAGCTTGGCCACCACTTCCATATTATGTCAGACATTTTCCCTCTGTGTGCCTGAAAGAGTGGTTCATCATCCAGATGCCAACCTGGCAAGCAGAGAGACCCTGAATCTTCAGGCATGCACCTGAAGCAAAGCGAAACAGCAGAAATCTAGAAATCCAGGTTGAATTCAGAACCCAGCTGTCCTGCCCTGCCTGGGAAGAGTTGCCAGCAGATGACTGAGTTAACGTTTCTAATTGAGGGCTGCTTTCTTTGTCTCCTTCCAGAGGAGGAGAAAGGGGATAAGGAAAAGGAGAGGGAGTGATTCCATGGTGGGAAGAAATAAAGAAGAATTGCTACACACGCTGAACTTATTAGTTTCCTCCCAGGAATTTTCTAAGAATGCTCTCCCCTGCCTTTATATGAGCCCCACTTATGATCAGAATGGCCCAACTGGGGCCATTCAACTGTGCCAGGAAATTGTTATTAATTACTGTTTGATTATTTCCTAGGCAAATGCTTTCTCTTTTCAAATATATTTATTGAGAGTCAGCAGGTTCAAGGCACAACATTCCGTACTGATGAAACGACACTCAACTAGAGAGACCAGACCCTTGTTTTCTTGGAGCTCAGAGTGTAGTAGGGTGCAGACAATAAACAAACAACAAACACACTCCTAAAGGTAATCTCAGATAGTGATGAGTGCTGTAAAGAAAATAAGACAGCAAAACACAGTAAACAGAGGGTGGGGTGAGGGCAAATTATATTAAACATTTAAAGGAAGGTTTGCTGAGGAGGTGACTTCTGGGTTGAGAAGGAATTAGCAAGCACAATTTTGGGGGAAGGGTTTTCCAGGTCATGGAATGCAGGGACAAAACTTCTCAGGTGAGGTTAAGCTTGGACAATGGTCAGTGGGCCTGCAGGCTGCTGCATGGTAGAGAGTAGTCTGAGGTCTGGTCACAGAGCTGGCCTGGCCCCTTTGCTTCCTGACTCTCTGTTTGTGCTCAGGGTACCTGAAAGCAGAAATCACCTTTCACATGTGTGCCATTTTCCCCACAGGCTATAGTGCAAGATTAGGCAAATAGGAGGCATATGAGACACAAATGAGATGGGATTGAACCAGATTTAAATGAAATTGGAGAGGACTGATTTAGGAATTGAGTGGCACTTGATTCAGCTGCTCTTCCTTGCTTCATATTTTATACATCAGCTACACCAAACAGCTTGTTGCCACCTGCATCCACCTGCCTGTGCTCTTGATGCCTGTCTGCTTGGAAAAATCTTCCTATCCCCCTCTGAATAGTTAGCTCCTCCTTACCATTTAAAGCTTCTCTCAATATTGCTATATCCAGGAAATACCAGTAGCATCCTTACTTGATTCCTGACAACCGCAAATGTCTCTAGATATTGCCAAATGTCTGTGGAAAGAGTGGGAAAAATCAACTGCAGTTGAGAATCACTGTTCTATTTCTCCCTAGATACACACACAAAACCTTCTTCCCCAGTAAGGAGAGAGAAAAGGCAAGAGGAAACAAAATATTGAAAAACACAAGCAGCCCACATCAAGCCTTGCTGCATTGCTATAAAACAGTTCTAAGTTAAATCCACCTTAAATTAGTGCATCCTGTACCATTTTAACTTGCACAATGGAATAACTATTTAAAAATCAGAGAAAGGAGAAAACCAGGAGACCCATTTAGGAACTGAGGCTCTGCTTTTGTATCTAGAACTCCAACAACACTGTTAAACTTCACGTTGGTGAGATCAGGACTATACTAAAAAGACATCATCATTACTTTTTAATTACTGCTAATTACTACCTACTATTGTTTGCATGTTGCTTGGTTGGTTCAGTTTCCTTGAAAATAAATGAACTTTTCTACCTGGCCCTGATAACATTTTTGTGTTTATAGCTTGACACCAACCCAAGTTCTTGGCAGATATTTTTCACCCACACCCAGAGAAGTGGGGCCATCACCCCAAAAGCAGCTGTAAATTTGCATCCAAAGGACACAGAGGCTTAGAGGCTGGAAATAGAACCCCAGGTGCAGAGAAGGGCACGAGGGATATGCCCTAGATGACTGAGCAAGGAAATACATTTAATTCAAGCCTGGCAGTCACCCGCAAAAGTAATGGCCCCAGGGACTGAGTCCAGTGCTAAGCTATTCACTTCCTCTTCCATGTTCCCCGAAGAATAAATGTGTATCTTCAACCAAAGGTGCCTGGGTCTTCAGGAGCTGCCTGCCATGTAGGCCTCTGCGCATTGAAAAACACAAGCAGCCCACATCAAGCCTGTTGCATTGTTATAAAACAGTTCTAAGTTAAACACACCTTAAATTAGTGCATCCTGTACCATTTTAACGGCACGATGGAATAACTATTTAAAAATCAGAGAAAGAAGAAAACCAGGAGACCCATTTAGGAACTGAGGCTCTTGACACTGGGACGTTGACAAGGTTTTCGCAGAGTCCCTCGGCCTGTCTTTTTTGCCTGCTTATTCCACCTCCAGGCTTTACTTCTCTCTAAGATTTTAATGTTATTTCCCTGTTCCTCTATCTTTCTGTCCCTTAAAATCCAATTGCAGGAAGAGCTCTGAGAGGCCTATTCCCTGAAGAATTAATAGCTGCTAATAACTTACTGTACCATCCTTCTCAAGTGAACTCATAAATTATTCTTCCACAGTTGAATTTATCATCTTGGGGGAAAAAGGAACATTTCCTTTTCTCTTAATTATTAAAATATCTATATGATATTGATGACTTTTTGTCTCTTTTCAGGGCCCTGATGTATATTTTCTTAAAGCATAATTAATAATTATGTAGCGCTGTACTGTCTAATACTATAGCTACTAGTCATGTGTGTCTGTTGAGCAACTGAATGTGGCTAGTCTGAATTGATTTGGGTGGTAAGTAAAAAATACAAACTGGCTTTCCAAGATCTAGTGTGAACAAGCTATAAAATATCTCATTCATAATTTTCATATTGATTATATGTTAAAATGATATTTTGGATATATTAGATGAAATAAAATATAATATTAAAATTAATTTTACCAGTTTCCTTTTACTTTTTTATGTTATTACTAGAATATTTTAATTTCTATACATGGCTTTCATTTTATTTCTATTTGGCAGTACCTCATCAATGTGCTCTTATAGTCATTCGACATCCAAGAGATTGATACTTAACACATCTTACAAAAAAAAAATACAACGGAAACTAGCAATTTGCTCATGATTACACAGCTAGCAGCAAAAATAGACCCTGAGTCCGCTAAGTAGAAAAACTGGCCTTTACGTAAAAATCCAAGTTTGACAGCAAACTTCAACACAAAGCCTTTTTTTCCAAGAACTTGTATTGCTCTTAAAGCAATTTTTCACTTTTTGAGTTGAAATGACAGACAGCTAGAAGGATAAGGAAATCGCATCCTTCTGGGGGCTCAGGAGTTCCTCATGCCTGGTGAATTGTACTGTGAGGCAATGAAACAAAAAGCATTAATAAAGAAAGCTCTGTTGTAACAAACCAAAAAAAAAATGTTGAGTTATTTTTTTCAAGGGAAACAGACTAACTGAATTGCCTGGTTACTTTGCCCCAGTTTCTCCTCCACTCTCCAAGCTCAACAGAGATTAATTACTCACATCTTGGATTTTGCTGTTACAGTCTCTGAGCAGACGCACTTTGCTTTCCTTCTCCAGAACACCTGCCACATCCTCCCTGCATCAACAGTGATGGATATAAGATTAGGCTCTTGCCGTCTCATCACAAAAGTCATCCTTGTATGTCCTTCATCACTGGCCAGAGCCTGTGATGTCCTGTTTCACTGTAATAGGTGATCCCAGAGTGTGATGCAGCAAAAAGGCTGGGGCTGGGGCTCAAAACACCTAGCTCAGGTGAGTGAGCACCTCATCATTGGAGGTATTTGGTTTAGGCAGAGTTGACTTGGATGAAATTTAGGGTATCTTTCAACCCGAAAGAAGAGTCAGTAGATCGATAGCAAAGGGATCCTGCAGAGGAATAACCCATCTATAACTTTGTCTCTATTATTGGCCCCTGCCCATCCCCTAATTCTAACTTTGATCGTTGCTGTTGGGATATCACCTCCACTTGTGCTAAGGTATCTCTTCCTGGTTCCAGGATAATTGAGTCTCGAAGGCTGAAGAAAAAATGCAGTAACTCATGTGGATATACTGGCAGCCCTGATAATGGAGCTCAATCGACAGCTGTGCCAGGAATTACTTAGGTGTTGAATGTAACTTCAAAGGTCAATAAACGTGCAGTAAGTTCAGCCTGAAGCTGAACACACACCGATACCAGTGTGAGGGACCTGGGGTTGTTTCCCCTTCTCCTTTGCTAAAAGAGTTCTAACAGTCTACTTTCAGGTTAACATAGTATTTCTGTATTTTTGCTGCAGGGTCACGTTCTTTTTTTGTATATATATTTTTTAATAATTAGAGGTTTTCTTTGCAACATGGCAAGAGCAATAAATCACATAGCCTTTATTTATGATATTTTACATGCTGCAGACAGTTTTATTTAGAGAAAATTTGCAGGGACTAAGGAATTGTCTGATGTCTATTTCCCCCTCAATTTAAAGACCTCTGTACCTAGCCCCATGTTAGGCACTGTGATATTTTAAAAAGATAAAGATACAGTCCCTGGACTTTCCAAGTGTTAATGTACTTGGAGAGACATGAATGGGTGAAATTATGAACAATACAATATCAATGCGGGAAATAGGGGTATAAACATTGCTTCTGCAGGTAGGACTGTATTCTATGCCTTCTCACTGAGTATAAGGCTCTGGCCATTTTACTATGCCCATTTAGTCCTCTTGAAATTCTTATCAAAACTTAAGCTAAAATATCCCAAACCAAAATCTCCACTTCTCATAATCGAAATTGTCCTGCAGGTGTACGTATCACTGTTACTTAGATTGTAACAGGGCTTTATATCCCATCAGATTTTTGCACTTAGGTCATGTCTCATTTCTGAGATTCAATTTCTTCATATGTAAATTTAGATTACTAACATCCGTATGACTCTAGCTTTCTTTGATCCATATTATAAAAATTTTTTAAAAAATACACCGATGAAATGAGTTGCAAATATTGAGCATCACTAACATTGTGATGGTGGTTTGGATACACATTCTCTCCTATCTGCATAGCATTTTCACCTCCTAACTGGTCTCCCCATTTCTGGCACCTCTCTCTGCATTTTAATTTGTATTCATGTCGCTTCTCTACCAAGGTGAGCACAGAAAATTTATCCTGGGTTTTGGTTTCAGCTTTATTCCATAAGCATCAGAATGAGCCTAAACTGTGTCTGTATCTCAAGTTCAAACATGCCTCAGCATCCATCTGGGACTGCTCCAGCCCATTCTGATATTACTTTTAGCGGGCTGAGGAGTCTTTTTGGAGATAACTTATAAAGAAAACAAGGTCAGGCAGAAAAGTCTGACTCCAGTACAAAGTGTGGGCCATGAGAGAAAAGGAGTGACTATGAGTAGAGTGTGGTGACATCACACAGAACCTGCCCCAGCCCTATTCTTGAGATCCACATCTTCTTAAATAAGAAAGAGATGGTGTCCAACCAGAAGTGGAAATAGCTGTTTCAATAAAATGCACTAAAATAGTGGGGTTCAGGCATAATGGATGCCAAAACAGCAAGAGACCTTTGTACTTCTTTGGGAGTTCTCTAACCGGGTGTAACGTGAGATGGGGAGATCCATCTTCCTCTCCTCCACTCTGCATGGACGTTTTCATAGTCCACAACTGGATACCATGGGGGCTTTATGGGAGCATCAGTGCTGACATTGCCTGTGTGTGAACTATACATCAGTGGTGGTGTCTGGTAGGAGACCTCAGTGGACAACCTACTGGGAATTGAAAATGCAATGTCAGAAGACTTGCCCAGAAACCCATATCAGATAACCCAGTGAATCTGCAGAAATTCTTGAGGTGGCAGGAAGCAAGATTTTCCAGCAAGCCCTGCATTAGAAAGGTGGTCAAACAGTCCATGAAATTCAAGTCTTTATTTCTAATGGAACCCTATTTGAACCCACACTTATAGAAATTCAGGTTACACTTATATGTCCTGCCTACACTCCCTACCCCAAAATCCCCACATACATACAAACATAGCTTAAATAGGATGAACTACCCGTTTGTTAGCTAAATAAGTGTTGAATGATCTCCAGATCTCTGCTGTCATGTGAGCATTTTGTGTGGTCACTTTTGAATGTCTACAAAAAACATTCCCCTTCAAAAATGTGTAAATAACCGAACACACACACACACACACACACACCACACACACACACACACACACACACAAGGAAGAAACAAAAATATATCCATGTAGCTTATCATGGTGCAATAAATAAACACACTTGGAGACTGTCCTTGCTTAAAGAATGATAACCCATAAAGACCTTTATATTTTTCTAGTTTTTTTCTCATTGTCACGTAGTTTGCAAGATTACTTGAATTTTACCCCAAAGAAATAAAAGAGGGGTCTAGAGTTCTGGAGCAAAGAATAAACAAAATAGTCCCAGGCACAGATTATAGATGGAGAAGGTTGGACCAGATGGTGGAATGTGATGGATGGCTACGGTCCTCAAGGATGCGGCCCCAGCACCTTACACTTAAGGCAAAGGGGTATAGGAAGTAACAGTGAGTGTCCAATGCTAGACAATGGGTCAAGATTCAGAAGCTGTTAGGTTGTAGCAAATATTTGCTTATCCCCCCAAAAGAACCTAGATGGTAGATATTAACATCACCATTTTATGGCGAAAAAATATTTACAAACTAGAGTTTGAGATGACATGAGCAGAATTCATAGGCACAATCAGTAGGAGAGTGAGCTAGAATGTGAACTTTGGAATGACCAGATGTAAAAGGCCTGTGTCTTTATTCTCATGCTGTGCTAGGAAGGTCAATGTTTGCCTTTGATTCTCGGAAGAATCTTGAAATATTTTATCACCAATGAAATAGAGAAAAGTTAAATGACTTGCCCAGTCTCGCATAACCAGAAACTCTTAGAGCTAATATTTAAACCCATTTATGACCTCAAAGCTCAGTTATTTGCTCTTCTCCAAAACTGTATTATGAGTATGAATGAGGCTGCTCTCCGAGAAAACAGCATCATATCCATGGCCTCCTGTCGCTTGCTGGTGAGAAGTGTTTGTGAATATGCTGTTAAATAGAAGACCCATGGCTGTTCTGTTGTGGCATTCCTGACTTTATACAGTGAAAGAAAGGGGCTTACCACTTTGTTTAAAACATATATAAAGTATATAACCAGAGGGATAAAAACCACTTAGTTTACCACAAACCTCCCCCATGTGAGAGGATTAAAACCCATTTTAGGGTATCACCAAGATATTGTTTATGGTAGAGAGAGGGGTGATTAATGATTAGAATCTGTGATTTGAGGATCTCTATTTTTGCTTTGAGCTTAAGCCAAGAACACCACACTAAGCATGTTCTGCTAAATAATTCAGACACTTGGAGCTTTTCCTGCTGCCTTCCATGTTTGAAGGCAATATCCCTGACCACCTCTCAGTCCCCATTAGTAGTGATAAACTGTGAGTCCTATCCTCTGCAGAGAAGAAAGCTTTATTGATTCATGCAACCCCCTGAATGTTGAGTACCTGCATTTATGAGCCAGGTGGGGTAAAAGGTCAGATTCTTGACTGTCCTCAAACCAGATGTGTTAAGCTGTAGGAGGCTAGAGAACAAATGTACAAAGACTGAAGGTCCTACTGCTATTTCCCCTTAATGCAACAGAGTAAGTGGAGCTGTCCACTGCTTTTCATTTAATGGGAAAACGTAAATGTTCAACACAAGAAGCTTCACTTAAAATTTTATGTAGAAAAAAATTGTTTTGAAGGAAGTAGAAGACATTTCCAGTTCTCTTGATGACCTTGAACACGTCAAGAGTTTTTTTAAGTAATATGTATATTTAAAGGTGTAAAAATCCAAGCCCAAGAGATCTAATAAGAATACAATGAAACTTGTGATATAAGCATGTTGAAGAGAGAGATGTTACTATCATCCATATGCATGTTCATGGATACATCATAGTCTCCCCAAAGTATTTCTACATCATTGGTCTCACCAGATTCTCCTATTATACCCTTAAACTAGAAAGGGTAAATATTTAGTTGGAGTAAATCCTCAGGTCCCTCATGACCTTGGAAGAAATTGTTGTTACCATACTGTTGGCTTATTCAGCTTGCCTGAGTTTCAGTCTTGGTTTTATGATTTGCACTCGAGTTTTGCAGGGGAACATAGCCTAGTTTTGAAAATCTACCCTCTATGATTCTGACAACAAGATTGCTGATATTTCCTTGTATTGTCTCAGATCCCCCAAACACAACACAAATTTCTGAGCACCACTGTAGCTCCCAAGCTTGACATGTATCCTCAATCCATCCCCTTGGAGAAAGACAGCTTTATTTGATGGACTTGGGTTTGTACCCTTCCTTGGATTTACTGTCATGAATTTGAGTTTGTTCTGTGCCCTTTAGGCATATGCTGATTTTCTCATCTCCCCACTTCAGAGAATTTCCTAGGATATACTGTGATCAAGCTCTTGTATTACCTGGAGGTAGACAACTGAGATAAAAGATACCAGCTAAAAAACACTTGAAACATGTTAATTTTCACAAAGAAAAACCACCATTCTAAACCTATGTCCCCATACATGTGCACCTAAATTCACACATGTGGGTATATTCACATACCCAAGAAATCACAACCACATTTTCAAGGCTCATGCTTCAATTACAGACAAGAATGACTTGGAGCAATTCTTATTTGCTCTCAAAAATTAATTAGACCAACATACCATGCAGTAAATATCTTTGTATAAAATGACATTTAAATTTTACATGAGGCTTAGAGAAGGTAACCACCAATCACCTTCTAAGAATTCCATTAGTGGAAAGCAAAGAAGGTGTTCTAAAATTAATGAATCTATCAACTGGAGTGAAACATTCAAAAAACCTACCAAGTCAAAGAGCAATTAATTGGGTCTTTTCAGAATTTAATTCGTTCCTGCTGAATGCCTGAAGAATGTTACTCAAAATGAAATAATGTGGAGTTGAATATCAAGAACAAAGAATTCAGGAATAGAATACACTTCTCATCCTGACTTGGTCACTAATGTACATTTTGACATAAACTAAGTCCAGTTTCTACATTTCTTCCTTGTAATATGGAATGGATTAACACCTGCCCTGCTTAACATATGGGATAATTTTGAGGAAAAAATGATATAATGGATGATATAGACAATTTAGACATTGTATAAGTTAGAGGGAAGTTTGAGCTCACAGTATCCGAAAAACTTATAGAGAAAACAGGAACAATATCAGCCGTTTCCTAGAACCAAGGAATTGACGGTATTGTACTTTGAGTAAGTAAAGAGGATCTGATAACTCCGCTGAGCACATTATTTTTCTTAGTATGCATTAGGTTAATGTAGCTTAGCAAATAACTACCCTTGGCTGTTGGTTATAGAATTTCCCTGGTGTTTTCGATACCCTCCATGTAAAACAGAAATCTGATTTTCTGGGCTTAGGTCTTCTAAATATTAGATTCATCCCAATGGTAAATTAAATATCTTAGAAAAAAACATTTCCTCTCTCATGATGTCGAAGTAAATAGCCTTGCAGCAAAGGCCAAAACTCTATTTCTTTTTTATTCCCCAATCTCTTCCCTCCAGAAGAAGCCGGTAGCAGTGATTACGAGCACAGCTTTGGTGTTTGGGTTTCAAGCCCCATTCTGTTACTTTTATAGAACCATGACCAAGTTATCCTATTTCTCCAAATTTTCATTTCCTTGTTTGAAATATGAGGGTAAGCATAGCTGTCGCAGAATGATGTTCTGTATATTAAATATGATAATTTATGTAGATATCTTAGCACAAGGCCTGGCACAAAATTAGTGCTGAATAAATGGTAGTTATACTCAGATGAGCTCCTGAAAATGTTAGTCTGGCAATTCTCTGGTGACACTGACTTTATGACTAAAGTGATTTCCTTAAAGTGATTTCCTAAATCTGTAACAACTGAATACCTTCTTAAAAAGAAAATATATTGCACTTAAGTTTATATAGACAATGGAAAAGGCTTGACAAGTATTGCTTGCTTGATGTCCCCCAGGGTAGATTGTTGAAGATTAAGGTTAAGAAACAGAACAAAATGATTGCAACTAATAGGGAAGCTGCAGAAATAATTCAGAGGAGTCATTTCACCGTAACCATCATCTGCAGATCTGTTGTTCTGTTGTTCCACTGAAAATTATTGTCTGTTATGGAGCTACCAGGCACTGCATATAATATTATTATTCGCTCTTACTATGTGATCATATGAGCTAGGCACCATACTTAATGATATCCATGCACTATTTTATTTAATTTCCACCACAACCCTGTGAAATAGGTCTATTTGATTTGCGAGCCCATATCTGTAATCACTATGCCTTCCTCTGGCCCACTGTGTAGGCTGGCATGAGGCCTGGTTTGCATGAGAATGGGTATCAGAAGGCCCAGTGGAACATCATGAGTAGAGTAAAGAGAGCAGCGCAACCTTAAAGCATTCCTACTCTCTCAGATAATTTATGACCTAGGAATCTTACTGGGAAGCCCAACCCAGCACTCCCCTCCACCCCGCATACCTGGGTTCCTTGCCCTGGCTGAGTCACCTAGCTGCAAGTATTTCTGAGTGCTGGAACCAGCGCTTTCCCCTATATCCCCTTGAATCTGTCTTAGGAGCACTCTGTCTCCTGATGAGACACACTGTTCTACCTTGGCACTCCCCAGTTGTCCTGGATCAACCCCATCTTGCCACTTCTTTTCTGCCTACAGCTGATTTTAGCATGTCTTGTTGCCTTACTTCCCTTGCCTAATTCTCACACTAGTATCTCCATTTTGCTTCGGCCTTGACTCCTGGTCTTCCCTTCAATTACAAGGGGATTTTGTTCATGTCTTCACTCACCCCTAAGCAATGACGATTGATCTATGAAAAATAAAGTGAAGAGGAGGAGGGACGTGTGTAAAGAGGAAAGCCTTTGGTGTGACACATTGTGTTTTTGAGAAGTATTTTCTATAAAATTCCTTCTTTTTCCTTGTTGTTCTCACTTCAGGCCATGAAATGTGATGCCCAAGGAGCAAAGTGTCTTAAAGTTCCTAACTCCACTAACCCACAAGATCCGATATCTTGAGAGACCTCAGATTATATGTCCTCTCTTCTTCCTGCTCTTGATTCTATTTTTTTCTTTTACTGTTAGTAAACTGGTCTCTCAAGATTAACCATGAGAGCACTCTCCTCCATAGAACATATTTCTGCATTGACCTGTGGTCTCTATCCTGCTCCTTGATTTAAATCAAATTCCAGTGTCTTAAGTATATAAGTTCCAACTGGACTCAGATTAGTCCCTAAATTAAAAAGAAGTTAGAAACAGAAAACAGCCCTCAAATTCTACTAATTTTGAAAGATTTTCTGAAGGAACGTGGTTTCTTAGTGAACAGATTCTTCCTTGGTAACTTATCATACATATGCCAAATGCCACGTTAAGTCCTTTCTGCGAAGTGCTCTTTCTTCTAAAGACTCATAGGAAATAAGCTCACAGAGCTTAACAAATAATCATTCTTTGAATAAAGTTATTTACCCTAAAATGCTAGGTTATGATTCTTTAAGCATTTATGCACATATGCAAAGAGAGCTTAGTCTATGTGTTTCCATTTCAGAAACAAGTCATTTCTAATAGCCAATACAAAATAATAGAGTGAAAAATTCTCTGTAATGGCTCAATTTCCAGACTGTTTTATAATAGTTTACTTTTTCCAAAGCTTGCTCATGAATAAACTGTCTGATACAATAAGAAGATGGCCTTCCCAAAGGTTGTCTGAGTTTAAATATGGAAGCAGTAACTGTTTTCCAGGAAATCTCTTAACCCACATTCATAATATTCCAGCATTCCGATCAATAATAGGAAAATTATAGAATATATCTCAATGCTGTCTTTGTCCAACATCATCACTGGAAAATTAAGAAACACAGGTCCAGGGGGAATAAAGTCACCTACTCAAAATAACAGATTTAATGAAAGAAATAAAATTAAAAGTGAAGTCTTATCAGCCTGTAACATTTTGAGGTTAAAAGCAGCTGACATAATTGCTAAAATCATTGTGAATAAAAATATTAATTTATTAAATAAGTATTGTTGAGAGTTTAATGTGCTAGGTCCTGAGAATACAAACTCATGCTTGATCAACAGAGTATGATGGAAATAGCATTATGTTATTTCATGACCCAGCCCAAAAGGACCAGCAGCTTCTGCTTTGCCCTCTTGGAGCCCTGACCAACAATAAAAGAAATTCTACTATCCTGACACCTCCATGCTGTAAGATGTAAGAAGTTCAAGGCACAGGGCCACTGCATTGTAGTTCTCTTTAGCAGTCCCCTCTTTAGCAGAGATCTCTCAGATCAACTGCTAAGCATGTGTGTAATCATCTTCGAAGACCAGTCCATTTGATGCTTCATATGACTCCAGTTCCAGCCATTATATGCAACTGCATGATTTCCAAGGGAGAACCACCCAGACAATCCTAATCACCTCACAGAACCATGAGAAGTAATAACAAACTGTTTTATGCCACTAACCTTGGGATAGTTTTCTGTGTACCAATAGGAAATCAGAAGAGTAGATAATGGAGAAATCATCAGTAAAGTTTGAAGGGGAGAGTAATGATAAATTCATATTCATAACTGATCATTTTGAATAGGTAGGGACATAGAGTCAGGTAATAGAAGATAAACACCCATGTCTTCTGCTCCCACCATACATTCAAGTTTATCTGGAATTTGAGGACTGCTGGACAAAATTGAGTGAAGTTCATTCTCCTGTGTACAATTGGTATTATGGAGATTCAAAACGATCTACCAAGAGGAAGAGAGAAAGGGCCAAGCCCTTGACGATTAAAGTACCAGTTTCCAATTCTGATGGCCAGCTATTAAGATAGCCTCCAGGCACACCTCCGGCATTCATGGTTGGGCAAAATCATCTGAAAACACAGTACACTGTGGAGTATCAGCTGTTTACTTTCAAGATGGTATTGCCACCAGGGCAGTGCTTGCTGCCTATGCTGAGGCAACATGAGAGAGTACCGTACTGCATACTGCTAGCCCAGTAAAAGACCAGTATTCAAAATCTGATATAAGCCTTCTAGGGAATGCATATCACTTTCCCACCATGATACGGTAGAAAAATTATAAGTAGAACTATCATAAATCACAGACCATCTGTGTAGGGAAAAGTAACCTCTTCAGGATATTGAATCTGTCTCTCTAAAACATGATATATTTCTTCGTATATTAAAGTCTTCTTTAAAGTTTAAAAAGTTTTACATGGTCTTGACTATTTTTGTCGGATATATTTCTAGATCCTTTATATTTTTCTTCCTATTAAAAACAGTATCTTTCTTAAAAATACCCTTTCTAACTCTATTGTTGGAATACAAATGTTCATTTGGGATTTATATGTTGATCTCACATTCTTCTTGTTTACTAAATTTATCCATTAATTCTAACAACTAATTTGAAGAGTCTTCTGGGTTTTCTATGGAGACAGCATGTCATATGCAAATAGTGACAACTTAATTTACTTTTTCCCTGTTTAAATTTTTTTTTCTTTTCTAAGTGTACTTTCTATCACACGATATTGTTAAATAGAATCAATGAGGGTGGTACATTTGTATATTTCTGATTTTTTAAGGAAGTCTTGTCAGTAGTTTACTTTTGAGTCTCTATAGATTTCTTTACTGTGTTAAAGCTATTCCTGTCTAACTCTGGTTTTTAAGACTTTTTATCAGTTACTAATAGGTTTTGAATTTCACTTAACAATTTTGTTCTTTTAAAATGACTATATATTTTTTTCCCTTTTAACTTCTGAACTTGGAAATTGCATTAATAGTTCATCATAATAAACTATCATTACATTTCCAAGATTAACTCTTCTTTCTCTTCATTTATTATATAAAACAATGAATTCAATTTGTTTTGTGTTTTGTTCAGGAACTTTGCATCTGTGTTCTTGAGTCAGATTGTCCTTCAAATTTCTTTCTCACGATGGCCCTGAATTTTTCTTTTTCTCAAAATTTTCCACCAATATTTTAGATAAAAACCCAAAGACAATAGTGTTATGAATCATTATGTACCTACCACCAAGCAACAACTCTCATGACCTCAAGTCCTCTCTTGTTTTATCTGTCTCTCTCTTTCTTTATCTCTATCATGCTTGATTATTTTGAAGTAAATTCTGAATAACCATTTCATCTGTAAATATTGTGTTATGTATCTTAAATGATAAGGATACTTTAAATAATATTATTTCAATATTATAATTACATCTGAACATGATATAGTCCTTTAACATTATCAAATGCTCACTTTTACCCAATTGTTTTATAATTATATTTTTTATTTAATTTGTTCAAATCAAGATCCAAACATGGTTCACACATTTTATTTGATTGATATATTTTTCACATGTTAAGAGTGAGATGTTGTTTTATTTCCTTAAATTCACTTGCTGGGGAAATGTACTTATTTGTCCTGTAGAATTTCCCACCTTCTAAATTTTGCTGATGGTATTCCTGTGTTGTAATATAATACCATCCCCATGTCCTATATTTTCTGGAAATTGCCAGCTAGATGTTAACCAGAGATCTCAAACTGTTTTGATCTCAGGACCCTTTAACACTCTTAAAAAATATTGAGGACACTCGAAAAAAAATTTTGTTCATGTGAGCTATTGATATTTATAATAATATATAGTAAAAGAGAAAAGTTAAAAATATTCATTTACTAACTCACTTTGAACTTTTTTGAAAACATGTTAACAAAAGACCCATATGTCAGTAAGTGAAGTTTGTCTTGGTTTATTTTTCAAGTAAAAATGGTGTTCCATGAAATAGTGAACTAAAACTCAGTGTTACAAATTATTTCCCTCAAGACAACCATTATACTTTAGCATGTCAGCTTCCCATTTAGTCATACAGAATATTCCCTCTAGATGTATTCAAGGGTTGAGATTTACTGAAGCCAATTCACTACCCTGATTCATCAAGTTCAAGGGCATTTTCAAGTAAAAATGGCTTTATTTTGTTTCTTGCAAGTGCGTGGATATGAGCAATGCAATTTGGTGCCACTGCCTTGATTGATGTTAAGGCACCAGAACTTCTATCCACCATTTATTTTGCCTCATCAGTGCAAATGTCAACATAGCGAAAATGACGAATAACACTTTAGTATAATTATGAAAATTATAACTGCACAACCACTCCAAACAGGCCCTGAAGACCCCCATTGGTGTGTAGATCACAATCTAAGAACGCTACTCTGAGATATCAAACTGTCAGCGCAGAACTACAATAAACCAAGGAACTATCTCTTGGTCTTCTCACACAAAGGTAGCTGGAAGGCAAATCTATTTAACTGCTGTTCCATAAGACCCTGGCTTGCCTAATGACTCACAAGATTATTTCAAGCTTCTTTTACATCTTGCTGTGAAGTTGAAGTAGCAACACTGAACCAGTGCTGCTGCTTCTGGTTTCTATTGTTTCTTTATTTCGACTAATACATTGTCTTTGCCAACACATCTAATTTTAATGCCCACCCAATTTTTATTTATTAATTTATTTTAAATGTTACTAGATAAGGTATAAAGGAATTCATATGTATGCCTATAGAAGTGAGCTCCTGGCACGTTGATCAAAAACAAACTTTTGACATTTCTCATAACTATGTAATATCATAATATTTTCTAAACTATATAATACCAGGCTCACAAGACTGCCTTTATTCCCTTAAGTTTCTCAGAAGAAGATATCTGGAAGAGGGTGGGAAAAGTGCAAACTTCAACTGTTTGTGGGGAAAGTGCCGGCCTGCTACAGAGAAAAAGGCAACATCTGTAACAATTCCCAGCCTTTGCCAGGAAGAGTCTCCTCCCCTTGGCATAATCTTTTTGAACCAATGCCAAGCCCTCTCCATGACCCCTGTCCCGCCTACATATTGCCGTTATTCACTCCAGTGACCATCCCTGAGATCTTTTTATAAAAAACCCAGTCTTTGCTGACCAGACAAAGCATACCAGATCTCACCAGAGAGGTAAGTGGGAGCTGAGAGAAGATGAGACCTGTGGAAGGGCAACCTCACATAATACAGGAGAACGCATGGGAGGGTCCCTTCCTCAGGGAGCACAGGAGCTCTGAGACTCAGCAAGGCTGTACTGGGAGGTCTCAGGGATGGGTGAGTACACAGATTCACAGCTCATTCAGAACTGTAGAAGATGATGAATGTGACCAAGATCACTTCAGTCCTAGGGGACTACAGAAGGAAAAAGACAAGAGGCAGTAGGATATCTGTGTGTCCTCCCGCTGACCACACTTCCTTTAGTGACCCGATTGCCTCCTCAAGTCGCAGACACTATGCTGCCTCCCATGGCCCTGCCCAGTGTGTCCTGGATGCTGCTTTCCTGCCTCATTCTCCTGTGTCAGGTTCAAGGTGAGATTTCTCTGCCTCTAGCACTGGGTTCCCTATGAATCCTCAGAGCCAAGAAAAGGAGGAAGGCTCCTGTGTGTCACGTGAGGTAATGACGTGGTGTCTAATGAAACTGCCTGCAGTTCCTGCATCATCACTCCTTCCTTCATGTTAACTTGCAGTGGGAGGCTCCACTGTGGTCCACTAACAATGGAATGAGATGGCTTCCATTTAGTCAGTGGACTCTAATATACACTGGTGGGAAAGTGTGGAGGGTCAGCAATGAGATGTGGGGAGGGACAATGATTGGAGGACCCAATATAGAGATAGCCCACAGTGAAGAGAGTGTTGAATGGTTGAATAAGGGGAAAGGGTAATAACAGACTAGATGGTGGCCCATTTAGTAGGGCTATTTTGAGATAAAGAACTTCTGAAAACACAAGGGAAGATGAAGAGCTGTCAGGAATGTGGTCTTCCTCCCCAAGGGCAGACCTAGATATTCCCCAAGGTCATCTCCCACCCACCCCCTACTCTTCATTTTACTCTCTCCCTTTTCTTCCACCCCAGGTGAAGAAACCCAGAAGGAACTGCCCTCTCCACGGATCAGCTGTCCCAAAGGCTCCAAGGCCTATGGCTCCCCCTGCTATGCCTTGTTTTTGTCACCAAAATCCTGGATGGATGCAGATGTGAGTGGTTAGATGTGGGGTTGGAGGTGATAGGGGAAAGTCCATGCAGGTCTCAGGGGGAGGAGGGTCTCCTTCAGGAGAGTTCCTTGGGAATGAGGATGAACACGCTTATCTTTCACACAGTCCTCCTCCCACCTACCTTTTCCCTGCCCTCCCTCAGTGGGTCTCAGGCTCCATCTCATTCTCTTTGTCCCCCTCAAAGCTGGCTTGCCAGAAGCGGCCCTCTGGAAAACTGGTGTCTGTGCTCAGTGGGGCTGAGGGATCCTTCGTGTCCTCCCTGGTGAGGAGCATTAGTAACAGCTATTCATACATCTGGATTGGGCTCCATGACCCCACACAGGTGCGAGTATATCCTCCCCTCTCTGTTACCTCTCAAGGTACTGTTGTTGCCCAGGCGCACTCCCTGTCCCCAGTCCCTGCCCAGGAAGTACTTTAGGGAGCACTGGAGCTCAGATTCTGGGGGACATTTGGGAGAATAGGAAGTCCATGAGGCAGCTGAAGAGCTGAATTCTACGGAGATCCCTAGTCTTTAAAGAAAATTAGTCGGACTCTTGTAAAACTTTTACATAATTCTCAAGGGAATCCTTACAAATCAATTATCTGAGCTTCAGGGAGTCTGTATCTATTATTCTGAGGGAATTCTAAATTAAGATAGGATCAAATTTTGCCCCCATACAGAATAGACATTATCTTTGAGGTTCGCAGGCTAATCACAAATGCTACACCAATTATTGTTCTGCAAGTAACATATTACCTTGAGTGATTCCAAAGTTCTTGTGTTTATTGGTTGGGATTTTCCCAAAGCAATGAGGAGTTAAGGAAAAGATTCCAGTGCAGAGGACTCTAGGGCAGCATCTGGAAGATCAGACCAAAATCCCTGATGCTGGGGAGGAATCAGGTGTTACAGCTCAGGGGCCATGCAAAGAGACCTGCAATGGCCATTTTCTTCACCTGGCTGCCTCCTCTTCTCTATAGGGCTCTGAGCCTGATGGAGATGGATGGGAGTGGAGTAGCACTGATGTGATGAATTACTTTGCATGGGAGAAAAATCCCTCCACCATCTTAAACCCTGGCCACTGTGGGAGCCTGTCAAGAAGCACAGGTAAGAAACAGAAGAGCTGCCTCTTCCCAGCACTTTCCACTCCTCATCCCCAATTTCCTGACCTTCAGGAAATCCTTTTCAGCTAGGTAATGCAGTGTTTATGTGCCTTCTCCCGTCTCCTCTCATCTCTGCCTTCTTTGAGTCTCATTCTCCTGGATTGAGAAACTGGTGAAGATGAGAGAGAAGCTTTAAATCCTAGGCTAAAACCTGGGATGCCTCTTCACTGGGTTCACAAGTTCCCCCAGCCCCATGCCTTTTATATTCTGTCTCCCTAGGATTTCTGAAGTGGAAAGATTATAACTGTGATGCAAAGTTACCCTATGTCTGCAAGTTCAAGGACTAGGGCAGGTGGGAAGTCAGCAGCCTGAGCTTGGCGTGCAGCTCATCATGGACATGAGACCAGTGTGAAGACTCACCCTGGAAGAGAATATTCTCCCCAAACTGCCCTACCTGACTACCTTGTCATGATCCTCCTTCTTTTTCCTTTTTCTTCACCTTCATTTCAGGCTTTTCTCTGTCTTCCATGTCTTGAGATCTCAGAGAATAATAATAAAAATGTTACTTTATACGTATATGCTTTTGTTTCATTCTTATAGTAAGAGCCTTTGGAAGAGGAGGGAGAAGTTGGGGGAGAAAAAAACACTGAGTCTTGGCTCCTCCCAATTTCACCCAGGCCTAAGGTGAAATTACTATATGAGTGTCCCCATCAGTGTATTTGTGATGAAGGTGCGGGCCCTGCTCAGACAGGGTTTGTGTCATGAAGACATGAAGACAGTGCTTCCCCACACACTCACTGCCCACACATTGTCCCTGACGTTGTGACACAATCAGCCCTAGGGGAGTCTGATATTACTTAAAACAGAACTTCTCAAATAATTTTCTGTGAAGGATCTTTTTTTTTCATTAATTTGCAATCTACCTTGCATGGTGACTTTTGTAAAATACAGTAAAAAATGAATTACTTAAACTTCTGGTTACAGTGTTGACATAGAGAGCTTTGGAAACTGTTACTCTTTTCTTTAAAACAAGAAAAATCTGAATAAACTTAAAATCAACAACTTTCCTTTGGGCTAATGAGAGAACTGAGGTAGCAGGGCAAGTTGATACCCCAATATCTGGAAAAGCACCCAAATACACAGAGTTGTTTACATTTCTGCTTACCTGGAGCAAAAGCCTCTAGAGCTACAAGCTGTTAGGAACATTTAAATGGTGATTTTGAAAAATTGCTGGATGTTGAGTGCAGCTTGGCATTAAGAGTGAGAAACTCACGGAAGTTGCACTCCTATGAAAGCCCTCACGCCTTCATGGATTTTACCTTCAGGAATCCCAACAGGTTCTCTTCGTGGAGAGTCAAAAATAATTCTCTCATGGCTTTGTCAGGAAGAGTAGAAAAGAAACCATTTCTAAATCAGCCCAGAGCATTCTCAATAACAAAGACCTACTTCCAGGTAAAAAGACCTTATGAGCTTCGTATCATGCCTAAGCATGAGTGCATTTACGTCCACTCCAGCCACATCTAGCCTTCTCATCTTACCTAACAGAAAGAGACCTAAGAAACATTTTTGAAAGTCATGGCCATGGGGCATAGACTCACAAAAATACTGAGATTTAATCATAAAATTATATGATACTTCCCCTTGCTCAGACACTACCACATCAATAGGGATCCAGTTTAATGACAATAGATCACAATTGAGGAGCTGCAAGGTACACTACTTAAGGAAGAATTATTAGGAAATGACAAAGGCAATAGGAGAGACAAAAACAAGGACACAAGAGAAATTTTAAGCCTCTTGCACCTACAGCTATAGCAAACATTAAACACAAACTAAATCCTAGTGAGATTAATGAAAAGCCTTACACGAAAGGTCTTTTACTTCAGTTGTTATTACTCAATACATCAAGTGAAGCTTTCAAGAGAAACTAAAAATTTTGCTGAACAATAAGAAAAAGCATAGTCTGAAGAGATAAAACAAACATGAAAACCAGACTCAAATATGGTACAGATTTTGGAACTATTAGGAAACTTAAAATAACTATGATTGATGTGATAAGGGCTTTGATGAAGAAAATGGACAATGGGAAAGAAAAGATGCATAATATATGCAGAAAAATAGAAACTGTATAACAGAATCAAAAGATAATGCTACACATCAAAAGCAATATAATAGAAACAAAGGAATTTTTTTTTTTTTTAGAGATGGAGTCTCGGTCTGTCACCCAGGCTGGAGTGCAGTGGCACAATCTCGGCTCACTGCAACCTCTGCCTCCTGAGTTCAAGCGATTTTCCTGCCTCAGCCTCCCGAGTAGCTGGGAGTACAGGCGCCTGTCACCACACCCAGCTAATTTTTGTATTTTTAGTAGAGACCAGGTTTTACCAGAGACCAGAGGCCAGGCTGGTCTCGAACTCCTGACCTCAGGTGATCCACCCGCCTCGGCCTCCCAAACAGGATGTTTTTGAAGGGCTTATCTGTAAACTGGACCTGGCCAAGTAAAGAATCAGTAAGCTTGAAAATAGCTCAACAGAAACTTCTCAAACTGAAATGCAAAGAGAAAATAGAGTGAATGAGCAGAACGAATATCTAAGAACTGTGGGATAATTTTTAAACTCTAATATGTATATAATTTCAATATAAGAAGGAGAAGAAAAAGAAACAAAAGAAAAATTTAAAGTAATAACGATCATGCATTTTCCAAAGTTAATGACAGACACTAAACCCTAGATCCAAGAAGCTCAGAGAACAGCAAGTACAATAAATATCAAAAAACCAATCCTAGGCATATCCTATTCAATCTTCAGAAAACCAAAGACTAAGAGAAAATCTTGAAAGAATCCAGAGAGTTTGGGGGACAGCTTACCCATAGAGGGTCAAGGACAAGAATTAGAATAGATTTGTCATCAGAAACCATTAGGGGAATAAACTACGTAACGAATTGGAAGGCATAATGACCAAACTAGAATTTTATAGCCAGCAAAATTATCCTTCAAAAGTGAATGACAAATAAAAGACTTTCTCTGACAAACAAAAAAGGGAATTCATTTTTAGCAGAACTACTTGGGAAGAAATATTGAAAGAAGTTTTTTTTGGGAGAAGGGAAATGATATAGGTCTGAAACTCAGATCTATTTAAAGAGTGTTTAAAAAAGTCATAAAAAAGTTAAATGAAATATTTTATTTACCTTATTTTTCATCAAGCTAATAGATAACCATTGGCCTAAAGGAAATATAGTAATTGTCTTCTGTGAGTGCAGCACATGAACAAGTGAGATGAATGACAGCAATGTCATAAGGGGTGAGATGGAGAAATTTGGAGTGCTTTGTTCTAAGTTTCTGTGCTATATGTGAAGTACTATATATTATTTGACAGTGGACTTGCATTAGTTGTAAATGTATATTGCAAACTCTATAGCAACTGCTATAAAAATTTAAAATAAAATACAATTAAGGTATAAGAGAGTGAATAAAATAGAATCATATAAATTGTTCAATTGAAACCAGAGAATGCATAAAAAGGGAAGAAAAAAACTGAACAGAGTAAGTGATCTTATAGAAAACAGTTATAAACATGATAAATACTATTCCAACTATATCAATAATCACTTTAAACTTGGGTGATCTAAATGTATCAATTGAAAGAAAGAGATTGTCAGAGGGATTTTTTTTAAGAAAGACCCTACTGTACATTGTCTATCATAAAATGTGATGTGCGAGATACGTCCTCAGGTCTGATCAAAGTAAAGGGATGGAGGAAGATATACCATGCCAACATTAATCAAAAGAAAGCTTGAGTAGTATTTTAACTTCAGACAAATCAGATTTCAGAAAAGTATATAAATATTATTTGGAATCAAGACAGGCATTACAAAATGATAAAAGGGGTCAATTCTCCAAAATGACCTAACAATGTTTGACATGTATGTACCTAACAAGAGAACAAGATGCAAGAGACAATTACTTACACAATTACAAGGAGAACTAGGGAAATCTTTTTTGTACTTAGAGACTTCAACAGTTCTTTTTTTGTAATTGATAGAACAAGTAAGCAGAAAATTAGGAACAGGGTTGACCTGAATAGCATTATCATTCAACTTGTTCTAACTGACACTTAAAGAATACTGCATCCAACAGCATAATACACATTTTTCTCACAGTCACATGGAGCATTTACCAAAATAGACCACATTCCCAGGCATGAATTACACCTTAACAAATTTAAAAGTATAGAAATCATAGAAAATATGCTGTCAGATCACAGTGGAATTAAACTGGAAATCAAAAACAGGAACACAGATGGGAGATTCCAAAATATTTGGAGTTAAAACAACACATTTCTAAATAACACATGGAAAAATAGAAGTCACAGAGAAATTTTAAAAAAATAGTTTGAACTAAATGAAAATGAAAATACAACTTATTAAAATTTGTGGTATATGATGAAAGCAGTGTTTAGAAGAAAATATATAATATTAGATGAATATATTAGAAAAGAAAAAATGATCTAAAATAAGTAATCCAAACGTACTCTTTAGGAAACTGGAGAAATAAAGGCTATTTAATTGTAAAGCAAGCGGAAGAAGAAACATAATAATAGAATAGAAATCAATGAATTTAAAAAGAGAAAAACAATGGGAAAAATAATAAAATAAAAAACTGATTTAAAAGGTCAATAAAATGTAGGCATCTTTAGGCAGACTAACCATGAATAAAATAAGGTGGTGCAATTTAGTAATGTCAGAAATGAAAAAGAGATCAAGGGAAGCTGAAAAACGGCCTCCCTCCAAAGACCTTCTTCCTGGAATTTATGAATATGTTGGTACCTTACATGGCAAAATTGACTTTGCAGATGTGATTGCATTAAGAATCTTAAGATAGGGTGATTATTCTGGATGCATGAGTACAATCACAAGGTCTTTATGACAGGGAGGCAGAAAGTCAGAGGGGAGACAAAAGATTATGCAGCTTTATTTGAAGATGGCTGAAAGGGCCACATGCAGCCTCTAAAAGCTGGAATAGGCAAGAATGGATTTTCTTCTCGTGCCTCCAGAAGGAACGAGTCATGCCAACATCTTGATTTTAGACCTGTAAATGTCTTGACGACTTCTGTTCTTCAGTACTGAAAGAAAATAAATGTATGCTGTTTAAGCAGCTGTGTTTCAGGGAATTTGCTACAGTAGCAATAGGAACCTAATACAGAGGTCATCACTACTGAAACCACCAATGAAAAAAAGATAGTAGGTTGCCTGTTCACTCTGATGATAGTTTCTTTTGCTGTGCTGAAGCTCTTTAGTTTAATTAGATCCAATTTGTCAATTTGCAAACTACTGAATGGGAGAAAATTTTTGCAATCTGTCCATCTGACAAATGGCTAATATCCAGAATCTACAAAGAACTTAAACAAATTTACAAGAAAAAAACAAACAACCCCATCAAAAAGTGAGCGAAGGATATGAACAGACACTTCTCCAAAGAAAACATTTATGCAGCCAACAAATATATGAAAAAAAGCTCATCATCACTGATCATTAAAGAAATGCAAATCAAAACCACAATGAGATACCATCTCACGCCAGTTAGAATGGCTATCATTAAAAAGTCAGGAAACAACAGATGCTGGAGAGGATGTGGAGAAATAGGAACACTTTTACACTGTCGGTGGGAGTGTAAATTAGTTCAACCATTGTGGAAGACAGTGTGACAATTCCTCAAGGATCTAGAACCAGAAATACCATTTGACCCAGCAATCCCATTACTGGGTATATACACAAAGGATTATAAATTATTCTATGATAAAGATACATGCACATGTATGTTTATTGCAGCACTATTCACAATAGCAAAGACTTGGAACCAACCCAAATGCCCATCATTGATAGACTGGATAAAGAAAATGTGGCAAATATATACCATGGAATACTATGCAGCCATAAAAAAGAATGAGTTAATTGTCCTTTGCAGGGACATGGATGAAGCTGGAAACCATCATTCTCAGCAAACTAACTCAGGAACAGAAAACCAAACACTGCATGTTCTCGCTCATAAGTGGGAGTTGAACAATTGAAACACATGGACACAGGGAGGGAAACATCACACACCGGGACCTGTCTGGGGGTGGGGACCTAGGGGAGGGATAGCATTAGGAAAAAATACCTAATGTAGATGATGTGTTGATGAGTGCAGCAAACAACCATAGCATGTGTATACCTATGTAACAAACCTGCACATTATGCATATGTATCCCAGAACTTAAAGTATAATAATAATTTTTAAAAGATAGTAAAGGAATACTACAAACAACTCTATGTCCCAAAATTTGTAATTTAGAAAAAACAAATTAGTTTCTTGAAAGATACAAATCATTAAAACTCAAGTAGAAATAGATAATCTCAATAGGCCTACATTCATTAAATAAATTTAATCAGTAATTTAAATCCTTCCAAAAGAAAACACAGGTGTAGATCATTTTACTGGTGAATTCTACTAAACATATAAAAAAGAAATACCAGTTGTTTATAATTTCTTTCAGAAAATAGAAGCAAGTACAGCTATACAATAACTTTGTAAATCTAAAACTATTCTAGGAATTAAATTTTTAAAAAATAAATAAAAAATGAAATGTAAAACAAAAACATATGTACGACCTTTTTGTTTTTTTAATTTTTTGATTCAATAAAAATTAATTATCATGTTGGTATACATTTTTCTAAAATCCTTCAATTTCTGTGCCTACCTTGCCATGAACAAGTAGCACACAGGCTTGAGAGCCAGGATCATTCCACGAACTACATGGTTAGTTGCCTTGTTCCTACAGGACTGAATAGACTCACTTTCTTAAGTTAGTGTCACGAAACGCCCCAGTGGGTTTTTTATCCTGTGGCCTAGAAACATATTCTCGCCTCAGTCAGGACTGGAGTTAGTAAGACATTATTTGGCATGATTTCTGTTAATATTTATTGAATAAATAAAAAATGGAATAAATAATGCTTTATTTGAAAAGCACCACTTAGATGAAAAAAGAAGAAAGACCAGATTTTCAATGAATTTAAATATATTTAGATCATTATATTACTCACCACATCACTGACATCACACTCCTAGCTTTATATCTTGTGTAAAAATGGAGTAATTGGCCAAATGCCCTCATTTGAACAGGCATGGAATGCTGACAGACATCTACAGGGACCTGGGACAACTCAGCATTGCTGCATATGTAGGTCTGTGAGATAAAATAAAAGCACAGTCCCAGTTAAACTTAAATGTAGGTGACCAGCAAATAGTTTCTCAGTGTAAGTGTGTCCCAAATATCATATATTTGCTTAATCTGGAAATGTTTATGCAGGGATTTTGATTTTCAAATAAATAGATAAGATGAATAGGCAGTGTATTAATTGATATTTGGCAAGTTCCCTATACCTGTTCCAAGACAGCCTGCCTATCTGCAATAAAAGAAGAACCCAGACCCACCTGAAAATTGACTATATGTCCATTTAGTACTTTTGGTGGAGATTTTTTATATTATTATCTGTCACATAATTAGTTAGGGTTTGCTTTTTTCTTTATTCCCTAAAACAGTTTGTATATGATTAGAAATATCTGTTTCTTGGTAGTTTGTAGAACTCTTGAAAACTCTGGACCTAAAGCTTTCTTTGTGAGAATATTTTAAAATATAAATGGAATTTCTTTAATAGGTGTAGTAGGACTTTCAGGATTTTCTTACTGTTCCCCTGGAAGAATTAAGAACTTTTGAATCCAGGGCTGGGCTCAGTGGCTCTCGTCTGTAATACCAGCACTTTGGGAGGTTAAGGCAGGCAGATTACTTGAGGCCAGGAGTTCGAGACCAGCCTGGCCAACACGGTGAAACCCCGTGTCTGTTAATAATACAAAAATTAGCTGGGCATGGTGGCATGTGCCCATAATCCCAGCTACTTGTGAGGCTGAGGCAGGAGAATTCTCCAACCTGGGAGGCAGAGGTTGCAGTGAGCCAAGACTGTGCAGTTCAGCCTGGGCCACAGAGTGATACTCTGGTCTTGAAAAAAAAAAAAAAAAAAAAAAAAGAAAGAAAAAGAGAATGTTTTAATCCCATGCATTAAAAAAGGAAAAGAAGCCTATTTGAAGGTAGCATGATTAAAAAACAAATAATGACAATGGTCCCTGGTATCCTGTTCCCCAACGCCTTCACTGGTTTTAAAGTGGATGACAGAGCAGTCCAACCCACCATTTGCCTAATGTATAGCTGTGGATTACAAAGATGGAGTGTTAATAGCTCCTCCAGTGCTCTAGGCTGTATGGGTGACCATGTTCTCCATCCTGTGAAAGTAGTGAAGATAGATCTATGGTGTATTGTCCTAATTAGATAAATGCAATGCTAACTGCAATAGTCCCAGGTTGTTTCGATAGTTCAGCAAGTGTATGTTTCTTGCTTCTTCTGTCCATCATGAAAAAAACATGTTTTCATAGGTTATTCTCTTTAAAGTCCCTTACATTGGTGGGGAGGGCTGGATGCATGTATTTAGAAGGAAAGAGAAGAGAGCATATCTCCCATTGACATAGCTTTTTCTAAATACAATAAAAAGAAAATAAAATCAAACTACACTAAGATCAATTACCTTTTCTTAATGTAAAAGTTATAGCATTCCCTAGGAGAGGGTCACATCCATGGGAAACCTGCAGACAAAAAGAGGAAGTGATGAGTATCACAGGTAAAATTGTTCCATGTATAAAAGGTTTCTTTGCTGCCATTTCATTGCTGTCAAATCAGGAATGAAAAATAATATTATACACAAGAATAGGGAGCCAGTGACTTGATAAGCCATAGTATTTACTCAAGAAAATAAGGTCTATTTGTGTATGTATACTGACAGCTCTCAGTACTTTCTGCCAGGAGGGCTGATGCCTTTAACATGGGTAGAAACCCATGGCTTTTAGCTTCAAGGTGGTTTAAAAGGGAAGTGAGACGGAATTTTGAACACAGCAGGAAGTTTGTTATGGGAAGCCTTGGGGTCTTTCCAGTGCTGGTTCTCATTTTGGGAACTCACTTATTTATCACCATTATTGTCCATGTCTATAGCTTCAGCTCAGCAATAAGGGTGAAGTGCAAAGGAATTGGACTGTAAGTCAGTAAACTAGGCTTAGATTTCTACTATACCTCTTCTGACCTACAGATAAATGCTGTCCCTTGTTCTTTAAGAAAGACAAACCCAGAATGTTCATTTCAGCCCAAGAAGATTTGCAAACAACAGCTGGTATTGAAGCAATTTCCTTGAACCATTCACTCTCGACCAGGTTTTCTCATTCCAGCTTTGCTAATGATTTGTTCTTGTTTTTCACTACCCCCAACATCTTTGCCCTGAAATAAAACTTTGAACTCTATTTCTGGTATCTCCAGACTTAGTGCTTGTAGGTTCTTTTCCAGTTGAATTAAATATATGTAATGACACTCTTAGATCTAACAATGTGTAACATATGATATAAAGCATGTTATATACATGTTACATACATATATACAGTTATTTACAAAGCATTAAACGTTAACATACCAAGTTATAGACCAGGAACTTCTCAACTGAGTGACAATTTGTCTAATACTATCAGACTAGTACTATGGCCACAAATGGCTTGCCCCTCATTGGTGTACATAAGCAGATTTAGGGTATATGTTAGATTCAATATACCATGGCTTTGACATGAATCAAAAGCCACTGGTACCTTCAAGAACAGCACATTAACACCACCACTCCCACCCAAGTTAAAACATTTCCCTGTCTCCTTCCTTTGCGTACACACATTGTAGGCGCCGATTTTGGGCTGAGAATGCTCACACAATAGGAATCTCTTTATTTTTATTTTTTTATTTTTGAGACAGAGTCTCACTCTGTCACCCAGACTGGAGTGCAAGTGGTGCAATCTCAGTTCACTGCAGCCTTGACCTCTCAGGCTGAAGAGATCCTCCCACCTGAGCCTCCCAAGTGGCTGGGACCACAGATGTGCACCACCACGCCCAGCTAATTTTTGTATTTTTTGGAGAGAGGCGGTTTCACCATGTTGTCCAGGCTGGTCTCAAACTTCTGAGCTCAAGTGATCCAACTGTCTCGACCTCCTAAACTGCTGGGGTTACAAGTGTGAACCACTGTGCCCTGCCAGGAATGTTATTTTTATACTGGTACCTTCAGCACCAGCATCTTCTGCTCTTTTTCTTAATATAGGACTTTGGCCTTTTTGTTCTTCCCTCCACTAGATGCATCTGCTTCCCTTCACCTATTTTACCAATTTTGATGCTTTTGTCTGTGACAGAATATCCAACCATAAGCAGTTTAAATAACATAGAGATGTATTGATGTACTTGAGAAATCTGACAACAGGGTTTTCTAGGGTTTGACAAAAGCTCAAGAATATCAGGACTTGAGGTTGACCTTTCTATGATAATCTTGGTCTTTCCCTCATTGATACAAAATGGCCACAGCAGCCTAAGTATCATATCCTGATATGACAATTTTCCATGTAATAAAGAAGCAAAGAAGAGAGAAAAATAAGACTCTCTTCTCATACATTCTTTCTTATTAGGGAGAAACATTTTTTCTCATAAACCTCTAGTAGACATAATCTTACATTTCATTGGCCAAAGATGGGTTGCAGTTCTCAAATCCACTACGAGAAAAGGGATTGGGATCACCAAAATTTACTTTGACCAATCAGGATTTATCCCCATGTGACTGAACATACTGTTTTCCTACAAAAATGGGATCTCGTTATCAAAATTAGAGGTGAATAGCTGTTATTAAATCAATTAACAATATCTACTACACCTAGATCAATGTGTAAATACCTGAGATACTAGTCACAGAGAATCTTTTGCTTAATTCATAGTCTTTATTCATGAATATTTTGTTCCCTGAATGAGTTTTATAAATTTTCTTTCTCTGGTGAACTTTCATAAGCCTTTCTGTCTAGAAGTCCAGAAGAGAGGTAGGCAGGCATTTTCTGCCTCTTTTTCCTCAGTATCCATTCTGTCCCATGGAACCCTCCATAATTTAATTCCTCCCAGCCAGTCCAGACCTGTACTTCTCCAGACACAGTTAATAAAAATGTCCCTCTCCCTAACATTTGTAATTTCTTATTTTCTATCTCTAAAAATGACTCCTCCAGGATTCCTGGAAAAGAAGGTAGGAGTGACCCAGCTTGTGTGTTAGCCCCCAGTGCTTATAATTTTTGTGAGACACTTTGTGTTATATCTAGTATTTGAATTCTCCACAATTTCCTTTTTAAATCCATACTCTCACTGGGGTGCAGACAGCTCAAAGGTGTCTTGCCTGAGATAGGATGCTGGCTTCTTTCAGGCTGATTTAATTAAGGTTATTTGGATATAAGACACTGACATGCACTCTAACTTACTGACATAAAAGAAGTTGATTTTGGAAGGACAAGGGTTTATCTCAATGCACCCAAGATTAAGCGTATAGCTAAGTTGCACGAGGAACTAGGGAAAAAAGGAGCAAAGTTAGGAAATTAAATTATTCTCTCCTTCCTTTTCTCTCTTGTCTCTGCTAATTTCACTGCATCTGGTTCGTATTCTTTCAGCCAATCTGTTTACGTGCTTTTGTAGTGCTAACAGAGTAATGAAACATGGATAATCCATTACCAGATTTTCACTCCAAGGATTCAAAACCTTTATTATATTCTTGGTGAACAAATTCCTTTTCAGAAAAATATGTTTAGTCCAGCTAAGACTGGGTATTCACCACAGTCCAGTCCCCTGGACCAAAAATTTGAGTCTTCTTATTATGGGTGCTACACCTGCCTCTTAAGCAGGACTTGTGGGTGAGAGCCCGCTGTCAGAGAAAGAGAGCAGAAAGCTACTCCGGGAAGTGTTTGCTGCAGAGAACACAACTGTTGTCCGAGTTAGCAACTCCTGCTGGCCTAGGCTTGTTTCCTGGCCTAGATTTCCTTCCTTAGATACTGTTATATTGCCCCAGGGATCATATCACCTTGGACCGTACTTCAGATTTCCAGAAGTTGTCCAGCTGGCTTCTGTGCTCGCTACTCTCACTGCATTTATCCAATCCTAATCTGTGTATAAAATTATGTATTTAACATGTTGAGATTTGCATTTCTACTAATCACTCTCTGTGAGTTAATGAACTGGACAAAATCTTTTTCCCAGTTGGATCAACAAATCCTCCCTCATGGGCTCCTGGGCCTCTGATGGTGCCCTCTACCGCTGATTTTACTCTCCATCTGGACTGCAGGAGACAAAATCACTTGATAGCAATAGCAGGCCCAAAGAGCATCCAGATAAGAGTTAGCTAAACCAAGCTACTGTATTTCCTAACATCCCTGGATATAACTTCATAATTCGCCCCTTTTAGCTTTAACAGAGTTATTTCCTCTTTACCTCCAAAACTCCTACCATCAAACCATATTTGTCTAGTCTTCTTAAGTAGCTTTTAAAGTACACCTCCAGGATGCCATTGCCTACCGGTATAAATCTTTGTTAAGTTTTGTGTGTATATTTGGCATTAAGATTAATTTGTGAGTTTTCTTCTCATGTATAAAGCAGAATTTCTCAAAATCTCATCTCTTGGTATAGTCCTTTTATGAGTTTCATTAGCTACCCCTAGATTTGCTTAATTTTGTTGTATATGTATATTTTGGAAATATGCCTTCCATGGTTAAATTAAGCACTGAATTATGCAAACTTAACGCTGGTTTCTTCACTGCAAGATTTTTGTAAGTCATTATATGCAAATGTGTTAGGAAAATAAAATAAGTAATAAAAGAAAAATAAAAGAAGGTTTGCAGGTCATCAGGTATTTGGTCACAGGAAGCTTTTGTGTGCTTGTCTGTGTGTCTCTATTTGGGAGAAATACCAATTTGTAGATCACAAGGTTAATACAGTTTTAATAATAGTCTAAAGCATGGTTTTTCAAAGCATGGGTTGCAGTTTGTTGGTGGTTGAATTCAGTGGGTAACAACTAACATAATTTTCTAAAGGAAAGTAGATAGAATCGAATAGAAAATGCCACAGTATACTTCACAAATTTAGGGAAATACTGTTTTGTGAAATTTTTATTTTAGTTATGTATGCATGTAGGAACGGTGTGGAGATATAAAATTTATTTTTTATTATGAATAGCAGTCAAACTTTTGAATGCCAATAATCTAAAGCATACAGTTTTAGGTAACTATGGGCAGATGAAACAAATTACCACTAGAGGGAGAGTTGGACCAGCGCTGAGTATGGTAACTGGGAAAATGAGAAGCATGAGCTGGATCCTTCCAAGAACAGAAGGGGTTAGAAAAAAAGACATAAGGAAAAGAAAAGTTTAATCTACTCCTACACTCTCTAAGATTACATATCTGCTACAGTAGCACATCACAGGGAACTGAAGGAGAAAATCTTGAAAATGAAAATGCACAGTGTGTAAATAACAGAGGGGTTGGAACTGGGTAGATCATCTGTGTCACTAGCTAACTAGAGTCAGAAGTCTGTGCTGCAGAAAGCTATATATGCAGGAATAAGTCAGAGAGACCTAAGACTCGAATGCTTCTTATGGCTTCTGAAATTATGAGTCGTGTGATTGCCTAGAGAGTCATTTGTCTTTTTTTTTTTTCTTTTATCTTGTCTTGGCTACTCAGAATGAAAATGTTTCCTATGTGTTGAGAAATGTCCCTTGGTGTAGTTCATAGTGAGAGGCAGGATCACAGCTCCCACTACAGAAGCAAAGGAAGCAGATATTCTCAATTTCCCAGCTGTCTGGAGGCTATAGCCCTGAGATATGATTGAGGCATGCCAATGGGATGCCCCAGCCAGGGGGTGACACGGAAATTATTAGATAATTCATAATGGCTGTGAGCTGGGGCCCCACAGTGGTGATAATAAGAGCACAATGGTTGTGGTTTGCTTTAAGCTTTATAATCAAATGGCTCTAACTACATGATCTCACTTGTATTTTTAGCTGCCAAACTTTCCTGGTTCCTTCTTGTTTTCCAGACCTGGCTCCCCAGCATCCCAATGAGTCTTTGACATGATGAAGAACTTTCATATTTTGCTTATTTTGATTTTAGAGTCTTATCTAGTTATATTTGAGATACACTAAACTATATATATTTAAAGTATACAAACTGATAAGCCTTGACATATGTATGCATGCATGAAATCATAAAAATAATATAATAAACATATCTATCAACATTAAAAGTTTCCTCCCCCATCCCCACCTCCCACTTTCAACTTCCACAAACTCCTCAATGCAAGTCAATAATGATCTGTTTTCTGATACCATAGATAGGTGTAATTTGCATTTTCTAGAATTTTATATAAATGGAATATATATTTCTCTTATTTCTTATATTTGGCATAATTATCTTGATATTCATTCCTATTATTCCATGTATCAATAGCTCATTTAGTTTTATTGTTGAATAATAAGTATTGTGTGGATATAACACAATTTGTCTATTCTCTTTTGATGGACACTTGTGTAGTTTTCAGTTTTTGTCTATTATAAATAAAGCGGCTATGAACATTCATGTACAAGTTATGTGGAGACAAATGCTTTTATCTATTTCACATAAATATCTTGGAGTGAAATCTTTAGATTGTGCACTAGGTATACATTTAACTTTTAAGAAACTGCTATAAGTTTTCTAAAGAAACTTTATCATTTTATTGTTAACACCAGCAGTGTATGAGCATTCTAGTTGTTTTGCATGCAGTCTTTCAAATTTAGCCATTAATAAGCCATCCCATTGTGATACTAATTTGCCTTGCTCACCAAATACTGCATGTTGTCCCTTGTAATAGGGAGCTAAACATTGAGTAAACAGGGACACAAAGAAGGGAACAATAGACACTGGGATCTACCTGAGGGTGAAGGGTAGAAGAGCATGAGGACAGAGAAACTACCTGTTGGGGACTATGTTTACTATCTGGGTGATGAAATAATCTCTACACCAAACTTCTATGACACACAATTTAACCACGTAACAAACCAGCACGTGTAACCCCTGAACCTAAAACAAAAGTTTTAAAAAAAATGCGTTTCTCTAATAGTGAATGATATTGATAAATTGTTCATGTGCCAAGTTAACATGTATAGATCTTTTCCAGTGAAATGTCTCTTTAAATCTTTTGTCCATTTTGTATCGGGTTGTCTTATTATTATTGAGATGCAAGAGGTCTTTAAATATTTTAGATAGATTTATTTTGACCAAAATATGTTTTAGAAACATTTTCTCCCAGTTTATGACTTGCTTTTTTATATTCTTAACAATTTCTCAGGAAGAGCAAAATATTTTTGTTTTCATTGGGTCCAACTTAATAACATTTTCTTGTGTGCTTTGTACATACTTATTTTTTTTTTGCTTAACTCAAAGCTACTAGGATTATTTTTATAGTTTCTTTTTCAAGTATTATAGTTTTATATTTATATTTCGAGCTACTATCCATTCTGAGTTAATTTTTGTATAAGTTGTGAAATCTATATCAAGTTTCATTTATTTTGCATATGGACATCGAATTGCTCCAGCACTGTTTCTTGAGGAGACTATTCATTGCCTTTGACACCTTTGTCAAAAATCAGTTGACTCGCCCAAGTATGGTGGCACATGCCTGTAATCCCAGCACTTTGGAAGGCCGAGGCAGGAAGATTGCTTGAGCCCAGGAGTTCCAGACCAGCCAGGGCAACATGGTGAAAACCTATCTCTACCAAAAATACAAAAAAATGTCAGGCATGGCGGTGTGCACCTGTTGTCCCAGCTAATAAGAAGGCTGAGGTGGGATGATGGTTTGAGCCCAGGAGGCAGAGGTTGCAGTGAGCTAAGATCATACCACCACACTCCAGCCTTGGTGACAGAGCCAGACACTGTCTCAAAAGAAAAACAAAATCAATTGACTCTATTTTGTAGGTCTGTGACTAGCCTTGTTTGTTCTGTTCATTGAGCTACATGTCTATCCTTTCATCAGTACCATACTGCCTTACTTACAGTAGCTTTATAAGAAGCTTTGAAATTGGGTAATATGTTTTGCCAAATTTGTTACTTTGTTCTTGTTTTCCAAAATTGTTTTGGCTATTTCAGCTCATTTGATTTTGATATAAATTTTCAAATCAAAAGTTTACTGGGATTTTTAAAAGGATAACATTGAATCTATAAATCAAATTTAGGAGAGAAGTGGCAAAGCGAGATGGTGGAATAGAAGGTTCCACTGATTGTCCTCCCTGCAAGGACACCAATTTAATAACTATCTACATGAAAAAATCACCTTCATAAGAACCAAAAACTAACTGAGTACTCACAGTATCTGGTTTTAACTTTATATTGTTAAAAGAGGCACTGAAGAGGTAGAAAAAAGTCTTGAATTACCAACACCAAACTTCCCAAGCTTCCCCCATCCCCCACCCCAACAGCAGTGGTGGGGTGCAGAGAGCATTTCTGTGCACTGGGGAAGGCAGCACAGCAATTGAGACATTGGACTCAGTGCTGATGTGTTACAGCAGAAAGGAAAACCAGACCAAACTCTGCTGATGCTCACCCATGGAGGGAGCATTTAAACCAGTCCTAGCCAGAGGGGAATCACAGATCCCACAGGAGGGAACTTGAGTTCCCATAAACCTCATCACCGAGGGCGGAAGTGCTCTTGGGCTCTAAATAAACGCAAAAGACAGTCTAGGCCACAAGGACTGCAACTCCTAAGACAGTCCCAATGCTAAACTAACCCCAGAGACAATGGACTGGGGAGCACATGACCTACTGAAACAACAGCAAGGATGGCTAAGAGAGTACTGGCATCGGTCCTCCCCTAACCCCAGGCTGCAGAACTTGCAGGTCCAAAGAGACCCCTTCCTTCTGCTTGAGGAGAAGAGAGGGAAGAGTGGGGAGGACTTGGTCTTGCATCTTGGATACCAGCTCAGCCACAGCAGGATAGAGAATGGGTCAGAGTCATGAGGCCCCCTTTCCAGGCCCTAGTTCAAGGAGGACATTTCTAGACACACCCTGGGTCAAAAGGGAACCTGCTGCCTTGAAGGGAATTACTCAGTCCAGGCAGAATTCATCATCTGCTAACTGAACAGCCCTTGGGCCCTGAATAAACAGTAGTGATAACCAGGTACTACATCCAGGGCCTTGGGTGAGCCTCTGAGACTTGCTGGCTTCAGGTGAGACTCAGCACATAATCAGCTGCAGCAGCTACATGACAAGACTCCTTCTGCTTGAGAAAAGCAGAGGGAAAAGTAAAAGGGACTTCGTCTTGCACCATATGTACAAGCTTGGCCACAAAGCAGTAGCACACCAAGCAGATTCTTGGGATCCCTGATTCCAGAACTTGGCTCTTGGATTGCATTTCTTGACCCCCCTGGGCCAGAGGGGAGTGCACTGCTCTGAAGACAGATTCCTAGGCCAGACAGAATTCACCACAAGTTGACTTAAGAGCCCTTGGGCCTTAAGAGAATATCAGGTAGAACACTCCTATGGGCCAGTGGTGGTGGTGGCCATGGGGTAAGGCTCCTCTGTTTTTGGAAATGGGAGGAAATGGTGAGAAGGACAGCATCTTCTGGTTTAAGTGCCAGCTCAGGCACAGTACAGTAAAACACTAGGTAGACTTCTAAGGTTTCTAACTCTAGTCCCTGGTTACTGGAAAGCATATCTGGACCTGCCTGGGATCTGGGGGAGCTCACCATCCTGAAGTGAAGGACACAGTCCTGGCTGGTTTTGCCACCTGCTTATTGTAGAGCCCCAGAGCCTTGAGTGAACATAGGCAGTGATCACAGCAGGTCTTGCGTGAGACCCAATGTTGTGCTGGCTTCAGGTCTGACCCAGCACAATCATAGTGGTAGTGGCTACAGGGGTGCTTGTGTCACTCCACCCTCAGTTTCACGTGACTCAGAAAGAGAGAGACTCTGTTTGCTTGGGCGAAAGTAAGGAAAAAGAACAAGAGCTGCTACCTGGTAATACAGAGAATTCTTCCAGATCCTGTCCAAGAACATCAAGGCAGTACCTCTATGAGTATGCAAGAACCACAGTATTACTGGGCTTGGGTGCCTCCTAAAGCAGATACGGCTTAGATTACAACATCCAACTCCTTTTGAATAACTGGAAACCTTTCCTAAGAAGAACAGGTAAAAATAAGCCCAGACTTCCAAGGCTATAATAAATACCTATCTCTTCAATGCTTGGACACAGAAGAACATCTACAGGTATCAAGACAATCCAGGAAACTTTACAGTGGAAACATTACATGCCAACAGAGAGTGGCATGGCATATTTAAAGTGTTGAAGGAAAAAAAAAACAGGAAAACTTTTATCCTAGAATAGTATATCCGTTTAAAATATTCTTCAAAAATGAAGGAGAAATATTTAACCAGTTAACAAAAGCTGAGGGATTTCATCAACACTAGACCTTTTCTGCAAGAAATGTTAGAGGGAGTATTTTAATCAGAAAGAGAAGGATGTTGATGAGCAATAAGTAATCACCTGAAGGTGCAAAACCCACTGATAATAGTAAGCACACAGAAAAACACAGAGTATTATAATACCATAACTGTGGTGTGTAAACTACTCTTATTCTTTGTAGAAAGATTAAATGATGAACCAATTAAAAATAATAGCTACAACAACTTTTCAAGACACAGAAAGTACAATAAGGTAAAAATAGAAACAAAATGTTAAAAAGGGGTGGGGGGACAAAGGTAAGGCATAGAGTCTTTATTAATTTTCTTTTTGTTTCTTTGTTTATGCAAACAGTGTTAAGTTGTTATTAGCTTAAAATAATGGATTATAAGATAGTATTTGCAAGGCTCATGTTAACTTCAAACCAAAAAACATACGATGGATACACACACACAAAAAAAGAAAGAAATGAAATTGCATCACCAGAGAAAATCACCTTCACTAAAAAGAAGACAGGAAGGAAATAAAGGAGGAAGAGAAGACCACAAAATAACCAGAAAACAGATAACAAAATGAAGAGTGAGTCCTTACTTATCAATAATAACATTGGATATAAATAGACTTAATTCTACAATCAAAAGACATAGAGTGATGAAATGGATAAAATAAAAAGGCCCATTGATCTGTTGTCTAAAAAACACACTTCACCTATAAAGACACACATAGATTGAAAATAAAGGCATTAAAGGCATGGAAAAAAGATATTCCATATTGATGGAAACCTAAAAAGAGCAAGAGTAGCTATACTTGCATCAGACCAAATAGATTTCAAGACAAAAACTATGGGAAGAGACAAAGAATGCCACTGTATAATGATAAGTCAATTCAACAAGAGAATATAGCAATTTTAAATATATATCCACCCAACACTGGGGCACCCAGATATATAAAGAAAATTGCCCTGATACTAAAACCAGACAAAGACACATCAAAAAACAAACAAACAAAAAACCCCAAGGCAATATCTCTGAAGAATATTGATGCAAAAATTCTCAACAAAATACCGCCAAGTCAAATTCACATTGGATTTAAAAGATTACTTATTATGACCAAGTAGGATTTATTCCTAGATCCAAGAATGGTTTAACATATGCAAATCAATCAATGTGATACTTCATATCAACCGAATGAAGGATAAAAACCATAGAATTATTTCAATTGATGCTGAAAAAGCTTTTGATAAAATTCAACATTCTTTTATGATAAAAAGACTCAAACCACTAGGGATAGAAGGAACATACCTCAAAATAACAAAAGCCATTATGACAGATCCACAGCTAGTGTCATACTAAACAGGGAAAAACTGAAAGCCTTTCCTCTAAGATCTGGAACACGGCAAAGATCCACTGTGAATAGCAGTCAGTACTGTTGTTCAACACAGTACTGGAAGTCCTAGCTAGAGCAGCCAGACAAGCAAAAACACTAAAGTGCATCCAATTTGAAATTCAAGAAGTCAAATTATCCTGGTTTGCAGATGATATGATAATATATTTTGAAAAACCTAAAGAATCCACAAAAAAATCCATTATGGAAAAACCTAAAGATTCCATTAAAAAAACTATTAGTACTGACAAACAAATTCAGTAAAGTTGCAAAATACAAAAACAACACACAAAAGTTAGCAGCATTTCTATATGTCAATAACAAACAATATGAAAAAGAAATCTAGAATTTAATCCCATTTACAATAGCCACAAATAATATTAAATACCTAGGAATTAGCCAAGGAAATGAAAGATTTCTATAAAAAAAACTATAAAACATTGATGAATGAAATTGAAGAGGTAATCAAAAATATAAAAAAATTATATGTTCATGGATTAGAAGACTCAATATTGTTAAAATGCTCATACTACCCAAAGTGATCTTCAGTTTCAATGCAATCCCTATCAATATCAAAATACTAACGACATTCTTCATAGAAACAGAAAATAAACCAATGCTAAAGCTTATATGGAATCACAAAAAAAGAATCAGAATAGCCAATGCTATTCTAAGCAAAAAGAACAAAATTGGAGGAATCACATTACCTGACTTCAAACTATATTACAGAGTTGCAGTAATCAACACAGCATGACACTGGCATAAAAACAGACATCAACCAATGGAACAGAATAGAGAACCCAGAAAGAAATATACACATCTGCCCTGAAATCCTTTTTGACAAAGGTGTTAAGAACATATGTCAGGGGAAAGATACTCTCTTCAATAAATGGTGCTGAGCAAACTGAGATATCCTTGTGCAGAAGAATGAAACTAGATGCCTATCTCTCACCATATATAAAAATCAAATAAAAATGCATTAAAGACTTAAATATAAGACCTCAAACCACAAAACTACTACAAGAACAAGAAACCATTGGAGAAAATCTCCAGGATATTGATCTGGGCAAAAATTTCTGGTTTTCCTTTTTTTTTTTTTTTTTTTGACACAGAGTCTCACTCTGTCTCCAAGGCTAGAGTGCAGTGGCTCAATCTCAGCTCACTGCAACTTCTGCCTCCCAGGTTCAAGCCATTTCACTGCCTTAGCCTCCTGAGTAGCTGGGACTACAGGAGCATGCCACCACGCCTGATTAATTTTTGTATTTTTAGTAAAGATAGGGTTTCACCATGGTGGCCAGGCTGGTCACGAACTCCTGACCTTAAGTGATCAGCCCACCTTGGCCTCTCAAAGTGCTGGGATTAGAGGCTGGGCAAAAATTTGTTGGGTAATATTTCAGAAGCACAGACAACCAAAAGAAAAATGAGCAAATGGGATCACATCGAGTTAAAAAGCTTCTGCACAGCAAAGGAAACAATCTACAAAGTGAAGAGACAATCTACAGAATGGAAAGAAATATTTGCAAACTACCCATCTGACAAGAGATTAATAACCAGAATATATAAGGAACTCAAACAACTCTATAGAAAAAAAAGTAATGATCTGATCCAAAAAGTGAGCAAAATATATGAATAGATATCCCACTGCTGGGCATATACCCAAAAGAAAGGAAATCAATATATTGAAGAGATATCTGTACTCCCAAGTTTGTTTCAGCACTATTCACAATAGCCAAAATTTGGAAGCAACCTAAGTGTCCATCAACAAAATAATAAAGAAAATATGGTACATATACACAATGGAGTACTATCCAGCCGTAAAAATGAATGTGATTCTGTCATTTGCAACAACGTGGATGGAGCGCCACCTCATTATGCTATGTGAACAAAACATGCACAGAAAGACATACATCGTATGTTCTCACTTATTTTTGGGATCTAAAAACAGAAACAATTGAACATATGGATAGAGGTAGTAGAAGGATGGTTATCAGAGGCTGGGAAGTGTAGTGGAGTGGGGAGATGGTTAATGGCTACAAAAATAATACTCAGAAAGAATGAATGACACCTACTATTTGATAACACAACAGGGTGACTATAGTCAGTAATAATTTAATTGTACATTTTAAAATAATTAAGAGTATAATTAGATTGTAACGCAAAGGATAAAGGTTTCAGGGGATAGATACCCCATTCTCCATGATGTGATTATTTCACATTGTCTGCCAGTATCAAAACATCTCAAGTGCCTCATAAATATATACACCTACTATGTACCTATAAAAATTTAAAAATGCAAATTTAGGAGAATCCAAATTTTTATGAGATAACAAAATTGAGAGAACTCGAGATAGAATGCAAACTAAAACAAATGAATCTAACTCTTTTACAAAGAATCATGTAACCATACTATGGTTACATGTATGTGGTGGAGAAAATGAGCTGACTTAAGTTGGATAACAGTATTTTGAGTAGATACTTATAAAGACTAAAGACAAAAAATAATTTTATGTAAACATTGTATCATAGTTTGTAAATTTGCTTCTCACAGTGCTATAGAATAACAATTTAAAACTACTTTATATGTATAGAAGTGTTGGATCAATAAGTAAATATGTTGTAAATAATGAGAACCATGTTTCTCTCTGTGAAGAAAAAAGTTACAAATAAGGAAAGGTGGAACTCCATTATTCTGGATTGCAGTTGGATTGCCAGAGAAAGAGATAGAAATAAAAATTGGTATGTCTGTATGCATGAATTTATTTCCTATATCTGTCCCCTATAAGCAGGGATGTCCCAAGAGCAATGAGCATACCTAGAAGAAGGATCTTGATTTTTAGAAATAATTTTCCAATAAAAGGAATCAGGGCCGTATAGAAAGGTGATTGATTTCACACTGGGTGAGAGAAAATACAAGATATAACTAAGGCATTGGCGATCCCATAATATAAAAACACACATAGAGATGATAGACAGATAGATAGATAGATGATAGATAGATAGATAGATAGATAGATAGATAGATAGATAGATAGATAATAGATAGATATAGTATGATGGTTAATATTAGGGGTCAACTTGGTTGAAGGAAGCCTAGATAGCTGGTAAAGTATTGTTTCTGGGTGTGTCTGAGAGGATGTTGCCAGAAGAGATTAACATTTGAGTCAGTGGACTGGAAGAGGAAGATCCAACTCTCAATTTGGGTGGACACTATCCAATTGGCTACCAGCATGGCTAGAATAAAGCAGGTGGAAAAAGGTGCAATAAGCTGGCTTGCTGAGTCTTCTATCTTTCATCTTTCTCCCATGCTGGATGCTTCCTGCCCTTGAACATCAGACTCCAGGTTCTTCAGCCTTTGGATTCTTGGACTTATATATCAGTGACTTGCTGGGGGATCTTGGGCCTTTGGCCACAGACTGAAGGCTGCACTGTGGGATTCCCTACTTTTGAGGCTTTTGGACTCAGAATGAGCCACTACTTGCTTTCTTCCTCCAGCTTATTATGCAACTTTACCTTGTGAACATGCAAGTCAATATTCTCCTTAATAAACTCCCTTTCAGATATATAGTCTCCTATTAGGCCTGCCCCTCCGGAGAACCCTAAGATAGATAGATAGATAGATAGATAGATAGATAGATAGATAGATAGATAGAAAGAAAGAAAGAAGATAGATAGATAGATAGATAGATAGATAGATAGATAGATAGTGTCAGGCCTCTGAGCCCAAGCTAAGCCATCATGTCCCCTGTGACCTGCACGTTCACATCCAGATTTCCAGTTCCTGCCTTAACTGATGACATTCCACCACAAAAGAAGTGAAAATGGCCTGTTCCTGACTTAACTGATGACATTGTCTTGTGAAATTCCTTTTCCTGGCTCATCTTGGCTCAAAAGCTCTCCCACTGAGTACCTTGTGACCCCCAGTCCTGCCCGCCAGAGAACCCCCCTTTTTCCTTTACCTACCCAAATCCTATAAAATGGCCCCACCCCTATCTCCCTTTGCTGACTCTCTTTTCGGACTCAGCCCACCTGCACCCAGGTGAAATAAACAGCTTTATTGCTCACACAAAGCCTGTTTGGTGGTCTCTTCACACGGATGCACATGAAATTTGGTGCCATGACTCAGATTGGGGGACCTCCCTTTGGAGATCAATCCCCTGTCCTCCTGTTCTTTGCTCCGTGAAAAAGATCCACCTATGACCTCAGGTCCTCAGAACCACCAGCCCAAGAAACATCTCACCAATTTTAAATTGGGTAAGCGGCCTCTTCTTACTCTTTTCTCCAACCTCTCTCACTATCCCTGAACCACTTTCTCCTTTCCACTCTTCAATCTCTCCCTTCTCTTAATTTCAATTCCTTTCATTTTCTGGTAGAGACAAAGGAGACACGTTTTATCCGTGGACCCAAAACTCCGGCGCCGGTCACAGACTGGGAAGGCAGCCTTCCCTTGGTGTTTAATCATTGCAGGGACACCTCTCTGATTATTCACCCAGGTTTCAGAGGTGCCAGACCACACAGGGACACCTGCCTTGGTCCTTCACCCTTAGCGGCAAGTCCCGCTTTTCTGGGGAAGGGGCAAGTACCCCAACCCCTTCTCTCTGTGTCACTATCCCTTCTCCACCTTTCTGGGGGGCAGAAAACCTCCAACCCCTTCTCCTTCACCCTTAGCGGCAAGTCCCACTTTTCTGGGGGGAGGGGCAAGTACCACAACCTCATATCTCTGCACCCCAATCCCTTATTTCTGTGCCCTGACCTCTTATCTCTGTGCTCCAATCCCTTATTTCTGTGCCCTGACCTCATATCTCTGTGCTCTGATCCCTTATTTCTGTGCCCTGACCTTGTATCTCTGTGCCCCGACCCCTTTCCCACTTTTCTCGATGGTAAGAACCCCCAAACCCCTTCCCTCCGTGTCTCTACTCTCTCTTTTCTCTAGGCTTGCTTCCTTCACTGTGGGCAAACTTCCACCCTCCATTCCTCCTTCTTCTCCCTTAGCCTGTGTTCTTAAGAACTTAAAACCTCTTTAACTCTCACCTGACCTAAAATCTAAGCATCTTATTTTCTTCTGCAATGCTGCTTGACACCAATACAAACTCAACAGTAGTTCCAAATAGCCAGAAAACAGCACTTTCAATTTTTCCATCCTGCAAGATCTAAATAATTCTTGTCATAAAATAGGCAAACGGTCTGAGGTGCCTGATGTCCAGGCATTCTTTCACATGTCAGTCCCTTCCTAGTCTCTGTGCCCAGTGCAACTCATCCCAAATCTTCCTCCTTTCCCTCCCGCCTGTCCCCTCAGTCCCAACCCCAAGCATCACTGAGTCTTTCTAATCTTCCTTTTCTACAGACCCATCTGACCTCTCTCCTCCTCCCCAGGCTGCTCCTTGCCAGGCGGAGCTAGGTCCCAATTCTTCCTCAGCCTCTGCTCCTCCACCCTATAATCCTTTTATCACCTCCCCTCCTCACACCTGGTCCGGCTTACAGTTTCGTTCGGTGACTAGCCCTCCCCCACCTGCCCAGCAATTTACTCTTAAAAAGGTGCCTGGAGCTAAAGGCATAGTCAAGGTTAATGCTCCTTTTTCTTTATCCCAAATCAGATAGCGTTTAGGCTCTTTTTCATCAACTATAAAAATCCAGCCCAGTTCATGGCTTGTTCAGCAGCAACCCTGAGACGCTTTACAGCCTTAGACCCTAAAAAGTCAAAAGGCCATCTTATTCTCAAAATACATTTTATTACCCAATTTGCTCCTGACATTAAATAAAACTCCAAAAATTAAATTCCAGCCCTCAAACCCCACAACAGGATTTAATTAACCTTGCCTTCAAGGTGTACAATAATAGAAAAAAGTTGTAATTCCTTGCCTCCACTGTGAGACAAACCCCAGCCACATCTCCAGCACACAAGAACTTCCAAATGCCTGAACCGCAGCGGCCAGGCATTCCTCCAGAACCTCCCTCCCCAGGAGCTTGCTACAAGTGCCAGAAATCTGGCAGCCAGGCCAAGGAATGCCTGCAGCCCAGAATTCCTCCTAAGCTGCGTCCCATCTGGGGACCCCACTGGAAATCAGACTGTTCAACTCATCTGGCAGCCACTCCAAGAGCCCCTGGAACTCTGGCCCAAGGCTCTCTGACTGACTCCTTCTCGGCTTAGCAGCTGAAGACTGATGCTGCCTGATCGCCTCAGAAGCCCTGTAGACCATCTCGGACGCCAAGCTTCACGTAACTCTCACAGTGGAAAGTAAATCTGTCCCCTTCTTAATCAATATGGAGGCTACCCACTTCACATTACCTTACTTTCAAGGGCCTGTTTCCCTTGCCTCCATAACTGTTGTGGGTATGGACAGCCAGGCTTCTAAACCTCTTAAAACTCCCCAACTCTAGTGGCAACTTAGACAATACTCTTAAGCACTGCTTTTAGTATCCCCACCTGCCCAGTTCCCTTATTAGGCCGAGACACTTTAACTAAATTACCTGCTTCCCTGACTATTCCTGGATTACAGCTACATCTCATTGCTGCCCTTCTTCCCAATCCAAAGCCTCCTTTGCATCCTCCTCTTGTATTCCTCCACCTTAACCCACAAGTATAAGATACCTCTACTCCCTCCTTGGCGACGGATCATGCATCCCTTACCATCTCATTAAAACCTAATCACCCTTACCCTTATCAATGCCAAGATCCCATCCCACAGCATGCTTTGAAAGGATTAAAGTCTGTTATCACTCGCCTGCTACAGCATGGCCTTTTAAAGCCTATAAACTCTCCTTACAATTCCCCCATTTTACCTGTCCTAAAACCGGACAAGCCTTACAAGTCAGTTCAGGATCTATGCCTTATCAACCAAATTGTTTTGCCTATCCACCCCATGGTGCCAAACCCATATACTCTCCTATCCTCAGTACCTCCCTCCACAACCCATTATTCTGTTCTGGATCTCAAACATGCTTTCTTTACTATTCCTTTGCACCCATCATCCCAGCTTCTCTTGGCTTTCACTTGGACTGACCCTGACACCCATAAGGCTCAGCAAATTACCTGGGCTGTACTGCCGCAAGGCTTCACAGACAGCCCCCATTACTTCAGTCAAACCCAAATTTCATCCTCATCTGTTACCTATCTCGGCATAATTCTCATAAAAACATACATGCTTTCCCTGCTGATCGTGTCCGATTAATCTCCCAAACCTCAATCCCTTACAAAACAACAACTCCTTTCCTTCCTACGCATGGTTAGTGTGGTCAGAATTCTTACACAAGAGCCAGGACCACACCCTGTAGCCTTTCTGTCCAAACAACTTGACCTTACTGTTTTAGCCTAGCCCTCATATCTCCATGCAGCAGCTGCTGCCGCCCTAATACTTTTAGAGGCCCTCAAAACCACAAACTATGCTCAACTTACTCTCTACATTTCTCATAACTTCCAAAATCTATTGTCTTCCTCATACCTGATGCATATACTTTCTGCTCCCTGGCTCCTTCAGCTGTACTCACTCTTTGTTAAGTCCCACAATTACCATTGTTCCTGGCCTGGACTTCAATCCGGCCTCCCACGTTATTCCTGATACCACACCTGACCCCTATGACTGTAACTCTCTGATCCAACTGACATTCACCCCGTTTCCCCATATTTCCTTCTTTCCTGTTCCTCACCCTGATCACGCTTGATTTATTGATGGCAGTTCCACCAGGCCTAATCGCCACACACCAGCAAAGACAGGCTATACTATAGTACAAGCCACTAGCCCGCCTCTTAGAACCTCTCATTTCCTTTGCATCATGGAAATCTATCCTCAAGGAAATAACTTCTCAGTGTTCCATCTGCTATTCTACTACTCCTCAGGGATTATTCAGGCCCCCTCCCTTCCCTACACATCAAGCTCGAGGATTTGCCCCCACCCAGGACTGGCAAATTAGCTTTACTCAACATGCCCCGAGTCAGAAAACTAAAATACCTCTTAGTCTAGGTAGACACTTTCACTGGATAGGTAGAGTCCTTTCCTACAGGGTCTGAGAAGGCCACCACAGTCATTTCTTCCCTTCTGTCAGACATAATTCCTCAGTTTAGTCTTCCCACCTCTATACAGTCTGATAACAGACCAGCGTTTATTAGTCAAATCAGCCAAGCAGTTTTTCAGGCTCTTAGTATTCAGTGAAACCTGTATATCCCTTATGGTCCTCCATCTTCAGGAAAAGCAGAATGGACTAAAGGTCTTTTAAGAACACACCTCACCAAGCTCAGCCACCAACTTAAAAAGGACTGGACAATACTTTTATGACTTTCCTTTCTCAGAAGTCAGACCTGTCCTCAGAATGCTACAAGGTACAGCCCATTTGAGCTCCTGTATAGACGCTCCTTTTTATTAGGCCCCAGTCTCATTCCAGACACCAGACCAACTTAGACTGTGCCCCAAAAAAACTTGTCATCCCTACTATCTTCTGTCTAGTCATACTCATATTCACCATTCTCAACTACTCATACATGCCCTGCTCTTGTTTACACTGCCGGTTTACACTGTTTCTCCAAGCCATCACAGCTGATATCTCCTGATGCTATCCCCAAACTGCCACTCTTAACTCTTGAAGTAAATAAATAATCTTTGCTGGCAGGACTATGCTGAATCTCCTTAGGAACTCTCTAATCAGATGTCCTGAGTCGTCCCAATTCTTAGACCTTTTATACCTGTTTTTCTCCTTCTGTTATTCCATTTAGTTTTTCAGTTCATACAAAACTGTATCCAGGCCATCACTAATAATTCTAAATGACAAATGTTCCTTCTAACAACCCCACAATATCACCCCTTACCACAAAATCTTCCTTCAGCTTAATCTCTCCCACTCTAGGTTCCCACGCCGCCCCTAATCCCGTTCGAAGCAGCCCTGAGAAACATCGCCCATTATCTCTCCATACCATCCCCCAAAATTTTCGTTGTCCCAACACTTTACCACTATTTAATTTTATTTTTCTTATTAATATAAGAAGACAGGAATGTCAGGCCTCTGAGCCCAAGCTAAGCCATCATATCCCCTGTGACCTACACGTACACATCCAGATTGCCGGTTCCTGCCTTAACTGATGACATTCCACCACAAAAGAAGTGAAAATGGCCTGTTCCTTACTTAACTGATGACATCGTCTTGTGAAATTCCTTCTCCTGGCTCATCCTGTCTCAAAAGCTCCCCCACTGAGTACCTTGTGACCCCCATTCCTGCCCGCCAGAGAACCCCCCTTTTTCCTTTACCTCCCCAAATCCTATAAAATGGCCCCACCCCTATCTCCCTTCACTGACTCTCTTTTCGGACTCAACCCTCCTGCACCCAGGTGAAATAAACAGCTTTACTGCTCACACAAAGCCTGTTTGGTGGTCTCTTCACATGTATGCTCATGAAAGATAGATAGATAGATAGATAGATAGATAGATAGATAGATAGATAGATAGATATAAAGGAATCAAGCCATATTAAAAGGGCGTAGGTGCCAGTCTGAAAGAGCTTTCAATGGCCAAAGCTGGAAAAAGTTGAGAATATAAATAATAGTAATATTGATCATAGCCCAAAGAATAAAATAAATATCCTTGAGTCCAAGCTAATATAAATAATTTACGATGATTAGATAAAGAGAAGAGAGAGAAGGGACAGTTCTTTTTTACAGAAGAATTTCAATTTATAACTGTAGAAGAAATGAAGAAAATAGAAAATCGCTATTATCGGGGTAATTATTGCTGCAGGCAAAATGCTAGGGTTAGTGGACAAACATTTAAAGAAAAACAGAATATTTGCATAATCTCAGAGTTTTTCTCTCAAAATAAATAATTACTGGTTATAAAAATTAAAATAGTAATTTTGCTGTGGAGAAAATTGGCAGATGCTAGCTTAATCAAGTGATCAACATTAACGTTGCCAGTAATAGGACATATTGACCTCATGTTCCCTTGATAAGATGCAATGATAAAGGCACGACACCTCTGCTGTATTTTTTTAAATATACAACCTTAATAAAATCATGACAAAAGATCAAACAAACCCAAACTGAGGAATATTCTACAAAATAACTAACCAGAATTATTTCAAAGTCTTCAGATCATGAAAGACAAAGAAAGGCTGAGGAACTGTCACCGACTGGAGGAGACTAAGGTGATATGAAAACTAAATGAAACACGGGATCCTGGATTAGATTCTGAAGCAGACGCAGGAAATCCCAATAAATGCCACTAGTTAGTAGTATTGTAGTAATGTTAATTTCTTGGTTTCTCCGAATTATGTAAAATTCCAACATTAAGGAAAGCTGGTAGAGAGTATGCAGAAACTCTTTTATATACCACCTTTCTGTGGTTATTTAACTTTAATTTTAAAAAAATAATCAAATATGTGCAGGTCTATTTCTGGATCCTCTATTCTGTTCCATTGGCTCAGTGGTTTATCTTTATATCACTATCATACTATAGTGATGTCTGAATCACTGTCGTTTAACATTGAGTCTCAAAATCAGGTAATGTGAGTCCTTCAATTTGCTTTTCTCCTCCAAAATAATTTTGCCTCTTTTATTTGCTTATCATTCCCATATCCATTTTAAAATTAGCATAAATTTCTACCAAAAAAGTTTTGTTCAGATTTTGATTAAATTACATTGACTCTTTAGATTAATTTGAGGGTGAACTGATGTCATAACAATATTGCATCGTCTAATCCATAAACGGGGTCTCTCTTTCTCTCTATTTAGGCTTTCTTTAATTTTTCTCAGAGATATTTTAACATTTCAAGTGCAGGTCTTGCTCATCTTTTGTCAGATTTATTCCTAAGTATTTCCTCTTCTTAGATGCTCTTACAATTTTTCTTGATTTTTGAATTTTGATTTTGAATAAGTTATCAAAATATAGAGAAATACAATTAATTTTTATATTGACTTTGTATTCTAAAACTTGTTAAACTCATTTATTAGGTCTATGATCTTTTTGTAGATTTCTTGAGGTTCCTATATAGATTATCATATTTTCTGATAAAGACTGTTTGACCTCTTCCTTTCTAATCTGTATGACTTTTTTTTTCTTGCCTTATGACATTGGCTAGAAATTTTAATACAAAACAGTTAAAAAGGGTACCAAAAGAGATATTCTTGTCTGTCCTAATCCCAATGGAAAAGCTTTCAGTCTTTTATCATTTAAGCATGATGCACAGCTTTAGGTTTTTCATAGGTAAACTTCATCAGGTTAAAGAGGTATCTTCTAGTCCTCATGTGCTGAGAGATTTTATTTTAAATTGATGTTAAATATGTTATTTATAGTAAATAAGTAATTTTTACACATAATTATTTATGAGGATTTAATTACAAGAGTCCCAAACTGGAAACTACCCAAATGTCTTTCACTGGGTGGATGATTAAACAAACTGTGGTCCAGCCATACTATCCAGCAATAAAAAAGCAACACACTATGAATGGACACAGTAATTTGAATGAAGCTCAAAGGAAATTATGCAAGCAAAAACAGCTAATAATATATGTATATAGCAAATTCCACCTATAAAAACTCCATGAAATAATCTAATTATGGGGATCTATAGAAAATTGGTGATAGCAAAGGTTTGGGGATGAAGAAGGGATGGGTATAAAGGGATATATATCTTGCTATAAAGGGATAGCAAGAGAGAGTCTTATGCAGTTGTATTTTTTTATATTGTGTTGTGATTGTGGTGGTGGTTACACAAAGATACACATCTAATAAAATTTCATGGGGCCACACATACACATACACACACCTGAGTGAATGTATAAAGGATAATATCTGAATAAAATTTATGGATTTTACTAAATTGTTTTCTCTGGTTTTGATACTGCCTGGGATCTTTTGCATATTACTTTGAATGTTCCTACGGATCTATAATTATTTCAAATTTAAAAGTTGAGAAAATAACCCTCCCTTGAATCCATTATCCTCCCCAAATAATTTACATTTAGTTCTTCCCCTTCTCTTTCAAACTTTGAAAAAGTGTTACCTGTATGAATCATGTCCAATTTCACATCTCCGTTTGACTCATTACATTGAAATTTTACTTCTGCTCTCAGCATTCTTCTGAATTTGCTATCATTAAGGATATCAATGAATCAACGTTTGTCAAGTTACCGTTCCACCTCCCATCGAACCAGACTTGCCTCTATGGTATTGTTGATTACCTTTTCTTTCCTGAGGCTCTCTAACTTCCACGACACCACACTTTTCTGGATCTCTTCACATTTTTGAGTCTCTGATTCTTGCATAAAAACCTATTTTCTACCTGATATTTAAACATTTGTGTATTAGTTGAGGTGCCAAAATGCAGACACAAAACATTAAACAAGATATAAGTTTGTTTTCCATTCACATAAGATTTTGGACTCAGGCTCTTTTCATATTGTTTTTGAGCCATCTCTAATTGCTCTCATCTGTTTCTCTGAAGCAGGGACACAGCCTTCTCTGTATTCCAGCCAGTGAGAGGACCAAGTGTCCTCCAAAGTGAATCAGCTTATCTCTAAATTAGAAATGACCCAACAGCTACACAAATCACCTCCCATCTAATGCCAGTGGCTAAACTTGGTCATAAGGCCATGGAGCTTCAAGCTTGATTACCATTGAAGAGAGGGATAATGGATTTGAAAGAGACACAAGCAGTCTTACATTGGTAGTATTCATCAGGGTTCCATTCTTAATTGGTGTATATTTTTTTCTTAACTTACACATTCTCAAATAGTGATTTCATCTCTTTTCCTGGTTTTCATTACCTATTTTTATTTCCAGTTGTGGATCTTTGTTTCATCCCTTTCCCTAGCCCTCTGGACTTCTACAGGCATCTTAACTTGTCTTTCTATCCCTAGAATCTGGAACACTGATTATCAATGGAGAGCAATTTTGTCCTCTGGGGACACCTGGCAATGTCTAGAGAGCTTTTTGAATGTCACAACTGAGGCAGAGCAGGGGAAATTGTGCTAGCTATTGGCATCTAGTGGGTAGAGACCCAGGTTGTTGCTAAACAAAATATGATGCACAAGATATCACTCCACAACAAATGCTTATTTTGTCCAAAATGTCAGTAATGCTGCTGTTGAGAAACCCTGACATAAAGCAATGCCAGTTTTCTAGTAAAATGTAGTACATTTTGAGAGGATGAATGATTTAGTAAAATCTGTATAAAAGGTAATCTTCACACAGAAGTAGTAAACCTGAGGCTATCATATGTTGTCACTCCTGATCCACAAGTCAACAATAATAATGATCATGAGTTATTGAGCTTTATATACCTCATCCCATTTTAAATGAACAACAATCCTGTGGGATATTATAACATTTTATGGGTGAGTAAACTAAGGCTCAGAAAATTTGATAACTTGCCTAATATCACAGAGCTAGAATACATACCCCAGATTTTTCTGGCTGTTATAGCACCCCTTAGCCTCTGGGATTCATCTTATTTTCACTTCACACTCAACTCTTTAACCTTGAATGCTTGAACAGTTCAAATATAAATTTGATCTCTTATTCTTCCTATGCTGGTGCCTACCCCAGGCAAGGGCAAGTTCCTACCTCAACATTTGTGTTTCTCTCCTTGAGGAAGCTGCAGTATCATTCTAGCCTAAATTTTTTAGAAGAGGGAAAATTAAGAAAAGTATTACTTACAGATCTGACTCTAGTAAAGCTTTGAACGGGATAGGAATTCCTGAAGACACAGGTAACCCCTCCCCAGCTCAGTCCCATTAGGAAACCAAAACAGCCTGCTCTTCCTGCTTCTAAAAATTTTCCCTTCTTTAGGCCAGTACATGGACAGTACTTGTGAATTAAATTTTCTTAACAATAGTCTTGCTGTTCATATTTTATTTACTCAAGTTCATATTCTGCTCCTCAAGAGCTGTTGGAAAAGTTCTTCCATTTGAAGGATAGGAAGAATTTTCTTTGAGGGATAAGTCAAGGACCAATGTGGCATAAATAGAGAAAGTATAATCATCTTTCCTTGGATATACACCATCCTGAGAGGAGAGAGAGAAAGAGACACACTCGTTTCCTTAGTGCTCTTCTTTTGCCTTCTGAATATTATCAATGATTCACTGAAGAGGCTGAATGGAAGAAGAGAAAGTATTCTATAGGAGAACACGCTAAGGATTTATAAGTCATAGTCACCACAGAGAAAAGAAGTTTTGTTCACTAGCAATTTTAACTATAGTAATTGCCATGTACTAGAAAAGAGCAGTGAAGATTGATGCTGGGAATTCCTATAACATTGAAAGCTGGCACACACAAAAATCATCCTACATTTTTAAGCCCATCCCGTTTTACCTTTCATCTTGTCCCCCTGTAGTTTCTAAAATTATAAACTACCTAAAATGCAGTCAACCAGCAACTCCAGCACACCTATAATATCTAGTACCCCAGAAATAATACAAAAAATCCTGAATGTTGGCTTTGAAAGGGATGCTGACTGTCCCAACCCTTTTATAGTCCTTGATCCTCAGAGTTTTGTTCTGAATAGGAGTAGAATGCAAGGAGTTAGTTACAGGTAAAGACAGATAATGTCAGGTGTCTTTCTGGTAATAATTAAAGAAATCAATTGGAATTACTCTATTTCTAATATTTTTAAACTTTATTGATAAAACCAGAAAATATATAGTTTCAAGTCTTTGGTAACTATGATTAGCACCCTTTGAGATGGCCTCCAACAATCTCTGCATCTTGGTTTGACATCCTTTGTCTAATCCCATCCCCTTGCATGTGAGATAAACATAATGACTTGCTTCTCACCAATAGTATATGACGGAAGTGATGTGATGCCACATCCATGATTGGGTAATAAAAGGCCAGGATTTCTGCCTTGCTTTTACTGCTTTCTCTCTTGTTGACACTCTCTCTTGCTCACCCAGTTACCCATTCTGATGAAGAAAGCTAAAGTATTGTGAGCTGCCTATACGGAGAGAAACTTGGAGGGGCCATGTGACAAGGAACTGAGGGAAGCCTTCAGCCAGCAACCAGCAAGGAGCTGAGGCCCTCAGTCCAACAGCCCAGGAGGAAATGAATCCTTCCAATAACCATGTCACTGAGTTTGAAATTGAACCTTTCTCCTACCAAACCTTCAGCGGAGACTACAGCCATGGATGATGCTTTGTTCACCACCTTGTGTGAAACTGATGCTGAGAGCCCAGCTAAGCTATGCCCAGATTTCTGACCTATAAAAACTGTGATAATATGTGGTTGCTTTCAAGCCACTATATTTTGGGTAGTTTCTTGTGTAGCAGAGGATAACTATTAGAGTAGTTTTCTAGTGCAATAAAAGGACAGACACAAATTTACCTTTGAGGCAAATATTTTTCTTTTTTTTTCCTAGGAAAAGCACCAAATTGGATGGATTAGCTGTGCAGATAAAAGCAGCTAGTAATTGTTGGACTTGAATTTAAATGTTTTAAACTGGAACTTGGTGTTCAGTTTGGTCATATAAACTGAGTGTATGTTGGGCAAAAATTTGTCTCTGGAATTTGTTTTCTTTTTAATGGAGAGATATTTCTGTGTATGAACGGTTGGACTTGATGGCCTTATTCCCATTCATTATTTCTTGTCCATATATGAAGGTGTGTGGGGAGGGGTGTTGGGGGGTGAGAGAGACAGAGACAAGGAAAAAGTAAGAAAAGACAGAGACAGATAGGCACAGAAAGAGCTCTTGTTCCATAAATTTATCCAAGAATGTCAAGAGCTAACCTTCACTTTAAGCTAGAAGTAAAAAATGAATGGCTTAGGCCTGGCCAAGTACAGTTCAAATTAGAAAATGGAAACCTCATGCATGGAGTCATTTGAAAATGAATAATACTTAATGCTGTATTTTCTCTATTATTCCACTGTGAGTCTCCTTAAGATGGGAATGGGGCATACACTGTCAACTGTCCTAGGTTAGAGCAGGACCTAAGAAGGGAAATAGGTGCTAAAGAACAGCCTACAAGCTCAAGAAACAAGAATGTCTCTCTTCTAGAACTCCCACTGTTTGCACTTAAATTCTGAGAAAGAATGGCATGGTCTAGGCCTTGCTACTCCAAATTTGGGCTTCAGCATCACCTAGGAACTTGTTAGAATGCAAAATCTTAGGCCCCACTTCCAACCAATTGAATCACAATGTGCATTTTAACAAGATCCCCAGGTCATTTAAATGCACATTAAAGTCTGAGACATACTGTTCTAGAGTACTAACACTTCGGCAAGATAAACTGGCCCTTGACTCAAGGCATCCACCTACAGACTAGGCAGGGAAGCATTTTGGAGGATAAGTGATACGGTTTGGCCCTCTGTCCCCACCCAAATCTCATGTCGAATTGTAATTCTCAGTGTTGGAGGAGGGGCCTGGTGGGAAGTGATGGAATGATGGGGGCAGACTTCCCCCTTGCTCTCTTAGTGATGGGAGTTCTCATGAGACCTAGTTGTTTGAAAGTGTGTAGCACCTCCTGCTCATCTCTCCCCCTTCCTCTTACTTCTGCCATGTAGACACACTTGCTTCCCCTTCACCTTCCACTATGATTGTAAGTTTCCTGAGGCCTCCCAAGCAATGGCTCCTGTGCATCCTATGAAACTGTGAGTCACCCAATTAAACTTATTTTCTTTATAAATTAGCCAGTCTCCGGTAGTTCTTTATAGCAATGTAAGAATGAACTTATACAATGGGCTATAGTCTGGGTTTATAGGATACAAGAATGTCCACATCTTATCATTGGAATTAATTTTCTGCTGTTTACTTTCTTCATCTATCAATACAATCTTTGGGACACATAGCCTTGTCCCAGAAATTACTTGTGGCTTTTAATAAAAGATCTCTGCCCATGACTGTCATGAAGCCACACAATAGAAAACAGTAGCAATGACACAAGAAAGGAACATTATAAAAACTTGGGTTCCAAAAAAGTCAACTGGTATGAAAGCCTGACTCTTGGCAAACTGGACAATGTTACTCAATTTGGTAGTTATACATTGGTGAAACTGTCACCTTCTAGGAACAGAGACAAGGAGCCTCTAGCTTAGCAACCTTTGAATTCAGCATCAGGCTCTATTCCTGCAAATGGCACCCTTGGTCTGTTTTGTTTTTGCCTAGCTTTGGTCAGATTTCTCCAAGTCTTTGTTGCCAAATCTACTGGGAGCCTCTGGCTTCCACTCCATCTCTTACCAGAATTTACCAGGGCACATTTGTTCCTGGGTAAGCACTGAATTGTTTTGGTCCTAGAGCCTTTCTCTGGCCCACTGTTCTACTCCATTCCTACAAGGGAACTTAGAGCAGAATCTGCATCTACCTTTCCTTTGTATTTCCCACAATGCCTATTAGCAGGACAGTACCAGGCAGGGTGGTAGAGGGTGATGGGGCATGTGCAGGAAAGGCTGGGGATGACATAATGTGCTGAGTTGCTAATTATAAGCAAAAGTCACTCAGAGAAGGCATAAGACTTCACTAAAGTACATAATAGCTTACCATTAAAACAACAAGAAGTAACAAAGCATATGCTTATGACTTACAAAAACTGCTAATTAAACAAAATATACACATGCCAGCAGCCTACTAAATGTGGTATGCCACCATTTGGATTCTTGGCACCTATAACACCCTTCCACCCCCATCAGACAACATAATCTGAGCTCTGAAGACCGTATATTCCATCTGTTTCTTCCATCCCAGCAGTACCAGCTTTTCCTTGAGTAAAACCCAAAAATGCTCACCAAAAAGAGAAGTGGAAGATCTTTTCAGGAGATCCCAGCCACTCTCTGGATCTCAGTATGAAGTGAGAACAGCTGGTAGAAGACTCTTGCCAGCTTCAAGCTGACAACTCCCCACACCATTGGGTGCCAAATAAGCTGTCCTCTGATAGAGAAAAAGCAGTAACTGGATGCATTTCAAAATCGACACAGCCTATTTATTCTCCCCCAGATAGAAAAGCATCTGATAAAAGTTTGGATGTACCCTCCAAACCTCATGTTGAGATGCCATCCCGTGTTGAAGGTCGGGCCTGGTGAGATGTGTTTGGGCATGGAGAAGGATCCCTCATGGCTTAGTGCTGTCCTCACCATAGTGAGTGAGTTCTCCTGAGATCTGGTTGTTTAAATGTGTGGCATCTTGCCCCATGCCCCCCGCACCCAGCCACTTTCTCTGTCTTACTCCTGCTCCCACGGTGTGAGGTGCCTGCTCCTCTTTCACCTTCTGCCATGACCGGAAGCTTCCTGAGGCCTCCACAGAAGCAGATGCGGGCATTATGCTTCCTGTACAGCCTGTAGAACAGTGAGCCAATTAAATGTCTTTTCTTATAAAGTACCCGGCCTCAGGTATTTATCTATAGCAGTGCAAGAATGGCCTAACAGAGCATCCATGTCCAAATGCCAAGTTCCTAAGGTATTCGGAAACCTATAGATTCTCTTAGGTAGAAAACTGGTTCCCCTGTTAAACAAAAACCATCAGTGCTTTGTTCTCTCATATCTTTATAATGTTTCCACTGTTTTCATGACATTCTTCTCTTCTCTTTGCTCTGCTCATCCCACTATCAAAACCTTCATTTTAAACTTTTTCTCATGAAATAGAAATAAAAACGTCTTGTCTCTGGCAAAAGGACTCCAGGCCTGGAAGGAATTGGGGAGTAGGTCAGGATCAGGGAAAGCTTCCTAAAGAAAATTCCAGTAAATCCAGAGGTTTCAGAGCACTTAGATCCAAAAGGAGTGTTATTACCCATCTTTTAGGAAAACAGCAATACTCAAAGCTAAACCCTTACTCTGGGTACTGAGTGAAGTGACCTTCCAGCAGATTCCTCTCTCCAGATGCCCTTTCAGGAGCTAGTTTTGATTAACTGTCAAGGGAGAAAATCTGTAATCTTGAAACCCTCCCTTCCAGAAGGTCTCACAATTCCACATGAACATTAGCCTAGCTCCTCCCCGAAGTTCTGCCTTTCAGGCTTAGAGTGTGTTAAATCACAGAAATGTGTGACTACACTTCTTCAATTAACATTCCTAAAGGGAGTCACTGAAGCAATTATTCACAAAAAGGTGTCTGAAAGCCTTCAACTATAGACAAAGAACAACTGGCATAATTTCTAAGTTCTGCCTCAACAGTCATTCTATTACAAGTGACGTGTTCATCTTCGTACTAGATTGTATCACAGAATGCTTAGGCTTTGGATACATAAGACCCATAATTTATAAAAGGGAATTTATTTGGTTATTACTTCAGAATGAACAATGTCCTTACCCAAATAATAATAACTAACATTTATTAAATATTGACCAAGTGCCAGGTATTTTATAAAGGCTCTACGTATATTAACTTATTTAATCATCAAACCAACTCTATGAAGCAAATACCATTACTATCCTGATTTTACACACAACACAATTAAATAACTTAGCCAAGGTTATCAATATAGTGATTGATGTATTTGGGATATTTGTTCCTTCCAAATCTCATGTCAAAATTTAATCCCCAATGTTGGAGGTTGGGCCTAGTGAGGGGTTTTGGGGGTAAAGGGGCAGAATTCTCATGAGCTTCTTGGTGCTATTCTTGCAGGATTGAGTGAGTTATTACTCTTAGTTTCTGTGAGATCTGGCTGTTAAAAAGAGTCTGGCATCTTCCTCTCTCCCCTCCTTTCTCTCTTGCCATGTCATGCCTACTCCCTTCCACCTTCCTCCATGAGTGGAAGTTCTCTGAAGCCCTCACCAGAAGCAGGTGTTGGTGCCATGCTTGTTGTAGAGCCTACAGGTCTGTGAGCCAAATAACCATCTTTTTGTTATAAATTACCCAGCCTCAGGTATTCCTTTACAGAAACACAAAACAGACAAAGACGGTGGTCTTGGGTCTGACTCCAGATTACAGCATGAATAAGAAAGAACCCCAAGTCACCTTCAGGTTTTTTTTTCATACATTGAGCATTTTTTAATAAACAAGTAAATTATATAGAAGATAGGAAGGGTTAAGGATATAAAGAAAATGCAGAGAAACAATAGAACTGGAGAGCATGAGGAGGAGATAAGTGTTATCAAAATTACAACTATACAGGTTGGGGTTGGCTCATTAAAATATTTAGCTGAGGAAGTTAATCATGCAGACATATGTAGAAGTATGTTCCAGGAGGAAGGGACAGCCATGCAAAGACTTAATTGAGAGAATGCCTGGTGATTTCTGCAACACAGTCAGGGGTGGAAGAGTTAAAAGAGCAGAAATAGGACCGAATCATGCTGCATTTGCAGGCTTTCACTGAGTGAAGTGAGGAGCCAGTATATGATTTTGAGCAGAGGTCTGAGTACATTATCTCACTCATGTTTTAAAAGGCTCCTGCTGGCTAGTTAGTAAACAGGACACACAGACAATGAGGTAGAAGCAGGGGACCAGTTAGGAATTACTTGCAGTAAATCAAGCAAGAAGAAGATGGGGCTTGAACACAGCCCTGGAGAAGTTGGGAAGTGGCCCAGGAGAGATCTGTTTTGAAGGAAGCATCAACAGGAATTCTTGAATATGGAGTGGAACAGAGCATAAGAGAGGAATGAGCAATGGCTTCAAGGTTTTGGCTGAAGCTACCGAAAGAATGGATCAGTGAGATGGGAGAGGCTGATATTGGAGCAATGTTTTTTATGGGGTAGGAGAAAGGCGGAAATCAGGTGTTGAGTTTTGAACTTGAGTTTGATGTATCTATTAAAACATTCACATTAAGACTCCCAGAAGGATGATTTGGAGGTTAGGGTGCAGTGAGAGAATAAAGAAGAAAAGGGAAGGGAAGAAGAGGTTCAGCAATTAAGAATTGCAATGTCTGACATCGAGGCTAAAAAAAAGAGCAAGGAGTAGCCCCAAAGGAGAACAAAAGGGTGGCCAATGAGGTAAAAATGATATCAAGAGATTGCGGTGTCCTAGAAACCAAAAGGGCATCTAGAACACATTAGGAGGCCAACAAAAAATACTTAATGTAAAAGCATTAAGCTCTCTGAGTCTTAGATTCCTCACCTGTAAAGGGAGGGTATACATACTTACTTCAGGATTACATGAGATGAAGCGTATGTAGGATGAAAAGTGGTCCCCAAGCTATCATGTTCCAATTCCTACAACCTGTAATTGTGACCGTATTTGGAGAAAAAGAAAGTCTTTGCAGATGTGATTAAGGATTTGAGGACAGTGAGATAATCCTGGATTATCCTGGTGGGTTCTAAATGCAATCACAGCTGCTCTTATAAGGGAGAGATTAGGCTCATACACACAGAGGAGAAGGCAATGTGAAGGTAAAGAATAAAGAGATTTGAAGATGGTGGCTGTGAAGATTGGGGTGACGCAGCAACAAGCTGAAGAAGGCCAGAAACCACCAGCTGCTGGAAGATGCCCCACTAGAGCATCTAGAGGAAATGTGACCCTGCCAACCTCTGAACTTTGTCCCCACAATACTAATATCAGTCTTCTCTCTTCCAGAACTGTGGAAGGATACATTTCTGTTGTTTTATGCCACCAAGTTTGTTACAGCTGCAAGAGCACACTAATACAATATGTAACAAGCTGAACAGAATCTTGAAAGACCTTCAGTGTGCACCACCATTATCCATTCCTCCACAAAGATGGTTTCACACATGGGAAGAGACTACTAAGGAAGGATCACTGATATCAATCTGAAAGGTGGCAAAACATCTTTGAAAAGTGTCTGTGAGAGAATGGCTCTCATGCTGGGGGCCGGATTTGTAGAAGGATCTTTAGACAGCCCTCAACATCAATAGCATTCTACAGTTTAAACCACACTCAGCTGGGGTTGTTTATACAAAATGAAACTGGCAGAATCTTCATAAGGTGAGTCATCCTTTTTATAGTCTTGCCTATGCTTGCTGTTCTTACCTTTATTCTGTTTTATACCATGGGGCACCATATTGTTTTCAGAATGATTAGTATATTTCACTTACTTCTGTAATTTTTGGCACTAGATTCTCTTCTTTTTAACTCCTCTTTGTACAATACACATATTTGATCCATGCATGCTTAACCTTGTAAACCTTGTTTCTTCTCATCTAGAGGCCATCAAACTCCAAAGAGTCAGGCAACTGGAGCCTCAGATGATGGCTCCCATTTGCCAGGGACCCTTAGATAGACCTCTGGGAAGAGTCTGACTGCCATTCTCCCTCCAAAAAATGCCCCCTGTCAGAAGAAATTAGCTAAGACTGGTCATCATCTGTATTCTTACATCAGTTAGATGTGTGTCTTCAAAGATGGGAAATGATACGGACAGGAAGCAGGGAAATTCTGGGCAGAAGAGGGCAGATCCCTGGTGAGGGCCCCACCCTCAAGCCTGGAACCATGGCCCAAAGTGAGAACTTGAATTCCTGTTTTCCTGCTCGAATGTTGCATTTTCCAAAACCACCCATGGCCCACCCCCCACATCCTGTGCCCATAAAAACTCCAGGCTCAGGTGGCAGAGAGAGGGGAAGCAGCTGGATATCAGAGACTAGAGTTGGATGTCAGAGAGAAGCAGCTTGACTTCAGAGGGGCAGCTTGATGGCATAGCTTCAAAGAGGGGTCTGGCTGGGGACAGCCAGTCTTCAGGGGACAATTACCTTCCCACTCTGTCCCCCTTTCAGCTCCCTCTCTGGCTGAGATCCACTTTCGTCAGCAATAAAATCCCCTGTATTTACCATCTTCAATTCATTCATGTGACCTGATTTTTCCTGGGTTGCAGATAAGAGCTCAGAGCCACAAGTGTGAATGCAAAAGTCTGTCACAATGACCCTCCATTGACATAAGCCATCCAGGGATGGCAAAGCTAAAAGAACACTGACCATAACACTCCCTCTGGGGCTTCAGGGGTCACAGGCACCCCCCTAGATGCTGCTCTGGGGCTGGTACGGAGTTCATTCCTGCTGGTGCCCAGTAGCACTTGCCCTGGCTCCTGCACCTGCTCAACTGCATGCTCCCCCAACTGCAAGGGGTTGAGAGCTGTGGGCTAAGTGAGGCACCCCTGTTGTGAGGCTTGTGAAGGGGTCAGGGAAATATCCTGCTTCACTAGCACAATATGGAAAAGAGAGAGATTTAAAACAAATAACAACTGACAAAGTTCTCTCATAAAAAATATTTATTGCCCCAATAGCTGTATACCCATTAAGATAGATACCTTTATTGCTTACATATGTAGCAGGCCAAATTTCACATGTATGGTAATAAAATTAAGGGCATTTATTGGCAGTCACTTTGGTTGCAAAGTCATGCCTTTTTCAGGGAAGTCATATTTCCTGTCCCTTAAAAATGTATCTCCTTGTCTTCAGCAGCCACAAGGTCCTATTCTCTGACCTAGTTTTGCAAAGTTCTAGGAAGCTCATTTCAGGTCTTTCCCATCATATTTTCTCTGAGAGTATTCTGATAGATGAAAGGGTGAATATGTCCTACACACCTAGTGTTAATGCCTCCCCAAGTGGGGCAATTCCTTTGTAAGCCTCCAATAACATTTAGGAAGTTTCAAATATATAGATGATATTTTATGTTACTGGCCATCTTCCAGAAGCTATTTGCTGCTTTCTAACCTTATAATCTAGATTTTAAACTTGCTGTGGAGAGATACTCACCCTCTTGTTTACATTCTTGGCAGGCAATGTGAATAACAGCCTTTCTGCTAACTTCAGACTGGAAAGAAAAGGAGCTGAGAAATTACCAGATGCACCAAGGATCTTCCACGGCCTGATGTGTTCTGTAGATGTAAGAAAACCTCCTTATAACTTAGCCTCTTCTGCTTCACAGGAAAGCTCTAGTTTATTTTAAACAAACTTACATCGTATGGTCTCTATGCCAGGCACTATTCTAAATGCTTGACAAACAGGAACCCACTTAATTCCCATGAAATCCTAAAAACAGAGGTGCCATTTGCCACCATATTTAACAGATGAAGAAACTGAGGGTCAGAGAAGGCCTAAGTAATTTACCTAGGATCAAGCGGCTACTATGTATTGAAGTGAAAATCAAACACAAGCACAAGTTTTGCTCTAGGGTCATTTAGTTATCACAACTGTCTTTCTGAGATCTCTCTAGTTTTCTTCACATTCAATCCATTCAGCTCTCTGAAGCCTTACTGGATTCGGTAAAAACATACCGATGAATCATAGCCATAGCTGCGAGCCCCACAGGAAGATCTTAAAAAGCAAATAAATATGAGGCACTACGCACCCAATCCTTAGCACACAATTAAATTTGACTTTTATATTTACCGGTACCACAATCGTTTTTGTGTGTGTTTGGAGGCATTGAGAATTTTTTTTTTTAAATCTTAGCACAGATATGACCAACCTCCAACAAAATTCACAAACAAATGGGATCAGATAACACTTGAAGTTTTAATGGAAACTTGAAAGGCAGGAAGCAAGTCAGGACTCTTCCTCTCTTTTTGATATCTCAGGACTTGTCCATGAAAATAAAGGACATAAAAATGTTCAGAAAGGACTAAACTCTTAGAATAAGCCATCCAAGATCTCTCCCTCTAAGTCTTGCACCCTTGAGCAGTCAAAAACACATAGTGTATCGAGACCCCATTATTTGCTTTTTAATTTGAGTATGGAGTCTAAGAAAAGTTGTGAATTCCTCAAATCCAAAAAGAGAAGCTATTTTCCTGTGAATCCCTCTTTATAAAGGAAGTCTTAAATTGCAATTCTAAGCAGAGGGCAATGAGAGAAGTTCACAGGCCCTATAGAGGGCACTGATGCAAGGAAAGCCCAGCATCAGGAGAAGCCTCTTCCAGGCACATCCTGGGAGTGGTCACACAAGAGGTCCCTTCCACAAACAACTTGGCAAACTGTGAGAGTCAAGGGCAGGCTTTGCCCTTCCCCAGCAGCAATGAGATGCCCAGTTCCCATGGCCCTGAGCAGCCCAGGAAGAAGCAGAGATCTTCCAGGAATGGTGATAATGGGTATGAGGGAAGGACCCTGGGAGGAGGGGCACTGAGTGTGTGAGCCTGGAGCAGGACCATCTGTGAGACAAGAGAGGCAGCAGGATAAGATGTGGAGCACCCTGCTTGGGGCAGTGGAGAAATGGAGAGACACAAGTTCAGGGCGTCTTAACATTATTCATCATGGAGGCCTCCTCTCCTGACCAGGCATGCACTGAAAGGAGCCTGTGGAAATAGAAACTCCAATGGAAGAAGCTAAAGGTTCTGGGGACTGCACCTTACACCTCACTGCCCCAAATTAATAAATCAACTCTAATGCCTCTTTAGAACTGTTGCCAGATGCAGTGAGGAGAAAGGGAAGGAGAGTAGTGATAATGACAATTCATGCAGCTTAACAAATTCTGAAAACTATTGTCTTTCTGCTAAACACATGATAGTGATGATTAAAGCTTAAACTATAATTCTGGCACGAAGTGTTCAAATACACCGTTTTCTAGTCCAGAGTCCATGTTATTTCACTTGAACAAACACTTGCACTATGATTTTCATGTTTTGAAAAATATAAGTGTTTTAAATATGTTGAATCCTTTTCAGTCTCCCTACACAGAAGATAGATATCATTGAAAAGAAAAAAAAAACGCTCATGCACACAAAGTTAAAGTGACTTGCCCCAGGATGGCACAATAATTACAACAAGTGGCACAGATAGCATTTGGTTCCAATGATACACCAGGATCTGTGCTCTTCACCTCTCTGCCCTATCACTCACCCTGCAAAAGCTGCAAAATTCTGAAACAACTGGAAAGAATGGCAAGTTATACATGGATGAAATCACATGTGGTTCATTTCTCCCTCTTAGAAAAGGACAGGGGTTCAGAGAATTTAAGCGTCTGAACCACTATCCAATGGTTGTGGGAAAAAACACTAAAACACCAATCCACTTCCCAGCCTGATGTTCTTCTACCACTTAGCTCCTCCTTTCTCTGCAGATGCCAGCAGCTGTTTTCCTTTGTGGTTATTTTGGAAAAGCTTCCCATCCACAACCTTGTCTCCATTGGAAAGCTCAAGTAATTGTCATATCATCCTCTGAGTGTCTTCAGTCTCTCAAGTTTCCGAACCACCATCACACTTCCTCCATGTAAACACTTCACAGACAAACAAAGTCAAACTCAGTTTTGTGAATACATTGTCTCTACTATTCAGTTGCTGGACCAGTTAACTAATCAACTGAGGTTGCTAATGAGGTTTGATCTCTTTCTCTGAGACTCCCAGGGAGAAATCACTCTGGCAAGGACTATTGCCAGCTGGCCACCATAGCTCTATGGGCGGTAGGGCCAAATTTGGTTTGAAGAAAGATCCAACAACTCTGAGCCTTAAGATCTGAGTGAATTACCTTTTATAAGGGTAGTGGATCCTTGAATCTAAAACATGAAAAGCTAAATCACGAGCCATGTTTAGAGCCACCACGTATGAAACAACATGGGCATTTCCAAACACACATTGACACTAGCTAGAGCAGCAGCAGAAATATAAACTGCCCTAAGATCTGAAACTTAGGAAAAGAGATGGAGTTTGCAGGCCAAGACTGGATTCTCCCTCACATGAAAAGATCTTCTCCTCAGAAGAACAACAGCATGCCTCCAAGGCATAGTATATTCACAAATCTAAAATGAAAGCCTAATGTCTGTCTGTGTATGTTTTAAGGTTAAAGAGTAAAGAAGGTAATCAGATGACCATTTAACTTCTCAATTATAGTAATTGAGCAGATGAGTATTAACTAGGGCCCAGATAAATCAAGATGATAGGTGAATCAGGATAAGCAAATCAGGATGTTTGTCCCCCACAAAACTTATGTTGGAATTTAATTTTCATTGTAACTATATTAAGAGGTGGAATCTTTATGAAGTGATTGAGTCATGAGGGCTTGGACCTCATGAGTAAGATGAATGCCATTATAAAAGAGGGAGTTTGGCCCCCTCTGCCTCTTTGCCTTTTTGCCTTTGGTCAGGCGGTGATGTAGCAGTAAGGTCCTCACCAGGTGCAGTAACTATATCTTAGATTTCTAGTCTCCAAAACTGTGAGAAAATTAATTTCTGTTTATTATCAATTACTCAGTCTCAGGTATTCTGTTGTAACAGCACAAATGGACTAAGACTGGAAGAATGTCTACCTGATATCCCTTACTCCTTCGCCAGTATCAGAACCAATCATTTACATGATACGTCATTGTATCATGCTAAGAATATTTTAGACTATTTTGCATTAGAGTTTACAAATGCAATTTGGTCTTTACGTGTGAGATATGTATATATGATATATATTCTGGATATAAGTATTTAAGTATATATCCAGAATATATGCATTTTGGGCTTAATATACCTATTTGGGAATTATAAAAGTTTTCTTTAAAAGATCACTCAAAACTATCATCTGTAGGAATTATTTACCTGCAAAATATATTGGTTTAGAAGGGTGAAAAGGATCAAGTTAGCTGATAATTGTTAAAATTCTCTACCATCCCTATGCATCTTTTAACATAAGATAAATTTTAATCATATTTAGCCATTTTATTTTTAATTTTGTAATATTTATAGCTTAACCCCATTCTAAATTGAACCAGATGGACCTTAGCTGAAACGATTTCATCTGCAGACTCTACCTATAGGGATCTGCTCAGCAACAGGTCATTAGGGGGATTTGTTTAAGTCCTGAGTAGTAAAAAAAAAACTGCATTTACCATCAGCAGCTTCTGGAAAGAAAAATAAAAAGAAAATCAGTAAAAAACTTTGAATAGGTTTATCATAAAACATTTTTGAAACTTAGAGAGAAGAGACAATTTTCTAGAAAAGTCTATCAAACTCACTCCAAAAAATAGGAAAATTGAATGGATTTACAGTCATTAAACAAATTAAAATTTAAGCTACAATACATAAAGAACCATTTAAGCTACAAACACGAATTAAAATAAATAACCCTGTTCATAGTACTTTGAAAGGTTTGAGGCCTGAGAGATCTTACAAGTCTTCAATAAACAGATAATCTAATCTTAAAAGAGGAAAGTTTCCAGTTCATTCATAAATATATTATACTTTTAATACCAGGTCTGAATAAAGGTTATATGAAATATAAGAACTAGAAATCTGCAAAAATTATAAACTTAGATAACCTGTCAGAAATTCAAAACATCTATATGAACAGTGTAACAAGCTGACTGAGTATTCAGGATGAAAATCATATTTTTTGTAACATAATCTCAGTAATGGCATCCATCACTTTGCTGTATTTCATTTCTCAGAATCTAGTCACTATGCCCAGCTGACACGAAAGGAGAGAGTAGTACAGAAGGATTTGATTACTGGAGGGTGAAAGTCATGATGTGGCAAGGAGCTAAACATCAGTTTGATTAACATGTAGATTATTTCCATTTTTTTTTTGTCCGTTAAAAATTATCCTGCTAAGAACATTTGTATACAAGTCTTTGTGTGAACATAAGTTTCCATTTCTAGCCAATAGGTCCCTAGAAATAGAATTGCTTGATCATATGGTAACTTCATGATTAATATTTTGAGAAGTTGTCAAGCTCTTTTCTAAATCAGCCACATGGTTTTACACTTCCCACCAGCAGTGTTAGAGAATTGCAATTTCTCTACATTATCAACAGTGCTTGTTATTATATTTTTTTATTATAGCCATATTAGTAGGTATGTGAGGTACACTCTCCTTACAGTTTTGGTTTCCATTTTCCTCATGTCTAATGATGGAGCATTTTTCCATAATTAAGCATATTTCCATGTCTCTTTGGCCATTTGTATATCTTATTTGGGGAGATGTATTTCAAATATTTTGCTCATTTTTAATTGTATTATTTGTCTTCTAGTATTGAGGTATAAGATACAGATATGAGACTTGTATATAAGATATGCAAGATATATGTACAAATATTATATATACATATATCTTATATATAGATTCCTTATCAGATGTATGATGTGCAAGTATTTTCTACCATTCTATGAGTTGTCTTTTCACTTTGTTGACTGTGTCCTTTTAAGCACAAAATCGGTAAATTTTATTGAAATCTCATATGTATTTATTATATTTTAAATATATATATGTATATATTTACCACCTGTGCATTTGATGTCGTAACTTTAAAAAACCATTGCCTGTTCCAAGGTCACCAAGGGTTGCTTATATGATTTCTTCTAGGTGTTTTGATGGTTTTATCTTTTAAATTTGTCTGTGATCCGTTTTGAATTAATTTCTATGTGTAGCATAAAAATGGGAAGAAATTGACCAGGTGTGGTGGCTCACACCTGTAATCCGAGCACTTTGGGAGGCCAAGGCAGGCAGATCACCTGAGGTCAGGAGTTCGAGACCAGCCTGACCAACACGGAGTAACCCCATTGAATATTCTTCTCTGCTGAATTTCTATGACACATTTATCAGAAAAAAAAAAAAAAACTAGCTGTAAATGAAAGAGATTATTCCTGGATTCTGAATTCTCTACCACTGAAATCTGTGCTTATCATTATGCCAGTTCCACAAAATCTTGATTATTGTAGCTTTGTAGTAAATTTTGTAATCTAGAAGCCTAAGCCCTCCAATGTTGTTTTTCTTCATCCAGATTACTTTGGCTGTTCTGAATTTCCATATGAATGTTAGGATCAGCCTGTCAATTTCTGCAAAAAAGCCATCTGGTACACTGATAGGGATTGTGATAAATCTATAGACAAATCTGGGGAGAATGTCCACCTTTATACTATATTATATTATGGTCACTGAACAAGAGATGTATTTTCATTTATTTAGATTGCTGATTTCATTTGCCAGTGTTTTTCACTTTTAGTATACAAAACTTGAACTTTTTAAAAAGTGAATTTCTAAAAGTTTTATTCTATGTTAATGCAATGAAATTGTTTCTTGATATCATTTTGTAGTTTTCATTGCTAGCATATGGTTTTTCCTACAGAATGTTTCTCGTATGTTTGAGAACTCTATGTTTTGCTGGTGTTGGGTGAAGCATTTTGTAGATATCTGCATGATCCAGTTGGATTAGAATATTTTCAAGTGTTCTACTTCTTTATTGATCTTTTAAGTGTTCTACTCACTATTCTAAGTGGTGAATTGAGATGTATTATTATTGAATTATCTACTTCTCCTTTTAAGTCTGTCAGTTTTTGTTTCATGTATTTTGTTTTACTTTTTTATTATTATTATACTTTAAGTTCTGGGATACACGTGCAGAACATGCAGGTTTGTTACATAGGTATACATGTGCCATGGTGGTTTGTTGCACCCATCAACCTGTCATCTACATTAGATATTTCTCCTAATGCTATTTCTCCTTTTGGTCCCCACCCCCTGAGAGGCCCCAGTGTGTGATGTTCCCCTCCCTATGCCCATATGTTCTCATTGTTCACTTCCCACTTATGAGTGAGAACATGCAGTGATTGGTTTTCTGTTCCTGAGTTAGTTTGCTGAGAATGATGGTTTCCAGCTTCATCCATGTCCCTGTAAAGGACATGAACTCATCCTTTTTTATGGCTGCATAGTATTCCATGGTGTATATGTGCTACATTTTCTTTATCCAGTCTATTATTGATGGGCATTTGGGTTGGTTCCAAATCTTTGCTATTGTGAATAGTGTTGCAATAGACATACATGTGCATGTGTCTTTATAGTAGAATGATTTATGTTCCTTTGGGTGTATACCCAGTAATGGGATTGCTGGGTCAAATGGTATTTCTAGTTCTAGATCCTTGATGAATTGCCACACTGTCTTTCACAATGGTTGAGCTAATTTACAGTCCCACCAACAGTGTAAATGCGTTCCTGTTACTCTACATCCTCTCCAGCATCTGTTGTTTCCTGACTTTTTAATGATTGCCATTCTAACTGGCGTGAGATGGTATCTCACTGTGGTTTTTGATTTGCATTTCTCTAATGACCCACGATGATGAGCCTTTTTTCATGTTTGTTGGCCCCATAAATGTGTTCTTTTGAGAAGTCTCTGTTCATATTCCTTCACCCAATTTTTGATGGGGTTGTTTGTTTTTTTCTTGTAAATTTGTTTAAGTTCCTTGTAAATTCTGGATATTAGCCTTTTGTCAGATGGATAGATTGCAAAAATTTTCTTCCGTTCTGTAGGTTGCATTTTCACTCTGATGATAGTTTCTTCTGCTGTGCAGAAACTCTTTAGTTTAATTAGATCCCATTTGTCAATTTTGTCTTTTGTTGCAATTGCTTTTGGTGTTTTAGTCATGAAGTCTTTGCTCATGCCTATGTCCTGAATGGTATTACCTAGGTTTTCTTCTAGTTTTTTTATGGTTTTAGGTCTCATGTTTAAGTCTTTAGTCTATCTTGAGTTAATTTATGTATAAGGTGTAAGGAAGGAGTCCAGTTTCTGTTTTCTGTGTATTGCTAGCCAGTTTTCCCAACACCATTTATTAAATAGAGAATCCTTTCCACATTGCTTGTTTTTGTCAGGTTTATCAAAGATCAGATGGTTGTAGACATGCAGGTTTATTTCTGAGGCCTCTGTTCTGTTCCATTAGTCTATATATCTGTTTTGGTACCAATACCATGTTATTTTTGTTACTGTAACCTTGTAGTATAGTTTGAAGTCAGGTAGTCTGATGCCTCCAGCTTTGTTCTTTTTACTTAGGATTGTCTTGGCTATACAGGCTTTTTGTTGTTGTTGTTGTTCCATATGAAATTTAAAGTAGTTTTTTCTAATTCTTTGAAGAAAGTCAAAGGAAGCTTAGTGGGAATAGCATTGAATCTATAAATTACTTTGGGCGTTATGGCCATTTTCACGATATTGATTCTTCCTATCCATGAGCATGGAATGTTTTTCCATTTGTTTTTGTCCTCTCTTATTTCGTTGAGCAGTGGTTTGTAGTTCTCCTTGAAAATGTCCTTCACATACCTTGTAAGCTTTATCCTAGGTATTTTATTCTCTTTGTAGCAATTGTGAATGAGAGTTCACTCATGATTTGGCTCTCTGTTTGTCTATTATTGGTGTATAGAAATGTTTGTGATTTTTGCACATTGATTTTGTATCCTGAGACTTTGCTGAAATTGCTTATCACCTTAAGGAGTTTTTGGGCTGAGATGATGGGGTTTTCTAAATATGCAATCATGTCACCTGCAAATAGAGACAATTTGACTTCCTCTTTTCCTATTTTAATACGCTTTATTTCTTTCTCTTGCCTGATTGCCCTGGCCAGAACTTCCAACACTATGTTGAATAGGAGTGGTGAGAGAGGGCATCCTTGTCTTGTGCTGGTTTTCAAAAGGAATGCTTCCAGTTTTGCTCATTCAGCATGATATTGGCTGTGGGTTTGTCATAAATAGCTCTTACTATTTTGAGATGTAGTTCATCAATACCTAGTTTATTGAGTGCTTTTAGCATTAAGTGGTGCTGAATTTTATCAAAGGCTTTTTCTGCATCCATTGAGATAGTCATGTGGTTTTTGTCATTGATTCTGTTTATGTGTTGGATTACATTTATTGATCTGTGTATATTGAACCAAGCTTGCATCCCAGGGATGAAGCTGACTTGATCATGGTGGATAAGCTTTTTGATGTGCTGTTGGATTCAGTTTGCCAGTATTTTATTGAAGATTTTTGCATCGATGTTCATTAGGGATATTGGCCTGAAATTTTCTTCATTTTGTTGTGTCTCTGCCAGGTTTTGGTATCAGGATGAGGCTGGACTCATAAAATGAGTTAGAGAGTAGCCTCTCTTTTTCTATTGTTTGGAATAATTTCAGAAGGAATGGTATCAGCTCCTCTTTATACCTCTGGTAGAATTCAGCTATGAATCCATCTGGTCCTGGGATTTTTTTTGGTTGGTAGGCTATTAATTACTGCCTCAATTTCAGAATTTGTTATTGGTCTATTCAGGGATTTGACTTCTTTTTGGTTTAGTCTTGGAAGGGTGTATATGTCCAGGAATTTATCCATTTCTTCTAGATTTTCTAGTTTATTTGTGTGGAGGTGTTTGTAATATTCTCTGATGGTAGTTTGTATTTCTGTGGGATCAGTGGTGATCTCCTCTTTATCATTTTTTATTGTGTCTATTTGATTCTTCTCTCTTTTCTTCTTTACTAGTCTGGCTAGAGGTCTATCGATTTTGTTAATCTTTTCAAAAAAACCAGCTGGATTCATTGATTTTTTGAAGGGATTTTTGTGTCTCTATCTCCTTCAGTTCTGCTCTGATCTCAGTTATTTCTTGTCTTCTGCTAGCTTTTGAATTTGTTTGCTCGTGCTTCTCTAGTGCTTTTAATTGTGATGCTAGGGTGTCAATTTTAGATCTTTCTCGCTTTCTCCTGTTGGCATTTAGTGCTGTAAATTTTTCTGTAAACATTGCTTTAGCTGTGTCCCAGAGATTCTGATACATTGTGTCTTTCTTCTCATTGGTTTCAAAGAACTTATTTATTTCTGCCTTAGTTTCATTATATACCCAGTAGTCATTCAGGATCAGGTTGTTCAGTTTCCATGCAGTTGTGCAGTTTTGAGTGAGTTTCTTAATCATGAGTTCTAATTTGATTGCACTGTGGTCTGAGAGGCTCTTATGATTTCCATTCTTTTGCATTTGCTGAGCAGTGTTTTCCTTCCAATTATGTGGTCAATTTTAGAATAAGTGTGATGTGGTGCTGAGAAGAATGTATATTCTGTTGATTTGGGGTGGAGAGTTCTCTAGATGTCTATTAGGTCCACTTGGTCCAGAGCTGAGTTCAAGTCCTGAATATCCTTGTTAATATTCTGTCTCGTTGATCTGTCTGATATTGACAGTGGGGTGTTGAAATCTCCCACTATTATTGTGTGGGAGTCTAAGTCTCTTTGTAGGTCTCTAAGAACTTGCTCAATGAATCTGGGTGCTCCTGTATTGGGTGCATATATATTTAGGATAGTTAGCTCTTCTTGGCGCATTGATCCCTTTACCATTATGTAATGCTCTTCTTTGTCTTTTTTTATCTTTGTTGGTTTAGAGTCTGTTTTATCAGAGATGAGAATTGCAACCCCTGCTTTTTTTTTTTTATTTTGGGCTTTCCATTTGCTTGGTAAGTATTCCTCCATCCCTTCATTTTGAGCCTGTGTGTGTCTTTGCACATGAGATGGGTCTCCTGAATACAGCACACAGATGGGTCTTGACTCTATCCAGTTTGCCAGTCTGTGTCTTTTAATTGGGGCATTTAGCCCATTTTCATTTAAAGCTAACATTGTTATGTGTGAATTTGATCCAGTCATTATGATGCTAGCTGGTTATTTTGCCCATTAGTTGATGTGGTTTCTTCATAGTGTCGATTGTCTTTACATTTTGGTATGTTTTCGCAGTGGCTGGTACCAGTTTTCCTTTTCATATTTAGTGCTTCCTTCAGGAGCTCTTGTAAGGCAGGCCTGGTGGTGACAAAATCCCTCAGCATTTGCTTGTCTGTAAAGGACTTTATTTCTCCTTTGCTTATGAAGCTTAGTTTGACTGGATATGAAATTCTGGGTTGAAAATTCTTTTCTTTAAGAAAGTTGCATACTGGCCCCCACTGTCTTCTGGCTCACAGGATTTCTGCAGAGAGATCCTCTGTTAGTCTGATTGGTGTCCCTTTGTGGGTAACCTGGCCTTTCTTTCTGGCTGCCCTTAACATTTTTTCCTTCATTTCAACCTTGATGAATCCAACAATTATGTGTCTTGGGGCTGCTTTTCTCAAGGAGTATCTTTGCCGTCTTCTCTGTATTTCCTGAATTTGAATGTTGGCCTCTCTTACTAGGCTGGGGCAGTTCTCCTGGATAATATCCTGAAGTATGTTTTCCAATTTGGATCCATTCTCCCTGTCACTTTCAGGTACACCAATCAAACGTAGGTTTGGTCTTTTCACATAGTCCCATATTTCTTGGGGGCTTTGTTCTTTCCTTTTCATTCTTTGTTCTCTAATCTTGTCTTCACTCTTGACTTCATTAAGTTGATCTTCAATCTCTGATATCCTTTCTTCTGCTTGATTGATTCAGCTATTGATACTTGCGTACGCTTCATGAAGTTCTCGTGCTGTGTTTTTCAGCTCCATCAGATCATTTATGTTCTTCTCTAACTAGTTATTCTAGTTACCAGTTCCTGTAACCTTTTATCAAGATTCTTAGCTTTCTTGCATTGGGTTAGAACATGCTCTTTCAGCTCAGAGGGGTTTGTTATTACCCACCTTCTGAAGCCTACTTCTGTCAATTCATCAAACTCATTGTCTATCCAGTTTTGTTTCCTTGCTGATGAGGAGTTGTGATCCTTTGGAGGAGAAGAGGCTTTCTGGTTTTTGGAATTTTCATCCTTTTTGCGCTTGTTTTTTTCTCATCTTCATGGATTTATCTATCTTTGGTCTTTAATGTTGGTGACCTTCGGATGGTGATTTTCCTGGGTGTCCTTTTAGTTGATATTGATGCTATTGCTTTCTGTTTGTTAGTTTTCCTTCTAAGAGTCAGGCCCCTCTTCTGCAGGTCTGCTGGAGTTTGTTGGAGGTCCACTCCGGACCCTGTTTGCCTGTGTCTCACCAGCGGAGGCTGCAGAACAGCAAATATTGCTGCCTGCTTCTTCCTCTGGAATCTTTGTCCCAGAGAGGCACTGGCCAGATGCCAGCTGGAGCTCTCCTGTATGAGGTGTCTGTCAACTCCTGCTGGGAGGTATCTCCCAGTCATCAGGCACTGGAGTAAGGGACCCACTTGAGAAGGCAATCTGTCCTTTAGCAGAGCTTGCGTGCTGTGCGAGGAGACCCGCTGCTCTCTTCAGAGCCAGCAGACAGGAAAGGTTAAGTCTGCTGAAGCTTGGCCCACAGCTGCCCCTTCCCCCAGGTGCTCTGTCCCAGGGAGATGGGAGTTTATCTATAAGCCCCTGACTGAGGCTGCTGCCTTTCTTTCAGAGATGTCCTCCCCAGAGAGGAGGAATCCGGAGGGGCAGTCTGGTTATAGCGGCTTTGTCACACTGCAGTGGGTTCCACCTGTTTCAGGTATTTTGAGACATCTTCCTGAAGAATTAACTACTTTATTATTATAAAATACTCCTTTTCTTCTCAAGTAACATTTTTGCTTTAAAGTCAAATATGTCTGATATTAGTATCATTGCAGACAAAACCAGTCCCCCAAAAGATGGAGTCTTTCCCTATTTGGTGTCACAAAGCCAATACATGAAACAGAAAGTGAGTGTCAAGCACTGCAGGATTTATTTGATGGCCATGGAATTGAGAAGCAGGAACATGACTCACAAATTGGCTTCTCTGCTAGTGAGGGGTAAAGTGGTTAAAATATAGGGTTTCTCCAATGAAAGGACTGGGCATTAAAAACAAAGGGAGGAATATTCATGTCTTTTCTGGAAATAGGTTGTGAACTTCCTAGGAACCAGAGTGTGCTTCCTTTTTGTACCTTTATTGCTTCTTCTGGCCATTGTCATGGTGATTGTCAGCTGTCATTGTGCTGGTAGGAGTGTCATTTAGCATGGAAATGAGATTATAATGAACCAGATGTCTTTCTGAGGTCCTTTGATGGTGATCTTGATTCTAACCAGTATCAGCTGGACTAGTTATAAAGGAAACTTTTTACCACAGGCATTCTGTTTCTTAAAGATAAGCAGAGTTCAGACAGGGTAGAAATTCAGCAATCTCATATAGGCATTACACTGGGTAACAGTACAGAAACCAGTGTTCTTATGGTTTCTGTTTGCAAGATATGTCTATTTCCTTCCTTTTATTTTCAAGCTATTTGTGTCTTAATTTAACTCATGTCTCTCATACATAGCATACAGTTGAATCTTGTTTTCATTGTTGTTACTTTAATCCAGGATGACAATTTGTTTCCTTTGTTATCAAATCACATTTAACTCTATTATTGATATGATTGATGTTATGGGCTGAACTGTGTCCCTGCACAATTAATTTGTGAAAGTCCTAAGAGTAATATTTCAGAATTTAACTTTATTGAGAGTTAGGATATTTAAAGAGATGATTAAGTATGCCTGTATATTTAATTTACATAATTGATCATTCACTTATTCATTCATCCAAGGAGTAGCATTTAACAAACTTTGCAGGCTGGCCTCCAAAAATGTACCACTAATGCACTCAGGACCGCAGACCTGACAATTCTCCTTAAGTTATCATTTCAGTCATGACTTCAAATTGCATAACCAAGAACAGATGTGTTCTCCTCAGACCCCAACTATGCGAATTCTTCTGGAATATTAAATACTCCAGTCAGACTGGATCAACAATTTAATTATTTGTGTAATTCACACTAGGTTCATGCTAACATGTGTTGTGGATGAAATCTTAATCTTTTTATCTTGTCATAAACAAGGCCACCACATGTTCATAAGCCTGACATACATAAAATGTGAGTGGGGTTTTAACAAGTGGATGGGCCATGGCAAGCTCTGGAGTGTGACAATCATTCCCACCCCAACCACCCAAGCATGGGCTGTAGAAAGAGCAAATGCAGAAGACAGAACACTGGATAAAAATAAGTTTGTTTTTATTTTTCAGGGCTCTAGAGACTGAGACAGGTGAAGGTACTGAAGATCAGCGATGCAAACTCATTAGGGAGGAGATGGTCTGAACTGAGTTGGAGACATAGTCTAGTTTAATTTTTGACTTCATAGTAATTGCAGGACCAGTTCTAGACATCCATTTTTCAGCTTCCTCTAGTTTTTGAACTTGCAAACAAAGGAGAACTTCTTCTCACAAGATTCATCCTTCCATTTCTTGAATCCTATGGTACAATGAGAAGTGTCAGACATAGAGGATCAGAAGGAGTGTAGCCCCTCCTCAACCTAGGACTCAGAACAAAAAACTAGAGGAAATACTTCTTTATTTTCCAGATAAGGAGCTTACCTTTCCTCTATCCCAGTCCCCATGTTCATCCCCAGAGATAAGTGGGAAGGAAATGGCAACAGGTGGATAGATTGTCTGCCTCTCACCTGAGCATGAAGTCAGGCTTGCACAGTAGCCAGCATTAGCACTGCTCGGGGATCCAGTGTCCCAGGACTTGTAGGAGACCAGGGACCCACTACTCCAGTGCCAGCGGCGGTTCTAGATGGAGAAGGGCCAGAACAGGGGCCATGGTCACTCAAAAATCAATAGAATAACCAGGCCTGTGTGCACACTCAGAAACAGGCCAAGTTATAGCAGAAAGAATAAACATTGTTGTCACCATGAATATCATATCATTTCCTCTGCTTTTGCTCTAAGCTTCTCCTTCTCTAGAATGTCCGAATTCCTCCTCCTCTTCCAGCAAATAATAAGTGTTCAGAATTTGATACAGAGACCCATAAAAGCCCATTAAAGAGAGTGGTTTCTGATTTTTTTCCTGAATCTCAGAACTCTCATATCCAGCATAACATTGGCTGTAGAGTAGTCGTTGATATATTATTTAGTTTATAGTGTTAAACTAAATAATATACTGTACAGTTTTATACACTTGTATAAAATGTATAACAAATGCCAGCAGTAGATTCTCCTCCACTACTCATTTTCTATATAGTCTACAGAGGGACCTCTTCCAAGACAGACAATAGCAAAATAGGGAAAAAGTTGTACATAAAGATGCATTTCTAGAAGTAGACACAATGAGTGGGTGCATGAATTCCCAGAGCCCAGAAAATTCAGCCTTCAGCTCATGTCTCTAACTACCTACACTGAACTTCACAACTCATACATTATAGGATCTATAAAGAGGTTGCTTTTATTTAAACAAACAAAAAGATAAAAGTTGGTGATTGCGGTGCCAGACCTTAAACGTCCCTCTTACCTCTCAAAAATGTTTATAAGGAGATAGAGGTGGCTGCAGACTGACCTTTTTTGGGTCATGGAGGCCAATCCAGACATTGCTGTCATCAGTGCTACTCTCCTTAATCAGTGAGGCCACGAAGGCACCCTCCGCCTGGGTGAGCACAGACACCAGGTTGCCTGAATTCATGTTCTGGCAATAGAGCTGTTGGAGAAGAAAATGGAGCACTCAGTGGAGAAGGAAGGTGTGAGGGATATACTGAGACCTTCCAGAGGATGTAACAGAAAAAGGACAGCACAGAAATGTCCCTGATGATGCTGTCACTGACCACCAGCATCTCTGTGCTGGGAATGTGTCAAATGATGGGATAAAGTAGATTGGGAAGTTTGGGACCAGTGGTGGAATAGGGAAGGGATCAATCTTATCTCATTGCAGCCACAGAACACACTGCAAATTAGCAGCTGCCTCTACCTTCATAAGCCTCCCTTCCCCTGCTGCTCTCCTCACTCACATCTGCATCAACCCAGGTCTCAGGGTCTTCATTAAAGTAGTAGCAGTAGGAGCGATAGGCATTGGTGCCTTCTGGGCAGCTGATTCGGGGATTAGGCAGCTCTGTCTGGGACTCCTGGCCTGGGGAAAAAAAAAAGGAGATAATTAAGAAAGAATCGCAGGGCAAGGAAAAGGCTGGAAGGTGAATTAGGGGCTTCTTGGTGTCCTTTATAAGAACATATGGATACAGTGAATACTGGGGCGATTGCTCACTTCTGCCCTCCTGCATCCTATCTCTTTTCTCTCTAGTTTCCTCTGCTCAAGACAAGAGCTCACAATGAATAGGCTAAATAAATGAGTCCTCGTTTTCCTTTAATTCTGAGGCTGAGGCTTCTGCCTTTAAAGACCCAGGCTTCCTCCTTTCTCAAGTTTCTCTCGGTTTCCCTGCACACGTTTGCCTTAGCTCTCCATCCTAGCAATGACTACATAAAAACATCCCCCAAACTGCCATCGCATATAGATTCAATCAGATAAACTCAACCACAATGGTCACCTATAAGTGGTCCTATTAAATTCTGTCTCAAACCCATGAATGAGGTGAGGGTGTTTTTGAATGGGATAAAATCAGCCATAATGATCACTGAACAACATAAAAAAACCCTGATGTTGACTCTGCTTTTTTTCAAGTGAACCTTATACATGAGGATGGAGGGAAGAATTCAGAGTTGGGGTTGTGGGAAGTGTGGGGGAAAATCTCACCTTGGCTCAGAGACAGGAACATCAGGGAGGAGATCAGCATGAAGAACGAGTTGGTCTGAGCCATGCTTAGCGGCAGTGAATCTCTTGCTTAAGGAGCAAATCAGCAATCTCTGTAGGAGAACACAGGGAAGAGGGTTTGAAGAAGAGAGCAGAGCACCTGTTATCTTTCTAACATCCTCTCCTCTCTGAATTCCTGTGAGCCGAAAGGTCCACTGAGATAGCTACACTCCCAGATATTTCTCTTTTGGTTTGGGGATAACAGAGGCCAAATTACCCGAAATCAGCTTTGGTCTTGCTTAAGTTTCATTACTACTGGGATCTTTTATTCAGAAAATCACCCTGTATCTACCTCAAAATGAAAAGAGAAAATCCCACGTTAGACATGCTCTTCTCCTGTAATGCCCCTTTACCTGTTGGTAAGTGCCTTGTCCACTTGAGGTGGCTTGTCAGGTCAGACAGAGTAGGAGCTTTATATCAGGGTCTGAGAGAGAACTACATGATATAAACAATGGGTGGAGCAAGGAGTAAGGATCAGAAGGCCTACAGAGGGCACTGACAGTAAGAGATTCTGGCATCAGGAATAGCTTATTCCTGGCACACATTAGGAGTGGTCACAAATGACATCAACTTACCACAAACAGGTTGGCAAACTGTCCAAGTTGATGTTGAGCTTTGCTCTTCCTCTGCAGCATCCAGGTGTCCAGTTCCCATGGCCTTTAGCAGTCCTAGAAAGAGCAGAAGAGTAGATTTCTTTGTGCTAGGTAAATGTGGGATGATCCTTTCTTTGGTTTAGGCATGGGTAGGGGTAGGGGAAGAGTCAACTGAGTCCAAATGATTAAGCCCAATTAGCTGGTGGCTTTAAGTCATTTCTCCATTCCCTTTCAGGTTCAGGAACCTCTCAAGACCTACTTCAGAAGGCAAGGTGTATTAGTCCTTTTCATACTGCTATAAAGATAATACCAGAGACTGGGTAACTTAAAAAGGAAAGAGGTTTAATTGACTCATAGTTTAATTGACTCACAGACTTTCCTGAGGATGGGGAGGCCTCAGGAAACTTACAATCATGGAGACGAAGGGGAAGCAAAGCATGTCTTACATGGTGGCAGGTGAGCAAGAGAGAGTGGAGAGGGAAGAGCCCTTTATAAAACCATCAGATCTTGTGAGAATGCACTCACTATCAAGAGAACAGCATGGGGGAAACTACTCCCGTGATCCAATCACCTCCCACTAGGTTCCTCAATCCACACATGGGGATTATGAGGATTACAATTTGAGATGAGATTTGGGTGGGGACACAGAGCCACACCACATCACAAGGTTTAGTAGTTACGTAAATTTAAGCCAGCGTTTCCAGCAAGGTTTCAGCATAAGTAGCTAGCATGATACAGATGTTCTCAAAGTCCAAGCAGGTGGGAACTGCAGGGAGCTGATGCCTAAGTAAGCTCAAAGTAATGGAATATGAAGTTGTTGGTTTGAAGTCAATTGTCTGTTGTTGTGAAGTTACAGATAGTGATGTGAAATTAAAAGCTTACTGAAATTCCCATTAAATACCCATTCAGAATCAGGGAACAAGAGCAAATCTGGAATTTAAAATTCAGTTGAAAAACTAACCAAAATGTTCACAGAAATAAGGATGGCTATATCAATTGGGATAAATGACAAAATAATATATTTTGAAATACTAACAGGAGTTAAATTAAATAAACTAAATATATTTATATAAACATGAGCTCATTTCAAAAGCATATATAAACAAAATGAATTTTAAAAGTTGCAAAAATTTACAAACTAATAATATTTATATGTGCTTTAAAAAAGCTAATTATTTATATTTTTTTATCTATTCACATGTAGTTTAAAGTAAAATAAATCCGTAATAAAACACTATACAAAAAATTTTCATACTCATTAGAAATGCAAAATGTTTGTTTCTCAGTTCTGCAAGGAAAAGTCAGCATTCAGACAAAAAGTTCTCTCAGCGAGGCAATTTTTAATTTCTGCAGAAAGGATGCCCCTCACAGATGGAACAATGGCAAGGGCATACACAGAATGAAGAGACACCAGAATATTTATTCCTTACGCATGAGGTCCCTATTGCTGTGTCCTGTCTCCATTGGCTGGAGCCAGACCTCACAATCTAAATTAAAACCTGATTGGCTAATAATTTAAAACTTTTTAAAATAGGTACAAAAATAATAATATTTCCAAATAAGGAAGGGGCACAGGCTGTGAACTAGGACATACCTATGAGCACGTCCAACACAAATATCTTGGTTAAGGTACAAGGACATGGAATGTACTACGTGCCTGTGACTGTTCAACAGCTATATAAGATAGGGCTTAACAAAGAGTTATTAGCGTAAAGCGAGGGGGCTTGAAGGAAGTTCGTCTTTAAAATAAACTATTATTTCTAACACTTATGATTTATTCTTTAACAAGAAGGGAAACTTTGAACAGGGATCTTTTTACCGTTTACATTACTGTTTTCCTGGAGAATATATAATTTTGTCCCTTTATAATAATCATTTTAAACATAGATGACAGAGGTTAATACTGTTTAGTCTAACAGGTTCAAAAGTGTTTGTCAAACTACTCTAATTTATTTCAGCATTTTCTAAAAATAATTTTCTTTAAAGCTTACAACCAGAGAAAGATTTGAGTTTTTTTTTCTGTAAGAATTTCAATCATATTATTCAGAGTTAGAAAGGGATGAAGAAAAGAGAAATCTAGTATGCTTGTTACCATAAGTTTATCTTGCCAAAATCAAACGAGCAATTATTAGTAGTAGTAGTAGTATTATCATTATTTTTGAGACAGGGTCTCTCTTTGTCACCTAGGCTAGAGTGCAATGGCTCAAACAAGGCTCACATCAGTCTTGAGCCCCTGGGCTCAACTGTTCTCCCGCCTCAGCCTCCTGAGTAGCTGGGAGTATAGGCGCACACCTCCACGCCAGGCTAATTTTTGTATTTTCAGTAGAGACAGTGTTTTACTATGTTGCCCAAGCTGGTCTCAAACTCCTGGGCTCAAGCCATCTGCCTGCCTCAGCCTCCCAAAGTGCTGGTATTATGGGCAGGAGCCACTCTGTTGGGCCAATTTTTAAAAATTAATACAAAAAAATTATTTGTGGTAATTTTTTAAATGAGAGTTTTTCTTTACATCAAGAAGACTTCAACTAGACAATGACTTTTCAGGTACAAAAGATCTAATACTTTCAAATATATAATAAAACACATTGTGGCTAGCACGATATGAAAGCATTTTAAAACAAATAACAGTTGACGCAACTCTCATAAAATGTTTATTGCCCCAATAGCTGTATGCCCGTTTAGATAACTAACCGTTATTGCTCACATAGGTTACTGACCAAATTCCACAGGCCAGGTAGTAAAATTGAGGACATTTACTGGCAGCCACTTTGGTTCCAAAATGATGCCTTTGTCAAGGAAGCCATATTTCCCAATCCTTTAAGATTTATCTCCTTGTCCTCAGGATTCTGAAGGTCCTGTCCCCTGAACTAGTTTTACAAAGTTCTAAGAAGCTGATTTTAGGCCTTTCCTATCTATTTCTTCTGTTAGTCTTCACATAGGTGGAAAGGGGTAAACTGGATAACTAGTGTTAGTATATCCCCAAATGGGGGCAATTTCTTGATACGCCTCAATAAAGCTTAGAGAGTTTCAAGACTATGGCTTATTTTTAGCGCTATTGGCCATCTTCTATCTGCTGTTCCCTGTTTTCCACCTTTTAACAGATTTTAGACTTATTATGGAGACAGAATCTCTCTTTTGTTTAAAACTTTTGGCAGGCATGTGAATAACAGCCTGTCTGCAAACTTCAGACTGGAAAGGAAAGGAGCTGAAGGAGTACCATATGCCCCAAGAATTTTCCATGGTCCGCTGTATTGTGCAGATGTAAAGAAACTTCCTTATAAATTAGCCTCTTCTGCTTCACAGGAAAGCTTCAGTTTATTTAACACAAATTTTCATCATGTGCTCTCTATGCCAGGCACTATTCTAAATGCTTAACAAATAGGCACCCACTTAATCCACATGACAACTTTGTAATATGGGTACTAGGAGGAACCATATATCACATATGAAGAAACTGAAGGTAAGAGCAGAGCTAAGCAACTTCCCCAAGATCAAACAGTTACTCTACATTGAAGCTAGATTCAAAGGCAAGAAGTTTTGCTTCGCATTCATTTTCTTAGCTCAATGAAACCTGCTAGTTTCCTTCTCTTTATTTCTTTCCACATTCAACCAGTCTAGCTCTCTGAGGCCTAATTTCAGTATAGAACCACCCATTGATCATGGCCATGGCCAGAGGCCCCACAAGAAGAACTTGAAAAAAAAATACATTTAAGATACTAAGCACCCAGTCCTTACCCTGCAAGTTAATTTGTCCTTTACACACGCTAGCATCACAATCCTCTGTGTGTGTGTGTACGTGTTTTTAAGGAAATGGGAATTGTTCTTTAGAGTCCTCGTTGTAAGGTTTTTGTATCGGTTCAAACCCCGAGAGCGTGCCAACAGACAACAGGAGATGGTGTGTAGCAACATGCTGTTTTAATGAGCACCTGGGTGCAGGCGGGCTGAGGCCTAAAATGGCTTCAGCCCCAAGTGAGGAAGGGGCAAAGGTTTTATAGTCTCCTGTAAACAAGAAGTGTCCTAGTCTGACATAACTGCTACGTTGTACCCAGATGGCCTTTTTCTGGATCTTCAGGGGTACGTGTCTTCCAGCTGGCTCTCTTCCTGCTTCTGCTATCTTGCTGGTGCACGCTGCTGGTGCAAATAGCCTTGCACCCTTGGGACTGGGCCTGAGAAGGGAGGAGTTATTCATTTCCTTAAGCTTTCAGGCCCTGGAGAGAATCTTACATTCCTGTCTATTTGGTTATAGAAAAGGGAAAAGGGATAACTACTTCAGGCGTGACATAGGGGTGGTATGGGCACCTTGGAAAAAGAAAAATTTAATTTTTGGTGTATTCTTAAGAGACGGGTTAGTATCTATAGTGTCATTGTAGCAGGAGCATCATCTGGATTGTCTGGCAGTTAACTGTAGTTTCAACAAGAGTTTTAATGGCTTTTATTATCAGTGGGATAACACAGGAAGAAACAGGAGGAGTCCAATGATGAAGATTACTGTCCTTACCAGCATTTTAAATCATCCTAAAGAACCACCCTCCTAGAAGGTTTGTTGGGTCCCATCCCTTCCAGCTTTGGACTGGTACATGAGCTACTTTTCTTATGTTTGAAGAGGTTTCTAGAACCGCTTTTCCATTATTGTCTATGTTAAGACAGCAATTAGAGATATTAAACTTACCACAGACTCCACCCTCTTCTGCTAATAAGTAGTCTAGTGCTAGCTAGCCTGTTTTGATAAATTGCCACGTGCATTTGGTTTTGTTGTTGCATGAGCATTTCCAGGGCTGAAGTGGTTTGGTTAGTGATTATCTCTAGAACAGCCTGTAGTCTAATTATTCTATTTAGCATATATATAGGAGTGCGATAACCTCAGGAACCATCCTCAGCCTAAGTGGCAGGACAGTTATACTCCATGACCTGTTGTGGAGGCCATTCATCCCCTTGCCATCTTTGGCTTCCTCCTATCTTCAAGGATCATTTTTCTTTGTTTAGGTTATTGTATACAGTGACTCCGAGGGTGTTGCCCACTGTTAATGTTTTGGAGGAAGGAGTATTCTTGGGGGTGAGCTTGACGCTGGTACGATGGACCCAGTGGGGGAGTCTTTGGACTCTCACTACAGTTGGCGTGCTGAGTATCACAGTGTAGGGGCCTGTCCACTTTGGTTGCAGCTTTTGGGTGGGGGTCAGGTTGGCAGATAAACATGTCTGTGCTTGCAATGCAGTTATGTTGAGAGGACGAGGAGGTGTCTACAGGAGAGGCATGGCCTCATTTGCTGCTTCACGAATGAAACACCGTGTCTGGATTAAGGAGGGGAGGTAATTCCTGATGGCTCAAAGTCTGGTAAGGGTAGAGGCCCTAAGACAAAAGTTTGGCCACACATGATTTCAAAGAGACTATAAAAAGAGGGTGCTTTTGGTGTCGTGCAGAGTCTCATGAGGGCAAAAGGGAGATTTTTTTTGTTCACGACTGGTAGGTTTCTAGAGCCAGCTTGGTGAGTTGGGCTTTAAGGACAGAGTTAATTTTTTCAACTTTGCCTGAAGATTGAGGCCTGTAGGGTGTGTGGAGGGCCCATTTTATTTCTAAGGATGTAGAGATGCCTTGGGTAATTTGGCTGATGAAGGCGGGCCCGTTATCAGACTGGATGGATGTTGGGAGTCCGAAACAGGGAATTGCATGCATGATGAGAGTTAGTGTGAGGATATTTGCACCTTCTGAAGTTGTTGGGAATGCTTCTATCTACCCGGAGAAAGTACAGACAAAGACTAGAAGACAGAGGAGCCGTTTATCCGGCGGGATGTGAATGAAGTCTACTTGCCAATCTTGCCTAGGTATCTGGCCCCAGTCTTGGTGAGTAGGAAAAGGCGGTGGCCAGAGGGAGCCCTGAGGTGACACTAAGTGGCAGATAGAACAGGTTTGGGTAATTTCTCAAACACGGCTGGAAAGGTGAGGACAAGTGAGAATGGGACAGAGAAGTTGCAAGAGAGGTTTGTAACCAACATGGAAAGAGTTGTGGAGGATTTGGAGGTGAGGAAGACTTTGAGAGTGAGGAAGAACGAAGCGCCCTTCCTTGACATATGATGCTCCTTGCTTTTGAAGGTTTTGGGCTCAGAAGTCCTCCTTTTCTTCTGAGGAGTAAAGAGGAGAGAACAAGGACAGGGACAGAAACCGGCCTTGCACAGGTTGTAGGGCTACTTGTTTGGCTACCTGATCTGCTAAAGCATTTCCCACCGATATAGGATTGTCTGGGGTTTGGTGGCCCCTGCAATGAATGATGGCAACTTTCTGTGCGAGCCGGGCAGCTTGAAGGAGCTTGCTGATGGGGGAGTCATTTATGACAGCGATATTTTTGGCAGTTAGGAAACCCCGTTCTTTCCAGATGGACAAGTGTGAGTATACTATGTGGAAAGCATAATGAGAATTTGAATATATGTTGATCTGTTGTCTGGTTGCTAGAGTGAGAGCTCGAGTGAGGGCGATGAGTTCAGCTTTTTGGGAGGTGATGCCTAGGAGGAGTGGATTGGCTTCAATAGTGTGTGTGGGGGTGACACTATAGCATAGCCAGCATGCCGGCGTCCTTGATGTAGGAAGGAGCTGCCATCTACAAACCAAGTAAAGGAGGCATCTGGAAGATATTGGTATGTTAGATTTGGAAAAGGTATAAGAAAGGTTTGAATAGTGTTCAAACAGAAGTGTGTAGGGTCTTGGGTGGTTGTAGCTTCAGGTAAGAGCGTGGCCGGGTTTAGACGGGAGCTGGTTAGCATGGTGATTTGGGGGCTTTCTATGAATAGAGCATACAGTTGGAGGAGCTGTGGGGCAGAGATGAGACTTAGTACACTGTGGTGAGCTAGCATGTCTTTGATGTTATGGGTTGAATAAACTGTTAGGTTGGCATGGAGAGATAGTTTTAGGTTTTTAAGGGTGAGGGCAGCAGCTGCCATCAATGCTCGGAGGCAGGCAGGCCATCTGAGAACTGTGGCTTCAAGCTGTTTAGAGAGGTAGGCAACAACCTGGAGGGTGGGTCCCTTAGACTGGGTTAGAACACCCAGTGTAACTTCACACTGTTTGTCGGTATAGAGGGAGAAAGGTTTGGTGAGGTCTGGGAGAGTGAGGACGGGGGCTGAGATGAGAGCCTTCTGGAGTAGATGGAAAGGTTGAGTAATAGGCTGTGCAGGTTTTAAAGGCTCATGGAGAGGGCCTTTAGCAGCTTGGTATAACAGTTTGGCAAGTACAGCCAAGGAGGGAACCCAGAGTCTAAAATATCCTGCTTGTCCCTAGAAAAGAGAGAATTTCTTGCTTAGTTTGCAGAGGTGGGAAGGACAGGAGGAGGGAAATGCGGTCGGTTGTGAGCCCTTGGGTACACAGGGTAAGAGCTAGGCCTAGATAGATGACTGAGGGGGTGCATATTTGTGCTTTTTTAGGGGAGACTTAATGCCCCCGTTCTGCCAGGTTTAAAAGAGAGAGATAGTATGGGCGTTGCAGTCTCTTTGAGAGGTGCTACGCAGGAGCAGATCATTAACACATCGAAGGAGAGTGGACAATTTTAGGGATAAGGTACAAAGGTCGCAAGCAAGGGCCTGTCTAAGAAGGTGGGGGCTGTCTCTGAAACCTCGAGGTAGTACGCACCAGGTGAGCAGAGGTGAAATGTGGGTGTCGGGGTTTTCCCACATAAAGGCAAAGAGGTTTTGGGAATTAGCGTGCAAAGGAATTGTGAAGAAAAGCATCCTTTAGGTTTAGAACAGAAAAATGGGTGGTATTGGAGGGAATTGTGGAAAGTGTATGGATTAGGAACTACTGAACATACTGGAAGTACAGCTTGGTTAATGAGCCTGAGGTCCTGGACTAAGCGATAAGTTCCAGCTAGCTTTTTGACAGGTAGAATTGGTGTGTTAAAAGGGGAGTTTGTTGGGCGGAGTAGGTGACTGGCAAGAAGGCAAGAAATGATAGGCTTTAGGCTCATGAGAGCTGCTTGGGGGATGGGATACTCCTTCTGTGATAGGAACTGGGTGGGCTCTTTAAGAGTAATGTGGACAGGGGTGTGGTGTTCTGCAACTGAGGGTGAGCAAGTATCCTAAACAGCAGGATTAACTACGGATGGGGGATAAGGAAAGGTTGTGTGTTTTAGGGTGGGAGGTTGAAGGAGTAGAAGAAAACTAGAAGTACTGGAGGGGTCTGGGTGGATGTGTTGGGTACTATGGGGAACGTGGAAGTGGAGAGTAGTGTGGAGTTTTGAAAGGACGTTTCGGCTGGGCACGGTGGCTCACACCAGTAATCCCAGCACTTTGGGAGGCCGAGGCGGGAGGATCACGAGGTCAGGAGATCGAGACCATCCTGGCTAACATGGTGAAACCCTGTCTCTACTAAAATTACAAAAAATTAGCTGGGCATGGTGGTGGGCGCCTGTAGTCCCAGCTACTCGGGAGGCTGAGGCAGGAGAATGGCATGAACCTGGGAGGCAGAGCTTGCAGTGAGCGGAGATCGCACCACTGCACTCCAGCCTGGGTGACAGAGTGAGACTCCGTCTTAAAAAAAAAAAAAAAAAAGCAAGAAAAAGAAAGGATATGTCTGCCTGGGAGCAGAGTTGGGCATGAAGGCAAGACTAACAAAGAGTGAGTGAAGGAAAAAGTGTGCAGGGAGTAGAAAAGTGGCAGGTGGCTCAGGGTTTGGAGATTTGTCCATCAATTCCCACAACAGAGATTTGGGAGGACTGGGTGGGTCCTGAAAAATTAGGTAAAGCAGAGTAGGTTGCCCCAATATTAATTTAAAAAAACATACTGGCCTACCTGCCACCATCAGGGTTACCCTTGGCTCTGATGAAGCAATGGTAGTTGCTGGGGCATCCGTTCCAGGGCACCGTCAGTCTTCAGCGGCAAGACCAATGAGATCTGAGTAGGAGGTTTTGGCCGGCTCAGGAAGGGATGGGGGTGGTCCTTGCAGGGGCCACTCACAGTCCAACTTCCAGTGGAGTCCTCTGCAGAGGAGGCATGGTCTGGTGGGCCTACCTGGATTTGGGCATTTTCTGGACCAGTGGCCTTTATTGCTGCACTTGAAACATGTGCCAGGTGGAGGTGGATTGCTTGGAGGCTTCCGTGTGGAGCTGCGGCCCTGGGGGCCTGCAGGGCCCCTGATGGCAGAGGCAAGCATTTGAGACTCTGCCTGTTTTTGCCTTTTACTTTCCTCATCACAACTGTTAAAGACTTTGAAGGCTAAATTAATAAGGTCTTGTCGTGGGGTTTGAGGGCCATCGTCAAGCTTCTGAAGCTTGTGCCTAATATCACGGGTGGATTGGGAAATGATCTGAAGGTTTAAAATAGTGGTTTCTTCTGGGCTGGCTGGGTTTATGTTGGTATATTTTCTCATGGCTTCAGTTAAACAAGAGAGAAAAAGGGCTGGGTTTTTGTCAGGACCTTGGGTGATTTCTGAAAGTTTTTCATAGTTTACCACTTTATGGGCACCCCTTTTGAGTCCTGCAAGGAGACACATAATTATGTGGTCTTGATGGCGCCATCCAGAGGCCCCATCTTAATAATCCCAGTGGGGGTCCTGGCTGGGGACTGCCTCTGTGCCAGTAGACAGGGCAGGAGCTTGGTGATGAATTGTATTAGCATGTGCCTGAGCTAGGGTCCAGATACGGTCCGGTCCTGGTCTTCTGGGGTGAGGGTGGAAGAGAGGATAAAGTAGAGGTCATGCCAGGTTAGTTTATAAGACTTGGTAAGGTACTGAAACTCTCTAATATAAAAGGTAGTGTCTTCTGGAAATGAACCGAGTCTTTTGTTAATTTGAGAGACATTAGTGAGGGAAAAGGGAACATGAACTCTAACAATACCTTCAGTTCCTGCCACTTCCCAAAGGGGGCATTCTAGCGCAGGCGCCGAAGTAAGGGTAGGGTATGGGCCAAAGATGGTGCCTGAACAAATATGGGTGGGAGAGAAGAAAGAAGCCAGAAGTGGTTCCTGCTCAGGGTTTGAAGGGGAAGGGGGGTTGAGTTGACAGGCAGTGGACGATAGATAGGGGCATAATGTGGTGGGATGGTTTTACAGGCTTCAGGAGAGCGGAGTGAAGAAGGAGAATTAGTACAGACAGTGCTAGAGTTGTCTTGAGGAGAGGATGTTGTAGGAAAAGAAGTGGGTACTTTTGGAGGTGATGCCAGCTGGGAAGATGGTGGCTGAGAAGACAACAAGGAGGTTTGGAGGGTTAAAGAAGACAGTTGAGAGGAAGAGGTACTGGCTGGGAGGGGTGAACAGCAGTCAGCTGGATAGAATGAGGAAAAAGAGAGAGGGTCGGGGGAGAAAGGTGATCAGGGCGGCAAGAATGGAGGGGAAGGATTTGAACAGGTAAGCAAGGATTGCAGAGGTCGGGTAGTGATCTGAGTGCACAAAGGCCTGGACATAAGGAATTTTTCCCCATTTTTCCAGTCGTCGGCAATAATTGCTCAAGTCAGTTAAAACTGTAAAGTCAAATGTTCTATTTGCGGGCCATTTGGATCCGTTATTTAATTTGTACTGTGGCCAGGCTGTATTGCAAAAAGAAAGACAACGCGCTTAGGGCGGATATCTTGCCTGAGGCCTAAGGTTTGCAGGTTTTTTATGAGGCAGCCTAGAGGGCTGTTTTTTGGAATGGAGGATGGGGAGTTTTCCATAAAGGAGGGTAGGCTGGGGAGAACAGGGAAAAAGGAGACCGTCCTGGACAGCCAGAGGGAGATGATAAAAGGAGCAATTGTCACCGCTGCCTTTTTTGTTCCCGAAACAGGATCAAATGGCTAAGAGGCATCCACTTAAGACCAGATGATCAGCGAGTGCCTGACACGTGCTGGAGCCTTCTTGGACCAATGTTGGATTTTTGGACCAGAGAAACAAAAACAGGCTGTGCAGATTTTTCCCTGTTAACGGGGCTCCCAAGGAAACTCAGCAGTAGGCAAGATCAGCGACTGATGTGCATGCATAGAGAAGTGACTGGAGACCAAGGAGCTTCCTTTGTCCAGCTGCTGTGGCCTGCTTTCTGGGGTGGAGGGGTAGGTCCATGGAGGATGCAGACCTGAGCCCCTCCTGGGTTTCAGCACCAGATATAAGGTTTTTATATCACTTCAAACCCCGAGAGCGCACCAACAGCTAACAGGAGGCAGTGTGGAGCAACATGCTGTTTTAATGAGCACCTGGGTGCAGGATGGCTGAGGCCTAAAATGGCGTCAGCCCCAAGTGAGGAAGGGGCAAAGGTTTTATAGCCTCCTGTAAACAGGAAGTGTCCTAGTCTGACGTAACTGCTACGTTGGACCCAGATGGCCTGTTTCTCGATCTTAAGGGGTACATGTCTTCCAGCTGGCTCACTTCCTGCTTCTGCTATCCTGCTGGCACACGCTGCTGGCACAAGTAGCCTTGCACCTTGGGACTGGGCCTGAGAAGGGAAGAATTATTTATCTCCTTAAGCTTTCAGGCCCCAGAGAGAATCTTACACTCATGGCCTAATTGCCACTTAAAGGTGACATCTCTTAACACTGTTACAGTGGGACTTAAATTTCAACATGAATTTTTGAAGGGACAAACATTCAAATTACAGCATTCTGCCTCTGTCACCCCCAAAACTTATGTACTTCTCACATATAAAGTACTTTCATTTTAACCCAATAGCTCCTGGTCTTAACTCATTCTAGCATAATCTTAAAAGTCTGTGGTCTAGATTTTCATCTAAATATCATCAAAATTGGATATATGTAAGACTCAGGTTATGATTCATTCTGAGGAAAATTCCCCTCCAGCTGTGAAATCAAACAAATTATATGTTTCTAAAATATATGGTGGGACAGGCATAGGATAGACAATTCCATAACAAAAGAGCAACAGAAAATAAAAAGAATTAACAGGCTCCCACTAAGTCCAAACCCCCACCAAAAAAAAAAAAACAACAACAACAACATTAAATCCCGACATTTGAGAATTTTTTGTTTTGACTTCAAGTCCCACTATCAGCACAGACTGGGGCAGGGGTTAGGCCTCCATGGCTTTTCTGGGAGCAACCAATGCAGCAGCTCTCACAGGCTGGAATATTATCCCCAAAGTTCGCTGCAGCTGGGGCTTCCAACTGTTACTGGGAAGTGCAGGAATTTTTGATTAGTTTTAACTGGAGGAAGAATTCTGCCAAGCGATTGATTTAACCAAAAAAGAGAATGTATTGAAGGAAAATAGAGAACAGAGAGTTTATTTCCTCTTTTTGGCTTATATTTAGCATGCCTGTTTTAGGTATTCTCTGGGGTGTAAAATTTTTCAAACCTCCCTTTTGTCATGAGTTCTTCCCTCCTGCTTATGTTTAGCTATTTGCCTAGCAACCCCCCAACTAATGTTTCATTAGGAATTGTCCTAGTGGGTAATCTCTGTGGTGGCCTTGCACCTGTGTCAGTTCTCTCTTTGAGCCCTGAGGCTCCCTGACACATTTTTTGAAATCTAGCTCCTACAGTCAGCAATCCTGGAGAATTAACATGCTATGGACACCATCAAAACTTGTGCCCTGTGCCTTCTGGAGTGATGGCCAGCACCACATCTGGGCTTCGTTAAGCCATTTCTGAGATGGCTTAAAAGAGCTGCTTAGGAATGCAGGAATCAGAGATTTGAGGAAGCCCTGAGTAGTGAGTAACAAGGTCCCAAGGGCTCTCAAGAGTCCTCTTTTGATCTAATTCTGTTCTCCAGGCATTGGCATTCTGTCTGGGTTTGTGATGGGAGCTAATCTCCTTATCAAAATTTGGCCACACCCTAGGTTTTTCTTTTTTGAATATGCCTTTTCTTTATTTAAAACACAGCCAGACTAAGAATTTTCCAAATCTTTACTTTCTACTTCCTTTTCAATGTACATTTCATATTTAATTTTTTCCCCTTTTCTCAAGTTTTACTATTGACAGTTTAAAAAAGTCATGCAGCATCCTTAACAATTTGCTACTTAGATATTTCTTCCACCAGATATCCTAACTTGTGGTTCTTAAATTCTGCCTTTCGTAAAATGTTGGGACACAAAGACAATTCAGCCATGTTTGTTGCCTCTTGGTAAAAAGGATAACCCTCGGGTCATTGTGCAATACCATGTTCTACAATTCCATCTGGGATCTCATCAGAATTACCTCTACCATTCATATTGCTATTATTCACTTGAAAACCACTTAAGTAATCTCACTGCTGATTTAGGTTTAGCCTATAGCTCTCCTCTTCTTGAGCCCTCACCAGCATAGCCCTTAACACTCTGTTAATAGCAATCTAGGCTTTTTTCTAGCCTGATCCTCTAAACTCTTCTGCCCTCTGCCCATTACTCAGTTCCAAATCTGACACACATTTTTAGGTGTTTTTTATAGTAACAACCCCACTTCTGGTACAAATTTCTATCTTAGTCCATTTTCTACAACTAGAAGAAAACACTTGAGACTGGATAATTTATAATAAACAGAAATTTATTTTCTGACAGTTCCAGAGACTTAAAAGTTCATTATCAAGAAGCTGGAATCTTTCAAGGGCCTTCCTGCTGTTTCATGACATGGCAAAAGGCTGAAGGGCAAAGAAGCAAAAGGGAATGAAACTAGCCATTTTATAATGGTATTAACTTCACCTATGAGAACAGAGCCTTCATGGCTCAATCACTTCTTAAAGGTCCATGTAAAAATGATTACAATGTTCAATTAAATGTCGACATGAGTTTAGAGAAGATAAACTTGATAATTTTTCCTTGATTTTCTTACTATCTTCATTCTTCTGAAACCTGGTTAATATTCATCTCCTCAATTGGCATAATGACATTTGTTTAAAGGTTATATGGTTATCTGTCTTACACTTTTTGTCATTTCATAGCCAGAAATACGTTATCGGTTTAATTTAGATTTGTGAATTTACCTTGCCTTGGAGACATGTCGTTGATCCTCTGAGGAAAGGATCCTTTCACTTGAGAGAAAATCCAGTTTGGGTTTCCAAATTCCACTTCTATTCCTCAGCCTCATATGTTACAGCAATTTATATTCTGCTAGTTTTGTGCCTTCTGTATTTAAAAAGGAGAATGTTGGCCAGGCACGGTGGCTTATGCCTGTAATCCCAGCACTTTGGGAGGCAGAGGCGGGCAGATCACGAGGTCAGGAGATCGAGACCATCCTGGTTAACATGGTGAGACCCCGTCTCTACTAAAAATACAAAAAATTAGCCGGTTGTGGTGGTGGGCACCTGTAGTCCCATCTACTCGGGAGGCTGAGGCAGGAGAATGGCCTGAACCCAGGAGGCGGAGCTTGCAGTGAGCTGAGATAGCACCCCTACACTCCAGCCGGGGCGACAGAGTGAGACTCCGTCTCAAAAAAAAAATGTATGTAATAATAATAATAGTAATAAAATGTTCTTTATTGTGATACATTGACACATCATGTAAATTCTTGCTTATGTCATTAGTGAGGAAGAGGTGATAGATACCAGGTTGGCATTCTTCTAGTTTTAGTTCATTTTGTGTGCTATAACAGAATGAAATAACTGAGATTGGGTAATTTTTAATGAGCACAAATTTATTTTTCTAATTTTTTGAGACGGGGAAGTCCAAGATCAAGTTGTCAGATATTGATGAGATAATTTTTGCTACATTGTTGCATATACACAGAATAAAAAGAAAAATCTATCACAGTATTTGCCTGGAGAATTTATAACTTTTTAAATAAAACTAATAATATTAAACAAAGATGACAAACGTTGACATTATTTATTCTACTTGGCAGGTTCATAGGTGTTTGTTATGTTAATCCAACTTATTTCTGCATTTAGTAAAAATATTTATGCTATCTTACAAGCTTATAGCCAGGTTAAGATATCTTTTTTCTTATAAATAAGAAAGTCAATCATATTCTTCAGACTTCATAAAAGATACAGTAGGTAGGAGTCCAGTATACTTGGTACCATAATAAGTGTATCTTGCAAAAAAAATGAACAAGTAATTAATAGTTTAAAATTAAAAAAATTCTTTGTGGCATAATTTTTTTAAATATGAGAGTTCTTATTTACTTCAAGAAGACTTAAAGCAAGCAAAAACATTCCAGATATAAAAGATCTAATACTTTAAAATACATAATGAAATACACTGTAACTGGCATGATATAAAACAGAGAGAGATTCAGTTCAATACTGTATCAACAATTGACACAGTATTCCCATAAAAATCTTTATTGCTACCAGTATCTGGAAACACATTGAGATGTTATTAACTTTATTGCTTGCACATGTGACTGGCCAAATTCCGCGTGCAAGCTAATAAAACTGATACCTTTACCTGGCAGCTACTTTGTTCCAAAGTGATGCCTTTTGCATATAAACTGTATTTCCTATCTGTTCAAGGTTTATCTCATTGTCCTCCAGAAAACAAGGCCCTTCCTGTGACATAGTTTTACAAGATTCCAAGAAGCTCATTTCAGGTCTTTCCCATCATATTCCCTCCAGCAGTCTTCTTGTATATGGAAAGCAGTCTCCTGGAAATCTAGTGTTAATATGTCCTTAAGTGGGGAAACTTTCTGATAAGCCTCCAATAACGCCAAGAAAATTCCAAGGCTATGGCTGATTCTAGGTGCTGTTTGCCATTTTCCAAGAGGTATTCTCTGCTTTCCACCTTTGGAATTGAGATTTTAGACATATGAGAGAGAGATAATCTCCCACTTGTTTAAATCCTTGGCAGGCATGTAAATAATAGCCTGTCTGCAAACTTTAGACTGGAAAAGAAAGGAGCTGAACAAATAACAAATGCAGCAAGGACATTCCATGGTCTGCTGTGTTCTGCAGGTGTAAGGAAACCTACTTATAAGTTAGCCTATTCTGCTTCACAAGAAACCTCTGATTTTTAAACATTAATTTTTGTCACATGCTGTCTATGCCAGGCACAATTCTAAATGCTTGCCTAATTAGAAACCATTTAATCCCCATGAAAACCTAATAATGTAGGTGCTGCTACGAACCATATTTGACACATAAAAAAAATGAAGGCAAGAGAAAGGCTAGGTAACTCCTGCAAGATTAAAACAGCTGCTAACACAGGAATAGAAAACCAAATATTGCATGATCTCACTTAAAAGTGTGAGCCAAACATCAAGTACATATGGACACAAAGAAAGGAACAACAGACACAGGGCCTACTTGAAGATAGAAGGTGGAAGGAAAGTAAGGATTGAAAATCTACCTATCAGATACTATGCATATTACCTGGGTGATGAAACAATCCATACATCAAACTCCTGCAACACACAATTTGCCTGTATAACAAACGTGCACATGTACCCCTGAACCGAAAATAAAATTTTAAAAAACCAAACAGCTACTATGTGTTGGCACTAGATTCAGACATGCAGTTTAGCTCCAGGGCCATTCCCTGAGTTCCCAAAATACTGATTTTCCTCTACTTATTTCCACATGCAACTCATCCAGCTATCTGGATTCTGAATGATTTCAACACATAACCACCCATTGATTATGGTCAAGGACAGAGGCTCCACAAGAAGAGCTTAAAAAGTGAATAAATGTAAGACATCACCCAATTCTTAACCTGCAATTTAATTTGTCTTTTACACACACACTAGCACCACAAACCCGTGTGTGTGTGTGTGTGTGTGTGTGCACGCGTGTGTGTGCTCCTGAAAGGAGGAATTGTTCTTTAGAATCCTCATGGCCTGGTCACCACATAAAAGTCCCACCTCTTAACATTGTTCCAATGGCAATTAAATTTCAACATGAACTTTGGAGAAGACAAACATTCAAACTGCAGCATTCTAGCTGCCTAAAAATCATGTATTTCTCAGGTACAAAATGTTTCATTTCATCCCAAAAGCCCCAAAAGTCTTAGCTCATTATAGTATCCTCTTAAAAGTCTAAGGTCCAGATTATCATCTAAATATAATCAAAATCAGATACGTGTGAAAGTCAAGTATGATTCATTCTGAGGCACATGTTTCTCCAGCTGTGAAATCAAGTAAGTTATGTACTTCCACAATATAGTGATGGGACAGGCACAGGATGGACAGCCTCATTCCAAAAGAGAGAAATGGAAAATAAAAATAAATAATAAGTCTGTAATAAGTCTGTAATAAGCCCAATTCCCACCAAAGCAAATAACATTAAATCTTGAGGTTTGAGAATAATCGTCTTTGGCTCCAAGTCAAACCTTCTCTACATATTGGGGTGAGGGTTGGGCCCCCATGATTTTGCTGGATGCATCCCAGGAAGTAGCTATCAGAGGTTAGAGTCTCTTTTATGCAGCCCTCTACAGGTGGCATCTCACACTGCTGGATCTACAGTTAGGGTTTTGAAGAAAACCCACTCCCCAAAGTTCTACTAGTAATTGCCCTAGTGGACAAACTCTGTGGTGACCCTGTCCTTGTGTCAATTATTTGAGCCCCGAGTCTCTCTGAGGCATCTTTTGAAATCTATAATAGGCAAGGCTACAAAATTAGCAACCAGTGGGCACTGCCAAGATTTACATCCTGCACCTTCTGGAATGGTGGATGTAGCCACAAGTGAGATCCTTTTTTTTTTTTTTTTTTAATTATACTTTAAGTTTTAGGGTACATGTGCACAATGTGCAGGTTAGTTACATATGTATACATGTGCCATGCTGGTGCGCTGCACCCACTAACTCGTCATCTAGCATTAGGTATATCTCCCAATGCTATCCCTCCCCACTCCCCCCACCCCACAACAGGCCCCAGAGTGTGATGTTCCCCTTCCTGTGTCCATGTGATCTCATTGTTCAGTTCCCACCTATGAGTGAGAATATGTGGTGTTTGGTTTTTTGTTCTTGCGATAGTTTACTGAGAATGATGATTTCCAATTTCATCCATGTCCCTACAAAGGACATGAACTCATCATTTTTTATGGCTGCATAGTATTCCATGGTGTATATGTGCCACATTTTCTTAATCCAGTCTATCATCGTTGGACATTTGGGTTGGTTCCAAGTCTTTGCTATTGTGAATAATGCCACAATAAACATACGTGTGCATGTGTCTTTATAGCAGCATGATTTATATTCCTTTGGGTATATACCCAGTAATGGGATGGCTGGGTCAAATGGTATTTCTAGTTCTAGATCCCTGAGGAATCGCCACACTGACTTCCACAATGGTTGAACTAGTTTACAGTCCCACCAACAGTTTAAAAGTGTTCCTATTTCTCCACATCCTCTCCAGCACCTGTTGTTTCCTGACTTTTTAATGATTGCCATTCTAACTGGTGTGAGATGGTATCTCATTGTGGTTTTGATTTGCATTTCTCTGATGGCCAGTGATGGTGATCATATTTTCATGTGTTTTTTGGCTGCATAAATGTCTTCTTTTGAGAAGTGTCTGTTGATGTCCTTTGCCCACTTTTTGATGGGGTTGTTTGTTTTTTTCTTGTAAATTTGTTTGAGTTCATTGTAGATTCTGGATATTAGCCCTTTGTCAGATGAGTAGGTTGCAAAAATTTTCTCCCATTTTGTAGGTTGCCTGTTCACTCTGATGGTAGTTTCTTTTGCTGTGCAGAAGCTCTTTAGTTGAATTAGATCCCATTTGTCAATTTTGGCTTTGGTTGCCATTGCTTTTGGTGTTTTAGACATGAAGTCCTTGCCCATGCCTATGTCCTGAATGGTAATGCCTAGGTTTTCTTCTAGGGTTTTTATGGTTTTAGGTCTAACATTTAAGTCTTTAATCCATCTTGAATTGATTTTTGTATAAGGTGTAAGGAAGGGATCCAGTTTCAGCTTTCTACATATGGCTAGCCAGTTTTCCCAGCACCATTTATTAAACAGGGAATCCTTTCCCCATTGCTTGTTTTTCTCAGGTTTGTCAAAGATCAGATAGTTGTAGATATGCGGCGTTATTTCTGAGGGCTCTGTTCTGCTCCATTGATCTATATCTCTGTTTTGGTACCAGTACCATGCTGTTTTGGTTACTGTAGCCTTGTAGTATAGTTTGAAGTCAGGTAGCGTGATGCCTCCAGCTTTGTTCTTTTGGCTTAGGATTGACTTGGCGATGCAGGCTCTTTTTTGATTCATATGAACTTTAAAGTAGTTTTTTCCAATTCTGTGAAGAAAGGCATTGGTAGCTTGATGGGGATGGCATTGAATCTGTAAATTACCTTGGGCAGTATGGCCATTTTCACGATATTGATTCTTCCTACCCATGAGCATGGAATGTTCTTCCATTTGTTTGTATCCTCTTTTATTTCCTTGAGCAGTGGTTTGTAGTTCTCCTTGAAGAGGTCCTTCACATCCCTTGTAAGTTGGATTCCTAGGTATTTTATTCTCTTTGAAGCAATTGTGAATGGGAGTTCACTCATGATTTGGCTCTCTGTTTGTCTGTTGTTGGTGTATAAGAATGCTTGTGATTTTTGTACATTGATTTTGTATCCTGAGACTTTGCTGAAGTTGCTTATCAGCTTAAGGAGATTTTGGGCTGAGACAATGGGGTTTTCTAGATATACAATCATGTCGTCTGCAAACAGGGACAATTTGACTTCCTCTTTTCCTAATTGAATACCCTTTATTTCCTTCTCCTGCCTAATTGCCCTGGCCAGAACTTCCAACACTATGTTGAATAGGAGTGGTGAGAGAGGGCATCCCTGTCTTGTGCCAGTTTTCAAAGGGAATGCTTCCAGTTTTTGCCCATTCAGTATGATATTGGCTGTGGGTTTGTCACAGATAGCTCTTATTATTTTGAAATACGTCCCATCAATACCTAATTTATTGAGAGTTTTTAGCATGAAGAGTTGTTGAATTTTGTCAAAGGCTTTTTCTGCATCTATTGAGATAATCATGTGGTTTTTGTCTTTGGCTCTGTTTATATGCTGCATTACATTTATTGATTTGCGTATATTGAACCAGCCTTGCATCCCAGGGATGAAGCCCACTTGATCATCGTGGATAAGCTTTTTGATGTGCTGCTGGATTCATTTTGCCAGTATTTTATTGAGGATTTTTGCATCAATGTTCATCAAGGATATTGGTCTAAAATTCTCTTTTTTTGTTGTGTCTCTGCCTGGCTTTGGTATCAGAATGATGCTGGCCTCATAAATAGAGTTAGGGAGGATTCCCTCTTTTTCTATTGATTGGAATAGTTTCAGAAGGAATGGTACCAGTTCATCTTTGTACCTCTGGTAGAATTCGGCTGTGAATCCGTCTGGTCCTGGACTCTTTTTGGTTGGTAAGCTATTGATTATTGCCACAATTTCAGATCCTTTTATTGGTCTATTCAGAGATTCAACTTCTTCCTGGTTTAGTCTTAGGAGAGTGTATGTGTCGAGGAATTCATCCATTTCTTCTAGATTCTCTAGTTTATTTGCATAGAGGTGTCTGTAGTATTCTCTGATGGTAGTTTGTATTTCTGTGGGATCGGTGGTGATATCCCCTTTATCACTTTTTATTGTGTCTATTTGATTCTTCTCTCTTTTTTTCTTTATTAGTCTTGCTAGCAGTCTCTCAATTTTGTTGATCCTTTCAAAAAACCAGCTCCTGGATTCCTTAATTTTTTGAAGGGTTTTTTGTGTCTCTATTTCCTTCAGTTCTGCTCTGATTTTAGTTATTTCTTGCCTTCTGCTAGCTTTTGAATGTGTTTGCTCTTGCTTTTCTAGTTCTTTTAATTGTGATGTTAGGGTGTCAATTTTGGATCTTTCCTGCTTTCTCTTGTGGGCATTTAGTGCTATAAATTTCCCTCTACACACTGCTTTGAATGCATCCCAGAGATTCTGGTATGTTGTGTCTTTGTTCTCGTTGGTTTCAAAGAACATCTTTATTTCTGCCTTCATTTCATTATGTACCCAGTAGTCATTCAGGAGCAGGTTGTTCAGTTTCCATGTAGTTGAGCAGTTTTGAGTGAGATTCTTAATCCTGAGTTCTAGTTTGATTGCACTGTGGTCTGAGAGATAGTTTGTTATAATTTCTGTTCTTTTACATTTGCTGAGGAGAGCTTTACTTCCCAGTATGTGGTCAATTTTGGAATAGGTGTGGTGTGGTGCTGAAAAAAATGTATATTCTGTTGATTTGGGGTGGAGAGTTCTGTAGATGTCTATTAGGTCCACTTGGTGCAGAGCTGAGTTCAATTCCTGGGTATCCTTGTTGACTTTCTGTCTTGTTGATCTGTCTAATGTTGACAGTGGGGTGTTAAAGTCTCCCATTATTAATGTGTGGGAGTCTAAGTCTCTTTGTAGGTCACTCAGGACTTGCTTTATGAATCTGGGTGCTCCTGTATTGGGTGCATATGTATTTAGGATAGTTAGCTCTTCTTGTTGAATTGATCCCTTTACCATTATGTAATGGCCTTCTTTGTCTCTTTTGATCTTTGTTGGTTTAAAGTCTGTTTTATCAGAGACTAGGATTGCAACCCCTGCCTTTTTTTGTTTTCCATTTGCTTGGTAGATCTTCCTCCATCCTTTTATTTTGAGCCTGTGTGTGTCTCTGCATGTGAGATGGGTTTCCTGAATACAGCACACTGATGGGTCTTGAATCTTTATCCAATTTGCCAGTCTGTGTCTTTTAATTGGAGCATTTAGTCCATTTACATTTAAAGTTAATATTGTTATGTGTGAATTTGATCCTGTCATTATGATGTTAGCTGGTTATTTTGCTCGTTAGTTGATGCGGTTTCTTCCTAATCTTGATGGTCTTTACATTTTGGCATGATTTTGCAGCAGCTGGTACCGGTTGTTCCTTTCCATGTTTAGCGCTTCCTTCAGGAGCTCTTTTAGGGCAGGCCTGGTGGTGACAAAATCTCTCAGCATTTGCTTGTCTGTAAAGTATTTTATTTCTCCTTCGCTTATGAAGCTTAGTTTGGCTGGACATGAAATTCTGGGTTGAAAATTCTTTAAGAATGTTGAATATTGGCCCCCACTCTCTTCTGGCTTGTAGGGTTTCTGCCGAGAGATTCGTTGTTAGTCTGATGGGCTTCCCTTTGTGGGTAACCTGACCTTTCTCTCTGGCTGCCCGTAACATTTTTTCCTTCATTTCAACTTTGGTGAATCTGACAATTATGTGTCTTGGAGTTGCTCTTCTCGAGGAGTATCTTTGTGGCGTTCTCTGTATTTCCTGAATCTGAATGTTGGCCTGCCTTGCGAGATTGGGGAAGTTCTCCTGGATAATATCCTGCAGAGTATTTTCCAACTTGGTTCCATTCTCCCCATCAGTTTCAGGTACACCAGTCAGACGCAGATTTAGTCTTTTCTCATAGTCCCATATTTCTTGGAAGCTTCACTCATTTCTTTTTTTCTTTTTTCTCTAAACTTCCCTTCTTGCTTCATTTCATTCATTTCATCTTACATTGCTGATACCCTTTCTTCCAGTTGATCTCATCGGCTCCTGAGGCTTCTGCATTCTTCACGTAGTTCTCGAGCTTTGGTTTTCAGCTCCATCAGCTCCTTTAAGCACTTCTCTGTATTGGTTATTCTAGTTATACATTCCCCTAAATTTTTTTCAAAGTTTTCAACTTCTTTGCCTTTGGTTTGAATGTCCTCCCATAGCTCAGAGTAATTTGATCATCTGAAGCCTTCTTCTCTCAGCTCGTCAAAGTCATTCTCCATCCAGCTTTGTTCCGTTACTGGTGAGGAACTGCGTTCCTTTGGAGGAGGAGAGTCGCTCTGCTTTTTAGAGTTTCCAGTTTTTCTGTTCTGTTTTTTCCCCATCTTTGTGGTTTTATCTACTTTTGGTCTTTGATGATGGTGATGTACAGATGGGTTTTTGGTGTGGATGTCCTTTCTGTTTGTTAGTTTTCCTTCTAACAGACAGGACCCTCAGCTGCAGGTCTGTTGGAATACCCTGCCGTGTGAGGTGTCAGTGTGCCCCTGCTGGAGGGTGCCTCCCAGTTAGGCTGCTCGGGGGTCAGGGGTCAGGGGCCCACTTGAGGAGGCAGTCTGCCCGTTCTCAGATCTCCAGCTGCGTGCTGGGAGAACCACTGCTCTCTTCAAAGCTGTCAGACAGGGACATTTAAGTCTGCAGAGGTTACTGCTGTCTTTTTGTTTGTCTGTGCCCTGCCCCCAGAGGTGGAGCCTACAGAGGCAGGCAGGCCTCCTTGAGCTGTGGTGGGCTCCACCCAGTTCGAGCTTCCCGGCTGCTTTGTTTACCTAAGCAAGCCTGGGCAATGGCGGGCGTCCCTCTCCCAGCCTTGCTGCCGCCTTGCAGTTTGATCTCAGACTGCTGTACTAGCAATCAGCGAGACTCCGTGGGCGTAGGACTCTCCAAGCCAGGTGCGGGATATAATCTCGTGGTGCGCCATTTCTTAAGCCGTTCGGAAAAGCGCAGTATTCGGGTGGGAGTCACCCGATTTTCCAGGTGCGTCCGTCACCCCTTTCTTTGACTCGGAAAGGGAACTCCCTGACCCCTTGCACTTCCCAAGTGAGGCAATGCCTCGCCCTGCTTCGGCTCGCACACGGTGCGCGCACCCACTGACCTGCGCCCACTGTCTGGCACTCCCTAGTGAGATGAACCTGGTACCTCAGATGGAAATGCAGAAATCACCGTCTTCTGCATCGCTCACGCTGGGAGCTGTAGACCGGAGCTGTTCCTATTCCACATGTGAGATCCTTTGAGCCACTTCTGAGATGGTAAGGATTGCTACTCGGGAATGTAGGCATCAGAGACTTGAAGTAGCCCTGGGCATTGAGCATCAAGGTCTCCAGGGCTTCCAAGGTCCAGCTTTTAGTATAATTCTATCCCCTAGATATTGGCATTCTAGATCTGTGATGGGAGAAGCAGCACCAGTAATCTCCAAGATGCCATTGGGATCATTCTTCCGTTGTCTTGATGAATTGTCTTGATGAAGAAGCAGCTGGCTTCTTCCATTCATACTAATCTCTATATCAAATAGTTACTTGGCTATATTTTTGGTTTTCTCTTGTTACCTTGCTTTTTCTTTCTTAAAAACAAAGCAACCCTGAGATTTTTTCAAATATTTACACTTTGTTTATCTTTTCACATAAATTATATCTTCTTTTTTTCATCAAATTTATTTTAAGTTCCAGGGTACATGTACAGAATATGCAGGTTTGTTACATAGGTAAACGTATGTCATGGTGATTCGCTGCACAGATCAGCCCATCATCTAGGTATTAAGCCCAGCATCCATAAGCTTTAAGTTGCTTCTTTCTTCCTGAATTTTACTATTATTAGGTCAAAGAAGCCATGCAGCATCCTCAACAATTTGCTGCCGAGATATTTCTTTTAGCAAACATCCTAGTTTACGGTTCTTAAAGTCTGCTTTCGCACATTGCTGGGACACAAAGATAATTCAGCCAAGTTCTTTACCACTTTATATAAAGGATGGCCCTTCCTCCATTGTGCAATACCATGCTCCTCATTTCCATCTAAGACCTTATCAGTATTACTTCTAGTGTCTATGTTGCTAACAATATTCTGTATACATTTACTTAGTAATCTTAGAGATGATTTAGGCTTGGCTGTTAGCTGTCCTTCTTCTGAGCCCTCATCAGGAAAGCCCTTAACTCTCTGTTAATGGCAATATAGACTTTTTCTAGCCTCTTCTTTCAAACCCATCCAGCCTCTGCTCATTACCCAGTTCCAAAGCTGACATAAGTTTTTATGTATTTGTTATGGTAAGAATACCACTTCTGGTACCAATTTCTATCTTAGTTTTTGTGTGTGTGTGTGTGCTGCTAGAACAGAATACCTGAGAGAGGGAAATTTATAATTGACAGAAATTTATTTTCTCACAGCTCTGGATACTAAGTTCAACATCATTGTGCTTGCACTTGGCAATGGCATTCTTACTGTGTTATCTCATGGTAAAAGGCTGAATGACAAAAAGGCAAAAGGAAATGAAAGGAGCCATCTTATATTGGCATTAATCCCACCCGTGAGAACAGAAGCCTCATAGCTCCATTAATTCTTTAAGGTAACATTACTTAGTAGTATTGCAATAGCAGTTAAATTTCGACAAAAGTTTTGGAGGGAACACATATTATAACCTTCTCTGATTTTCTTACCTTTTTGGTTCATCTGGACTCTGGCTAATATTCATCTCAATTAACATAATGGTATTTTTAAAAGTGTTATCTGGCTTCCTCTTTTACATTTTCTCTAATTCCATAGCAAGACATCCATTATGAGTTGAGTTTAAATTTGTGGATTTACCATGTCTTTGAGGCAGGCCATTGTTTCTCTGAAGAAAGAATCTTTTCACATGAGAGAGAATAAAATCTGAGCTCCCAAACTCCACCTCTATTCTTAAACCTCAGATTTTAAGGCAGTTTATATTTGTGCTAGTCTGTGGCTAACATCAATGTGTGTTTTAAAAGCCCAATGCTGTTTGGCAGATGATGGCTCTGACCATGGCTATATGCTTAGCTTTTCATGTTTTAGGGTTCAGGGATCCATTACTCCTGCAGAAGATAATTCACTCAGAAACTGAGGATCAGAATCTTTGGAGCTTTCCCTAAACCAAATTTGGCCCTTCAGCCCATAGGCTTATAATGGACAGTTGACAACAGTCCTTGACGAGTGATTCCTCCTTGGAAGTCTCACAAAAATAAGTCAAACCCCACTGGCAACAAGTCAACTGGTCCGGAGACTGCAAAGTAGAGACAATGTATTCACAAAACTGAGTTTGACTTTGTTTCTCTGTGAAATGTATAAATGGAGGAAGTGGGATGGGGTGGTTAGGAAACCTGAGAGACTATAGACACTCAGAGGAAGATATGGTATAACTCCAGCTTCCATGTGGAGATGAGGTTGTCGATGGGAAGCTTTTACAAAATAACCATAAAGTAAAATAGCTGCTGGAGCCCACAGGGAAAGGAGGGGCAAAGTGGTGGAAGGAATAGCAGACTGGGAAGTGGATTGGAGTTTCAGCATTTTGTTTGATCACTAATGGACAATGGTTCTCTTTAGAGAGGAGGGATCCAATTTTAGTGTCTGAACTAGACAATAAAATTCTCTGAATACCTGTCTCCTTATGAGAGGGAGTGGAACAATACGTGATCCCATCTACCAATAACTTTCCATTCTTACCAGTTGTGTCAGAATTTTAGAACTTTTGCAGGGTGGGTGATAGAGCAGAGAAACAGCAGAGACCCTGGTGTTAGGTTCACTGGGTCTGAATTCTAACTATGCCACATATCGTGGTTACTGTGTGACCCTGGGCAAGTTAATCCACCTTTCTGTGGATAAGGTTTATTTATTTATTTATTTATTTATTTATTTATTTACTAAGGTAACGTCTTCTATGTAGGGATTTTTTTTTTTTTCTTGAAATGGAGCCTTGCTCTGTTGCCAGGCTGGAGTGCAGTGGCGCTATTTTGGCTCACTGCAACCTCCGCCTCCCAGGCTCAAGCGATTCTCCTGCCTCAGTCTCCGAAGTAGCTGGGACTACAGGCGTGCGCCACCATGCCCAGCTAATTTTTGACGGGGTTTCACCATGTTGGCCAGGATAATCTCGATCTCTTGACCTCATGATCCACCCACCTTAGCCTCCCAATATGTAGGGATATTTTTTAAAAGTTAACATATTTGACACATGTACAAATATTTCTCAGAACATGAAAATTGTAATATACATGTTTGTGCAAATGGAATAATATAACAGAAATATTCTAAACTATTATATGAAAGGGTGTATTTGAAGGTATTATGAAGGTACACAGAGAATTATAGTTTCAGCTTTAATCATCACTGTTATGTGTTTAGCAGAAAGCCAACAGTGTTAAAGAGTGCCTTTGCTGAATGCATCATCACCATCATCACTCTCTTCCTCCTCTTTATCCTCAAGGTATCTGGTAACAGTTCTGAAGAGGCATTAGAGTTGATTTATTACTTTGGGGAAGTGAGATGTAAGGTGCAGTCCCCAGAAACCTTCAGCTTCTTCCATGGGAGTTTCTCTTTCCACAGGCTCCTTTCAGGACATGCCTAGTCAGTAGAGGAGGCCTCCATGGTAAATGACGTTAACATTCCACGAACTTCTGTCTCTCCCATTCCCCACTGCCCCAAGCAGGATGGTTCACATCTTGTCCTGCTGCTGCCCTTGTCCCTTGTCCCACAGATGGTCCTGCTCAAGGCTTACACCACTCACTGCCCCTCCTCCCAGAGTCCTCCCTTCACACCCATCATCACTATTCCTGGAAGGTCTCTGCTTCTTCCTGGGCTGCTCAGGGCCATGAGAACTGGACATCTGGTTGCTGCTGGGAAAGGACAAAGCCCATCTTTGACTTGCACAGTTTGCCAAGCTGTTTGTGAAAGAGGACTTTATATGTGACCACTCCCAGGGTGTGTCAGGAAGAGTTCCCCCTGATGCCAGAATTCCCTTGTGTCAGAGCCATTTGTAAGGTCTCTGAGTTTCTACCGTTGCCCTCTGCTTGGAATTCAAATTTAAAGCTCTCTTTACAGTAGGAGGGATCCACAGGAAAATAGCTTCTGTTGTGGATTTGAGGAACTTACAACTTCTCTAGAAACTCTATACTCAAATAAATACATTAAATAACTGGGGGCTTGATAGAGTAGGTGTTTCTGACTATTCAGTGAGGCAAGATTTAGAGTAGGGAGAGGTCCTGGATAGTTTTCTGTAATAGCTTTTTATTTTCTTTTTCCTTTTTTCCTTTCAATGTTTTAATTGGCCTATAATAACTGTACATATTTCTTGGGTTCACTGTGGTATTTCAATACATGTATACTATGTGTAATAAACCAGCCAGGGTAATTAGCATATCTATCCCTTCAAACATGCATCGTTTCTTTTGTTGGGAATATTCAAAACTCACTCATCTAGCTATTCAAAAATTTACACAAAATTGTTATAAATTATAGCCGCCCTGTAGTGCTATAGGACATTAGAACCCATTCCTCAGATGTGGCTGTACTTTTGTATTCCTTAACCAAGCTTTCGCTGTCTTCTCCGTCCCCTTCTGTGACTATAGTAACCACTATTTCACTCTCTACTGCTATGAGATCTAAATTGTTAGCTTCCACATTTGAGCTAGAACATGTGGTATTTATCTTTCTGTGCCTGGTATTTTCCTGAATCTTTTTGTGTCTTTCATTTCTCTGAACAAGTGCTGAGACATGAGAAAGGGTGAGGTGGGGGCCCTAAGTTTCTGCTCTTCCAAGGCTCCTCCAATATTTCAAGTTATTTGTCCACACTGGTTTGTGACTTCAGATCAGAACTGTGTTGTTAATAGATGTTTAAAAAAAAAAAACAAATAAATTGTGGGGTAGGTATGGGTGCTTGATGTCTTATACTTATTTACATTTTAAGCTCTTCTTATGGTGTCTCTGGCCATAGCCATAATGAGTTTGTGGTTACTAAATCAGTCCTCAGAGGCCTAGATGGGTTGAACATGGAAATTACTTAATAAAAGAAACTCAGGTAGTTGGAATAACAAAGTGACCCTAAAGCAAAACTGCTTGTGTTGAATATAGTTCCAATAAATATCTGCCATTTGAATTGGTTTAGTTAGTTCTTCTCTGACCCTCAGTCTCTTCATTTGTTAAATATGATTCTTAATAGAACCTATATTATTAGGACGTCTTGTGGATTAAGTAGGTTCCTGTTAGTCAGCATTAGAATAGTCCCTGACACAGAGAGCATGCAATGAAAGTTTGTGTTAAATGGCCAGATGCAGTGGCTCATGCTTGTAATCACAGCACTTTGGGAGGCTGAAGTGGGTGGATCACCTGAGGTTAGGAGTTCGAGACCAGCCTGGCCAACATAGTGAAACCCTGTCTCTACTAAAAATACAAAAATTATCCAGGCGTGGTGGCTTATGCCTGTAATCCCAGCTACTTGTAAGGCTGAGGCAGGAGAATCACTTGAGCCTGAGAAGCGGAGGTTGCAGTGAGCTGAGATGGCACCACTGCACTACAGCCTGGGTGACAGAGTGAGGATCCATCTCAAAAAAAAAAAAGAAAAAGAAATTTTTTGTCAAATAAAACAGAGGTTTCCTGTGAAGCAGAAAAGGCTAAGTTATAAGTAAGTTTTCTTTATGTCTGCAGAACACAGCAGACCAGGGAAAGTCCTGAATGTATCTTGTATTTCTTGAGCTCCTTTCCTCTCCAGTCTAAGGTTTGCAGACAGGCTTCTATTCACATGCCTGCTAAGTATTTAAACAAGAGGAAAATTATTTCTCAATAACAAGTCTAAAATCTCTATTACAAGCATCAAAAGCAGAAAATACCTACTGGATGATGGCCAGTAGCACCATTTATCACCTACAGCCTTGAAACGTTCTAAGCCATATTAAGTCTTATCAAGAAATTGCCCCACTTGGGCACATATTAACCCTAACGTCCATGATACTTGTTTCTATCTCTGAGAAAATTAACATAAGGAATAGATGGGAAAGGCCTGAAATGAGCTTCTGGGAATCTTATAAAACTAGGTCAAAGGTCCTTGAAGTTCCTCAGAAAAATAAGGAAAATATTAAAGGGATTGAATGTATGGCTTTCCTGAAAAAGGAATTTCTCTGGGACCAAGGCTGCTACCAATTTATGTCCTAAATTTTGTTATCTTGCATGTGGAATTTGGCCAGTCACCTATGTAAGCAATAAGTGCAACTTCTCAATGGATTTACTGCTACTGGGGACAATAAAGATTTTTATGGGAGTACTTTGTCAATTGTTATTTGTTTTGAATCTCTGTTTTATGTCTTCCTGGTTGTAACATATTTTATTGTGTATTTTAGAGTATTAGGTCTTTTATACCTGGACAGTCATTTCTTGTTTGAAGTTATGTTAAATTTAGAAAAAATCTCATATTTTAAAAATATTTATTATAAAGTCATATGCATACATATGTTCATTGCAGCACTGTTCACTATAGCAAAGACATGGAATCAACCTAAATGCCCATCAATGATAAACTGGATAAAGAAAATGTGGTACATATACACCATGGAATACTATGCAGCCATACAAAAGAATGAGATAATGTCCTTTTGAGGGACATGAATGGAGCTGGAGGCCATTATCTTTAGCAAACTAACACAAGAACAGAAAACCAAATACTGCATGTTCTCACTTATAAGTGGGAGCTAAGTGATGAGAACAATTGAACAAATAGTGGGGAACAACACACACTGGGGCCTTTTGGAGGGTGGAACATGGGAGGAGGGAGAGGGTCAGCAAAAGTAACTAAGGGTACTAGGCTTAATACCTGGGTGATGAAATAATCTGCACAACAAACCCCCATTACACAAGTTTACCTCTGTAACAAACTTGCACTTGTACCACTTAACTTAAAATTAAAGTTAAAGGGTGGGTGTGTTAGCTCACGCCTGTAATCCCAGCATTTTGGGAGGCTGAGGCAGGCAGATCATGAGGTCAGGAGATCGAGACCATTCTGGCTAACACGGTGAAACCCCATCTCTGCTAAAAATAAAAAAAAATAAAAAAACTTAGCCGGGTGTGGTGGCGGATGCCTGTAGTCCCAGCTACTCTACTCGGGAGGCTGAGGCAGGAGAATGGCGTGAACCCCAAAGGCGGAGCTTGCAGTGAGCTGAGATTGAGCCACTGTACTCCAGTCTGGGTGACAGAGCCAGACTCCATCTCAAAAAAAAAAAAAAAGATTAAAGTTAAAAAAAGAAAAGAAAACATTATGCCATAAAGTATTTTTATCTTAGATTTTTTAAAAATTAATTGCTTGTTTAATTTTCACAAGATAAATATGTAATGATACCAAGTATACCCGACTCTTCCCTACTATATCCTTTGTTAACGGAAGAATATTTCTGAATCTCTTATTTATAGAAAAAAATAGGAATCATTCTCTGGTTGTAATCATTTTAAAAGGTATAACTACTTTTTGTAAAAGCAGAAAAAATTTGGATTAATTTAACAAATGCATATGAACCAGTGAGAATAAACAATGTTAACATTTGTCATCTTTGTTTAATATCGTTAGTTTTTGTTTTTATTTTTTGAGACAGTTCCCTGTTCTATCACCCAGGCTGGAGTGCAGTGGCACAACTCACTGCAACCTCTACTTCCCAAGCTCAAACAATCCCCCACCTTAGCCTCTTAAGTAGCTGAGACTACAGGCATGTGCCACCATATCTGGATATATATATATATATATATATATATATATATATATATATATATATATATATATATACTTTTTTTGTAGAGATGGGGTCTCGCTATGTTGCCCAGGCTGGTCTCGAATTCCTGGGCTCAAGTGATCCTCTCATCTCAGTCTCCCAAAGTGCTGGGATGACAGGCTTGAGCCACCACACCAGGCCCATCATCAGTTTTTATATAAAGAAAAAAAAACCTTAAAATTGTTAGGCAAATACTATGACAAATTGTAATATATATTCTTACATTTCAGATTTTTATTTTTTAAACTGTATAAGAATTGATTAATAAATAAAATTTAGTATTAATCTGTCTTTTAAAACCATATATAAAGTTTATCAAATAGCTTATAACTTCTTGCAACTGAATTTTTGTATTCAATGTTATGGCTTTGATACTAGTCCAAGTTGAAATATAGATATCTACTTTATTCGATTTAAATTCTGTTTAGTATTTTATTATATTTTGTTAATCCATTTGTCCCAATTCATATACTTATCTCTCTTTCTGTGAATATTCAGGTTAGTTTTTTCTTCCTAATTTTGCATTCTGATTGGCTTTTATTCCCTGAATTATAAATGACTATTCTATGATGATTCTGGTAAATACTCAATTTCACCACACAATCTTTGACTTCATACTAACAAACAGTTGACTTCAAATGGACAATTTCAATGAAGCCTGACTTCATATTTAGCTCCTTTAAGCTTCCTTAGGCATCAGCTCTCTACAATTCTCACATTGAGAATATGTGTATTTTGTTAGCTCAAACCTTGTTAGACATGTTAAATGTTTAGAAATATAAATTTAACCTACCCCTTGAGGTAGGTCTTGAGAGGTTTGTGAGCCTAAAAAGACATGGAGGAACCACTTATTGCCACAAGCACATTGTTCTAAATTATTTGGAATCAGTTAATTCTTCCCCATCTCCTACCCATGCCTGACACCAAAGAGGAGCCTCTAAATTTACAGGGAATACAAGGAAGTCTACTGTTCTCTGCTCCTCTCTGGGTTATTAGGGCACATGGGAGCCCTCAGTTGTTTTCTGCTGAGCAAGAGCAAAGTCCACCTTGGACTTAGACAGCTTGCCAAATTTTTTGCCAGAAGGGGACCTGAGTTGTGACCACTCCCAGTGTGTGCCGGGAAAAGGCTCGTACTGGTGCCAGAATCTCTTACTGTCAATGCTCCCAAAACTCACCGCTTGCCCCCACCCCTTTTGCTTAAATGACGTGGTTCTTATCTCAGATCCTGATATAAAGCTCCTACAGCTACCTGGCCTGAGAAGCCAACTCAGACTCAGCCAACAGGTAAGTGGGCATTACAGGAGAAGGGCGTCTCTAACATGCACTGTAGATCTAAAATCTTCGGGAAGATACAGCATGAGTTTCTGTCCAAGAGGTTTTAGCTGTAATGAAGCCTCAGTGGGATCCAAAGTTGTTTTTCAGTTACTGAGTCTGTATAATCCCCACTCTCAAGAGAAACATTTGAAGGTGTGGGTGTCTCAGAGGACCTTCCTGGTCTCAGAAATTCTGAGAGGAGGTTTTAAGGAAGGTAATAGGTGCTTTGCTCTCCATCTCTCAGAACCCCCTTCTCTGTGTTCTCCTATAGAGATTGTTGATTTGCCTCTTAAGCAAGAGATTCATTGCAGCTCAGCATGGCTCAGACCAGCTCATACTTCATGCTGATCTCCTGCCTGATGTTTCTGTCTCAGAGCCAAGGTAAGATCTCTTTTCCACCAACCAACTCTTTCTAGCCCTGAAGACTTCACTCTATCCCCAAGCATACGGGTCTACTTGAAAAAAAAAAAAAAAGCAGAGTCACTGTTAAGGGTTGTTTTGTGGTGTTTAGTGATCTTTATTGCTGATCTCTTCACATTTATATACATCCACACCTCATTAAGGAGTTGGAGCTAGAATTTAAAATGACCCCTTATAAGCAACTGCTGCAGTTGGCATGAGTTTATCTGATTAAATTTATACGTGATGGTGGATTTGGGGATGTCTGTGTGTAGACAGTCACTAATGGGGTGGAGAACTGAAGAGAGCCTTGTGTTCAGGGAAACCAAGTCAGGCTTGAGAAAGTAGAAGGCTGAGTCCTTCAAGGTAGAAGAGCCTGAGCTCCAGACATAAAAGGGAAACTGGAGACTTGTTTCTTTGGCCTATTCATTCTGTTTTTTTTCCCCTGATCAAAGAAACCAAAGACAGAAGATGTAGGATGCAGGAGCAATAGTGAGCAGTCATCCCATAATAGACTGGATTCTTCTGTTTCTATAAAGGAACCTCAGAAGCTCTTACCTCACCTTCAAGCCTTTTCCTTACCCTGAGAGCCTCCTTTAATTGTCTCTTCTTTTTCAGGCCAAGAGGCCCAGACAGAGTTGCCCCAGGCCCGGATCAGCTGCCCAGAAGGCACCAATGCCTATCGCTCCTACTGCTACTACTTTAATGAAGACCGTGAGACCTGGGTTGATGCAGATGTGAGTGAGGAGAGCAGTGTGGGAAGGGAGACTCATGAAGGGAGGGGAAGCTGCCACTCTCCAGTGTGTTCAGTGGCTGCAATGAGATGAGACTGAACCCCTTGCTATACTATCATCAGCCCCAAACTTTCCAATCTACTTTATCCCATTATTCAGCACATTCCCAGCACAAAGAACCTGGTGGTCAGTGACAGCATCATCACGGACATTACTCTGCTGTCCTTTTTCTGACCCGTCCTCTTGGAGGACTCAGTATATCCGTCACAACTTCCTCCTCCACTGAGTGCTCCATTTTCTTCTGCAACAGCTCTATTGCCAGAACATGAATTCGGGCAACCTGGTGTCTGTGCTCACCCAGGCCGAGGGTGCCTTTGTGGCCTCACTGATTAAGGAGAGTGGCACTGATGACTTCAATGTCTGGATTGGCCTCCATGACCCCAAAAAGGTAGGCTGCAGCCTTCTTTATCTCCTAATGATCAGGTTTGAGAAGTAAGAAGGAGGTTCAAGTTCTGGTCTCTTAAGTACCAGCTTTTATCGCTTTCCAGAAATCAGGCTGTTTACAGATCCTCTAATGTCCTGTGTAGCAAGGTGCACTGTAGATGATTGGAGATATAAGTGGAAGGCTGAATTTCCTAGGTGTTCTTGTCATTCATGAATAAACTTATTCTGTTTTCAGTCAACAAAGCATCTTTATGCACCAACTTCTTACCTATTTTGTTACTGTCAGAGTCACAAGAGAGACTAGATTGCCGACTATATAGGAAAGGAGACTTGTGGTAAAAATCTGCTGCTGTACTGCTGGCATTTGGGAACCTGGTAGTATACTAAATAATATAATATATCAACAACTAATGGTCAGCCAATGCTATGCTGGATATGAGGGTCCTGGGCCACAAAGACAAAAAATCAGGAACCACTTTTTAAGTGAGATACTTTGGGTCTCTGTCAAATTCATAACACTTATTTCTTGGTGGAATACAGTTAATGAGTTGGACAGTTCAGGAAAGAAGTTTAGAGCAATAGCAAAGGAAAGGAAACAATATTTAGCAAGGTTTATTCTTCCTTTGTGTCTTAGCATGTTTCTGAGTGTGCACACAGGCCCAGTGATTCCATGTATTTTTGAGTGACCACTGCCTCTGTTCTGGCCCTTCCCCATCTAGAACCGCCGCTGGCACTGGAGCAGTGGGTCCCTGGTCTCCTACAAGTCCTGGGGCATTGGAGCCCCAAGCAGTGTTAATCCTGGCTACTGTGTGAGCCTGACCTCAAGCACAGGTGAGAGGCAGAGAATCCATCCACCTGTTTCTGTTCTCTCCTGCTTAGCTCCAGGGATGGAACTGGGACTGGGATAGAGGAAAGGTGAACTCCTCATTAAGGAAATGGATGTTTGGTTTTTGTCCTGAGTCCTAAAGCCAGGAGGGTCATACTCTTTCGGGTCTCCCAGTTGTAACTCTTCTCATTGACTTATAGGATTCCAGAAATGGAAGGATGTGCCTTGTGAAGACAAGTTCTCCTTTGTCTGCAAGTTCAAAAACTAGAGGCAACTGGAAAATACATGTCTAGAACTGATCCAGCAATTACAACGGAGTCAAAAATTAAACCGGACCATCTCTCCAACTCAACTCAACCTGGACACTCTCTTCTCTGCTGAGTTTGCCTTGTTAATCTTCAATAGTTTTACCTACCCCAGTCTTTGGAACCCTAAATAATAAAAATAAACATGTTTCCACTATTGTGCTGTCTTACTGTGTCTGCTATTTCCACAGCTGATGCCTGGGTGGTTGAGATGAGAGTGATTACAACAAAGCTTGCTCTGGCCTATCCACTTCTTAAAAGTCCATCCGCATACCATGCATATTGGAATTCAGTATTTATGAACATATGTGGCTTTGCTTATGACAAGGTTAACAAGATGGAGATTGACCAAAAACTCACATGCTGGCATATCTCAAAGATTTTTGCATTCAGTTCCAGATCACTGTAATAAGGGTAATGTCACAGAAAAGCAAGTTACACAGGTTTTTTTTTTTTTGCTTCCCTTTGCATATAAATGTTTTACTGTAGTCTATTATACGAGCAATAGCATTATATCTAAACAGAAATATACATACTTTAATGAAATAGTATTTTATTGCTAAAAAATGCTAACAATCATCAGCGTCTTCAGCAAGTAGTATTCTTTTGCTCGTGAATGGTATTGCCTCAATGTTGATGGCTGCTGCCTGAGCAGGGCAGTAGTTGCTGAAGGTTAGGGTGGCTGTGGAAGTTTCTTAAAATAAGACTACAATGAAGTTGGCCACATTGATTTGATTCTTCCTTTCATGAATGATTTCTTTATAGCATGTAGTATTGTTTGATAGCATTTTTCCCACAGTACAACTTCTTTTAAATTGGAGTCGGCCTCTCCAAACCCTGCTGCTTCTTTATCAACTAAGTTTATATGTTGTTCTAAACCCTATGTTGTCATTTTAACAATGTTCACAGCACCTTTGTCAAGAGTGGATTCCATTTCAGGAAACCACTTTCTCTGCTCATCCATAAGAAGCTGCTCCTTATCCTTTCAAGTTTTATCATAAGATTGCAGCGGTTCAGACACCTCTTCATGCTGCATTTCTAATTTTAGTTCTCTTGATATTTCCACTACATTCACAGTTACTTCCTTCATGGAAATCTTGATCCTTTCAAAGTTATCCATGAAGTTGGAATCAGCGTCTTCCAATCTCCAGTGAATAATGATATATTGACCTCCTCCCTTAAATAAAAAATGTTCTTAATGGTATCTAGAATGGTGTATTCTTTCCAGATGGTTTTCAATTTACTTTGCCCAGATCCTTCAGAGGAATCACTATGTATGGCAGCTATAGCTTTGTGACATGTATTTGTTAAATAATAAGAATTGAAAGGTGAAATTACTTTTTGATCCCTAGGCTGCAAAACAGATTTTGTATTAGAAGCAGGCATGAAAAAGTCCTAAATCTTCTTGCATATATCTGTGTTCCTAGGTGACAAGGTGCATCATCAATGAGCAGTAATATTTTTGAAAAATCTTTTTTCTCATACATAGGTCTTAACAAGTAGGATTAAAATATTCAATAAACTATGCTATAAACAGATGCTCTCATCCAGGCTTTAGTGTCGCCGCCTTTATTATCTTAGCTAGATCTTCTGGATAACTTGCTAAAGCTTCTCCATCAGCACTTGCTGCTTTACCTTGAACTTTTATGTTATGGAGACAGCTTCTTTCCTGAAACCTCATAAAGCAGCTTCTGCTAGCTTCAGACTTTTCTTAGGCAGTTTCCTCAACTCTCTCAGCCTTCACAGAATGTTGCTGACTTTCTCCAAGTCAGCAATAAGGACGTGCTTTTTAAATTATTTGTGTGTTCACTGGAGTAACACTTTTAACTTTCTTCAAGAACTTCTCCTTTTTATTCACGACTTGGCTGTTTGGGACAAGTGGCCTCATTTTTAGCCTATCTCAGTTTGGACATGCCTTCCTCACTAAGCTCAATCATTTCTAGCTCTTAATTTAACTCAAATGATGTGCAATTCTTCCGTTCACGCGAAGAATTAGAGGCCATGGGAAAGTTATTAATTGGCCTAATTTCAATATTATTGTGTTTCTGGGAATAGGGAGGCCAGAGAAAAGGGAGAGAGCTGGGGAAGTGACCAGTGAGTAGTCAGAACACACGCATTTATTGATTAAGTTTATAATTTTATATGTTTCATTGAAGCCAAGAATAATGATAATAGTAACATCAAAGATCACTGATCACAGATCACCACAACAGATATAATAATAATAGTAAAGTTTTAAATATTGCAAAATTACCAAAATATGACCCAAAGACTTGAAGTGAGTACATGATATTGGAAAACAGCACTGATAGACTTGTTCAATGTAGAGTTGTCACAAACCTTCCATTAAAACAAAAACCAAAAACGCAGTATCTATCAAGCACGATAAAATGACGTATACTTGTATTCACATAAACCCAGTTCAAGTTACAGAAGTGATTGTTAATGGTCTACAGATGGCTGAAGTATTTGATATTCATGAGAAATTTGTATAGTTACGGTATGAGGATGTCGCATCTTTGCTCCATATGCAAATTGAAGCCACAACGGAAATGGGTAATTTAAGGAAAATTTTCAGATCTAGAGAGTGCTGAATGCATAGTGGAATAACCTAGAGACTTGGAATCCAGCAACAGTTGTTACATGGCTCTCCTTGAATACATAATAAATCAGTAAATAGTTAAAATATCCAGGCATACTTAGTTACCTCCTTGAAGATTATATCTCCAGATCCAGTCAAATCCTGAAGTTCTGAGTCTAAGGAGTTTAACAGATTCATTTTGTGAAGACCCAATTCAGACCATAACACCATCCATATCAATAGTACTATTACATGTGATTTGATGAAACAATCCAATTAAAAACACAGGTTGTTCGATTAAAACAACCACCACAATAACAAAATCAGGATCCAACTATGTGGTATCTATAGGAGATCTGGCATAAATTTACAGAGTTACTAAATGTTTTCTTTCAAGTGTTTGATAGTTTTATCTCTTAAATATAAGTCTATATTTCATTTTGAATCAATCTCTATATACAGTGTAAGAAATAGAACCAAATGCATTCCTTAGCATATAGCTATTTAGTTGCTCCAGCACCACTTGCTAAAGAGTATTCTTCCCTCTTGAATTTCCATGACACAGTTGGCAACAAACAACTAACTATAAGGCTAAAAGTTTATTTCTGACATCTGCATTCTATACCACTAACTCACGTTTGTCATTATGACAATTCTACACAATCTTTATCACTTTAGCTTTGTAATAAGTTCTAAAAATCTGAAACTGTAACTGTAAGAACTGGTGTTCTTTACCAAAGTTGTTTTGTCTATTCTAGACCAATATTGTTTTGGCTGTTCTGAATTTCCATATGAATATTAGGATCAACTTGACAATTTCTGCAAGAGGCAGCTGGGACTTTCATGGGGATTAAAACAAATCTGAAGGTCAATTTAGAGAGTACTTTCACCTTAATATTTAGTCCCTGATCCATGAACACAAACTCTCTTTTCACTTCGTTAGGTCTCTCTACTTTCATTTAACAATGTTTTGTAGTTTCTAGTGTACAAGATTTGCACTTCTTTTAAAAATTTTTCTTAAAATGTTATTTGTTTTGATATTATTGTAATGAAAATGTTTTCTTGATATTATTTTAAATTGTTTATTCCTACCATATGGTTTTTCCTAGAGAATATATCTTGTGTGCTCGAGAAGGATGTGTGTTTTGCTGACATTAGGTGAAGCGTTCATTCTATATATGTTTGTATGGTTTAGTGAATTTAGAATATATTTAAAGTGTTCTACTTTCTTGTTGATCTTCTAAGTATTCTACCCATTAATAAAAGTGTGCATTGAAGACTCCAACTACAACTGTTCAATCACCTGTTTCTCCCTTCACTTCTCCCAGATTTTGCTTTATGCATTTTGGGACTCTGTTGTTATTTGCACAGGTATCTACAATTATTACACCTTTCTGAAAGACTAACCACTTTCTCATTATAAAACGCTCCTCCTTTCCTCTAGTAACACTTTCTGCTTTAATGTCTAACATGTCCAGTAACATTTTTTGCTTTAGTGTCTAACATGCCTGTCGTTAGAACAGACACTTCAGTGTTCTTATGGTTGCTGTTTGTATGACATATCTTTTCCTGATTTTTTACTTTCAAACTACTGTATCTGTTTCATGAAAGGGCCATATATGTGAAGCAACTGGCAAATGAAGGAGGAGATGAGAAGAGAAAGAACAAGGCAAACAAATCCAGTTTGTCTGTAAGGGGTGATTTATTAGAGAACTTACAGACAGAAGTGTGGTCTTGGTGGCAGCAAGACAGGCAGATCTCTGAACCATAACTTCCCAGGCCCAGTGCTTATACACCATAGGGAAAGGGGGTGCATGCTTTGTAGGGACAATTAAAGGCAGCCTTCCAGAACAAGGAAAAATGCTCTATGTGTCATAATTTGTAATTTGTATGATAATATTAAGGTTGCTTTGCTCTAAAGGAAAGATGTAGAGTGAGTGCATATTCTTGCACCAAAGACAGTAAATAAGCCAGGCATGGTGGCTCACACCTGTAACCCCAGCTTTTTGGGAGGCCAAGGGAAATGGATTGCTTTAGACAGGAATTTGAGACCAGCCTGGGCAATATGGTGAAACCCTGTCGCTACTAAAAATACAAAAATTAGCCGGATGTGGTGACATGAGGTGCGCCTGTCATCCCAGCTACTGAGGAGGCTGAGGCAGGGAGATCACTGGAACCCAGGGGGACAGAAGCTGCAGTGAGCTGTGATCATGCCACTGCACTCCAGCCTGAGTGACAGGAGCAAGACCCTGTCTCAAAAAAAGAAAAAAAAGGAAAGACAGTAAATAAAGAAAGAATCAGGAGGTATTCCTGGGACTGGGGTTAAGCAGAAGTCAATATAGCAGATTAGCTTCCAAGATGGAGTCACTTTTGTCTCCATACTCCACAGCTCTAATCAGGTTCTTATAATCTCACACACCCACTTGTTCCACAATGGTCCCTGAGCTGGGGATAGGGTAGGGTGGGGGGCACTGCAGTCATTTTGATGGTGTGGGTAACACGTTACATCAATTTGTTTTCACATGTAAGCAGAGGCTACAGCAGTAATATGAACAACAGGTGATGATACCTATGCTACGTATAAGAAACAGAATTAATAATGCCTTTTGCCACCATGTTCTCCAGGAGCCAAAAAAAAAAAAGAGGAGAGCCTTTGGGAGAAAGGGTAGAGTCAGAAAGAAAAGGCAGTTATTTGTTCATGCGTGTCCTGTAGTACTGAAGTTATATTGCTGGAATTATTAAGAATTTTATTATTATATTAATAATGTTAAATATTAATATAATAGTAAATAATAATATAATAATAATATTAAATTATTAAGAATATGTACACAGCATTCAGCCTTCATAATGGCACAAGTCCCCCCTTGTGCACCATTAAGACATCTATTGCTGAAAAAACAGATTAACATGCCTTCCGTTTTATACTGCAAGGTAGAGGAAACATTCCTCAGTCAGACATTTCATAAAACATTTAGGTAAAGGAGACACAACTACTTTACATAAAGCCTGTTTATATATTTTAACTTTCATAATCCTATTAACCTTTATATTTTTATATTCTAGGATCCAGGAACTTCTTTTCTCCATCCCCAGACCATTTTACTTTTTTTCTGTGGAAAAGCATTTGGGTTCAGAGACTTAGGCTCTTTAATGCCGGGGGGCTAGGAGGGGCTCCTTTTGGTCCACTCAACCTTCAATCGTGTTGTATGAAGACCTTTGTTTTAATCCTACTAATTTCCATTTTATTCTTTCCATTTTTTAATAATCATCTAAAGATTTTCACCCTGCTGCCTGAGTCCCATGTCTCTCCCGTTTCTTTTTCCTCTCAGTTTCATCACTATCAATGTTTTCTTCATTCACCTTGTTTCTTAATATTTGTTTAAAAATGTCTACCTTTCTGAGATGGGTCCATCCACTCTCCCTCCTGCCTTCCCCCATTCTCTTGTTTATAAACTTAGTGTTTTTATTAACATCTGTGAGACCCATGAAAGGAAGCTCAGACAGCAAATTTGATACGGCTTCTTGAACTGATATTTAACTCTGCAGGAGTAAAGTCACATGAGGTTCCCATGTGGAAGGGGTCACCTTAACCACAGCATTTACTCTGACCTAAGTAATGGCCATACTCAGTGGCGAATATCCCTGTCATCATAAAGCCAGGCCTATGCGGCTTTCATAGAAAACATATCAACTGCTTTTTCTAAAGTGCTTTACTTGGCATTTACAGGGAGAGCTGGACTGCTCCTTTCCTCAGGATAAACAGATCTCACAACGGCTTTCATCCAACCCACCGGGCTGGCGGTTCCCTCAGGATTTACCTCATGTGTGTCTGGATCATTTATACCCATTTGCAATTGTTCAATAGTGAGTTGTGGGTCCTGCATTAACCCAAACATGCTGTTTCACTCTGCAGCATTTGAAACCAAAGATACTGCTCCTAAATTAATTACTCTCAGAAACCATTTATTTAAGTTTTCTCAAAAAGCTAATGATGCTGATCTGCAACAGGAAAAAATTCTTTCACACTATATCCTCTTGTTCCAATAGTTACTGGTTGTTCCTTCTCTCATATTGACTATCTTTTTGGTAACCACTGGTCTGAGGTACTTTCTTTTGTCCTGGAATAATCTTCCCTTTTGTGGGTAGCTTTGAGGTTAGTGGCATGACCTCAGACAGGCCCACATCAAAACTTGCTCCAGCCTTAAGTTCCAACCCAGCACTCTCTTTTACTTTCATTTTAACTATTATATATTACAATAACCAAGGGATTGAATATTTTACTTTTTGCTTATTAGTTTTCATTTTCTAATGCATCCAGTGAATCAACTCCCTGGAAATGCAAGGTATTAGAATGTGAGAGTGCTTGCTGTTGTGCCTTCAAAATGCCATTTTCCATTTCAATCAACCCTGCTACTTGGGGATTATATGGCATGTGAAATCTCCAGTCTATATCTTTTTCATGTGCCCCATCTTGGACATCATATCCAGTAAAACGCATGTCTCCATTGTTATCAATGCATGGAGTGTATCCATACATGTCAGTGAATTTTTCCAAGCCCTTAATGATGGTTGTTTGGTTTGCCATTTTTCTAGGGAAGGCTGCAACAATCTCTTGGCAGTATGTACACACACGTTAGTGCATGCTTTTGTTCCAGGATGCCTGACAGGGGTCTGATGTAGTCTATCTGCCAGGTTCTTACAAGAGCAGCTGTCCTATGTGTGTATGTGTATATATTCACCTTGTTTCTGTCCAGGTGTTTGCGGGACATGGCAGGGGCAGTTCATTACTGTCACCACTAAATCTGCATAGTAGAGGGGCAATCTTGTTCCCTTTGCTATTTGTCAGCACACTCCTGCAATGTGATGCCCACTGTGTTTATGGACCAATCAGCTAGTTCGGGTAATTGCAAGGGAGCTGGTGTTCTAATTTTTGCTAGAGTATCAGCTTCCATGTTTCCAGGAGGTGAATCTGACTGTTGTTGAAACATGATACACAGTTAAGCTTGCAGTGAGTTCTTGCAGCCTTTCCCAAACGTCTTTCCACATAGCAGCTCCCCAGAAGACTTTCAAAGCACGTGTCAGTCATCTTGGGCCCTTTGGGCAAGCCAATTGTAAGACCTTTAAATACTGCCCAATTATATGTACAGAGAACTATAGGCAGTGGCTCATGGGTACAAACCAACCATGCACCTCAGAGTTCTTCCCACTGCTTTGCTACATTCCTATCTCAAACCAGATAGTATCTGTCCGTGGTTGTACAGCTACTGCCATCCATATACAAGGGTTAGCTCTTGTCAATTGGAGCACCACACATTTTCAGGAATGGGGGCTGTGCCTTTGTGCACTATTGGAGGCATCTCCTGTGGAGGCTCCTCAATAAGGGCAGCACTGGTCCCATCGATAGCACTGGCCCCATATATAGCACTGGCTCTAAGATAGCATGCAGTTCATTCCCAAGGGACTCACGGAGAAGGCACTATGTTGTTGCAGGGATACATGCCACTTTTGTAAAGTGGAGGCTTAGAGAATAGCTGATACAGGCCTGGGACACAACTCTTCTACCCAACTGATCCCCTCAGGCCTTATGTTCGCATTCAAAGACATTGGCACCCTGGGAAGAGATGACCTAAGGCTTGTGCCTGAGCCACTAATATTTTAGCCTTCTCAAATGCGTCTTCTTGTTCTTTATCCCAGCAACAACTAGATCCCTTCTTCACTAGTCAGTATAGAGCATGAAAACGTTGCGCTAAAAGTGTAATGAAAGCCTGCCAATATTCCAAAAGACCTAGGGAACTTTGCAACTGTTTAAATGCTTTAGGCATGGCAAACTGTATTTTATGAATGATTGTCCCTGGGATAAGGCATGTCTTACCCAACCAAGTGCCCCTAGGAACTGCTCAGCCAATCGTGGTCCTTGTATCATTTGTGAATTGATGGCCCATCCTCTGGATTGGAGAAGAGTGCACAATGCATGGAGGTGCTGCTGTAGCAATAGCGAGTCTTCAGAAGTTGGCATAATATCATTGTTATAATGAAACTGTTTAACAGCAGGTGGCAGTGAACACAAAGTTAAATCTCTAGCAATCACTCCATGACAAATAGTGGGGCCGTGGAAAAAACTCTGGGGCAACACTTGGAATGTCCATTGTTTGCTGTTCCAAGTAAAGGCAAATTGGTTCCCTGAGTCAGGGTGCAAAGCGCTATTTTGGTATTATTTGCTCTATCACTTAGATTATGTTAGGTATAGTGATGTGTATCTCTAGAACCATCTTATTTAGTTCCTGGTAGTCTACTCTCACGTTCCAGGTGCCATCAGGTTTTCTTACTGGCCGTACAGGACTCTAGAAAGGACTGTGGAATGGCCATATAACATTAACTTTGGCCAGCTCCTGCATGGTGCCTGTCATTTCTTTTATCTCACAAGAAAGATGGTATTGTTTCACATTAATAAACACAGTGGAGGAGGAAGGTGTACCCCTTCCCATTTTGCTTCCCCTCTTAAAATAGCTTTTACCACCCAAACTCATGGGCTAAGTCCCTCACAGACATTTGTAAAGTGCATTCTAAATGGACATCCTTACGGAAGATGTTTTATGGAATAAATGAGATACAAACATATAATAAGTGGGGGTACTCTGTCCAATACAAATGAGGAAAGGAGTTTGTTTCACTCAAATTGTTCGCTCCCCTTAACCATCCACAGCTGCTCACTTACCAGGATGTCTCTTTGGGTTTCCATGAATTATGGTGCATTTTTCACCTATGTCTACTAAGGCTAAGCCTTTCTGCTTGTTTTTTGGACTTCAATAGATTGTGAGATCCACATGGGGCCTGTTTGCCCCCTGTTGCTGGCAGGAGGAGGCAACAGTCTCTAGGCTGGGGAGGAGTTGCCCCTGGAATGCAGAGATTGGGGTTCTTTTATGTGAAGTTTCCTCGTCTACTCTCTATTATGGTGGGGCACTAGGAAGTAGTCTAACATGTTGATCAGGTGCCAGGTTTTTCCAAAGGCCCACTAATACGGCATTGTGTTTCTGATCTATTTTTTGTCTTCTCCAGCTGAGATCAGATCATACCATATCTGCTTCCTGGTAATCCTAACTAGGCCATTCATTCCTCCCTTTTTTAGTCTGGCAGACTTGGCTTCTTCTTCTCCACCCCCTCCCCCACCTTTTTTTTTTTTTTTTTTTTAGCAAACAGACAGACCTTATCTCTTTCCTTTTCATTTTTTCCAAGATTAGCTACAGCTTCCTCATGTAATATATATCTTGTCCCAGAAGAGGGCTTAAGAGGCATAGGAAAGAACCATAGCAATTCCAGGGGTGGTGGGGACGGGGCAGCTTGCAACAACTTATTATTATTATATATATATATATATTTTTGCCTATGGTAAACACGGCCTTATTTGGTCCTGCAAATTGCTGGGCATAGATGGCCTGAGCATGACCAACTCCTTTAAATTGGTCCTTGTTTCCTCCAGAGTTCACCTTACCAGAGTTTGACCCGGAAAGTCCCCTTCATTTGGCCAAGCCTCTGTCACAGCCAGGATAATCTGGTCTATAAGACTGTGCTTGCTCTCAGCAGTTCCAGCACTATGCAATGCTGTCTCAAAGCAGATTGGGTGGTTACAGTACTCATTGTATCAGCTTCACTTTCTGCTAAGGAAATGCCATTCACGCTAGGTTTTCTTCGCTGCATCATCCATGTGGCTCAGCTTTCTATTGGCTGCTCTTTGAAAGTTTTTGCTATGTTCAATAATTCTGCCAAGGTGTAATTTTGGACATTGAAGTTTTCCTGAAAAGGTTGTCCATTACCAGCTGGCTGCAGGCGTTGGGCTTTTGTTTTCCATTGCATGAGAGGTCTTGCTCTCAAAAGGGAAGGATAATTATCCTCCTCCTCCTGAGGTATGTCTTCATCTCACTCACTATTTGGTTCCTAAGGACAACAAGTCTTAGCGTTCCAGTCCAATTTAGGAAGAACAGCTTGCACTTTTGGCCAACACAGCTCTCTCCCATCTAACCATATAAAGCAGCAGGCTAGGGGTTCCAGGTGAGTATCCTGAGTTTTGAGCTTATCTGCCAGACTAGATGCAAACATGGACGTGGAGGTCCACATATCCTTTTCTAATGGTAATTCTTCCTCTAGTCTTAGTACCTTCATCTTAGCTGCTAACTACACTTCTGTGGCCATTCCCACAATCCGTAACAGTGGCCAACCCTCTGTCTCAGCCACCTGGTGAACTTCCTTACCCCAGTGAGCTGTAAGATGTTCTACTAACAAGCATTCTAGACCCTCCAGCATTTTCAGGGCATCTCTGTACTCACATGATGGTCCACAGGCATCTAGCAAGTAGCCAACACCACCCCACATAGATGAGGGGAGCCTGCCAGGATTTCCTCCACGTATGTTTCCTGCCTTTTGCCCAAACTTTGGTTCCTGGACCCCTATTGACTGACTCCCCAGTTGTTTCATAAATGACCATATATGCAAAGCAACCACCAAACACGAAAGGAGCCAAGAAACTAAAGACTGAGGCAGAAGAGTCCAGTTTGTCAGTAAAGGGTGATTTGCTGGGGAACATACAGACAGAAGTGTGGTCTTGGCGGCCACCGACAGGGAGATCTCCACACTGTTACTCCCTGGCCCCAGGGCTTATGTACCGCAGGGAAAGAGTGCACGTGCTCTATACAGACAATTAGAGGCAACCCTTCCAAACAGACAAGAATGCTATGTTCACTATAGCCTATCATTTGTGCAAAGACCTCAAGATTGTTTTTTTCTAAAGGCAAGATTTCTAGTAAGTATATGTTCTTACCCTAAGGACAGTAAATAATGTAGGAATCAGGAAGCATTCCCACGACTGGGGCTAATCAAAAGTCAACATGGCAGATTAGCACCCAAGATGGAGTCACTTTCATCTCCACAGTGTCTGTGAATCTAAGTCAATTTATTCATAGCTCATAAATAGATTTTGTTGTTGTTTTAATTCAGACTAACAATATGTGCCTTTTGATTGCATTGTTTTATTAAATCCCAGGTAATAGTATTATTGATGCTGTTGGTGTTATGGGCTGAATGGTGTTCCCACAAAATTAATTCATTAAAGTCCTAACATCAGTACTTCAGAATTTGACTGTATATGAAGATAGGATTATTAAATAACTATGCCTGAGTATTTTATTAATCTAATTTATTATTCATTTAGCCGTTCATTCCAGGAGTGCCATTTAACCAACATTGCTGGCCACCAAGCCTCTAGTCATTCCAACACCAATGCATTCAACACTGTAGACCTGACAATTCTCAAATTATCACTTCAGTCATAGCTTCAACTTGTATAACAAAGCACAGATGTGCCTTCCTCAGGTCACAGGTATGTGAACCTCTTTAGAGTACCAAACACTCCAGTCACTTGTAAATCAACAGTAATAATTTCTCTGACACTGGGTCCATGGAAATATGTGGGTGGTGAGTGAAATCCTTATCTTCTTAACATTGTCATAAGCAAGGCCACCATATGTTCATAAACCCTTGAGTCCAACATGCATGATATGTGGACAAAGTTTTTAAAAGTGAATGGGCCGAAGCAACTTCTAGAGTGCTACAATCACTGCCATCCCAACTACCCAGGCATTAGGTGGGGAAATAGCAGACACAGAAGACAGCACTATGGGGGAAACATGTTTATTTTTATTGTTTAGGGCTCCAGAAATTGAGGTAGGTAAAGATACTAAAGATCAGTCATGCAAATTTAGCAGAGGAGAGATGGTCCAGATTGATATGGAGAGAGATGGTCCAGTTTAATTCTTTTACTCCATAGTAACTGGTAGACCAATTCTAGACGTCCATTTTACAATTGCCTCCAGTATTTGAACTTGCAAACAAAGGAGAACTTCTCCTTACAAGAATCATCCTTCCATTTCTTGAATCCTATAAGACAATGAGAAGATTCAGACTGAGGGGATCAGAGTGTATTACCCTCCTGGCTGCAGGACTCAGCAAAAATAAAGAGGAAACACTCCTCTATTTCCTGAATGAGGAGCTCACCCTTCCTCTATCCCAGTCCCCGGTCGATCCTCAGAGATAAATAGGAGAGGATGGCAATAAGTGTGTGGATTCTGTGCCTCTCACCTGAGCTTGAAGTCAGGCTAGCACAGTAGGCAGTATTGGCACAGCTTGGGGATCCAATGTCCCAGGATTTGTAGGAGACCAGGGACCCACTACTCCACTGATAATGGCAGTTCTAGATGGGGAAGGGCCAGAACAGGGGCAGACGTGACTCAGAAAGAGACAGAAACACCTGGTTTGTGTTCGCACTCAGAAACAGGTCAAGACATAAGACAAGAATAAACCTTCCTTTTTCTCTAAGTGTCATATTATTTCCTCCACATTTTCTCTAAGCTGCTTCTTTCCTGGAATGTTCACCTACCTCTCTGTGTCCTGCCAAACGATAAGTGTTCTAAATTTGCCACAGGGAACCATGACACCTCATTATTGAAACTAGTTCCTGGTTTTTCTTTCCTGAGGCCCCAAAAGTTCATATCCAGCATAGCATTAGATGGCCATTAGTTGTTGATATATTATTTAGTATACCTTGCGGTTCCCAATTGCCAGCAGTAGATTCTCCTCCTCTATAATCTTTTTCTATATGGTCTACAGAAGGCTCTTCTATAACAGAGATGATAACACAATAGATAAGAGGTACATAATAGATACATAAAGATGCTACCCTAGAAGTACAGAGAATGAGTTTATCTGTGAATGCCTGAAACACACAGGAAATTCAGCTTTAAGCTTATCTCGAAGAACCTATGGAGAACCTTGATATCCTTTACATTATATGATTTATAGAGAGGTTGCTTTTATCATAATATAGTAAAAACTGATGCTTGAGGTGCCAGACATCAGACCCTCTGGAACCTGATAATCAGGAGGTAGAAGATGCAGCAGACTGATCCGGTGGGGGTCATGGAGGCCAATCCAGACATTGCTATCCTTGGTGCCACTCTCTTTAATCAGCGAAGCCACAAAGGCACCCTCAGCCTGGGTGAGCACAGACACCAGGTTACCTGAATTCATGTTCTGGCAGTAGAGCTGTTGGAGAAGAAAATGGAGCACTCAGTGAAGGAGGAAAGTGTGGGAGACATATTGAGCCCTCCCAGAGGATGTAACAGAAAAAGGACAGCACAGAAATGTCCCTGATGATGCTGTCACTGACCACCAGCATCTCTGTGCTGAATGATGGGATAAAGTAGATTGGAAAGTTTTGGGCTGATGATTGGATAGGGAGGGGATTAGTCTCATCTCATATCAGCCACTGAACACACTGGAGAGTGGCAGCTTCCCCTCCCTTCGTGAGCCTCCCTTCCCACACTGCTCTCCTCACTCACATCTGCATAAACCCAGGTCTCATGCTCTTCATTAAAGTAGTAGCAGTGGGAGCCTTAGGCACTGGTGCCTTCTGGGCAGCTGATCTGGGCCTTGGGCAACTCAGCATGGGCCTCCTGTCCTGGGAAAAGAGAGACAATTAAGAAAGACCCTCAGGGCAAGGTAAAGGCTAAAATATGAGGTAGGAGCTTCTGAGGATTCTTTATAGGAATAGAAGGATCCTATAGGTCACGAAGCGATTGGTCACTTCTGCCCTTCTGCATCTTACCTATAGGCTCTCAAGATGTCTTTGCTCAAGACAAGAGCACACAATGAATAGGCTCATGAAAAGTGTCCCCATTGTCCCTTTTACTTATGGCTTTTTCTTCCTTGAAGGACTGAGGCTTCTTTCTCAAGCCTGTCCAGTTTCTCTACACACAAAGCTCCCCTCAGTTCCCCATTCCACTAATGACTGTCTACAAACAGACATCCTCAACCCCCCCATCATGAGTAGTGTTAATATGACAAACCAATGCCAACTGCAGTGGTCACTGATAAAGGGTTATGCTAAGTTCCATCTCTAACTCCTTAGGGAGGTCAGGATGTTTTTGAATGGGATGAGATCAGCAATAAATATCACTGAACAACACAAGACAACCCCTGAACTTGACTCTGCTTTTTCTCAAGTGAACTCATATGCATGAGGATAGAGTGAGGGCTTCAGGGCTGGGGTTGTGGGAGGTATGTGTGGGGAAAACAATCTCACCTTGGCTCAGAGACAGGAACATCAGGCAGGAGATCAGCATGAAGCATGAGTTGGTCTGAGCCATGCTGAGCAGCAGTGAATCTCTTGCTTAAGGAGCAAATCAGCAATCTCTATAGGAAAACACAGGGAAGAGGGTTTGAGAGAATGAGAGCAGAGCACCTATTACCTTCCTTATTTCCTCCTCTGAATTCCTGACAGCAGGAAGGTCCTCTGAGATATCTACATTCCCATATATTTCTCTTGAGAATCTGGAAACTATACAGGCTCAGTAATCCAAAATAACTTTGGCTTCTACTGAGGCTTCGTTACTGCTGACACCTCTTGGACAGATGACGCTGTATCTTCCCCAAGATTTTAGATTACAGCCCTTGTGAAAGGTACCCTTCTCCTGTAATGCCCACTTACTTGTTGGCTGAATCTGAGGTGGCTTTTCAGGCTAGGTAATGGTAGAGATGTATAACAGGATCTGAGAGAAGAGCCACAGTATTTAAGCCGGGGTGGAGCAAGGAGTGAGAGACAGCGGTTCTACAGAGGGCATTGACAGTAAGAGGTTCTGGCATCAAGAGGAGCTCTTCCTGGCATATCCTGGGAATGGCCACAGATGAAGTCCCTTCCCCTAAACTGGAAACCTTTCCAAGTTCAAGGCAGACCTTGCCCTTGCTCAGCAGAAACCAGATGTCCTATCCTGCAGCCCTGAAGATCCAGCAAGCAGCTGAGACCTTCCAGGAATCTTGGCAGCTGTTATGCAGGCTAGGCCAGCAGTAGTAGAGGCAGAGAGAGTGAGAACCTGGAGTAGGGCCGTCTTTGAGACACAGGGAGAAGGGAGCTGCTGAATGGTTATGGAGCATCCCTGTTTGGAGCAGTGGGGCAAATAGAGTTTAAAATATTGGTAACTTAATTGACTTTTCCAATACTGTACTATGGAAGAAAGCAGAGCTAAAACTCAATTCTTCTTTTTTTCTCCTTCGTAGTCTAATATACTGTTGTTGTTGCTGTTGTTGTTGTTGTTTGTTTGTTTTGGTCTCTGAGCACCCTCCACTTGCAGGTTCTGTCAGTCCATGTATGGTCAGTCCTTCTGCACTGTCCATTTCCTGACAAGACCACTGCCTGCATCACCCTGTTATAACCTTTATGTACTTCTCAAACCATTCATGCATTTCAATTTGGACTGTCCCACAAGTAGCTGAAAAGCCTATGCTTTCCTTCCTCTGTTGAGCACACTTTTAAAACCATCAAGATCACTCTCTATCTTTTGCAAAAGGAGCTCCAGGTTCTTTCTGAGAATCTCCCTTACTGGATTTGCTGGCTTGCCTTCTGATCCTACCATCCAGTAGAATTTCCTATTGGTTCTTTTCAACATTGGCATTTTCTCTACTTAGCCAATTAAAGAACACAATAGGGCCAGACCTAAGAATTTTCCTTCATGTTGTCTCCTTAGCATAGATTAAAATAGCCTTATAATGCACCAGAAGATAGGTTAAGATCTGTTCATTAAAATTTTAGAGGAACCAGGTCTTTGATCTTTGGAGAAGGTAATTATAACTCACAAGAGGATTCCAGACTAATCCCCATATATGTTTTTCCCCTGTAAAGTCAGTTTATTAGTTTAACTTGGCTGTGTGACAAACTTTCACTCTCATTCAGATTATTGACTGAATTCAGTTCCTTGTAGTTGTAGAGTTGTAGCACTGAGGTTCCCACTTCCTTGCTGGCTATCAGCTTAGGTGCCAGTCTCAGCTAGATTCCTTGGTACAAGAACCTCTCCATCTTCTAAGCTAGCAACAGGACAGTGAATTCTTTTTGGCCTTTGAATTTCTTGACTTCCCCTTATGCTGCCAGTCAGAGAAAATTATCTGCTTTCAAATGGCTCACGTGATTAGACTGGGCCCCTCCAGGAATCTCCCAAAACCTGCTTTCTTATTGATACAAGGTCAATGAATTAGTAACCTTCATTGTATCTTCAAGAATCCCTTTTTCCATGTAATATAACATAGTTGTGGTTTTTCAATCTCATCCTATTTACAGGTTCTGCTCACATTCATAGGGCACACATTACATAACATCAAGGGTCATGGGGGTCATAATTCTGCATAGCACAGCATGGCAAATAATTCATGCTCCTCTGCGATGAACCTCACTCAAACTTGTATAAGGGGAACAATTACTCTATTTCCCACATGAAAGAATCAAAAGGCTTCATACCTAAGACATTTCCTCTGGACTTTCATGTTCATGCCCTTTCAGCTAATGTCCCCCTCCTCCAACTAATCCCCACTTGCATAATACTTCATCCCCTAACGATTTATCTTCATATCTTTTGATTAAATTCAAATTACTCAATTTATGACTGCTAATCCTCAGGAACAGTCCCTCTATCCTTGATGGTGGCTGAAGTACCCTTGCTAAAGCCCCATAAAACATTTCACCTTCCTGCCCCAAGTCAGAATGGCCCTTGGGACTCTTCTTAGGCCAAGAACATTTTCTTTTCTTTTTTTCTTTTTTTTTTTTTTTTTGAGACGGAGTTTTGCTCTGTCGCCCAGGCTGGAGTGCTCACTGCAAGCTCCGCCTCCCGGGTTCACTCCATTCTTCTGCCTCAGCCTCCCGAGTAGCTGGGACGACAGGCACCTGCCACCACGCCCGGCTAATTTTTTGTGTTTTTAGTAGAGACGGGGTTTCACCGTGTTAGTCAGGATGGTCTCGATCTCCTGATCTCGTGATCCACCCGCCTCGGCCACCCAAAGTGCTGGGATTACAGGCGTGAGTCACCGCGCCCAGCCAGAACATTTTCAAATAAAGTCTTATGCTACTGACGCTTTGTAGCTATCCCATCTAGGTTTGTGTAAGTACAGTCTTTGATGTTCACGTGAAAATGAAATCACCTAAGGATGCGTTTTTTAGAACATATCCCCATAGTTAAATAACCTATAATTGTATTCTCTGGCACTTTATACTCAAAATGTTCAAAGATTCCAACTATTAAATGGTCAGCATTTTAAAAGTTGTTACGAAGATGGCTTTAGAAATATAGATAAATTCTTAAAGAAACAAACAAAAATCCTAAAATTTATTTTTGTAAGTGTTGTTGAGGATAGGCTAATAAAAACTCTGACTGTATAACCCCAAATTTTAGTAGTGCTCTGGTTGATTTTCTTCCATACTTATTTTCTTACAAGATTCCCGAATCTGTGATCCTCTTGAACTCCACAGTATTTGATGTTTGCAAATGTTTGGAAGGACATTTGTTTTACCTTCAGGTTTTCTTTGGGGAGACATTCTTAGAAAGCTGAGCTGTTCCTGGGCCGGGTACAGTGGCTCACACCTGTAATCCCAGGACTTTGGGAGGCCGAGGTGGGCGGATCATGAGGTCAGGAGTTCGAGACCAGCCTGGCCAATATGGCAAAACCCCATCTCTACTGAAAATACAAAAATTAGCCAGGCACAGTGGCAGGCACCTGTAATCCCAGCTACTTGGGAGGCTGAGGCAGGAGAATCGCTTCAACCCGGGAGGCAGAGGTTGCAGTGAGCTGAGATGTGCCACTGCATTCCAGCTGGGGTGACAGAGCAAGACTCCATTTCAAAAAAAAAAAAGAGAGAGAGAAAAAGAAAGCTGAGGTTGTTGTTTTCTTCCAATGTGCTGCAAGCAAAAATCATTTAACTTCATGTCAAGAATTATAAAGGTTCTGAGATTTTTACCCTACTTGCAAGGTAAGGTAGACTTCCACAGTTTGAGATTGGCAAAAGACAAAGGACTTTTATTACTCATGGTACAGTAAGCAGAACAAGCAGCAGCACACTCACCCTAGGTTCCCTTACTCTAAGTCTCATGGAGGTGACATCGATGGGCCAGATAGATGCCTTCACATTGAGTGGGTTATGTTACAGGGGAGAAATGGCCCCTGTAATTACATTATGAGAGTTTAGGGAACGAACCTGAATCACTTATAATGGGCAACAAGCAAGCCTACCCTTTGCTTCAGAGGGAGACTTCTTTATTGTACCTGGGAGTAAGTATGCCTGTCTTCACTATGAATGGAAACTTTCAAGACTATAAGCAAACCTACCCTTTGCTCTGGAGGAAGATGCTGTCTCTACTTTTAAAGGTTTTTCACAGCTGGATGCGGTGGCTCACGCCTGTAATCCCAACACTTTGGGAGGCCGAGGCAGGTGGATCATGAGGTCAGGAGTTCAAGACCAGCCTGGCCAAGATGGTGAAACCCCGTCTCTACTAAAAATACAAAAATTACAGCGTGCCTGTAATCCCAGCTACTTGAGAGGCTGAGGCAGGAGAATCGCTTGAACCTGGGGGGCGGAGGTTGCAGTGAGCCGAGATCGCGCCACTGCACTCCAGCCTGCATAACAAAGCAAGACTCCATCTCAAAAAAACAAACAAAAAAAAAAAAGGTTTTTCACTACCCAAACATTCTTGAAAGATAGTCTAGAAAAAATGGCAGTAAGTGCCTCTGCTTGCAAGAAGTGGAGAAACGTGAGACAATTGTCTCTCAACTCTTCTCTGAACATTATTTTCTCTCTCCATAAAACAAGAGGGCTCTTCACACTTAGAGTAGTCAATGACTTTTAGAAAAAGATGATTTGTGTGGATTTAATTGTCTGAGGAAAGGTCTGTGGGAAGTTGGCAGCAGAGAGATGATAAGCTTTTGAAAATCTTTAAAATGATGGAATTGAAGAAGGAATGCACCAAAAGCATTATACAACTGGAAAACTTTTCTCATCCCTATGATAAATTTCAAGTAGCACCTAAGACATTACATGCACATTCTACAGACAGCATCTCTGGCTAACATTTTCTTGATAGAATACCTCTTGGTTTCTAAATACCTCAACTCCACACAATGTTTATGTTCCTCAGTGCAACATTTTTTCAGCCAAAGCTGAAATGTTTTATATATGCATCTCCAAATATCAATGTAAATATTTTAATACAATTATAACTGGACTAAATCTCTAGTTACATTTCAAGTACAATGAATGAAGAAACAGAATCATGTGTACTTTGAAAAGAATACTGAGAGTCAATAAAGGGGTCCTGGTCATGGGTCATACGTGTTGCTGGTGTAAAAAGAGACTCATTGGACCACGGCATTTCATACCAAAAAAAATGGTTTTTGAGAAACACATTATTCATCTTCCAATAAGGGAGCTAAACTTTTAAAGAATTTTTCATCTCAGCATGACATTTTGCCATTTATATATAGATATTTAGATTTTACATAGTAGTGAGATCATGCAGTATTTGTCTTTCTGTGCTTGGATTATTTCACTTAATATAACATCCTCCAGGTTAATTCATGTTGTCACAAATGACAGGACTTCCTCTATTTTTAAGGCTGAATAACACTCCACTTTGTATGTATATACTTTTCTTTATCCATTCATCTGTTGATTGACACCGAATTTGACTCCATCTCAACTATTGTAAGGTTTAAGTGAACATGGGAGTGAAGATATCACTTGACATATGGATGTCGTTTCTCTTTTTTTGAGAAGGAGTCTCGCTCTGTTGCCCAGGCTGGAGTGCAGTGGCGCAATCTCGGCTCACTGCAAGCTCCGCCTCCAGGGTTCACACCATTCTCCCGCCTCAGCCTCCCGAGTAGCTGGGACTACAGGTGCCCGCCACCACGCCCTGGTAATTTTTTGGGCTTTTAGTAGAGACGGGGTTTCACCATGTTAGCCAGGATGGTCTCGATCTCTTGACCTCACGATCCGCCCGCCTCGGCCTCCCAAAGTGCTGGGATTGGATGTCATTTCTTTTGGATATCTCCCCAGAAATGGAATCACCGGATTATACAGTAATTCTTTTCTAATCTTTTGAGGAATCTCCATAGTGTTTTGAATAATTGCTATAGCAATTTACATTACCACCAGTACTATACAAATATCCCCTTTCCCCTGCATTCTTGCCAACAACTGTTACCTTTTATTTTTAATTACAGCCATTGTAAACGGTATGAGGTGAGATGACACTGAGGTTTTAATTTGAATTTTCCTAGTGATAACTGATGTTAAGCCGTTTTCCTCATATACCTCTAGATATTTGTATCTTCTTTGGAGAAAAGTTTGTTCAGGTCCTTTGACCATTTTTTAAATTGGGGTATTTTTTTGCCAGTTATTAAGTTCCTCATACAGTTTGAATATTAACCCCTTATCATATGTATGCTTTGTAAATATTTTCTCCCATTCTGTAGGTAGTCCCTTCACTCTAATATTTGTTCCCTTTCCTGTGCAGAAGTTTTTATTTTGATACAATCTCATTTGTCTCTTTCTGCTTTTTTACCCTTGCGTTTTTTCTATTATAACCAAAAAATGATTTTCCAGTTGATTTTGTCATACAGTCATAACATGGACAATGTTGTGACATTTCCCCCTAAGTTTTCTTGTAGTAGTTTTAGAGTTCCCAGTCTTATGTTCAAGTCTTTACCCATTTTGAGTTTATTTTTCTGTACAGTATGAGATAAGCGTCTAATTTTATTATTTTATGTATGCACGTTAAGCTTTCACAACACCATTTATTGAAGAAACTGTTTATCAACATTATCTATTCTTGGCATCTTTAAAAACTCCATTGACTGTAAATATGTGAATTTATTTCTGGGCTATTTTGCTCCATTGGTCTATGGATTTGTTTTTATGCTACTACAATGCTGTCTTGATTAATATAGTTTTGTAGTATATTTTGAAATCAGGTTGTATGATGTTTCCAGCATTATTCTTTTGGCTCAAGATTGCTGTGAATATCTGGGGTCTTTTGTGGGTCTATCTCAATTTTAAGATTATTTTTCCTACTTTTGTGAAAAATGTTATTAGAAATTCAACAGGAATTGCATTGAAACTGTAGATTGCTTTGGGTAGTATGAAGACTTTAACAATATTAACTTATCCAGTCTATGAACATGGGATAAGTTTCATTTATTTGTGTTTTATTCAATTTCTTTGATACCAGTTTTATTATTTTTATTGCACTGATCTTTTACTTCTTTGGTTAAATTTATTCCTAAGTATTTTTGTAGTTACTGGAAATATGGTTGTTTTCTTGATTTCCTTTAGGAGAGTTTATGGTTAGTGTAAAAATGCTACTAATTTTTGTATGTTTATTTAGTAACCTGAAACCTTATCAAATTATTTTATTACTTCTAATAGTATTTTTTAATGTAGTCTGTAGGGTTTTCTAAATGTAAGATCATGTCATTCACAAAAAGAGAGAATGTAACTTCTTCCTTTCCAGTTTCAATGCTTTTGCTTGTTTCTCTTGTCTAATTGCTCTGGGTAGGACTTTGAGTGCTATGTTGAAGAGAAGTGGTGAGAGTGGGCATGCTTGTCTTGTTCCAGATCTTAGAGGGAAAACTGACTTTTCACCATTGAGTATGTTGAGAGCTGGAGGCTTGTTGCATATGGTCTTTATTGCGTTGAGGTACATTCCTTTATTTTAAGACAGAGTTTCACTCTTGTCACTCAGGCTGGAGTGCAATGGCGCAATCTCAGCTCACTGAAAACTTTGCCTCCTGGGTTCAACCGATTATCCTGCCTCAGCCTCCTAAGTAACTGGGATTACAGGAGCCTGCCACCAGGGCCGGCTATTTTTTGTATTTTTAGTAGAGACAGAGTTTCACCCTGTTGGCCAGGCTGGTCTTGAACCCTGATCTCAGGTGATCTGCCCCCCTCGGCCTCCCAAAGTGCTGGGATTACAGGCATGAGCCACTGCATCCGGCCAGTACGTTCCTTTTATATCTAATTTTCTGACAGTTTTTTTTAAATATAAAATAAGGCTGAATGTTGTCAATTGCTTTTTCTGCATCTATTGGATAATCTTTTTTGTCCTTCATTTTAGTAACAATAATAAATGTAATTTATTATTATTTAGTAATAATCAATAAATGTTGCAAATTATTTATTGATTTGCATATGTTGAACCATTCTTGCATCCCAGGGATGAATCCCACTTGATCATTTTAATGTGCTGTTGAAAATAGTTTACTAGTATTTTGTTGAGGATTTTTGCATCTTATTTCATCAAGGATATTTGTCTTTAGTTTTATTTTCTTGTAGTGTCTTTCTCTGGCTTTGGTGTCAGAGTAATACTGGTCTCATAAAATGAGTTTAGAAGTATTCCCTCCTAGTTAATTTTTTGGAAGAGTTTGAGAAAGATTGGTATTAATTCTTTAAATAGAATTCAGACTTGAAGCCGTCCCATTCTGGGCTTTCCTTTGATGGAAGACTTTTTATTACTAATTACATCTTATTACTTGCCATTGATCTATGTATATTTTAGATTTCTCCATGGTTCAATCTTGTTTGGTTCTGTGTCTAGAAATCTATCAATTTATTCTAGGTTTTCCAATATGTATCAATAAGATACTTAGTTGCTTATAATACTCTTTAATGATCCTTTGAATTTCTGTGGTTTAAGTTGTAATGTCTCCTTTCTCATCTTCATTTTATTTGGGTCTTCTATTTTCTTAGTCTGGCTAAAAGTTTGTTAATTTAATTCACCTTTTCAAAAAAAAACAACTCTCATTCTCGATCTTTTCTATTCTTTTTCTAGTCTTTATTTCATTTATTTCTGCTCTAATCTTTATTATTTCTTTACTTCTACAAAATATTGGCTTATTTTTTCTTCTAGTTTCTCAAGGTGTACAGTCAAGTTGTTTATTTGAGATCTTTATTTTTAATGTAAGCATTTATTGCTATAAAATTCCCTTTTAGGACTGCTTTTGCTACATACCATAAGTTTAGTATGTTGTATATTCGTTTTCATTTGTCTCAAAATATTTTTCTAATACTAATTTAATTTTTTATTTCAGTAGCTTTAGTGGTACAATTGGCTTTCGCTTACATGGATGAATTATATAGTGGTGAAGTCTAAGATTTTAGTGCACGCATCACTCCAGTACTCTACCTCGAGTAGTGTACTCAATGGGTAGTTTTTCATCACTCATTCCCCTCCCCACCCTGAGTCTCCAATGTTTATTTTATCACTCTGTGTGCCTTTGGGTTCCCACAGCTTGGCTCCCAATTTTAAGTGAGAACATGCAATATTTGGTTTTTCATTCCTGAGTTACTTCACCTAGAGTGACAGCCTCCAGTTCCAACCAAGTTTCTGCAAAATACATTATTTTGTTCTTTTTTATGGCTAGTCAATTACCATTATTCCATGGTATATATGTGTGTGTGTGTATATATATATGGTATATGTCTGTGTGTGTCTGTATATGTATATGTATATATATGTATGCTACATTTTCTTTATCCATCTTTGGTTGATGGGCACATATCTTTGCAATTGTGAATTATGCTACAATAAACACATGCATGCTGGTGTTTTTTTGATATATAATCATTTTTGTATGTGGCTGGATACCCAGTAGTGGGACTGCTGGATCCCACCACTAATCTCACTTTTAATTTCTTCTCTGGTCCACTGGTTGCTTAGGATAATGTCATTTAATTTCTACATATTTGAATATTTTCCAATCTTTCTCTTTTTATTGATTTCTAGTATTGTACTATTTTGGGTGAAAATTATACTTGATATGATTTCAGTCGTTTAAAATTTGTTGAGCCTATGTTTATGGCCAAATATATGATCTCTCCAGAAGCATGTCCCATGTGCACTTGAGAAGAATGTTTATTATGCTCTTGTTGGAAGAAATGTTCTGTATGTCTGTCAGGTCCATTTGTCTGAAGTGTAGTTCAAGTCCGCTGTTTATTGAATTTTTTTCTGTCTGAATGACCTGCCCATTGTTGAAAGTGGGTACTGAATTATCCAACAAATATTGTATTACAATTTTTCTCTCTCTTCAGATCTATTGATATTTGCTTTATATATTTATGGGCTCCAATGATGTGTACACACATATTTAAAATTATTATATCCTCTTGCTGAATTGACTTCTTTATTATTATATAATGACCTTTGCCTCTCTTTAAAGTTTTTAACTTAAAGTCTATTTTATGTAATATAACTATAGCTACCACTGTTTTATTTTGGTATCATTTGCATGAAATATCTTAATTCTTTCACATGCAGCCTATGTGTGTTCTTAAAGCTAAAGTAAGTTTCTTGTAGGAACATTAAGTTGTGTGTTGGTATTTTTTTAAATTCATTTGATCACTCTATACCATTTGACTGGAGAATTTTACTCATTTACTTTTTGAATAATCATTAATAAGTAATTACTTACTACTGCCATTTTGTTCATTGTTCCCTGGTTGTTTTGTAGGTCCTTTGTTTCTTTCTTCCTCTCTTTCTCTCTTCTTTTTGACTAGATAATTTTCTCTTGTGGTATACTTTGGTTGCTTGCTTCTTATTATTTATCTATTATAGGTCTTTGCTTTGTGGTTACCATAAAGCTTACAAAAATATATTTATAATAGACTATTTTAAAAAGATAACTTGATCACATAAAAATATTTTACACTTTTGCTGTTGTTTGCACATTCTTGTTATTGGTGTCACAATTTACATGTTTCTTTATTGCATATTCCTTAACAATTATTGTAGTTACTGTTGTTTTTAATAGTTTTGTCTTTTATGCTAAAGATTTAAGTGATTTACCAACCATCACTACAATGTTAGAGTATTTCAAATTTTACTATGTACTTAACATAGTCAATTTATACTTTATACTTTCCTGTGTTTTTATGGTATCAGCTAGCATTTTTATCTTCCATCTTGAAGAAATTCTTTTAGTCTTTTACATAAAGAAGGTCTAGTGTTAATGAACTCTCTCAGCTTTTGTTTTTCTGGTAAACTTCCTCTCTTTTCATCGTTTCTGAAGGATAGGATTGCCAGGTATAGTGTTCTTGGTTTGCAGGGTTTTGTTTTGTTTTGTTTTTTCATTGAGTATGTTGAATATATTATCCCACTCTCTCCTGCCCTGAAAGGTACCTTCTGAAAAATCAACTGATAATCTTATAGACATTCGCTTGCACATAATATGTTATTTTTCTTTCGCTGCATTGAAAATTTTCTTTTCATCCCTGACTTTTTGGAATTTGATTGTAATGTGTCTCAGTGAAGATGTCTTTATATTTAATGTATGTGGAGTTTTTTGTACTTCATGGATGTAGATGTTCCTTTTTCTCACCAGTTATGGGAAGTTTTTCACAACCATTTTTTTCTTTCTTTTTTTAAAATCTTTTATTTCAGGTTCAAGAGTACATGTGCCAGTCTGTTATATAGGTAAATTGTATGTCACAGTGGTTTGGTGTATAGATTATTTTTTCATCCAGGTAATAAGCTTAATATCCAATAGGTGCTTTTCCAGTCCTTGCTCTCATTTCACCCCTCATCCTCAAGTAGGTTCCAGTGTGTGTTTTCTTCTTCTTGGTGGCCATCTGTAGTCAAACTTTAGCTCTCACTTATAAGTGATAACATACAGTATTTGGTTTTCTGTTCCTGTGTTAGTTGGTGGAGGATCATGGCCTCCAGCTCCATCCATGTTGCTGCAAACATGATTTTATTGTTTTTTATGGCTATGTAGTATTCCACTGTGTATATGTACCACATTCGCTTTATTTAGCCTACTGTTGATGGGCATTTAGGTTGATTCCATGTCTTTGCTATGTGAATAACAGTGTAATGAACATATATATGCATATATCTTTATGTTAGAATGATTTATATTCCTTTTGGTATATGCCCCATAATAGCATTGCTGGGTCAAATAGTAGTTCTGTTTTAACTTATCTGATAAATTTCCAAACTGCTTTCCACAGTGGCTGAACTAATTTACATTCCTACCAGAAGTGTATAAACATAGCCTATTCTCTGCAACCTTGCTAGCATCTGTTATTTTTTGACTTTTTAAAAACAGCCATGCTGACTGGTGTGAGATGGCATCTCACTGTGGTATTAATTTTCATTTATCTGATGATTAGTGATTTTGAGCATATTTATATGCTTCTTGGCTGTGTGTATATCTTCTTTCGAAAAGTGTCTGTTCATGTCCTTTGCACACGTTTTAATGCAGTTGTTCAGTTTTTGCTTGCTAATTTAAGATTTTTGTAGATTCTGGATATTAGACCAAACTATGTCAGATGCATAGTTTGCAAATGTTTTCTCCCATTCTGTAGGTTGTCTGTTTACTCTTTTGATAATTTCTTTTGTTGTTTAGAAGCTCTTTTCTTTAATTAGATCCCATTTGTCAATTTTTGTTTTTGTTGCAATTGCTTTTGGCATCTTCATCATGAAATCTTTGCAAGATCCTATGTCCAGAAGGGCATTTCCTAGGTTATCTTCCAGGATTTTATAGTTTTACATTTGACTCTTTAATCCATCTTGAGTTTACCTTTTAAAATAGTATAAAGAAGGGGTCCAGTTTCAATCATCTACATATGACTATCCAGTTATCCCAGCACCATTTATTGAATAGGAAGTCCTTTTCCCACTGCTTATTTTTGTCAACTTTGTTGAAGATCAGATGTTTGTAGGTATGTAGCATTATTTCTGGGATTTCTATTCTGTTCCTTTGGTCTATCTGTCTCTTTTTGTACTAGTACCATGCAGTTTGGGTTACTGTAGCCTTCTAGTATAATTTGAAGTTGGGCAATGTGATGCCTTCAGCTTTGTCCTTTTTGCTTAGGAATGCCTTGACTATTCGGGCTTTTTTGTTCCATATAAAGTTTAAAATAGTTTTTCTAATTCTGTGAAGAAAGTTTCCGGTAGTTTCTTATGAATAACATTAAATCTATAAATTGCCTTGGGCAGTATGGCCATTTTAACAATATTGATTTTTCCTATCAATGAGCCTGGAATGTTTTTTCATTTGTTTGTGTCATCTCTGATTTTTTTGAGCAGTGTTTGATAATTCTCCTTGTAGAGTTCTTTTGTCGCCCTGCTTATCTGTATTCTTAGGCATTTTATTCTTCTTATAACTATTGTGAATGGGATTGTGTTCTTGATTTGTCTCTCTGCTGGGATATTGTTGTTATATAGGAATCCTAGTGATTTTCTTTCATTGATTTTGTATCCTGAAACTTTGCTGAAGTTGTTCATCAGCTGAAGGAGCTTTTGGGCTGAGATAATGGGGTTTTCTAGATATAGAATAGTATCATATGCAAACAGGGATAGTTTGACTTTCTCTCACCCTATCTGGATGCCATTTATTTCCTTCTATTGCCTGATTGTTTTGGCCAGGACTTTCAGTAATATGTAGAATAGAAATGGGGAGAGAGGACTTTCTTGTCTTATTTCAGTTTTCAAGGGGAATGCATCCAGTTTTTGTCCATTCAGTACGATGTTTTCTATGGGTTTGTCATAGATGGCGCTTAAGGTTCTAAAGGATATTCCTTCAATGCCTACTTTGTTTAGGGTTTAAACACAAAGAGATGTTTAATTTTGTCTAAAGCCTTTCCTGCATATATAGATATGATGATGTGTTTTTTGTTTTTGGTTCTGTTTATGTGATAAATCAATTTATTGATTTAGATATGTTGAACCAACCTCACATTCTAAAGCCTAGTTGATTGTGGCTTTTTGGTGTGTTGCTGGATTTAGTTGGCTAGTATTTTGTTAAGGATTTTTGCATCAATGTTCATCAAGGATATTGGCCTGAAGTTGGATTTTTTGTTGTTGTTGTGTCTTTGTCAGATTTTCATATCAGGACAATGTTGGCCTCATAGAATGAGTTAGGAAGGAGTCTCCCCTCCTCAATTTTTTGGAATAGTTTTAGTAAGAATGGTGTCTTCTGCTCTTCTTTATACATCTCACAGAATTTGGCAGAAAATCTATCCTGCCCTGGGCTTTCTCTGGTTGGTAGGTATTTTATTAATGATTTAATTTCAGAACTCATTATTGGTCTGTTCAGGGATTCAATTTCTTCCTGGTTCAATCTTGGGAGGTTATATGCTTCCAAGAATTAAACCGTTTCTTCTAGGTCTTTCAACTTGTATGCACAGTGGTGTTCAAAGTAGTCGTCGAGGGTTTTTGTTTGTTTGTTTGCTTGTTTGCTTGTTTTTCCTGTGGTGTCAGTGGTAATGTCCCCTTTGTCATTTCTGATTGTGTTTATTTGGATCTTATCTTTTTTCTGTGTCAGTCTAGCCAGTGTTGTATCAGTCATATTTATTCTTTTAAATGACATATTCATGGATTTGTTGATCTTCTGTATGATTTTCACATCTCAGTTTCCTTCAGCTCAGGTCGGATTTTGGTTATTTCTTGTATCTGCTAGCTTTGGAGTTGGTTTGTTCTCACTTGTCTAATTCCTCTAAGTGTGATGTTAGATTGTTAACTTGAGATCTGTCTAACTTCTTGATGTGGGTGTTTAGTGCTATAAACTTCCCTCTTAACACTGCTTTAGCTGTGTGTGGGAGGTTCTGATATGTTGCATCTTTGTTCTCATTCATTTCAAAGAATTTCTTTATGCCTACCTTAATTTCATTATTTACCTCAAAGTCATTCAGGAGCAGGCTGTTTAATTTCCATGTAATTGTATGGTTTCAGGTGATTTTTTAGTAGGGATTTCTATTGTTATTGCACTGTGGTCGATCAAAGAGTGTGGTTGGTATGATTTCTGTTTTTGTTTTTATGTTGTTGTTTTTTTGAGCTTGCTGAGGATTGTTTTATGCTCAATTGTGTGGTCAATTTTAGAGAATGTGCTATGTGCCAATGAGAAAAATGTGTATTCTATTGTTTGAGAGTGAGGAGTTCTGTAGATGTCTACTAGATATGGTCAAGTGTTGAGTTCAGGTCCTGAATATCATCGTTAGTTTTCTGCTTCGATGATCTGTCTAATACTGCCAGTGGAGTATTGAAGTCTCTACTCTGATTGTGTGGTTATCTAATTCTCTTTGTAGGTCTCTAAGAACTTGCTTTATAAATCTGGGTGCTCCTGTATTGGGTATGTATATATTTAGGATAGTTAGGTCTTCATTTGAATGGAGCCCTTTACCACTGCATAATGCCCTTGTCTTTCAAAAATCTCTTGGTTTACAGTCTGTTTTGTCTGAAATTGGTATAGCAAACCTGGCTTTTTTTTTCTGTTTTTTGTTTGCATGGTAGATTTTTCTCCATCCCTTTACTTTGAGTCTAGTAGTGTCATTGCATGTGAGATGGGTCATTGCATATGAGAGGGGCATACCATTATGTCATGCTTGTTTTCCAACTTGCCACTCTGTACCTTTTAATTGGGGCATTTAGCCCATTTACATTCAAGGTTAGTATTGATGTATGCAGATTTGATCCTGTCATCATGTTGTTAGCTAGTTATTATGAAGACTTGTTTGTGTGGTTGCTTTATAGTGTCACTGGTCTATGTACTTAAGTATGTTTTTGTAGTAGCCAGTAATGGTCACTCCTTTCTGTATTTAGCACTCTTTTTAGGTTATTTTGTAAGGCAGGTCTGGAGGTAATAAATTCCTTTAGCATTTGATTATCTGAAAAGGATCTTATTTCTCCTTAGCTTATGAAGCTTAGTTTTCCTGGATATGAAATTCTTGTTTAGGATTTCTTTGCCTTAAGAATGCTGAATATAGGGCCCCAATCTCTTCTGGCTTGTAGGATTTCTGCTGACAACACTGCTGTTAGCCTGATGAGGTTCCCTTTGTAAGTGATCTACCCCTTCTCTCTAGCTACCTTTAACATTTTTTTCTTTCATTTCAGCCTTGGAGAGTCTGATGACTGTGTGGCTTGGGGATGGTTATCTTGTGTAGTCTCACAGGGGTTCTCTGCATTTCCTGAATTTAAAGTTTGCCCTCTCCAAGGAGGTTGGGGAAGTTTTCATGGATGATATTTTGAAATATGTTTTCCAAATTGCTTGCTTTCAATGAGTCATAAATTTGGTCTCTTTACATAATACCATAATTTTCAGAGGTTTTGTTTAATTTTCTTCAATCTTTTTTTAATTTCTAATATGTGTCTAAGTTATTTCAGAGAACTGTCTTTGAGATCTGAGATTCTTTCCTCAGCTTGATCAATTCTGCTGTTAATACTTGTGATTGTATTCTGAAATTTTTGAAATGAGTTTTTCACCTCTATCAGATCAGTTTGGTTCTTTCTTAAAATGACCATTTCATCTTTCATTTTCTGTATCGTTTTATTGTATAGAATCCTGGAAATGGATTTTCACTTTTGCCTGAAGCTCAATAATCTTGGTTCCTATCCATATTCCAAGATCTATTTCTGTCATTTCAGATATTTCAGACTGGTTAGGAACCATTGCTGGATAACTAGTGTAATTGTTTGGAGGTAAAAATAGACGCTGGCTTTTGGAGTTGCCAGAGTTCTTGCACTGGTTCTTTCTCATCTGTGTGGGCTGGCGTTCCTTTAATCTTTGAAGTTGCTGTTTTTTGGATGGATTGTGTGTGTGTGTGTGTGTGTGTGTGTGTGTGTGTGTTTATCCTTTTTGATGCCCTTGGGGGTTTGATTGTGGTATAAGGTGGGCTCAGTTGACTCACTTCATTTCTGGAAGATGTCAGTGGGCCAAGGTTCAGCTCAGCATTCCCCAATTCTGGAATGCTATTATCAGGCCCCTAGCTTTGTTCTCTCACCCCTCGAAGTTAGGAACCTGCTGTGCTGGGGGTCCAAAGGTGTTCCTGGATTGCTGGCCACAACACTCCAGTAAGTGGCAGTGACCACAGTACTCTGTCAGGGTGATAGCAGTGGGATCTGTGCTCATGCCACGGCAGTGGCAGCATGGCTGGGTGCATGCTCGTTGGCTGGGGTGAGGCACTGACAGGCATGGGGATGCCAAACCCCATGACCCATTATTTTTTATATATGTTTTCTGCCCATTTTCTGCCTCTGCTCCTTCTAGAAAACCCATAATATATATATTGGCTCAGTTGATCATGTACCATAGTTTCCTTAAGCTTTATTTTCTCTTTTTGTTTCTTTTTTCTTTTTGTTTCTCTGACTGGATAATTTCAAATGACTTGTCTCAAACTCACTGACTTTTTCTGCTGCTTGATCAAGTCTGCTGTTGAAATTCTCCATGCATTTCTTCAGTTCAGCCACTATGTGTTTTTTTTTAACTTTAAAACAAATCTCTTTCTTGACCTTCTGATTTTGTTCACATATTGTTTTTCTGATTTCATTTAGTTGTCTATCTGTATTCTCTTGTAGCTCACTGAGTTTCTTTTAGACAATTGCTTTAAATTATTTGTTGAGCAGTTTGTAAAATTCTTTCCCCTTAAGGTCAGTTACTAGTCCTTTATTTTGTTCTGTTGGTAATATCATATTTCCTTGATTGTTTATGATACTTGTGGTCATGTGTCTTTGGTGTTTGACTTTTTGAACAAGTAGTCACTTATTCCAGTTTTTACAGACTGGCTTTAGCAGACAAAGCCCTTCACCAGTCAGTCATCCAGAGATTCTGGGCAGGCCATCTGGCTTGGTCTTTGGGCAGGCTTGCTGCTGGCATCCTCAAGTGGACCTATTGACTTGGTATACCAGGGTAGGCAGTCACTTCATGAGGGCAGGCCCGAAGCCTCTAATCACAGGAGCCAGACTAAATCCTACTTCCTGGAGACCAATCTGGCTCTAAAGCAGGCCTTGAACCCATGTCTTCAGGGGTTAGCCAGGCACTAGGACAGATGTAGTATCTGAGTCTCTAGGACAGGTCTGGAGTTTGAGTCTGTGCATACTGGGCTGGTACCTGAAACTACAGGGGCTGGTATGGAGCCAGGGTTAGTGGGGGTGGCCTGTAGCCTGGGACCATGAATGTCAACTTGCCTCTGGGGTAAGTCTGGAGACTGGATTCATGGGGCTAAGGCTGGAGCCTGAGTCGGGGGGGCTGGCCTGGTGCTAAGGTCTACTGTAATGAAGCTTGATCCTGGGTCTGCTGGAGTATGAGGCCAGACTAGTACCGAGTCCACAGAGCCTCGCCTGGAACTGGGAAAATCCAGAACTTGTGTCTGTGGGGGCTGGCCTAGTGACAGAGGCCACAGAGGCTGGCCTAGCATCAGGGCTTTGTGCTCAGATGGACCTAAAGGCTTGGGGAGGGTTTGGGATTTGACAGGACCGTATCCTGCGACTGTGAGTGTCAGTCTGGAGCTGGGGTCTGCAAGTGCTGGCCTGAAGTTGTAGCTGTGGGAGCTATCCTGGAGCTGTGGTGGGTCTGAAGGGCAGGTCCACATGGGCAGGCCTGATGTCTAGGATTTCAGGGGTCACCCTGGAGTCTGTGGCTGCAAGTGCTAGCTTGTCCTTGAGGTGGGCTTAGAGTCTTTGTCAGTGGGTGCTGGCCTGTGGTCTGGAGCTATGGGGAAAAGCATGATGCTGTGTGTGTCTAGAGCCTGCATCTTCTGGGGCAAGACTGGAGGCTGCAGTCATGGGGGCTGACCTGGAGCCTGGGGTCACAGAGCCTGGGGCCACAGAGCCTGGCCTGGCATCAAGGCAGCCTGGAGTCTAAGTCCAAGGGTGTCTGCCTGGAGTCAGAGGCCACTGGGTCTTACTGAGGCAAACCTAGTGTTAGGGTCCATGGAAAACTCAAGTGCTTATTTCACTCTCTTTCCCCAAGTTTAGGGAATGTCTCTCCATGCTGTGCTTACTGAGATTGATGGAGGGGTGATATAAATAATGTAAAAGTCTTCTTTCTACCCTCTTCGATGCATCCTTTCTTATTTTTTGCAACATTCAGATGCTTTAATCACTCACTTGGGATTGTTAGCTCTTGTGAAGGTATTTCCATTTTAATGGGTAGTAGTTCAAATGAATGTTTCTGTGAAGGTTCAAGAGCTGGAAAGTCCTATCTACCATCCTGCTGATGCCATTCTCTGAGAAGTACTATTCTAAGCACCATCAGAGCCTCCTAAATCTGTTCATGTCACACTGTCAGGTTTGGGCTACGGGAATGGGAGGGCAGTAAGTACGCGGGAGAGAAATGTCCTCATCTCTCCACAACACAAATCCTACATGAGCAGGACCCACACCCTCATCATAACACACTGGTAGGGATGCACACTTCATCATTTTCCCTAGAGGCCTGGGTGAATAGGGAAGAAGCAAGACCCATAAAGTTTCCTCCACTCAAACACTTTGTCCTTCTCAGAGTATGGCTATGACACTGGCATATACAAGACAAACAAGTGCAGACTAAAAATTTTATTGCTCTTTAAAGCCTTAGGCCGTATGACAAAATGAAGAGACTGAAATGACAGCGGGGAGGAAGAAACAGAAGAAAGATAAGAATGAGGTGGTCAGGTTGGGGGAATTAAGCGAATATTCTCTTCCAGGGTGAGTCCTCACACTGGTCTCATGCCCATGATGAGTTGCACACCAAACACAGGCTGCTGACTTCCCTCCTGCACTAGTCAGTGAACTTGCAGACATAGGGTAACCTCACATTACAGTTATAATCTTTCCACCTCAGAAATGCTGGAGAGACAGAAGACATAAATGGAATGGGGCTGAGGAAGCTTGTGAATCCAATGAAGGGGCATCCCAGGTTTTAGCCTAGAAGTTAAAGCCTCTCCCTCACCTTCACCAGTGTCCCAATCCAGGAGAGAGATTCAAAGAAAGTGGAGAAGAGAGGAGATAAGAGAAGACACACTAACATTGTATTTTCTAGCTCAGGAAGATTTCCTGAAGGTCAGACCCAGGAATGGGGGATGAGATGGAAAACACTGGGAAGAGGCAGCTCCTCTGTTTCTTACCTGTGCTTCTCGACAGGCTCGCACAGTGGCCGGGGCTTGAGATGGTGGAGGGATTTCTCTCCCATGCAAAGTAATTCATCACATCACTGCTACTCCACTCCCAACCTTCTCCATTGGGCTCGGTGCCCTGTAGAGTAGAGGAGGTAGCCAGGTGAAGGGAATGGCCATTGCAGCTCTTCTTGCATGGCCCCTTAGCTGCAACACCTGATTTGCTCCCCAGCATGAGGAAAGTTGGTCTGCTATTCCAGATGCTGCCGGTGAGTAGGAAACTCTTCCTTGACTCCTCATTGCTATTGGAAAATTCCAGCCAATAAACATAAGACCTTTGGAACAACTCAAGGTAATATATTATTTGCAGAACAATAATTGATGTAGCATTTGTGATTAGCTTGTGAACCTCAAAAGTAATGTCAGTTCTGTATGGGGACAAAAATTGATCCTATCTTCATTAAGAGTTCCTTCAGAATAGTAGGCAAAGACTCCATGAAGCTCAGAGAATTGTTAACCCAGCCTCATATGAGAATTATGTAATACGCCTGAGGAAGGCAGATTGATTTTATCTGAAAGATAGAGACCTCCACAGAACTCAGATCTTCAGATGCTTCATGGCCTTCCCTTTCCCCCCAAATATTCCCCAGAATCTGAGCTCCAGTGCTCCCTGAAGTACTTCCTGGGCAGGCACAGGGGACAGGGAGTGGGCCTGGGCAACAATAGCACCTTGAGAGGTAACAGAGAGGGGAGGATATACTGGCACCTGTGTGGGGTCATGGAGCCCAATCCAGACGTATGAGTAGCTGTTACCAATGCTCTTCACCAGGGAGGACACGAAGGATCCCTCAGCCCCACTGAGCACAGACACCAGGTTTCCAGAGGGCCGCTTCTGGCAGGCCAGCTTTGAGGGCAACAAAGAGAATGAGAGGGAGCCTGAGACCTGCTGAGGGAGGGCAGGGCAAAGGTAGGTGGGAGGAGGACTGTGTGAAAGATAAACGTGTTCATCCTCATTCCCAAGGAACTCTCCTGAATGGAGACCCTCCTCCCCCTGAGACCGGTCACCTCCAACACCACATCTAACCACTCACATCTGCATCTGTCCAGGATTTTGGTGACAAAAACAAGGCATAGCAGTGGGAGCCATAGGCCTTGGAGCCTTTGGGACAGCGGATCCGTGCAGAGGGCAGTTCCCTCTGGGGTTCTTCACCTGAGGTGGAAGAAGAGGGGGGAGGGTAAAATGAAGAGTGGGGCTTGGGGTGGGAGATGACCTTGGGGAATACCTAGGAATGTCCTTGGGGAGGAAGACCACATTCCTGACACCCCTTCATCTTCCCTTATGTTTTCAGAAATTCTTTATCTCAAAATAGCCGTAGTAAATGGAGCACCATCCAGTCTCTTATTACCCTTTCCCCTTATTCAACCATTCAATACTCTCCTCACTCTGGGCTGTCTCTACATTGGGTCCTCCAATCATTGTCCCTCCCCACATCTCATTACTGACCCTCCAGTGTATATTAGAGTCCACTTTCCCACCAGTGTATATTAGAGTCCACTGACTAAATGGAAGCCATCTCATTCCACTGTTAGTGGACCACCATGGAGCCTCCCACTGCAAGTTAACCTGAAGGAAGGAGAGATGATGCAAGAACTGCAGGCAGGTTCATTAGACACCACGTCATTACCTCACATGACACACAGGAGCCTTCCTCCTCTTGTTAGCTCTGAGGATTCATAGGGAACCCAGTGCTAGAGGCAAAGCAATCTCACCTTGAACCTGAGACAGCAGCATGAGGCAGGAAAGCAGCATCCAAGATACACTGGGCAGGGCCATGGGAGGCAGCATAGTGTCTGCGACTTGAGGAGGCAATCAGGAGTCACTAAAGAAAGCGTGGTCAGTGGGAGAACACACAGATACCCCACTGCCTCATGTCATTTTCCTTCTCTAGTCCCCTAGGACTAAAGTGATCTTGGTCACATCCATCATCTTCTACAGTTCTGAATGAGTTGTGAATCTGTGTACTCTCCCATCCCCGAGCCCTCCCAGGACACCCTTGCTGAGTCTCAGAGTTCCTGTGCTCCCTGAGGAAGGGACCCTCCCATGTATTCTCCTGTGTCATGTGCAGTAGCTCCTCCCTGGGTCTCATCTTCTCTCAGCTCCCACTTACCTCTCTGGTGGGATATGGTATGGTTTGTCTGGTCAGGAAAGAGTGGGATTTTATAAGAGGATCTGGGGGAGGGACATTGGAGTGAAGAGTGACAATGAGTAGGCAGGACAGGGGTCATGGGGTGGGGTTGGCATGGACTCTTCCTGGCAAAGACTGGGGATTTTCCCAGATGTTGCCTCTTTCCTGTTGGCAGGCCAACACTTTCCCTAGGAAGAGGTGAAGTTTGCTTTTTCCTCTGCATCCTCCTTGTCAAAGGCCTGTGGCACCAAATGTGATATGAAATCTTCTAATGTGGACATCTGAAAGAGGAGTTCCTCTGGTGGGTTTCTTAAGAACCCACTTCTGGAGGCAAACCTATGTATTTCTTATTACCTTGCCTAGTAAGATTAAATAAATGTTAGGTGTTAAGTGAAGATTTACGGGAATTATAAGTATCATGGACAGTTGAGGACATAGATGGTACTGAAGCTAAGAGTAGGAGTGAGGGTTCAGGGCCATTATGCAAGCATGATAGCTAATTTTGATGAAACTTCAGAATTGTCTGACAAGTCAATACATGAGCCACAATCTTACAGAAAATCAGGTGAATGGACTTGTCTTTCCAGTCTTCAGCAAGAAAGAGCTTCCCCAGTGGAGAATGACAATGGCAATGTGATAGAATAAGAGGTAATGAAGGAAAACAAGACATAAGAAGGACTACAGTCAAATAATGAGGATCAAAGAAGAATGAATAATAGTTAAAGAAGGGAAGAGCAGCCATTGTGTAAAATCATAGGTCAGTTGGCCAGGTGCTGTGGCTCAGGTCTATAATCCCAGCACTTTGAGAGGCTGAGGTGGGAGGATCACCTGAAGCAAGGAGTTCAAGAGCAGCCTGGGCAACACATTAAGACCCTATCTCTACAATTTATATTTTAATTTAAGCCAGTTGCGGTGGTGTGTGCTTGTGGTCCTAGCTACTCAGCAGGCTGAGGTAGGAGGACCTTCAGTTGAACCCAGGAGTTCAAGGCTGCAGTAAGTTATGATCATCCCACTGCACTCCAGCTTAGGCAACAGAGTGAGAGCCTATCTCTAAATTTTTGTTTTGTGATGTTGTAAACATAATTCTGAATTGCATGTAAGTCTCTATTACATCAAAATGCTCACTACTTGTAGGTTGCTCATGAGCTTCCTTGCTGGACTGCCATTTGGCTGTACATTAAAAGCCCTTTTCATTGCATTCTTACTGGGCAAATGGTCAGCTTCATATGGGTATACTGGGAGAAGTTCTTTTAGTCATGTTTATTTTTGAGTTAGCAGTTTGGTGCCTCTGACAAGCATACTACATTGCCCATACACTGGTTCAGGTTCAGTTTGGCCAGTCCAGGAAAAAGTTAGGCTGGGAATTTCTACAGACCCTGACTCTCATGCTATTGTTGTAATATGCCAACTTGTATGCAGATGTTTATAGTAGGGGTCTGTGACGAGGTCATGAGATGTAGCTCATCCTTAATTCACGTCCTCAAAATTCAGTACCCAAAATTCAATGCAATTCCTCAAATAATATGAGAAGAAATATAGCCAGCAGATTATTTTGTTAAAAAGGATTTTTTTCCACAAAATTTATACAACAATATGTAAACACATGGAGGTACGGGGTAGAAGGTAACCAGAGGGTAGAATAGTTACCAGAGGCTGAGACGGGTGAGGGGAGATGAAAAGAGTTTAGTTCATCGTACAAACATACAGCTAGATAGGAGGAATATGTTCTAGCTTTTGATAGCACATAGGGTGACTATAGTTAACAACAATATGTTGTATATTTCAAGATACCTAGGAGAGAAGATTTGAAATGCTGACAGTTTATTATTAAAACTCACTTTTGTTCTTAATTGAAATAGTGTGACCTTTGTAATAAGCCTTAAGGTTATAAAATCCCTAAGTGCAATGTGAAATTTTCTTTGCAATGACACTCACTAAACTCACTAAAGTTGAGTTGTTTTTGTTTTATTTTTCATTGTTTCTTCATAACAATGCTTATTAACCAAGCACTGAGAAGTTTGTTTAAATATTATATTTCTTGAGCTGGTTTTGAGTTATATAAAAATCTACTTCTTAGGGATGACACAGGAATTCTTATTCTTGATGTAACCAAGGCTGAGTTTTAAGGAGCTTCCTTTGCCAAAAGATGTCCAATTTGTACTTTTATCCCTATTATCTTCTGAATCAGATATTTGCAGATAAGACTTAGTAGTCATTCTTAGAATTATAAAAGTGAAAACTGATCTCTTTGCAGGAGCCTAATATATTTGTTTCAAGGATGGTAAAATGTAGAGGTTTCCTGGAAGATGGCTCAGCAGGGTCCATGTCAAAAATAGCCTTGAACTGTATCTCACTGGAGATTTATCACTAAAGTGCACCCCTTTGAGATATATTAACCAGATGTCCAGAATGCCACTTTGGTCCTTTCATCTTATCCTAACACTGTCAGAAGAATTGGGAAAGGGATAAGATTAGGTGCTGAGCAACTATAAAACAGGAAAAAGGGACAAAACTTCAAAGCCCCTGAGGCCAATGAGGGAAGTTATTAACATCAAAGAACTGGAAAGCTGATAACATAGCTACTGAAATTTGGTCAATTATACGTAAGCCATGAACAGTAACTATCATATGACCTGTGCAGTTATTGGAGGCAATAATTTTTATCAGAAAACTGTGTTAATATTTATTTGGTTTCAAATTTTCACATTGATCTTGGAAGAGTTCCCTGTTCATATCATGTTTGCTCTTCTAACGTTATCTATTTGGGTATTTTAAAAAGGCTATTGCTTTTTATTGATTTTTCTTTTAGAATAAGCTAGTTATAATACAAAATGTTCATTTGGGAAAAAATTAAGATAATGTTTTCAATTAATTACCATAAATCATACTCAAACAGCTTGTGGGTGATAATTTTGCAGATCTGAACTGTTCACAATGTATCAGAGTTCACATTTCTTGTGGTAGCAAATAAAAATAAAAATAAGAAATAATTCCATAGTCATGTTGCTTTTCTTTTTGTAATAAATTATCTTTATCATACAGAAAACATTTAACAAACAAGTATAGGTTGACCATCTAGAATCTACAGCGATAATATCTTGCCATCTTTTTTAGCTTTATTTTTTAGAGAAATGAAGCAAAAAGAAGTAATACAATCAAATTAATATTAATAAAATGATAAATAATACATTAATATTAATGATTAATAAAATGATAAATAATAAATGATATAATAAATAATATCATTAATAAAATGATAAATATAATAAAATTATAAATAATAATAATTAATATTATTTTAAAAAATAATATTAATAAAATGATAAATAAATAGTAGTCCATTTATGTTATTCCTCAGTCCCACTTATTTCCATGCTTCTCCATTACCAATTTTATAATTATTTTTCATATATATATATATATTTTGCAGTTGCAAGGTTTAATAGAGTGTAAACAGAGCTCCCATACAAAGGGAGGGGACCCAAAGAGGGTAGCCATTGCTGGCTCAAATGCCTGGGTTTATATCCTGATCATTGTCCCCCACGCTGTGCTCTCAGGTGATAGATGATTGGCTATTTCTTTACCTCCTGTTTTTGCCTAATTAGCATTTTAGTGAGCTCTCTTTACTACTTGATTGGTCAGGTGTGAACTAAGTTGCAAGCCCCGTGTTTAAAGGTGGGTGCAGTCACCTTCCCAGCTAGGCTTAGGGATTCTTAGTCAGCCTAGGAAATCCAGCTAGTCCTGCTCTCAGTCCCCCCTCTCAACAGGAAAACCCAAGTGCTGTTGGGGAGGTTGGCCAATGATTGCTCTAACTGCTTCCTGCTGAACTGGGGTGTAGTAGGGGTTGTGCAGTTGAGATTTCCTCGGGAGAGTTGCCTTCAATGTCATTAACATTGGAGCATGAGGCTAGCAGGCCAGTCCAGGGGTCTGCAGTAGATCTTAGTCATGGACTGCATCTGGGGCTCCATTTGAAGAACCATTTGTAGTTTTACAGCTTCGATTCTGGAAGAGACAAACTTAACAAGGAGGTTAAAGGTACAGGGATTGAAAGGTATGGCCTGCAGTGCAGGGGTTATTTCTTTGGCACACTTCACAGGCCCTGACTATCTGCTTGATAGTTTTGAAAAGGCCTGGTCCAGTAAATAATAATTTGGCCATCTGATGGGTGCTATCAATGTCTAAGTGAAAGTTTTGGTGAAGGGTTTTAAGTAATTTCCATTGGTTAGCTGCAGGCAAAAGTATTTTTCCTTCTTTGGTGGCTAGCCATCCTCAGGGGAGGAAAGTATGTCCTCATGAGGTTCCCCATTCTATTCATCCTGCTGAGTACTGGGGCTTGGTTTCCTGGAGGGGGTTACCCCACACTAGGGGTCCCTCTATAAGCATTTCTGATGGAGGGTCCTGTCTTGCAGCTCTTTTGGCTTCAATATCTGCTTGGTGGTTCCCTTCTATTTCCCTTTCCTTTCTTCTCTGATGACCCTAGCAGTGTAAGACTGCCACCTCTTTGGGTTTCTGTACAGCCAATAATAATCTCCTAATGGCTTCCTGATGGTTGATAGGTTTTCCCTCAGAAGTTAGGAATTCCCTTTCTCTCCATATTGCTGCATGGGCATGGAGGACTAGGTAAGCATACTTAGAGTCTATATGTATATTTACCCTTTTTCCTTCTCCTAATTCTAGTGCTCGAGTGAGGGCTATTAGTTATGCCGGCTGAGCACTAGTTCCTGGAGTGAGGGGATTATTTTCAAGTATTCCATTATCCCTGACCACTTTTCAAGGTCCTTTTTCTACAAAGGAACTTCCATCAGTATACAAGTTAAGGTCGGAATCAGTCAAGGGAACCTCTAAAAGGTCCCCTCGAGCGGGGTAGGTTTGAGCAATTACTTGTTGACAGTTATGTTCTATCTTTTCTTCATTGTCTGGAAGAAATGTGGCTGGGTTAAGAGTTGCAAAGGCGCGCAGTTGCAGCACAGGCCCTTCAAGTAATAGAGCCTGATGTTTAAGTAAACGATCGTCTGACAGCCACAAGTCTCCTTTAGCAGTGAGTATGCCGTTCACATCATGAGATGTCCACACAGTAAGATCTCTTCCATGTATTATTTTAACTGCTTCAGATACTAAGACTGCTACCGCTGCCACTACCCATAAACAATGAGGCCAACCCTTTGCCACTGCATCAATTTCCTTACTCAGGTATGCCACAGTTGGCAAGTTCATCCCTCGGACCTGTGTAAGGACTCCTAGAGCTATTTCTGTTTTTTTCTGTGACATTTAAAGAAAAATCTTGCCCCTTTGGCAAGCGTAACACTGGAACTTGGGTTAGAGCCTTCTTTAGAGCCTGGAAAGCTGCTTGTGCTTCAGGTGTCCACCTTACTAAATGGGTATTGGCTTTCTGAGTTTCCTTAATTAGTGTATATAATGATCTGGCTATTTTGCCATACCTGGGAATCCATATTTGGCAGAAACCTGTTATGCCAAGGAACCCTCTTAGTTGCTTAGGGTTTTGGGATGAGGACAAGCCAGTATAGGCTGCATATGTTCCCCACTGAGGGCCCTGGTACCTTTGGATAATTTTAGCCCTAAGTATTTAAACTTCTGTGAGCAGAGCTGAGCCTTTGGTTTGGAATCTTGTAGCCACAGGTAGCGAGGAAATTTAAGAGTGCTTGGGTGGCTTGATGGCACAAGGCTTCTGAATGGGTGGCTAAAAGTAAATCATCCATGTACCAAAGGACAAGAGTGTCCAGGTATGAGAATTGGCTCAAGTCTTGGGCTAATGCCTGGCCAAATAGATGGGGGCTATCTCTGAACCCCTGGGGTAAAACAGTCCAGGTGAGTTGAGACATTGGGTTCGAAGGATCTTCAAAGGCAAATAAAAATTGAGAGTCAGAATGTACAGGGATGCAGAAAAAGACATCCTTAAGGTCCAGGACTGTAAACCACTCTGCTTCCTCTGGTATTTGGGAAAGCAGGGTATAAGGGTTAGGTACAGCTGGATATAGAGGAACAACAGCCTAATCGATAATCCTGAGATCTTGCACTAACCTCCACTGTCCACTGGGTTTCTGTACTCCTAAAATTGGAATATTGCAAGGGCTATTGCATGGTTTTACTAGGCCTTGGGCTTTTCGGTCCTTAACAATCTTTTGGAGTCCTTGTTGGGCCTTGGGTCTAAGGGGTACTGCCTTTGGTAGGGAAAGGAGGCAGAATCCTTTAGTTTAACTTGAACAGGATGGCATTCTTTGCTCATCCATACTGTCCTTCTGTTGCCCAGACTTCAGGATTAATTCCTTCCTCAAGCAGGGGACAACAAACGGGTGTTCCTTCTCCTATGTTCAGGTGTGTAATGGCCCCTGCTTTTGCTAGAATTTCTCTCACTAACAAGGGAGTGGGGCTTTCAGGCATAATTAGAAAAGCATGTGAAATGAGTAAAGTTCCCCAGTCATAACTTAGTGCCTGGGAGAAGTATCTAGTGACTGGCTGTCCTAGGACCCCTCGGATAGTGACAGATCTGGAGGACAGTTGTCCAGGACAGAACAGTAAGACTGAGAAGGCCGTGCCAGTGTCCAGGAGACAGTTAACCTCCTGGCCCTCAAAGGTCAAGCATACCCAGGGCTCTATGAGGGTGATGGCATGGGCTGGTGCTTGCCCCGGGAACCCTCAGTCCTGCTGTTGGATCATCTGGTTAGTGGCTTCTGACTCAGAGGACCTTCATCCCCCGGGGCCCTGGGCCTTCCAGTGATTCCCTTGATATAACGGGCATGGACGAGGGGGTGGCTTATTTGTACTTGGATAATCTTTTTTAAAATGTCCTTGTAGACTGCACTGGAAGCAAGCCCTATTAGGCACCCAATTTGCTCAGCATTTCCCTTTTCCAGAGCCTCCAAAGTCCACTTGCCTGAGGGCTATAACTAAAGCGGTGGCCTTTTTTTTATCCCGTTTGTCCCATTCCGCCTGCTCCTCCTGATCTCTATTATAAAAAAACCGAGGTTGCCAAGTTCAGTAGGGTTTCTAAGTTTTGCTCCAGGCCTAAGGCTGACTTTTGAAGTTTTTTTCTAATGTCTGCAGCTGACTGAGTGATAAACTTTTCCTTTAAGATTAGTTGGCCTTCAAAAGAGTCAGGTGACAGACAGGTTTTCCTCCTCAATGCCTCCCTTAGTCTTTCCAGAAAGGCAGTAGGATTTTCTTCCTTTCCCTTTGTTATACTGGACATCATTGAATAATTCATAGGCTTCTTCCTAGTTTTCCTTAGTCCTTCTAGCACGCAAGTTAGCAAATGTCTGCTGCACCATTCTCCATGTTCTGATTCTGTGTCCCTATGAGGGTCTACACTGGGAACTGCCTGCTGGCCTGTGGGGAATCGTTCTCTTTCCTCTGTTTTCATCCTATGATGGACCTGACTGAGATACCAGAGATCGCCAAACTCTCGGGCTGCAGTTATGGCGGCACTTCTCTCATTTGGGGTTAGTGTCTGATTTAACAGTAACATTATATCTCTCCATGTCAGATCAAAGGATTGTCCTAACCCTTGTAAAACATCAATATAGCCATCAGGGTTAGCTGAGAATTTACCTAGGTCTATTTCAATTTGCTTTAAGACTGAGAGAGAAAATGGTACATGCACTCTGGCTGGGCCGAATTCTCCTCCTCCCACTGTTTGGAGTGGGCATAATCGGAGAATATTGGCACTCTTTGATTCATTGTTTACCCTTTTGTCTATCTCCTTTTGGACTATTTGGGTTGAAGGGGGGTCCTTATTAGTTGGGGAAGGAGTAGGGGGGATGCTGGGGTAGGAAGGTACACTCTGAGGGCTTCTTGTAGGGGATAAATCACACTTTTTACATAATAGCGAGTTGTCTCTTAATGAAAAGAAAATTTGTACATAT